>NC_000016.10:17232702-18436486 GCF_000001405.40 Homo sapiens
TGATTCTGATGGGGGCGGCAGTGGTAGAGGTGATAGTGGTGTTGGCAATGGTGGTAGTGATGAAGATGGTGATGATATGAGGTGGCGGCCTTCGTCATGGTGTTGGTGATAATGTTGGCAGCGGTGGTGATGGTGGTATTGTACTCTCTATTTGGACTGTCCTTCTTGACCTGGTGAAATTATATACTCGCCTACTTATTTATCTCAAAGACTACGACGTTTTCACTGATTGCCCCCTTTGGGCATAATTCTTCCTCTTTTGTGTCATATTTTTTTAATGCCTCCACCATATCACTCTCTGACATACACTATCAGGACTTGTCTCCTCTGCTCTTCAGGGGGCACCTTCCCTTCACCTGCCACATACAAAGAGGGGCCGTTTAATAAATGCATGTTGACATCAAATAGGGTGGATTATGGGGCACCAGAACCTTCCAACAAGCCTCTCCCCAACTCCACAGGAAAAATGACAACAGAAAGCAACTCGATGAGAATTTTGCATCCCCTGCCGGCTTCAAGGAGACCTCAAGGCAAACTCATGCCCAGCCTCAAAACACTCAGAAAATGGGAGGTGGCACCAGAAGACAAGTTTCATTGCAGGCCAGGCACTGCCCATCCTGCTTGAAAACAGTGAGTGATGGATGCCAGTGCTGAGCAAAGCAAAAGGAGGGCCTGGAAAGGAAGCAGCCTGGTTTCCCGCTGCAAGCTAGTGATGGAGACTTCTGACTGCGGAAGCGAGCAAGAGTCCTCAGAGCAGAAATTTAAGTAGGAAGGTGTGGTGCAGGGCTCTGCGCATACTAAGCGGCCTGCAGACGCGCCCTGCTTCAAAGCAGAGATTGCAGGCTGCCAGCTCCTGGGCCTGCCCAGCCTGCAGACAGCTTTTCTTGGGCTCACACTCTGTTGTGCTGCTTTGTTTTAAATTAAAATAGTTGTCAGTTAAATCAAGAGATTTCAGATTAAAACTCAGATTTCTTACAAAAAGAATAATAATTGGAAGAGTGAGCAAGCAAGCCTGGGCCTGCAGTTCTCAAGGCAAGGGAGCCTGGGGCTTTACACTATCGTGGAGCTAAGTGAGTGGCAGCTTCTACCTGCCTACTCCAGGCATTGACATCCTGCCTGGCCCCTTGGGGTATTTTGTGACGCTTGCTATAAATACCACCAGTGTATGAAATGCCAACTTCATCCTGGTTAAGCGCACGTGCTTGGGGGTGCGGCAGACTTGGCTTCACATCTTGGCTCTGATTTTGCGTAGCTGGGTGATTTCAGGCAAGGTTACTTGCTCTCCCTAAGTCCTAGTTTCCTCATGGGCCAAGCAAAGGATGCTAATGACATGGCTCCTCCATACTGAAGGATTCAAGAAGACCGGACCTAAGACACACTTATGGAGTGATTCTCATAACTGGTACCTGTGTCAACAGTGAGGCGGGTACTGCTGCCACGCCCATTTTGCAGAGGAAAAACCTTAGACTGGAGGGATGAAGTGATTTGCCCAAGAATGCCTAGCTTGTGAGTGACAGAGCCTGGATTCAATTGCAGAAAGCCTGCCTTCTGCACCCAAGTCATCACCACTTCCAACTCTAGATGTTTCACTCCCAAGTGGCAAAATCATCCCTCCATTTCAGCTCTTGCAAATCTCTGGGCCTACCTTTATCCCCGCTTAACTGTTCAGTTACATCTTTGCCTTTCCGATGAGGCTCTGATCAACGCTAAGTCTTGAGATACTAAGTTCTGCACAGCTATCACCCGTTTGCCTAATGAATAATGAATAAATACCTAATAAATAAATAATGGGTAAATAAGCACATAAGAAATCAATCAAATCAGCTAGTGGGTAGAGAGTAGATAAAAACAACAACAAAAAACTAACAGCTCATTGACTACTCTTTTTTTTTTTTTGGCATTTCTAAAATCTCTCTGGGATCATTATACATTTCACAGCAGCACTCGAAGAACCCTCCCCATGTGGGAATCCAGCAAACTGAGCCATGTGATAAAATAAATAAATAAATAAATAAATAAACCATCTTCTCTGCAACCCTAAGGTTCAAGTCTACCCTGAGCAAAGTGAACCCAGCATTCCTTGGTGCACATCCACAGTAAATGATTACTTAGCCCACAGAGAAATGTCTGTCTGCAAGACTGTGTTAGTTATTATCCTATCATAATAAAACAGATTATGCTATAGTAATGAATACGACCATAATGGTCTGCGGCAGTTTAATCAATGCATTCTTCAACTGCAACTGAGCAAAATAGGTAATGGAGGATCATTTGATCTACATTTTTATTAATTTGGTGTCATCTGTCTCCTGGTTATTTTAATCATCTCTCATTATGAGAAAATGGGAAAACTTCCTGAAAAAAAAAAAAGTAGAGTCATCTTGCTCTATTTTATTCCTCGCTTTGTTTTAGTGTGAAAAGTAGCTTGTTCCAGTTCAGTTTGGGAATGGAGGTTACTGATGCCTGATTAAATGTAGTTCTAGATTTCAGAGGGAAAAGCTCCCTTATCTCACACAAGTCAGACAAAGCTGTTCAAGTCATACACAAGTTGAGACGTGTTGAAAGTGGCCTGGAACCACTAACAGCCAAATCATCATCATTATCATCTTTTTTTTTTTTTTTTGGAGACCTACTATGTGCTGAATGTGCTGAGCATGGTGCTGGGTGAGCTCTTCTCTCCAGTCCTCCCACCCATCCTGCAAAAGGACGTACCAGTATCCCCATTTACAAATGGGGTTCAGAGAGGTCAGCTAACCTGGCCAAAGGTCACACAGCTGGAAAGAGGCAGTGGCAGACTCCAAACTCGAAGGGCCCCGTCTCAATGCCTCTCAGTATTTCTTGTATGCACGAAAGGGACTGTTTGTTTCTCAGTCCCCAAAGACGCGCTGAGTCACGGTAGAAATTATGCATTCAGGATACTGAGTGGGGAATTATGACAAATGCTTTCTTTGCAGTTCCTTTAAGGACTGTGTCTCTCTTGATATAGCTTTCTGGCTTAAAAAACGTTTGCCTAGTGCCTGCATCTGTTTACAGAAAATCTGACGTGTTGGTAAATTTGCACCTTGAGTGTCCTCCAAGTAACAGCTTTAGTCCAAACCCAGGTTCTAAGGGCAACCATCCCTAGCCTTTTAATCACATACATCACTCTCTATTACTTAATCATTGTTATTATTATTATTATTGAGACAGAGTCTTGCTCTGTAGCTCAGGCTGGGGTGCAGTGGCCCAACTGCTGCTCATTGCAACTTCTATCTCCCGGGTTCAAGCAATTCTCCTGCCTCAGCCTCCCGAGTAGCTGGGACTACAGGAGTGCGCCACCACACCCAGCTAATTTTTGTATTTTTAGTAGAGACGGGGTTTCACCATATTGGTCAGGCTGGTCTGGAGATGCCTTTTTCATCAACAGATCAGCATGGCCATGTGTGGCCCTGAAGGCTTAAGGTTGCTAGATCTTTCCATTTATCTTGAGGGAAGCTGGAGATCTTGAAATTTAAATACAAGCATCTGATTTTTAATTATTAGCAACTAATTCAGAAAATTCAAGCATCTAGCCTGGGCCTGGCATCTTGCTGGCTTTAGTCTCCATGCTAAGAGTGAAAGTGAGCATGTGTAGGGTCTTACCACCTCTTCTTCCTTTACGAGTCTAAATGGCTATCAGGAATCAAAGACACATGGACTTTTTGTTAGAGGGACTAAGGAGTGTCAGTATCACAACTGAAATGGAGAGTACAAAAAAAAAAAAAAGGCTGGACTTGGTTGAGGGGACAGTGTGGAAAAACTGATGTGGGACTGTGACCTCAGTGGGACATCGGACTGGTGATGCCCATTGTAGTTTCCCGGGGCTGCCCTAACAAAGTCACACAGCTGGGGGGCTTAAACAGCAGAAACTTACTGTCTCATAGTGCCGGAGGCTGGAGGTCCAAGATCCAGGCGTTGGCAGGGTTCGTTTCTTCTGAGGGCTGAGAAGGAAGAATCTATTCCATGCCTTTCTTCTGGCTCCTAGGGAATTGCCGGTAATTCATGTTCCTTGGCCTTGAGATGCATCACCTGTCTTTACGTCCATGTTCCCTTGGCATTCTTCTAGTGTGCATGTCTATCTGTGGGTCTGAACGTCCTCTTTTTATACGGACACAGTCATGTTGGATTAGGGCACGCTCTAATGACCTCACTTTAACTTGATAATTTGCAAAGACCCTATTTCCAAATAAGGCCACATTCACAAGTCCTGGGGCTTAGGAATTCAACCTATTTTGGGGGATACAATGTAATCCATAATATCTACTTAGCAATTGAGTATAGGATTCTGAAATTCTGAAGAGAGGCTTGATTTAGGTATAATTGGCATTTAGGTGGCTGTTCAACGCAGAAAGTAACGTAAAGAACAATGTTCAGGTGAGTCTTGTTTGGGGATTTAAAAGATGAAAGATTCTAAGGATGTGTAATATACGAAGTTTGGTGCTTCTCAAACTTTAATGTCCATAAAGTAGAAATACTGGTATTCAACTTACAATCCCAATTATTACATTATTATTATTTGAAGGGCTCCAGAAGGAGATCTGTGTTTTTCAGTATTTTTTCCCCATTCTCATTCCAGGAAGAAGTTCCAAAATACATTAGAGAAACTATTAATTTTTTTTTCCAAATGGACTTTTCTCACCCCACAAGTTGGCCTCCCTTGGGGTGACTCCTGCCCTCTCCTCTGCCTTCCCACACTCAGCAATGTGTCTTGGTTGAAGATACTGGTTGGAGGTTTAAGATCAATGCCCTTCGTCCTGACAGGCAGTGAACTGGTTTTTCAGAACCTTTCTCATGACTCCAGGAAGTGCACATGTAATTAAACTGAGTCTGTGTTGGGTTTCAGATTAGTGAAGTGTGCCTGTGGCAAAAGGTCTCTTCCTTCCTGAGAGACGCAGCGGTGTAATTAGAATCCGGAGACGGATTCATCAGCATTTCTTACCAGCGTTTCTACAGGATGCTCCAATATTCATCTGGGCCTAGTTCTGCTTCCTGGGAGACCATGGGATGTTGTTGCTGGATGCCATCTGCTGGCAAAATGCAGGGGTTCCTCTCGGGTCACTTGGGTGACACTGGGGGTTCAGTCCATTCCAAGCAAGTTAGCTGAGAGCCCAGGTAAAAGTCAGTAGCAGGCTGGTAAGTGTCTGTCCTTATTTCCAAGTCAGTATTAAAATGGTCCAGGCGTAAGGCTGGCTCCAAATCCCTCTGAAGGTCATTGTTCATGCATTAGCAGTTCAGCAAACATTTGTAGAGCATCTGGTACATGTCAGGCCATTCCACCTTCACTTAGCATCCTTTCGGTGAGGGCAGTGGTACCTGGCACACAGGCTGGGGGATTTTTATCATGAGCTGAAGTCAGAGCACTTTTTCCCCTGGCCTTTCCATTCATCCACCCCATCCCTAAAAGTCAACTGAAACCCTGGAGAAACAAGTTGCAGTTATTCCTTGTTAAATCTGTAATTTATTCCCATTAATCCTTTTTGAAGACAATGGCAAATCTGTAAAATGTTCAAATACACACAGGAAATAGCAGGCCGGAATTTTCAGCTTTTGTCTTAGAACAGGAGTCAGCAGACTTCTTCTGTAAAGAGTTAGACTGTAAATATTAGGTTGGTGCAAAAGTAATTACGGTTTTTGCTATTGAAAGTGATGGCCAAAAGTGCAACTACTTTTGCACCAACCTAATAGTTTAGGCTTTTGGAGCTGCACAGTTTCTGTTGCAACCACTCAGCTCTGCCCTTGAGGTTGGAAAGTAGCCACAGATGATGCATAAATGAATGGGCGTGGTAGTGTTTTTACAAAAGCAGACTGGCAGCTGTCTTTGGACCCAGGACCCCTGTCTTAGAGAAATCAGGTTTTGTGATGCTGTCGGACCCCAATAAGGGAAAACTCTAAATTCCCTTTCATGGCCTACAAGGTCCTGCATGACCAGATCCCTGCCCTCCTCTTTGTCTTCAGCATCTATGCTTCTTATTGCTAATTAAACTTCAGCTATCCCTTCCGCCTTCTGGCTCTTAGTCATGCCAAGTGTGTGGCAACTTTAGGACTTTTGCAAAGCTGTTCTTTCAGTTTCAACGGCACCAGTGGAGCTGGACTCCATCCTTTTCAGTTTCTCCCACTTCTATCAACTTTTCCAAATAAGTCGAGGAGTTTACGTGATCTCACAATGGGGTGAGATATCTCATGATATGAGGTAGGGCAGTCATCTGCTCATTTTCTAGATGCAGTAATTTCTCCATTTCAGTCAGTGATAGCAACACCAATCAGGTCCTCTAATGAACAATCCAGGTGTCTTCTTCGATTCCTCCCCAGCCTCATCTCTACAGCCAACAGACTGCCAAATTCTGCCAAATTTGCCTCCTGAATTGTTTTCAAATCCAACTTTTCCTCTTTCTTAATTGAACCTATTGTCATTTCTTGCCTAGACTACCCCAAAGGCATGCTTACTGGACTCTTCACTTGCAGACTTGGACCCCTGTAATTCATCCATCCATCCATCCATTCATCCATCCATCCATTCATCTCATTCATCCATCCACTCACCCACCCAGTCCATCCATCCATGATCCATCCATCCATCCACTCATCCAGTCCATTCATCCATCCATCCATCCATCATCCATCCATCCACTCACCCAGTCCATCTATCCATCCATTCATCCCATTCATCCATCCACTCACCCACCCAGTCCATCCATCCATGATCCATCCATCCATCTACTCATCCAGTCCATTCATCCATCCATCCATCCATCATCCATCCATCCACCCACCCAGTCCATCTATTCATCCATCCATCCATCCATCCATCCATCCATCCCATTCATCCATCCACTCATCCACCCAGTCCATCCATCCATCCACTCACCTAGTCCGTCCATCCATCCATCCATCCATCCATGCATCCCATTCATCCATCCACTCATCCGCCCAGCCCATCCATCCATGTTCCTAGTCCATTCATCCATTCATCCATCCACCCATCCATCCATCCACCCACCGAGTCTGTCTGTCCTTCCATCCATCCACCCACCCAGCCTGTCCATCCATCCATCCACCAACCACCCACTCGCTCAGCCAGTCCATTCATCCATCCTTTCATCTGTCTGTCCAATTCACTTATCTTTTTATCCATCCATTAATTGACTCATCCCATCCATGTTTTCATCCACTCAACCCATCTTTCCATATATCCACCCATCTTCTCATTCATCCCTCCATTTATCCATCCAGTGTATCTACTTAGTACCAGGTGGTGTAAGTAGTGAAAAAAAATATTTAGAACCTGCCCTCCTGGATCTTTTAGTTTAATTTGGAAAAGGGATGCTAAACAAACTACACAAATACATGCATATTAATAAACTGGAATAAATGCTATAAAAGAAAAGTTTTGCCTGAGAAAGCATAACTGGGTTTAAACTCAGATCCAAGGAACTGCATGAATTGCTGGGAGAGGCATGAGAACAGGGGTATGGACAGGAAGACTAGCATGTGGGGAAGCCTTCAGCTACAGTCTGCTTTCTCTAGGGGATGCAGGAACAGGGAGAATGGGTGAGAATAAAGGGAGATAAGGTTGAAGAAGGAGGTAGGCCAGACTGCAGTGAGTCCTGAAGGTCTCACTGACTTGCAATGGGGAAAGTCCTTGGCAAGTCTTCAGCAGACGAGCCACACAGTTCCAAGTACATCTTAAGAAGCACACTCTAGATGCAGAATGAAGATTCACTTGGGAGAGGCAGGGAGCGGGTATGAGACGCAGATGTGAGCAGGTAAGTTAGGAATGTATTGCCACAATCTACATGACAGGGATGTTGCAGAAGAGACAGAGAGAGAAATGGACCCAGCAGTGATATTCAGGATGTAGAATTGGAAGGTCTTGCTGCTGGTTGAAATGTGAGAATGAGAACTAACCTTTTTCAAGCTCTTCGGGACCAAGCCTGAACCAGCCTCAGTGGCCTGAGCTTTCCAGAAGGAAATAATGCTTTCTTTAATGATGAGGATAGTAATAAGATAATTAGCACTGAACAAGCACCTACTCTACAAGCACCAGGTACTTTATTATGTATTACACATCATTCCATTTAGGAGAACCTGTTGGATAGATACTATCATTAGCCCCATTTTAGAGACGGGGAAAAATGAGGCACACAGAGGTTTAGGTGATGTGCTCAATGTTCCATAGCTGTTGGTAGACCCAGGATTCAACTCTAGAACCCCAATGATTAGAAGCCCATGTCCTTGACCATCTGGACAGGACCATTTCCAGTATTCCACATTTCACAGGATCCTATTCCATGTTTTTGGAGCCAGAGAACTCCGGCGTAGACACCCCTCTGCCACCCCGGAGAGAAACCTCATAGGATTCCAGACGCATAAGTAAAGTCTGGAGGCTGAGCTCCGCTGATCTGCTGCAGTCTTTATTGCTCTACAAATGCATTATTAATCAGCCACTGGGGTCCTCCCCATAGAGCCTTTTAAATTACAGTTAAATTCCTTGATAGCGTTTCATGCACCTAATGGTGCAGTTCCTGTGTTCACGGCAATAAACAAGGGGAGAGAGGGAGGCCTGGATAACCAGGTTAATTGCTCTTTGAGGTTTAGGCTGAGAAAGCAATGGCAACAGCACCTCTAAATTCTCCAGGTCCCTCACTGCAATGCTAATAAAGTCTTGAAACAAACAGCGCTGTCAAGCCAGCATCAGGAGTAGAGACTACAGTTTCTTCATGCCTGGCCCACTGCCGTGGCTTCGCTGGGCCTCCAGGTCACCTTGCCAGGGCCCTCCTTCTTGGGAGCTTTCAGTGTGAGTGCGTGAGTGCATGGAGATTTGGTTTTTAATGGCCATAAAATTTCAGTTTTGCAAAACGAAAAAGTTCTGGAGATGGGTTGCACAATCAATGCAACAATGAGGAGAGGGAGGACAAGAGGCAGCATTGACGTTGGAACTGATGGGGCACCCCTGGGAACTTGCTGCTTCCTTACGAGTCTCTTACTCCCAGGTTATGAAACGGTTGACTTTTAGGGGATACAGTGTGGGGAAGAGGCAGTTAACTAGCCTATCTTCTGGAACTGTCTTCTCCACATGCTGGAGTTGGAAGGTGATAGCAGCCAGGGAGCTCTCCAAAGCAGGAGTATTAGTCTTTCACACTGTTGATAGAGTCATACCCGAGACTGGGTAATTTACAAAGAAAAAGAGGTTTAATGGACTCACAGTTCCATGTGGCGGGGAAGACCTCACAAGTATGGTAGAAGGTGAAAGGCACGTCCTACATGGCCGCAGGCAAGAGATAACTTCAGCTGGGGAACTCCTCTTTATAAAACCATCAGATCTCCTGGGACTTATTCACCATCATAAGAACAGCAAAAGAAAGACCCACCCCCGTGATTCAATTACCTCCCACTAGGTCCCTCCCATGACACATGGGAATTGTGGGAGTACAATTCAAGATGAGATTTGGGTGGGGACACAGCCAAACCATATGAGCAGGGGTTGGCGAATTATGGTCTTGGGCCAAACCCAGCCATCCATTTTGTAAACAACATTTTATCAGAGCACAGACATGCCTATTCATTTATGCACTATCTACACATTGAGTTGAGTAGTTAGGACAGAGACCTTCTACTCTGCAAAACCTGAACTATTTATTATCTAGCCTTTTACAGAAAGTTTGTCAATCCCTATGTTAAAGTGTAAATCAGATTGTGCTACCGTCTTGCTCAAGACCCATCCAGGGCTCCCTACGACCCTAGAGTAAAGGTCAAATGACTTATCTGGAACAAATCATCTAGCCTCACTCTGCAGGAGAATTGTCATCTGTGAAATGGGAGAATGAAGAAGCCTACTTCACCAATTTAGAGCAAGATTTAAATGAGGCAATGCATGTTTCAGAAGAGCTATTTTTAAAAAATGGTAAAACACACAACATAAAATTTACCGTCTTAATCATTTTAAGTGCACAATAGTGTTAAGTATATTCATATTGTTGTGCAACCAATCTCCACAACTTTTTCATTTTGCAGAATTGAAATTCTACGGCCATTAAAAAACAAATCCCTGTTTCTCTCTCCCTCAAGCCCCTAGGTCTCACCATCCTACTCCTGTCTCTAGGAATTTAATTACTCTAGATACCTTGTGTAAGGGGGAATCACACAGTATCTGATCTATGGTGACTGGCTTATTTCACTTAGCGTGAAGTCCCCCAGGTGCATCCATGTTGCAGCATGCGATAGGGTCTTCTCCCTTTTTAAGGCTGGCTAGTATTCCACTGTATGTGTAGACCACATTTTGTTTATCCTTTCATCTGTTCATGGACACCTGTGTTGCCTCCACCTTTTGACTACTCTGAATAATGCTCCTATAAACAAAGGTGTACAAATGTCTCTTTAAGACTCTGCCTTCAATTCTTCTAGGTACACACCCAGAAGAGCTAACTTTTATTGAGCACTTTCTAGAGACAGCCTCTGCTTTAATAATTCACACAGATCCTCTCATTCTATCCTCACAACAGCCCTACAAGGTGAGAACTATTAAGACTATCATCATTAGGGTGACCAGATAACTTATTATGGTCAGTTTATGAAAAGCCTGCCAATCCCTTTGTTAAAGTCTAAATGAGATCACAGCACTGTCTTGCTCAAAACCCATGCATGGCTCCCTAAAGGTCAAACGAATTATCTGAAACAAATCATCCAGTCTCACTCTATAGGAGAATCCTCATCAGGTTAGAGTGAGACTGGAGAACTCTTGAGAGGAAAAAGGGGCTCCATTACTAACTATACCAGGATGACAGGCACAGATCGGGATTGTCCTGGGCAAACCAGATACCAATCATCATCCCCATTCTATAGATTAAAGATCAAGCAACAGAGCAGTGAAGTCCCTTGCACAAGGTCCCGAGTGAGGGAGGGGCACAGCTAAAATTCAAACCCAAGCCGACCGACTCAAGCTTTCACTGCTAAGCACAGTTCTATGTGCTTAGCACAAGGAGCGGCAACGGTCAGCAATCAATGTGAGGTGTCTCATTATGGACTCTTCAGGCTGGGGAGAGGGGTCTTCAGGACGCAAAGGGTCATCAAGGGCTGAGAAAGTCAGAGGGGTGAGGGGGAGGCTTTTCACACCCAGGAGTGAGACTGTGGATGCCAATGTGTCCATACCAAATGTGAACTTGCCCCATGGAGAGAAGCAGATGCCCAGGTCTCCCACCATGCTTGGCCACGGCACCATGGACATTTTGGACTGGAAAATCATTGTGGGGATGTCCTGTGCATTGCAGGATGCTGAGCAGTATCCTTCGTGTCTACGCTTTAGATGCCAGTAGTACCCCCTTTCCCAGTCGAGACAACCAAATGTCTCTAGGCATGTCCAGACGTCCCGAGGGGCTCAGTAGCATTGGTTGCAAACCACTGAATCAGGGAAAGGGCAGAACTAGGGGGAACAGGATGTTCTCCCAGGTCCGGGCTTCTCAAAGTGTAGTTCTGGAGGGCAGCAGCCTCTGGCAGAAGTGTGATTTCTCAGGTTCTGTCCTCGACCTGGGTCAGAATCCCTGGGGGTGGGGCCTTGGGGGGTCTGTTGCCAACACAAGCCCAAGTGTGGCCGGCAAGCACTGTCCTTGACCACGCAAGAAAATTGCTGGGATCTCGGAGGACTAGGCACGAGAGATGTTACTAACGTGAAACCTGAAGAGGGATCCCAGGCAGAATGCAGGATGGAAGATGAGGATGTTTTAGAGGCTGTCAAGGTCCTGTTGGTGACCAATACAGGATATACTGTTATAACCAATACAGGCTTTTCACAGGGCAGTTTGATGCTGTCTATCACAATTTAAAATGGGCAAGCTGTTTGACCTGCCAATTCTATTCTTCAGATGCTCTGTAGCAGCCAGTCTCAACTCAGGATCCCCAAGAGAATTAAGCTCGAATGTCCTGGGGCATCCGTTGTAGGTAGCAAATTAGCTTTTCTCTGATGTATCCAGAATGGTACTAGTTATGTACATCTTTGAGAGATCTGAGAAAACAGTCACTTAGTATAGTAAAAAACTGGCAACAACCTAAATGTCCCTCAATAGGGGAATGACCAATTACACTGTGGTGTATCCATACCCAGAGTTATATGGTCAGCTACTATAAAGAAATAACTTAGGTCTCTAGCTCCAGGCAAGGAAACAGACCTCAGACCTGGACATGTGCAACAACAACAAAAAAATCATCTAACTTGTGAATTCTTTCATCCCACAGCCAGATACTATTAATATATTTTTTACAAGTTTCAGATTTATACATCAGTTTCATATGATTTATGAATCTCTTGTCACAAAACCACACTCTTTTTTTTGACATGTGTTGAGTTTAGATATCTAAAGAAAAACAAAAATGTACACACAAGTGCCACTGCTCAGATGGGACTGACGGATCAGGGTGGATTTTCCCCTTATCTGCAATGTTTCAGTATTTTAAAATAATGAGAATGTATACAGCCTTGACTTGAGGAATTAGATTTTAACAAGCATCCTTTCTGCATTATTTGGGCAAGTTCTTAAAAATCGTGAGGAGAATTCTCCTTTCCCTGCCTTCTCACCATCTTTTCACTTTGGTCGCTGCAAATATCACCGGGGACTGGCTCTTGGCAGCCTCCCAGTTCCTCTGAAAGGTTTCTCACTCTATCCATGCCACACTTGGAGGTGAGCTATTAATTTGCGCTTTGTGGCTCAGCTCGATTCTGATTTAGGGCAACATAAACCCTCCTCAAAATTGCGAAGAATAAATTAGTTTACTAATTTCGCCATTAAGAGTTTATCAAAGCAAGCACTATTTCAATCGTCTCTTAATCAATCACCATTTTCCGTGTTTATCTCCTGTTCAATTTTTACCAGAGGGTTCTATACACATCAATTTGTCTGATGTTCTTCCTACATATGTTTTAAATTACTTTATCATTGTATAAATTTCACAGCCATTAAAAGGCTCTAACACCAGAATGACTGACATGGTGTTAAAAATTGAATTCAATTCCACGGGGTAATAAATTGTGACCTAAATCCAATCTCTCATGGGTGACTGAAGGATACAATGAAAAATTATTGCTTTGTCATTTTTACACTAACACAAATATACCACAGCAACTAGAAACTGGCAGAGAAATGGGAGGTAACCGCGGCTGGCTATTTCTCACCCCAGGCAATGAACTGACTTCAAACACAAGTCCTTAGCGTCTTGGATGGGATTGGCGCCCCCGCCTCCAAAAGCAGGTGAATTATCTGACTGTGTGGGTGGGTCTCATTGCAACAGACAGATTGAGCACAAGGAGCAAATGTAAGCTGCAAAGGGCTTGCTTCAGCCTGAATGCAGCTGCTCCTATAGACACCAAAGTGCAGTGGTTAAGCCCCTTGCCACGCCACTGGAACCAAAGTCTCTGAGCTCAGAGCCTGGCTCTGCTACTGGTGAAATGTGTAATTCTGGGTAAGTTTTCTGTGTCTCAACTTCTTTGAATACAAAGTTGTTATGAGGAATAAATGAGTTAATGTGGCTAAACCTTCTTAGGATAGCCCTTGGCATTTAACAATCCCTACGTAGAGGTTAAGTGTTATTATTTAAGAGCAGTTTCTTGTATAGAGACCTTAGCTCCCTGTTCTTTCTGGCTGCAGAGATGGAGAGTAACAAGTATCAATAGCTAGAGAAAGGTGTTGATTAACATGCAGTGCATTTTCCTTTATCTCTGGAGAAGCTAGATCAGTCATTTAACACATCTGGTTCCACATTTACTAAGGGTACCACAGAGCAGACAAGTTAAGGTGTGGGTTTTGAAGTTAGGCAGAAGTGGGTTTGAGTCTAAGGTCTGTCACTTGCAAATGTGACCCTGGGCAAGCTACTTAACCTCTCTGAGGATCAGTTTCTTCGTCTGTTCAATGGAACTAGAGAACATCCCTTCTCCAGGGCTGTGCAGGAGTCGCGATGAGATCACACATGCAAAGTGCTCGCCTCCACACCTGGCATTCAGGAAGTGCCTAAGAAATGTGGGTTCTCGTGTCCTAGCCCCGTGCAGGCAGGGGCTGGAGATCCAGTGGTGGAGACTCAGGATATGCTATAGCAGCCAGTCTCACCTAAGGGTCCCCAACAGAATTAAGGGTACTCAGCCCTTGTGGCTCAGTGTGGGCTACAGAGCACTCCAGCAACCACGCTATCCTGTGACATGTACCCCAGCAGGGAACAGGCAAGGTGGTTTGGGGGCACACAGCTTGAGCACCTCACACAGACTTGGAGAGGTGCAGTGTGGGGAGACAGCATCACAGAAGGCTTCCAGGAGGAAGTGGCATTGATATGAATTCCTAGCCCTGGACTGCCAAGTAATTTGAGAGAGGAGAAAAGGCCAGCTAGTTTTGTTGACTTATGCAGAAAGGAGAGATAGCTAGTCTTTTCACTCTAGGGCTTATTTCATTCATTCATTCATTTATTCATTCACTCATTCACTCATTCATTCATTCAAGGGCCATGTCTGGGCTCCTTCCTTCTTGCACTAAGTCTCTGTCTTGGGGACCCTGGGTGGCAGACACACAATCAGTTGTGCCCAAGGGAGCAAGCCTCTCATGGAGCAAGAATTCTATGTGCTCTTCGAATCTCCATTCTCTGCCTTGTTCTGGGGCAGCTACTGGGCAAGAACTCATGGAACGCCAAGAAAATCATCACAAACCACCCTGCCATGGAAGCGAGTCTCCCATGCCCACCTGCAGGCTTCCAGAACCACAAGAGCTGCCAATCGAGAGGTGGCCTATGGCTGACTTGTAACAGGTGCTTGGTAAATATTTGCTGGCTAGACCGATGGATTAATGAAAGTACACTCAAATACGGTATTTTATTCAGCAACCTGAGGAGGCAGGGGAGGCCCTTGTGCAATCTGTTTTATAGGAAAGACGTGAGGCTCAGAGAACACAAGTGCCTTGTTCAAGGCTTTCGCAGCCGATAAAGTGGCAGAGGGGCCGCAAGTCTTTTGAGTTTGGTTCAAAGGCTTCTCCTAATCCAGGGTCAGGTCAATGATAGTGAAACAGCCCAGGACACTGAGTCTATGACATTGCTGGAGGCACTGAGGATTTCCTTCCATGGCTTGGATGTCATGAGAAACAGCACTGTAAGAGGAGGAAAGACCTCCCAAAGATGTGTACCCTAAATCCAGGGCTAAGAACTTGGGGGCAGGGGTTGCTTTCCTGATCCAAGATGACCTCTTGTTCAGGGCTCAAAAGTGGAAGAAGCATGATTCTGTAGAGAGAGGATGTGAGACCTGCCCCCCAGTCCCAGCCTGCCAGACCCTTACCTTTGGGGCTGATATAGTTTGGCTGTGTCCCCACCCAAATCTTAAATTGTAGCTCCCATAATTCCCATGTGTCATGGGAGGAACCTGGTGGGAGGTAACTGAATCATGGGGGTGAGTTTTTCCCTTGCTGTTCTCGTGATAGTGAATAAGTCTCATGAGATCAGATGGTTTTATAAAGAGGAATCTCCCTGCACAAGCTCTTTCTCTTGCCTGCCACACTATAAGATGTCTTTTGCCTTCCGCCATGATTTTGAGGCCTCCTCGGCCACATGGAACTGTGAGTCCATTAAACCTATTTTTCTTTATAAATTACCCAGTCTCAAGTAAGTCTTTATCAGCAGCATGAGAACAGACTAATACAGGGGGGCCTACCTTCCCCTCAGGTCTCTGGCAATTTCAGTTCAGTACTGAGAGATGCCTCTACCTCCATTCTCCTTGCTCAAAGCAAAGACACAGATCCTCTAAACCTAGCACTTTTAGGAATTACAACTTGGCCTACGAGCAGATTAACCTTTTTGCTTATAGGAAGAGCTCCCCTGTTGGTCTTGTGAGTGTTTTAAACTATCAACACCTCTGCCTACCCGAGGGCCTTTGCACACGATACTCCCTTGACCTGGAATGTCCCCCTCCAGCTTTTCCTCTAGTTAACTTTCACCACCCTTCATCTCTTAGCTCAACTATAAAACACAACTATGCAACTCCCCAGAATTGCTGTTGCAATTTTACATGTGAATTTTTTTTTTTTTTTTTTTTGAGATGGAGTCTCGCTCTGTCATCCAGGCTGGAGTGCAATGGTGCAATCTCAGCTCACTGCAACCTCCTCCTCCCGGGCTAAAGCAATTCTCATGCCTTAGCCTCCTGAGTAGCTGGCACCCAGGTAATTTTTGTATTTTTAGGAGAGATGGGGTTTCACTATGTTGGCTAGGCTGGTATCAAACTCCTGACCTCAAGCGATCCACCTGCCTCCCAAAGTGCTGTTATTACAGGCATGAGCCACCGCACCTGGCCTACGTGCACATTTTAATGATCGTTTACCCCTGTGTTTCCCTACCCAACTTTAACAGGCCACAAGCTCCCTGAGGACGGGGATTCTATCTGCTTTCCTCCCAAATGAATCCATCCAAACTAGTTCCTGGCATAGACAGGGGATGCTCGATGACTAATTGTTGAATGAGGGTATATTGAAGGGAGCTGGTGACAAACAGTTTCAGGTCCCAGGTGGTGGATGCCATGCTCAGAATACCACCTCCACAGAGATTCTAGATGCCCATTTCCATTGCTTTGCTTGGTGCACACAGGCCTCTGTAGAGACCCCAGTGTGAAGGGAGGTTGAGCCACTGAGGCTAAAAGCAACCACGTTATCTTCTTTCCCAGTGAGGGCAAGACTGAGGATTATGATGTGCCAAGCACGAGATATTCAAAGATGAGTACGATCAGGCCCCTGGCAAGTCTTTCCCCACCATCTAAACCAATGTCAGGCACAAAGCAGCCTCTCAATAAATATTAAATGAATAAAGGAATTCAGCATATCCAAAGACTAGGAACTGTTCCATTTGCAAGCAGCTTAATTCTTAGCAAGTTCTTCCACAATGAGACCAAATCTATTTCTGTTCCTTCTCTAGGCACCTATGTAGTTTTTTTGTTTGTTTGTTTGTTTGTTTGTTTGTTTGTTTTGAGATAAAGTCTTGCTGTGCCACCCAGGTTGGAGTGCAGTGGTGTGATCTCAGCTCACTGCAACCTTGACCTCCCGGGTTGAAGCAATTCTCATGCCTCAGCCTCTTGAGTAGCCGGGATTACAGACATGTGCCACCACACCTGGCTAACTTTTGTTTTGTTTTGTTTTAGTAGAGATGGTGTTTCTCCATGGTGGCCAGGCTGGTCTCAAACTCCTGGCATCAAGCAATGCACCCACCTTGGCCTCCCAAAGTGCTGAGATCACAGGCGTGAGCCACCACACACAGCCTGTAGGCACCTATCTAAATGGTTCCCCACCTCACCTGTCCTCTCATCCTGCTCAACGTCTTCAAATAAATCATAGAGTCATATCCAGACATTAGATTGCAGATGTGGCTATTCACTTGTCACCTCTGGTCTCTCCTATTCAGGTAGAAGCTCCATGAGGGTACAGCCATCTAGACGCCCAATTGATTTCCAGAACCAATGGACATGGTACTCAAGTGGCACAAGGTGTTCTCTGCTCTTGTTCACAGCTCTAACTCCAGGTCCTAGAACAAGGATTGGCAAACCACAGCCTGTAACTATCTATTTTGGCATGGCCCTTGAGCTAAGAATGGGTTGACATCTTAAGTGGGTAGAAAACAAATCAGAAGTAGAACAGCATTTCACAACAAGTGAAAATTATGTGAAACTCACATTTCGGTGACCATAAATGACTTGAACTGAAGCATGCCCACAATGGTCATTTGTTGATGTGTTGTTTATGGCAGCTTTCACGCTACAATGGTAAAGTTGAATAGCTGAGACAGAGACCATGCATTTTACAAAGTCCCAAATATTTATGATCTGGCCCTTTATAGAAACTGTGTGTGTGAGGCCCTGTCCTGGAGCACAGCCTTGAATGTGGTGGCTGACCAATGAATGGGTCTTCTGATGTTCTCTGGATTTGCCAGTCTCTTGCCTTTCCCCAGCAAGCCCAAGGAAGACCTTTGGGACTAGTTTTGTCCAACTCCAATGAACTGTTACTGGATACCTCTTCCTTCCTGGGCTCCTCAGAAGGAGATGCCAAAGGGCCCAGTTGGAACTGCAAGGGCCGCCTTGGGAAAGCCCGTCAACCCCACCCACTTAGCCAAGCTGTTCCTGGTCAATGTGGCTTCATCACATCACCCTCATTAGCGTGGTACCTTTTAACTTTTCACAGCTATTCCCTCATTTTCTCATCATTGGTGATACAGCAAAGGATCTGGGAGAAAGTAGTATCTCTGGCTGACAAATGGGGAAACTGAGGTATTTACCTGGGACCACTTGTGACATCCCCAGTTCTATTTTCCCTCCACTGCGGCTGTCAGCTACGCTTTCTAGAAGCCGGCTACTCACGCTGTGTAGTTACCCCACTGCCCCCAGGGCAGGAGGGATGTAGAAGAGACTGCCCTTAAGCAGCTGGCAGTATCATCTGCCAGTCTCTCTCTGCAGCGAGCGGCCAGCCTTCCCCCCAGAATCCCCATATCCAAAAATCCATTCCTGCAAAGGCTGATGGGTAAAGACGGTTTGTTGCTGCCACAAAGAACCCCCTTCTGTTCATCCTCACCCCTAACACCTGTGCCAGCTTCCCCAGTCATGCGCAATTTCCTTTGCCCATCACCCATTGGAGAACTGCCGACTTCACTCAGATGCCCAGACCGGGGTTCCCCACTCAAGTCCAACCCACCCAGCTCCCAGCCAATCATCTTCCCTGGAACTTCTCACATTTTTCATTTCTAATTCTTCACCTGGATGTCTAGACTGCAGACCCACAGGTCACTTACAGCATCTATGTGGTGGCTTAACCAGACCCAGCAAAGGGGAAGAAATGCAGGAGCAACGCAAGGAGCCAGCAGGGCCTTTCTTGGGACATTTTAACTCAAGACACAGAGAGGCTGGTGGCCGTGAGGGCCACTGCACGGAGGGCGCTTCCTGACATGCAGGTGTTCAAAATGTAATGAGGCAGAAAAAGCTGTGTCACCTGGCAGCTGGCACAGATTGCCTCCTATGGGTCGCAGGTGAAACAGCCTTTATTGGAAAAGATGCTTTGACAATGAAAGGGGCAGAGATGCACCCTTCACCCAGGATCCATGTGTTCCCTGCAACCAGGGCTTCTGGGGAAGAGGTGGTCCTGGAAGGCTTCCCAGAGGAAGCGCATTCAGGGTGGGATCTCCAGAGGCAAGAGGTAACAGCCAAAGTGGGGTGAGTGGGAGTTGTGGGGACAGGGAGGGGGCTGGGGAGGACTGGAAGCTACTGGGGCTGTGTCTGAAGAGCAGACCCAGCAAGACGTGGCTGCACAATGGCTGACACCATCAAAGAAACCCTTTTCCTCTCCTCTCCTTTCCTCTTCTTGTCGCCCCTTCATTTAGACAACTCCTCCATTGCGACGATTAGGTTGGTGCAAAAGTAATTGCAGAAAAAAAAAAGTCATTGTGGTAATACTAACAAGCCAAGCACATCCACTTAACTTCCCCAGTGCACTCAGCATTTTATATGCATTGTCTCATTTCAGCCAACCACGCTATAAAGACAGAAGATGAGTTTTTGTGTCCATTTTACTGTGCAGACTGAGTCACTGAGCGGTTAGGGTTATGTCATGAGTAACGGCAGAGCCAGGAATTAAACCCCATTGCCCAAGCTGTCCTTGACTTTCAATCTGACCTGGTTCATTGCCCTGAAACACTAGGGGTTCCAGTTGAATGACCAGAGACCCTAGGGTGTGTGGCTCAAAACAAATTTCTCGGAGGCCATCACTGGGGGTGATGCAGCAGAGTCCCTTCCCCACACCTCACTGCATCTCCCTCTGCACGGTTGCCAGTGGACAGCCAGAGGAATCCCTCTTCCCCTCGTGAAAACAGCTGTCACCGAAAAGGGATGGAGCTGGGGCTTCCTTCTAAATCCCTTTTCTCTGGAAAGTAAAGGAGAAAAGTCCCGAGAGCAAGGAATGTCTCACAGAAAGCAAACCATCTCCTGGGCTTCTGGACTCGACATTTTCCCTGAGTGGTGGTGGGGTGAGGGGACAGAGAGCGTGAGGGACAGGAGGAGTGGGGGCGCTGTACCAAAGTCAACATTTAAAATCTATTTCTCTTCCCCTGAATTTTTCAGACTTGCAGCCATGAGGAATTGTTTCCTTAATTATATTCAACTTCCAGCACACTCTTGGCTGAAGTTTAGGTGATGTTGCGTAAAGCAAAATGAGAAACACAGGGCATCCATCTGTGTGTATGCTTATATGTATATGAATATTTACTCATATATTAAATTTCCCTCCACCCCTGTCTCCATCTCCTCATTTAGCAAAGAAATAAAAGGACCACTGGGCTGAAGCTCAAATCCCTCCTAAGCAGAGGGAAATCTGGGTGTCATGGTTTCCAGAAAGGGAACACAATCCCCGTATGGGGTGTAATTACATCTTAGCTTTCTGCAGAAGAATAGTTTATGGCTTAAATGCTATTAATTGTAAGCCGTTTTGTTCCATGGGAAGTTGTTCATTGATAACTACCCAATTAGGGTTATTTTGCAATTAGTCTATTCACAGTAAATTTATTGCAAATGGGGGAGTCTGTGGTGTAGCAAATTAAAGCGTCGCTGAGGCTGGGTGTGCAATGGCTTTTAAATGCCAATCTTATTAACCAGCTCACAGGTCCTGGGAGGGTGCGCTATCCTGGCCAGTGCACTAAAGGCCTCAGGACAAACTCCGGCAAACTCACACTGCAAAGCCATCCGGAGATAACCTCAGCATGACCAGGAGAAGTGCAGGAACCCCTGGCCTAAGATGCTGAGGTTCTGATTTTTTTGAACAACTGTGGAGCAGTCATAAAGCAAATAGGGATGCAATGTACATTAGCACTACCAGGTACAGTTCTTAGCTGTGTACTAGGCCCTTGGAAACCCTCTAAGCTAAGTGTGATGATGCTCATCTCCCCTTTACAGATGGAGAAACTGAGGCACAGAGAGGTCAAGCAACTTGCCCAAAGTCCTACAGCTTGTGCACGGGACACCTGGGATTCAGATCCACGTGGTCTGCCTCCACCACCCCAGGCTCTTAAGCACTGACAGCATCAGCACCCCTGGCTTCCCAATAATGCCCTGCCTTCTTCTCCCTTGCAACTTGAGAGAGAGAGAGAGAGAGAGAGAGAGAGAGAGAGAGAGCGAGCCTGCAGGTGGAAGAACACCTCTGGGGCTTGACAATGTGAGATAAAGTGACCCTTCTGCCTCCCCAAGAGGGACAGGCTTATGGAAAGGGATACAGGCTCTGTAACATGAGTTCCAGTACCAGCTCTGTCATCTGCTGGCCATGTGTTTCTGGCCAAGGACTCCCCTTCCTTGAGCCTCGATTTCCTCACTGACAAAAAGGGTTCACAATAGACTCAGCCTGTAGGGCTGGTGTGGGGACACAGTGTGACAAGGCAGTGTTGCACATATTAGCACAGGTGACCCTTGAACAGCACAGGTTTGAACCACACGGGTCCATTTATAAACAGATTTTCTTCCCTCCTGCCATCCCTGAGACAGCAGTAATACCAACCTCTCCTCCTTCTTCTCCTCCTTTTCCTCAACTCAACATAAAGACAAGGATGAAGGCCTTTATGATGATCCACTTCCACTTAATGAACAGTAAATATACTTTCTCCTCCTTATGATTTTCTTAACTTCTTTTCTCTAGCTTACTTACATTTATTTATTTATTTACAATTTTTTGTTGACAGAGTCCCGCCCTGTTGCCTAGGCTGGAGTGCAATGGCACAATCTCAGCTCACTGCAGCCTCCACCTCCCAAGCTTAAGCGATTCTCCTGCCTCAGCCTCCCGAGTAGCTGGGATTACAGGCATGCGCCACCACACCCAGCTAAGTTTTGTATTTTCAGTAGAGACAGGGTTTTACCATGTGGCCCAGGCTGGTCTTGAACTGATGACCTCGGGTGATCCACCTGCCTCGGCCTCCCAAAGTGCTGGGATTACAGGCATGAGCCACCGTGCCTGGCCTAGCTTACTTTATTATAAGAATACAGTAAATAATGGAAGTAACATATAAAATATGTGTTTATCAACTGTTTATGTTACCAGTAAGCTTTCAGTCAACACAGGCTATTATCAGTTAAGGTTTTCAGGGAGTCAAAAGTTGTGCTCTATTTTTTGACTGCAAGGAGGTTGGCACCCCTAACCCCAGAATTCTTCAAGGGTCAACTATAGACAGTGATAGCATTTTGCAGGGTTAAGAAAACTAAAAGCCCAAGGGCCAAATCCGGCCCATGGCCTATTCTTTCTTTTTCCTTTTTTTCTTTTTCTTTTTTTTTTTTTTTTTTGAGATGGAGTCTTGCTCTGTTGCCCAGGCTGGAGGGCAGTGGCATGATCTCAGCTCACTGCAACCTCTGCCCCTTGGGTTCAAGCAATTCTCCTGCCTCAGCCTCTAGAGTAGCTGGGATTACAGGTGCACACCACCATGCCCAGCTAATTTTTTTGTATTTTTAGTAGAGATGAGGTTTCGCCATGTTGGCCAGGCTGGTCTCGAACTCCTGATCTCAAATGATCTGCCTACCTCAGTCTCCCAAAGTGCTGGGATTACAGGCATGAACCACCACACCCAGCCAGCCTATTTTTATAAGTTAGGTTTAATGGGAACATAGCGCATTTGTGTATGTGTGGTCTCTGGCTGCTTCTGCCCTATGACGGATGGCAGACTTGAATAGCTGTGACAAAGACTGGCCCCCAAATCCTCAAATGCCTAAGATCTGGCCCTTCACAGAACAAATGTGCTGTCTCTGATATACAGAAGGAGCTCAATATTTCGTTCATGGAATGGCATTCAACTCAGGCCTCCAAAACTTCTCCACCAGGCACAGGTTAACAAAAGATGCTGGAAACGTTGCACTCCACTTAATTATTGCTACACTCTGTGTGCCAAATCTAATCAAGAATATAGACAGGAACCACCTCGACCACTTAGACAAGGGTGAAACAGCAAGGCAGAAAGGAAGCTTTTCTTTCTAAATCTTTCTATTTAAAAGTATCGTGTAGGCCAGGCACTGTGGCTCATGCCTGTAATCCCAGCACTTTGGGAGGCCGAGGTGTGTGGATCATTTGAGGTCAGGAGTTTGAGACCAACGGGGCCAACATGGTGAAACCCCACCTCTACTAAAAATACAAAAATTATCCAGGAGAGGTGGCAGGCACCTGTAATCTCAGCTACTCGGGAGGCTAAGGCAGGAGAATCACTTGAACCTAAGAGTTGAAGGTTGCAGTGATCTAAGATGGCACCACTGCACTCCAGCCTGGGCGACAGAGCGAGACTGTCTCAAAAAAACAAAACAAAACAAAACAGATAGAAAACAAAAGTATTGCACAGACACATGCTTGCTACTAGAAACTAAAATAATATAGATGCACTTGTTAAAGTTGTCCCTGCTGCCACCCTGTCCCTGCAGATGGGGGGGCCATAAGGAAGGTTTGCTGTCTATCCATCCAGCCCTCTTTCTGTGCAATGAGTGTAGGTGGCCACCTCCTATTTGATCTAAATCCTCTATTCTGTGACCAGTGGTAAACACAGAGGCACATATTTAAAATGAAAAACACCTCTAATTAACTGGGGGACCTGGCATAAGTCTCCTCCCCTCTATGAGCCTCATGTTCTTATCTGTCCAGGGAATCGAATGAAGAGTTCTCACCAGGCGCGGTGGCTCACCCCTGTAATCCCAGCACTTTGGGGGGCCGAGGCGGGTGGATCACTAGGTCAGGAGTTCAAGACCAGCCTGGCCAAGATGGTGAAACCCTGTCTCTACTAAAAATACAAAAATTAGCTGGGTGTGATGGCGGGCGCCTGTAATCCCAGTTACTCGGGAGGCTGAGGCAGGGAACTGCTTGAACCTGGGAGGTGGAGGTTGCAGTGAGCCGAGATCATGCCACTGCACTCCAGCATGATGACAGAGTGAGACTCCGTCTCGAAAAAAAAAACAAAAAAAAGAGTAGCGAATGAAGAGTTCTCTTAAGAGGTCTTTTTAGTCTACTTTTCTGGGGAGCCATTCTCTTGCTGCACTTCCTTTCTTCATCAAGAGAGTTGGGTGAATTGACCATTTGCCTTCTCAGGAGGACACCAGGCAAAGCCTTGCATGGCTCCCGGATGCACCGATGCCGGTGGAACGGAAAGCCCTTCCTCCCCAATTCTGCAGCTGGCTTGATTCTCTGACTTTATGCCTTGACATTGAGCAGCACCTCAGTGGATCCCTTCCAGCTGCATCTGTTGACCCTGACACCTCCCCAATCTCCATCTAGCTCGACTCTGACATGCCCCCAACCCCATCGGAGCCCCCAGAGCTCTCTGTTGCCTCCTTGCTGGCCTCCGTGCTCATTTAAGGGTCTTTTCCCTTCGGAGATAACAAAAGCAGGGGTTGGTATTTGGATTTAGAAGCGACAAGGGGGTACTGTGAACCTTTGGCCACTTTGTGAGGGACAGCTGGGCTGGCCTTGCAGTGTGGCCCAATGAGAAGGAGGGATGGCCAGGAGTAAAGAGTGAAGTAGGCTCCCAGGGAAGGTGGAGCAAAAAGACCCCTAGAATGCAAGCTGCTCCCTGGACAGATAAGAAATCTAGGCCCTGAGAGCAGAAAGGACTCTCCCTGTTAGCTGGTAGCTGAGCTTGAATGAAATCCACACCCGTTTATTTCAAATGCATTCCTCTCTGTTTGTTGCTAGTGGCACCAACTCTTCGTGGGAAGGTGCCTTTTGGATGCTATCCGCCCTCTCCACAGAGAAAACCACTGAGCAAACGAATTCACAAACATTTTGAGAATATCTTCTCCAAGGAAAAAAGTAAAATTTAAGAGTGCTCCCAGAGGCTGGATTATCGTAAGCTATGGTGGCAGGGGCTAGCGGGAGGGAAGGGGGCGTGCCCTAAACAACAGTGACCACGAGTCAATAAACAGCGACCACGTGGCTGGGTGATGGTACATTGGGGTTCTCTCTACTCTGAGTGGGTCCGAAATTTCCTGCCATAACAGTAAGCTTGTAAGATCACTTAAAGGCCATGTGACCTTGGGAGAGGGATTTTACATCTCTCATCTGAAAAAAATTGGGCTCATGACATCAGCATCAGCCTCAGAGAGTGTTGGATGTGATAAACAAATTGACTGCACAGAGCCTGGTGCGGTGTCTAGCACACAGCGAAGCCTCAGCAGCCCCCTGTGGCTGCTGTCATTCCCCTTCCAAGGGCACTAGAGAAGGTGAAAATCACTACCAAGAAATACACATCAATGGCACGATTGCACATGCGCTAGTGAAACTGGACTCCCCATCTTCAGATGGCCCCTCCACTCTGCCTGTGAATTTCTGGATCAGAGCTTGGATCCCTCCGTGTCTCAGCAAGAGAGCTGGTTTATCATCAGGTCATCCGCACATAAAAGAGTGCCAGTGAAGGGAAAGAGGGAGGGGAAAAGCAAAGAGCAAGGAAAGGTGGAAAGAAGGAAGGAAGGAAGGAAGTAAAGAATGAAGGAAGGAAAAGAAGAAAGGAGGGAGGGAGGAGAGAAAAATTAGGAAAGAAGAGGACAGAAAGCAGGAAGGAATGTAGAAGGGAAGAAAGAAAATAGGAAGAAAAGAGGAAAGGAGAGAGAAAGAAAATTAAAATAAGGAAGAAAGGAAATAGGAAAGAAGGAAGGGGGAAGAGAGGAAAATAAGGAAGGGAATGAGAAGAGGGAAGAAAAGGAAAGGGAGAAACAAACCAGGAAGAAAATGAGGAAGGAAGGGAGGAAAAAGGGAGAAAGAAAATAAAGGAATGAGAAGGAAAGAAGGAGGGAAACAGGAAACATATGAGGAAGAAAGAGAAGAGAAGAGGGAAAGAAACTTTTGATGAAGGAAAACGGAAAGTTACAGAGCCTCTGAAGTTAATGCAACCAATTAGAAACCTCTCAAATCATAATCAATTACAATAATATTCATATCAATTCTAATCCCAATATTCTACTGAAAGAGAAACGAAACCATATCAATACAGCTCCCTTGGCTCCTGCCAGCATCACATCAGCTCCCGATTTCACTATAATTTCATCCTTTGCCATAAAGGCAATGGGTTAAAGCACCTACAAAAGGTAATCTGATTTTGCAAAATTTTTCTGATACAAGACTTCAACACTCAGGGAGTACTAGAACACATCAGATCTCGTGTGCTCATCTGGGGTTTGGAAAACAGGGTGGCCTTTCTCAGAAGGTCTGAGAAGGTGAGCAGAATGGGGCTGGGCAGGAGGAGGAAGTGGCCAGGAGATCCCTCTCTGAGCCAGCGGGGTTGGAACTTACCCTCGAGGGGGCAGAACCGAGTCACCTTCTCAGGCATCAGCAGCCCTAACTTGTGGCGGCAGTAAGTCTCCCCAATCTCCTGGCGGCAGTGCTTGGACTTAGCACGGGACAGGGCAGAGATGGCCTCCTTGCCTGAGATGTCACACTTAGGGGGCTGGTCATACTTGGTCTCGGGGGAGCTGCCCCCAGTTTTCCTGGCATGAGGCGGTCTGGACACATCCTTCCCGTGGCTGCTGTTGGCTGCGGCTCTGTCCCCGGGAGGCAGCACCTCACCGGGGCCTTTCCCAGGGAATGTATGTCCTTTTCCTTTCTCCTGCTGTTCCAGCTTCCTTTTCAAAAGCTCCTTCTGTCTACTCGGTGGCTTCTTCGCCAACTCAGGCTGGTGCTTCTGCTTTTGAGTCCTGGGTGCGAAGTTGCTGTTGTCGACATTCTCAAAGTCTTTGGGGACAGAGTTCTCGTTGTTGCTGTCTGTTCGCACTTTCTCTTTCGGCCGATGAGAAAAGTAGCCATCCTGGAGAAGAGGGGAGAGAAACAGAAGAGAAACTTGACTGAGAGATCATGCTAAGCAGACTGGCCTTTGAAGAGTGAGTCATACGGACTTGGAAGCCGGGGCCATAGTTTCACATCCTACTTTTGCTACTGGTTTAACCTCTGGTAAGATGGCTCTCTCTGGACCTCAGTTTCCCCATCTGGAAATAGGAGATGTTCCAACCAGAAACCAAGGCTTTTTCAAGCTCTAAAGTGCCATGACTACGATTCTCAATGCTTCTTATTAACCACACCTTTTCAAGTCAGTTTCTTTCCTTGACTGTCTTTGCCACTGGGTAACAAACATTTTGTTCCAGCGTCCCGTTTAAATTCCAGCTGAAAGTGCTGTGATGGTTTACTTAAGGGCTGGAAATGATATAATAAAGTTATAAAGGGAAAAATATTGGTAGGATATTACATACATTCCATTGCCTTTAGGACATGCTCATATATCTATGCCCATAAGAGAAATCAGACTGAGCCGTTGTAAATTCTGTGGGAAAGAAACCAGCCGCAATTTTTTTTTTTTTTTTTTAAGAGGAATGCAGCCCTTGTAGAATAAACTTTACACTAAGTCCTGGAGCAAAGCAAACTTGCGACACTCTTGTGCTTGAGTTTGGCTCTTCATGTGTGTACATGGAACAGAAGTGATGAAGTCATTTGGGGTCAAGACAAAGATCAGGAGTCATTCTGGAGACCACGCATGGCATGGATGTTTCCAGAAGGGCTGGACCCCAAACTCAGCTCCTCCATGGGTAAATGGGTCCTGGTTACTTTGATCAGTCGAATGATCAAATGCATCATTCAACCAATGCCCCAAATTGTTTCTGCAACATGTTGCTTCTGCTTAAAGCTCATTCCCAAGGCCTTAATCTGAAAGCATATCCAATGTCCTACAACACGGCCCCTGACCTCTGAAGCCACAGAGAAGAGTAATGGCTCCATATAGCTGCCCTTGTTGCTATGGAAACACAGGGGCAATGGGCGGCATCCCTGCTAGTCCTCCTTTTAAGGAGGGCTGAAATATGCCTCTTACCAGTTCCCAAGGAAAAAGGTGTCGGGGCCTGAACAGCGGATCTGCAGGGGTACCCAAGAGCAGCTGACCCTCAGCAAGGCTCCCACCCCAGCAGGTCAGCAAACAACTGCCTGTGTTTTTTATAAATAAAGTTTTATTGAAACACAGCCATACCTGTCCATTTGTGTATTGTCCATGGCTGCTTTCCTGATACAATAGCAGAGTGAATAGTTGCAATAGAAACTTTCTGGTCTGAAAAGCTTAAAATATTTCTATCCAGCCCTTTAAGAAAATGTATGCAGACCCCTGCTCTGCTGGAGTGTGAGTTAAAAGGCCTCCTCCTCTGGGACTGGGTTAGTTGCTTCTGTCCTCACCATCCATATACGACTTAGTGATGGCCTGGAGAAGAAGGTGCCCCTAGGACTGGGCGTGGTGGCTCACACCTGTAATCCCAGTACTTTGGGAGGCCGAGGCAGGTGAATCACTTGAGGTGAGGAGTTTGAGACCAGCCTGGTCAACATGGCAAAACCCCATCTCTACCAATAACACACACACACAAAAAATAGCTAGGGGTGGTGGTGCACACCTGTAGTCTCAGCTAACTCAGAAATCTGAGGCAGGAGAATTGCTTGAACCTGGGAGGCGGAGGTTGCAGTGAGCTGAGATTGCACCAATGTATTCCAGCCTGGGGGGAGAGTGAAACTGGCTCTCAAAAAAAAAAAAAAAAAAAAAAGATGCTCCTCTAGCCTCTGCTCCATTGCTCCTAGCAGTAAGCACGAATTTCTCCTATTTGTTGGAGGCTCTGACACTAAGACACCTTGTGGCCATTCTGTAAGCTGAGTACTGCTATGACTTTCATTTTGCAGATGGGAAACTAAGCACCCATGAACAAGTGACTTGCCCAGGGTCACCCAGCTAGTTGGCGGTGAAGCTGGAATTCAAACCAGGCAGATCACAGACCCCACACTCTGGGCTACCAGGGACATGATCCACTTCCAAGAAATTGTATGATCCTTATTACACCCATCACCCAAAACCCTTAAGTACTGCAAGCTGACACTGAACCACAAGATCTGGCCCCTCCCACCCAGCTAAATGAATCTGCTAGAGGTGTGTGACCTCCAAATTGCAATCTTCAGGCTGGCTAGTGGCCTATTGTGTTGCAGGAAGTCATATAGAGACAGTAAGCAGCAGCCACGAAGCACGTGGAGTCTGAGGCTGCAGGAGCTGGGAGGTAACAAGGTAGGAAGAAGGAAAAAGAACCAAGAAAAAAACAGCTGACCAGTCCATATTGGGTCACAGGGCGGCTACTGGTTGTACACAGGAACTGCTTTTATATCCTGACCTATAAATGAGGGCCTTCTGCTTCTGGTCTTTCTTATTCTCCACAGATACCTACAAAAAAAATCCCCTTCAGTTGGTACCTAGAGTACATCTTTATTCTTGTAACCTAAACAAAACCTGCTGATGTTCCTCTTTTCCCTTTTTTTCTATCCAGAGGCCCTTGAAGAGTCCCAAGCAGCCTCTCAGGCGCATTTTCTGAGCTCTTACCATGAGCCAGGCACCACAGTAAGTTATTCACAGGTATTACTTATAGGGTACTGACAATTGGATGTATTTATCTTGCCATTTTATAGAACGAGGAGCCAACGCTTGTTGTGATACATTCTTCACTATGGATCACGTGCTAGGTGCCATGCTAAGCCCTTGGATGCAGTACCTCACTTAACTCCTGGAAATAATTTCCAACGTAGGCACTACTGTTCGCCCACCTTACAGAAAAGGGTGGAAAATAAGGTTGGGGATGTCGAGTAATTTGCACAAATTCATGTTGGGGAGGCAGCGAACTTGCATCTGCCTGATTCTAAAATCTGCTATTGTATCACGCCTCTTGTGTTTTGCTGAGAAGTAAATCAAGAAGCATTCAGTTCCCCTGCAGTGGAATAATGGGTATCACCATCTTTGCTCATATTAGCGTCTGTCGGGATGGAGCTGATGGGGCAGGGGTGGCATTCAATAAAGCTATGAAAAATCATTTCTGTTCCATTCCTTCTAGGGATGTGTTAGGATTGTATGTCCCTATCCCTTGTATATTAGGCACAGACAGGAAACATGCTATGGCCAAGAGCAGTGACTGGAACCCATAAGGTGTCATTCCCTGGATACCACAATATCCAGCCACACTCCTGCTGGTGGAGGTCATGCATCCCTGAGTGAGGCCCATGTGGAGTAGAGACTCTACCAACCCTCAGTGTGCAGAAATTGACCCCTGCTGCTTTGAGTCACTGAGATTTGGGGGATCTGTGTTACTGTAGCATGGTCTAACTCATCCCGATTAATCCAGGAGCTAACCTGATCTCCTTTCTTCCTTTGAGCTGAGTCAGGTACAGGAGCCAATTTTTTTCTCCCTCCAACAGACAGAAACATCTATTGACGACTCCCATGCTCCAAGAACATAAATTTAAATTCTGTCCCTAAGCCCATTTTCTAGAAGTTTCTAGAAATGTCTAAAGGGCAGGGAGTAAGCCAGAAGAGCTACTGCCCTGATGGACATCTTCGTTTTCTCTCTTCAGACATATCCTAAGTGTCATTCTGGGGCCCTTCTCTTTCCTTGTTATCAGCAAGTTTCCCCGCCACACAACAGAAAACCTCCACAAACCCCCATTTCAAAAGCTCCTGTTCTCCATCACTTTCTGGCTGAACTTTGCCAAGCAAAACCAGACAGAAAACACTGCGATCATCTCCCTCCACCCCCCACGGCCAATGAAGCTAATCTGACAATCAGAGAATGGCCAATTCCTCTGGCTAATGTGTAATATCAGGAAGAGGCACCACCATTGATTCTGATGGGACTCATGATTAATACCCGCTCTCTACTCAAGACAGGCCACCACAATGGCGATGATTAGCTTGTGGTGGCCCTGTGAACTTCTGCCTGGCCCCAGATGCTACTCAGCTGCCATGGGAACCCAAAAGATTTGAGTATAAGAGGGAAGGAAAATATTTTGTCTTCTGGAACAAAAGGGCTCACAGATACTAGATCGCTTCCAGAAAAGTCAGAGAGAGGCGCAGTCAGCGAGAATTGGAGGCCTGAGAATTTCTGTCCCTCAGAGTCACTGTCATTTTCTATAGTGACTGCGGCGTTCTCTCTGGCTTCCCCCCTTCAATTCATTTTTTTCTTTTCTTTTCTTTTTTGAGATGGAGTTTCACTCTTGTCACCTAGGCTGGAGTGCAACGGCGCCATCTTGGCTCACTGTAACCTCCGCCTCCCAGGTTCAAGTGATTCTCCTGCCTCAGCCTCCTGAGTAGCTGGGATTACAGGTGTGTGCTACCACGCCCGGCTAATTTTTGTATTTTTAGTAGAGACGGGTTTTCACCATGTTGGCCAGGCTGGTCTCGAACTCCTGACCTCAGGTGATCCACCCACATCAACCTCCAAAAGTGCTGGGACTACTATGATAATAACACTTAACATGAGATCTACCCTCTGAACCAATTTTTAAGTGTGTATTATTGTTGACTATGCAGCTATAGTCAACACTATAGTACTATATGCAACATACAGCAAATTGTTGTATATTGTTGCATGTACTACTATATTGTTGGCTATAGTACTGCACAGCAGGTCTCTATGGCTTCTTCATTGTGCATGCATGATTGAGATGTTATGCCTGTCCATCAGCAACTCCCCATGCTCCTCCCCAATCCCCCAACTCCTGGCAACTACTACTTCACTCTCTGGTTCTAGGATTCGGACTATTTTCGATAGCTGATAGAAGCAGAATAAACACGTGTACTATCTGTCCTTCTGTGACTGGTTTCTTTCAGTTAGCATAATGTCCTCAGAGTTCATCCATGTTGCTGTATGTTGCAGGATTTTCTTCTTTTTGAAGCTAACATCCATTGTGTGTATATGCCACATTTTCTTTATCCAGCCATCCAAGGATGGACATGACATATCACTTCATGTTCCCCCTAACTCTTCATCTGACTGCCAAGGGGCAAACAGATTTTGGCTTTTCTGTCCTTTCTGTGGAGACTCAAGATCCAGAAAGCCAAACCCAGGATCCCTTCCCTTCACAAAACCAATCTTGGGAGGTCTCCAGGCAGACCCATAAAAAATAACCATCATATGCCCAGCACCCAAGTGGCCCATGCTCTGTGTCCTTTGAATCTTCTTGAAAACTCACCAAAACAGACAGTATTAGTACTCCTTAAGAGGAGGAAACTAACATAGAGAGAGGTTAAATAACTTGACCGAGGCTACACTGCTAGTAATGAAGTGATTCAAACTCTCTGTGTCTCAGTTTCCTCATTTAAAACATTGGGATGATAACACCTTGGTATCCATGGGGATGATAATAATATCCATCTCAGGCCGGGCACAGTGGCTCACACCTGTAATCCCAGCACTTTGGGAGGCTGAGGCGGTCGGATCATGAAGTCCGGAGATCGAGACCATCCTGGCTAACACTGTGAAACCCCGTCTCTACTAAAAATACAAAAAATTAGCTGGGCGTGGTGGCACGCACCTGTAGTCCCAGCTACTCAGGAGGCTGAGGCAGGAGAATCGCTTGAACCCAGGAGATGGAGGTTGCAGTGAGCCAAGATCGTGCCCTGCACTGCAGCCTGGGTGACAGAGTGAGACTCTGTCTCAAAACAAACAAACAACACCTCACCTCTTGGGTAATTCAGTGAGGAAGAGTGTATGTAAAACTACTAGAATATGCCCACCACACAAAGCTGGAAGAAGAATGAGCAGTAAACCAGACTGGGGAACTCTACCAATTAACACTCTCTCTCCCCTGACAGTCTCTGCCTAGAGGACAGATGGGTTATTATTTCGCAATTGTGATCAACTGGCATCATCTTCTCTACTCTTCATCAATCCAACTCTCTCACCTTGAGTTATTTATGCTAATGCAACCCTTTGACTTACTTTATTTTAATGTACTTATTACAATGATTGCACATTCAAATGTTTGTGTGCAAGCTCCAAAACTCTAATTGCTCTGCTGTTGCCTTACCTCTAAGCTGCTGCTAGAATCCATTTTTATTCTGGAGAAATAATTAAATGCAATAATGTCCTCCATTCCCATTCAACCTTGGGCATGTTTAGAGTCAATTTCAATCAGGTAGAAATATGCTAAACATAATATGGCTCCGAGAAGCAGGTTACCTGACCCACGCTGCTGCTGCAAAGACACGTGGGTCTGTTTCCATTTTTCCCAGGTTCTCTTGGTTCAGGATGAATCAATACTTAGTCTACTGAATCCTGGCCCCTTGCTCCCATTTCTGAGGGGTGGGGGTGGGTTGCCGTGATTTTTAAACTATCCACCTTTGCTCTTATTGTTTATGTAGGAGAAGACCTGGGTACTAGTATTGCATTAGCTGATGTCCAATTTTCTTATCTGTAAAATGATGTGTCCCGAATGTGTGTTACTAACCATTCTGAGTTAGTTATTAATCAATATATTCAATGAACAAAATTCTGCCACTTCAGCTCATTAAAACAATTCGATGGACCTTAAGAGACCAGGAACTGAGGACAAAATGGAAGCTTCAAAGCGCATCCCGTCTGCAGCCCTATCCCTCTATTATCGTCTATAGCAGCACACTGAGATTCAGAGGTCTGGACTCAGGAAGAAGTGAGTTTGATTCCTCCCTTCTCCATTTGCTGGGGTTCTTCAAGCTGGGACAGAACATTTCGCCTCTCTTTGCCTCAGTTTCCTCATCCATCCCAGAGAGCCGAAGATGGCACCTACTTCCCAGGGACTGAATCGATCAAGCATAGAAGATAGTGCCTGACACGTCCAAAGTGCTTAAGAAACACGTATGTCTTAGGTTCCGTTCCAAGCCTGTTGCATGTACTAACTCATTTAATCTCCATGATGAGCTGATAAAGAAGACGCTATATTTTCTACCCATTTTTCAGATTGGAACATTAAGGTTCAGGGAGGTTAAATGACTAAGTCCACACACCTAGGAAACAGAGGAGCCAGGATTTGAACCCAGGCTGTCTAGGTCTGGAGGTCATGCCTTTCAATACCCCACTGCCTCTCCGCAGCTATTAGGAATAGGGACAGGGCCAAAGGGAAACCCCAGCCAGGTGCACTGCTCACACATGAGGGCGCCTGGCCCACCCGCTCATCGTGATCAGTTTACGGCTTCCTTTTGTGCCATGTGCACGCACAGCCGGCTGGGTAGTTATTTGGTGTTGAACTCAGTGTCCGAGGCTTCGTTCCAATCACCAAGGCTACCAAGGCCACTGGGAGGGACAAACAGGGAGAGGCCTGCACCTGCTTCCAAAAGGACCTCCGTGCCAGGGTAGGCGAACGGTGGAAGCACAGTGTGTGTGGCTGTACCAATTAGAACATGCAATTACCCAGGCTGCCAATGCAAATAGACCTAACAGAGGCCCCTCGTCCAGCTCATCTGCATGCACAAAAGGTGGCTGGCCAGCACTTAGAAACCCGTGGACCACGCTGGACGCAGGCAGGCCCTGCTTTAACAGAACCCTAAGTAAAAAGCCCTTTGCAATGTAGCATCATGTTAATGGGATGCAAAACAGCACAGGGTGAGGCAGGAAGGAGTGAGACTGATAGGGCTGGGTTGGAATCCAGTCTCTGCTCCTTAACTCTGAGACGGAGGGCAAGAGGTTTAACCTCTCAGAGCCTCATTTTTCTCATCTACAAAAGAAGGGGGTAAGAAGACCTACTTTGCAAATGTAAGGTGGGGATTAACTAATATGTCATGCACATATAATTCTATTTAACAAAACAACATTGGGTGAGAGGCTTGATACATGTTAAGCACTCAAGTGGCAGCAGGATGATATTTTAAGCTAGCGCCTTGTCACTTGATGAGCAAGTCTGAGTCTTTTGTTTGTTTGTTTGAGACGGAGTCTCGCTCTGTCGCCCAGGCTGGAGTGCAGTGGTGCGATCACGCTCATCGCAAGCTCCGCCTCCCGGGTTCACGCCATTCTCCTGCCTCAGCCTCCCGAGTAGCTGGGACTACAGGCGCCCGCCACCAAGCCCGGCTAATATTTTTTGTATTTTTTAGTAGAGACGGGGTTTCACCATGTTAGCCAGGATGGTCTCAATCTCCTGACCTCATGATCCGCCCGCCTCAGCCTCCCAAAGTGCTGGGATTACAGGCGTGAGCCACCACGCCCGGCCAAGACTGAGACTTTTTGGAAAGGCAGAGTGTTGAGGCACAGTGGGTTGAAATCTGGACCCTGGCCTTTGCTCACTGTGTGGCCCAGGGCACAGTGCCTAACTTTGTCTGCCTCAGTTTCCTTCTCTGTAAAATGGGGACAATAATGAGTACCCAATCTAATGAGGCTGTTATGAGAATTAAGAGTCAATGAATTTAAAACACTTAATACCTAGAACTTAATAAATATTAGGTATAATTTATTAAAATAGAATTAATGATTGCAATGGTGACTTAAAGTGGTTCTTAAAGTGTGGTCTGGGAACTGTTGGGGGTCCCTGAGGCCTTCTCAGGGGATCTTTAATGACAAACTATTTTCACGATAATATAAAGACATTATTTTCCTTTCTCGCTTACTCTCTCATGAGTGTACAGTGGAGTTTTCCAGAAACTCCACTGCACGTCATACTGCATCAGAAATCAGAAGCAAATGTGAGAATCTAGCTATCTTCTATTAAGCCAGGTGTTACAGAGATTTGCAAAAAATGTAAAACAGTGCCTCCCTTCTTCCTAAATTTGTTTTCGTTGGGGAAAAATATGCATACTTTTCATAAATATATTTTATATACACAAGTAATAGGTTATTATGACTGTTTTTAAGTGAATTAATAAACATTTTAAGAATGCCTTAGTTTAAATATTACTATATAGGAAGTAATTGATAGCACCTACCTAAGCCAAAGCTCTTTGGTGTTCCTCAATAATGTTTGAGACTATACAGCAATCCTGAGACCAAGTTTGAGAACTACTGACATAATACATAAGTACAATCAGAAATATTTACTGATTATTAAAATTAAAAGTTTAGGATTCTTTTATGTAGGCTGTTTTGCTACATGCCAAGCCTTTTGATTTGTATTTTACTTCCATACACAATACACACACACAGAACAGATAGAAATCGAAGTTGAGTGATAAATACTTTTTTTTTTTTTTTTTTTCTGAGACGGAGTTTCGCTCTTTGTTGCCCAGGCTGGAGTACAGTGGTGCAATCTCGGCTCACCGCAACCTCCGCTTCCCGGGTTCAAGCGATTCTCTTGTCTCAGCTTCCCAAGTAGCACGGATTACAGGTGCCCGCCACCATGCCCGACTAATTTTTGTATTTTTAGTATAGACAGGGTTTCACCATGTTGGCCAGGCTGGTCTCAAACTCCTGACTTCAGGTGATCTGCCTGCCTTGGCCTCCCAAAGTGCTGGAATTACAGGCGTGAGCCACTGCGCCCAGCCGATAAATACTTTCCTATAGAGAGAGGAACCCAGGCCCCTCAAGTCCTGAATCATCCTCAGGGAGGAAGAATGACCTGCTGTCAAGAGTTAGTCCTTGATCAAACTCTAGTCAGCCTCCTCTGCCCCCTTTTTCTACTGGGCCTCTCAGCTTTACCTATAAAGACTTGAATGAAATGCTAACGTTGTTTTTCTTTTTCTTTCTTTCTTTCTTTTTTATTTATTTATTTTTTGAGACAGGGTCTCATTTTGTTCCCCAGGCTGGAGTACAGTGGTATGATCACGACTCACTGCAGCCTCAACCTCCTGACCTCAAGCGATCCTCCTGCCTCAGCCTCCTGAGTAGCTGGGACTACACAGGCTTTCACCACTATACCCAGCTTTTTAAATTTTTTGTAGAGACAGGACCTTGCTATGTTGCCTAGGCTGGTCTCAAACTCCTAGGCTCAGGCAATCCTTGGCTTCCTAAAGTGCTGAGATTACAAGCGTGAGCTACCACGCCTGGCCTGAAACACTAACATAGTTTCTCACAGCTCAAGGCAACATCCCTGGGATGACCCCAGCTCCTGCTTAAAGTGACTGCTTTAGAAAACTCAAGGCTGCCAAAATAATTTACTGTTTGTTCCAGCTAACACCTCTAGACAGGGCATCATCTCCCAGCCTCTGTAAGAGAGCAGGAGCCACACTTCATAAACAGCAGTTAGCAAACCCATTTGAGTCACACATAGACCAACCCTCCCTTCCTGCTTTTGGTAATTCTTCACTTCCCTGAGTCCACTGAGCTCATCTCCCTTCCCTCCCTCCCACCTCTCTCCTTCTCCCTTTATTATTATTATTATTATTATTATTATCATTATTTTGAGATGGAGTCTCCCTCTGTTGCCTAGGCTGGAGTGCAATGGCATGATCTCTGCTCAGTGCAACCTCCGCCTCCCGGGTTCAAGCAATTCTCCTGCCTCAGCCTCCTGAGTAGCTGGAATTACAGGCGTGTGCCACAATGCCCAGCTAATTTTTTTTGTATTTTTAGTAGAGATGGGATTTCACCATGTTGGTCAGGCTGGTCTCGAACTCCTGACCTCGTGATCCACCTGCCTTGGCCTCCCAAAGTGCTGGGATTACAGGCGTGGGCCACCGCACTCTGCTTCCTTCTCTCTTTAAAACACCCAGTCACCTCTGAACAAATCCAAGTTGAGTTCAGTTCCATGCTGGATGCTTTTCCTATTGCAACAGGCATTACTGATTAAATGTGCCCTTACCCCTTTCATAGGGTCTGGCTTTGTTTATGTTTGACGCAGCCCAAGGCCACCTAGCCTGGACCTCAAGCCTACAAGGCTAAGTCCTTGGGGTAAAAACCAAAGAGCCCAGCAAAGCGTGCTCAGAGCCCAGCCCCTGACTTAACCCACTCCCCTCTTCCCAACCCCACCAGGGGGACATGACAGTGACAGTCACAGCGCTCAGAGCACCCAAGGGACTGCAGGCAGGTGGCAGGGAAAGATCTGAACTGGCATCTCCTGGCTCTTTCCCTATCAGCATAAGAGACAGCTGTGTGGTACAGAGATACACAGCAGAGGGCGAAATAATGGCAGAGGAGAAAAAGACGAAAAGGAAGGAAATGCAAGAGAAAATGGAACGAGAAGAAGAAACAAACATCAGCTATTGTTTACTATGTGCTGATTACCTACCAGGCACGGAGCTAAGCCCGTGGCTTGGCATCGCTATTCATTCCTCAAAATTATCTCAAAAAGTAGGTCAGGGGTCAGCAAAACACCCTACCACCTGCTTTTGTCAATAAAGTTCTTCCAGGACACAGCCATGCCCATTCGTGCACACACTGAAGGTGGTGCTTTTGTGCTAGGACGGCAGAGTTGTGTAGCTATGACAGAGACTACATGCCCAGAAAAGCCAACATCTGGCTCTCCGCAGAAAAAATGAATGCCCCTTCAAATGGGGCCAGTGAGGCTGAGCCAGGCTTGCCCAAGGTCACTCGGTGGGTAAGAGGCAGGGTCAGAAGTGACGCACAGGAGTCAGACTCCAGAGACAACATGAGGTTGCAAAGTCAGACCCAAGGACAGAGGGAGAGAGAGCAGAGCCTTCCAGAAATGACAACAACCATGTCTGTTTTGGAACAAAATGCCTCACACACAGAAGAGCTTTTCTATGGAGAGAGGCCTCCTAACTGTTTTTTGTTTGTTTGTTTGTTTGTTTGTTTTTAAGTGTCCCGAAGGCTGGCCTCTTCTTCGTTACTATTTGAACACAGTTTGCCTCTAATTAATTGCAGCATTCCATTGCGTTATTCCACAGTTATGGCCACAATACCCAAAGATCCAGAGAGAAAGGGGGTGTGGTAGAGACACAGAGAGAGAGACACACAGAGAAAGACACAGAGAGAGAGAGACACAGAGAGACAAAGAGAGAGACACAGAGAGAAAGATACAGAGAGAAAGATACAGAGAGAGACACAGAGCAAGAGACACAGAGAGAGAGACAGAGAGGGAGACACACACACAGATAGGCACAGAGAGAATGTGAACAACCCAGTCTTGCTTTAATAATAAAGCCTTCTGCGTACCTCTCAGGCAGGGTTTCTCAAGGACAGCGCTGTTGACATTTGGGGCTGGATAACTCTTTGTTTTAGGGGCTATCTTGTACATTGCAGGGTATCTAGCAGCATCTGTGAGCTTTACCCACTAGACCCCAGTCATGTGCCCTTGTTACAACCAAAAATGTCTCCAGACCATTGTCAAATGTCTCCTGGAGTAGGAGTGGGGCAAAATCACCTTCCCACCCCCGACCCCTGCTGGGAACCAGGGCTCAAGGGCCCATACTGGCCGATCTCAGCTGCTCAAATCCTGTTCCCATTCAGAAACAGCCTTTCTTTCCCTCATTTTCCAACAGAAACAGACCCTGGCATCCAGCCAGAGCAGTCAGAATAGGAGAGAGGCTGGTATGAAGAGAGCTGGCTGGAGAAAGGGCCAGAGTTAACCAAGGAAGGGTATTCCAGAGGGGACAGAGGGAGGAGGCTGGCTGGGGTGACCAGGGAGAAATGGCAGCTGCATGAGGAAAGCGGGAGAAGTTAGGGTTCCCGCTAGGGAAGGATGACACAGAAGAGGAGGGACACATTCATTTGGGCAGTGGATAGTCTTTGAGTTGATGGCATGTCTTTTAATTTATTTTTTGTTGTTGGTTTTTTTTTTTTTTTTTTTTTTTTTTGAGACAGAGTCTCGCTTTGTCACCCAGGCTGGAGTGCAGTGGCACGATCTTGGCTCACTGCAACCTCGGCCTCCAAGGTTCAACAAAATCCTCCCACCTCAGCCTCCCAAGTAGCTGGGATTACAGATGCGCATCACCATGCCCGGCTAATTTTTTGTACTTTTAGTAGAGACGCGGTTTCACCATGTTGGCCAGGCTGGTCTCGAACTCCTGACCTCAAGTGATCTGCCTCCCTTGGCCTCCCAAAGTGCTAAGATTACAGGCTTTGAGCCACTGCGCCCGGCCATGTCTCTTAATTTAAGCCAGAAGCCACAACCGGGACCAATGGCTCCTTCAGGCACACAGGTGTCTGGTTCACTCTGTAGACTGTTTTCATTTGTTTAACTTAATCTCGGCCCACATTTCAAAATCTAGAGATTTCATCTAAAACTTTGGATTTCTGCCCCTTCTGGAAACATCAGGGACCTGACAACACTGAGCTTAGATTTCTACGCATGACAGTTGTCTTGAGGCTAAGTAGCGGTCCCATGGTCTCCAGAAGGGGCATCTGCTCTGTCCGGCCCGGCCAGTGTCCCCTTAGCCCTCTGGCATGTCTGCACGCGGTGACACTGCTTCCCACCAATGACACAGGCTCTTCCGGGAGGCCTTCTACCTCCTGAGCTTTGCCTCGGAGATCTCAGAACCCCAAAAGATCCTTGTATTCCAGAGTGTTTGATGGAGGTGGCATTGTCCCTAATGAGGTGTTCTGGAAGCGTGTGGTGGCATTTCCAGTTATCACAATGATTGGGGGATGCTGTTGGCAATGAGTGGGTGGGAGAACATCAGAAACCCAGCAGGACAGGGGAACACTCGTGGCTGGACAATGAAGAGCTGTCCTGCATCCTGCACATCTTCTGAACGTCCCCAGATGTCCTGTGCGTAAACAACTCATTTATAATTATCCAGGCCAGGAGCCTAACTTAGATTTACATATGATACAACATTATTATGAATGGTTTTAACATAGCTGAATTTTCTAGGAAAGTAACTACTGTTTCACTCAAGAAGAGATTTTATATCACTTAGTTTGACCACAGTTTCAGAAAATTACATCATCAAAGGCCACACAAGCTGTGGCTGTGAGTCACCAACACACACATCCATTCCCCGCCTGCATTTGTAACTACTGAATTCTCACTGACTCAATACGCAGTAGCTGACCTCTTCATGTATCCTCCAGCCCCTTGCAACCAAGTGTGGACCACTGGCCAGCAACATCTGCATCACCTGGGAACGTGTTAGATGTGCAGAATCTCAGGCCCCAGCCTGGACCACAGGAATCAGGGTCTGCACATTAACAGCATCCCCAAGCAATTCGTCTGCACATCAAAAATTGAGAAGTACGCCAGGCATGGTGGCTCATGCCTGTAATCCCAGCACTTTGGAAGTCCGAGGTGGGCAGATCACTGGAGTTCAGGAGTTCGAGGCCAGCCTGGCTAACATGATGAAACCCTGTCTCTACTGAAAATATCAAAATTAGCCAGTTGTAGTGGTGGGTGCCTGTAATCCCACCTACTCGGGAGGCTGAGGCAGAAGGATCGCTTGAACCCGGGAGGCAGAGGTTGCAGTGAGCCAAGATCATGCCACTGCACTCCAGCCTAGGCGTCACAGTGAGAATCTGTCTCAAAAAAAAAAAAAAAAAATTGAGAAGTGCTAATGTTGTTGCACCCATCATTCATTCGGTCAGTCAGTCAGTCATTCGTTTATTTTGGAGACAGGGTCTCGATCTGTCGTCCAGGCTGGAGCGCAGTAGCATGATCTCGGCTCACTGCAACCTCTGCCTCCCGGGTTCAAGTGATTCTCCTGCCTCAGCCTCCCAAGTAGCTGGAATTACAGGTGCACGTCACCATGCCTGGCTAATTTTTGTATTTTTAGTAGAGACAGCGTTTCACCATGTTGGCCAGGCTGGTCTGGAACTCCTGACCTCAAGTGATCCACCTGCCTCAGCCTCCCAAAGTGCTGGGATTACAGGCATCATCATTTAAATAATAAAACATATTATCTGTTTATAAATTGCTGTCATATATTTCTTCTTCATACTATTTTAGCAGTCTATTGATCTTTTTTAGAGTTGTGGGTGTTTAAGTAGGATAGAATAAGGCTGGATTTCATTTCTGGTTGGGTGAAAGGAATGTTTTAAAAGATTTGTGACATTGAGCAGGGCTGGGTCTGCTGGGGTTAAAATCACAGGTTTATTCATTCCACATATGTTATTTGGGTGTCCACTCCCTGACAGATGGGGCAGGGGAAAAGGATATAGGAAGGGGAACTAAAGTATGCTTCCTGCTGTTGGTGGAATTCTGAGAAAAGAGAGGAAAGTAAGTATGAATATAAGTTATTTTAATATAGGACCAAAAGGGAGTGTAGGGATGGGTGTGCTCAGGATTTGAATTTCATCAAGGGTGTGGAGCCTCACATGGTCTGGGGTCCAAGGAGAATGGAGGAGACTTCACAGAGAAAGCAGTTTTCCAGCCTCATCTTGAGAAGAAAGGAGCAAGACAGACAAAGGAAAAAAGGGCTTTCCAGGCAAGGGCAAAGCATGTGCAAAGGTGTGGTGAGAGGACCAGCCCAACTCCTTTTATAATAACAACGATCCCAGCTAACACTTAGTGAACATTTACTCTAATGACTGAGCTACACACTTTATATAGATTATCTTTAAAACTCTCAGAGCAGGGCCGGGCACGGTGGCTCACATCTGAAATCCCAGCACTTTGGGAGGCTGAGGCGTGGGAATTACTTAAGCCCAAGAGTTCAAGAGTAGCCTGGCCAACATGGTGAAACCCTGTCTCTACTGAAAATACAAAAATTAGCTGGGCGTGGTGGTGTGCGCCTGTAATACCAGCTACTCGGGAGGCTGAGGGAGGAAAAACGCTTGGACCTGGGAGGTGGGGGTTGTAGTGAGCCAATATTGCGCCACTGCACTCCAGCCTGAGCAACAGAGGGAGACTCCATCTCAAAAATAAACAAACACATCAACAAACAAAAAACCCCAGAACAACTCTATTGGGTAGGTGCAATTAGTATCCACATTTCACAGGTGAAAGTATGGAGGCATAGAGAGGTTAAGTAACTTGCCTCAAATCACACAGCATGGTTATAAACTTACATTGTTACTCCTGTGGGCTGTTAACAACTACGCTTGGCTCAGTGCCCCACAGGTTTCTAAAGTCCCCCCCAGGAGGAAACACCACTTCCACCAAAGGCCCTGGAAGAAAGCAATCACTAAGTGAGCTGATCTTTGGCCTGGGGTGGGGAAGGGAGGAGTCCAGAAGTAAGAGAGTTATCTGAAAAGCCTGGGTTCCTGGTGTAAAGTCCTCTTGCCTGGCTGCCTGTGATTCATTCTCTACCTCTGTTATTTGAGATTCATTTCTAGGTTGGTGCCACGCCCCTGACTCCTGAAAGCCACAAACCACAATATTCTATTTGTCCCCTGGTTTTATTTCCCTATACACCTTCTCTGTCTCTCTTGATTCAACTCCCAGGAAGCCCTCTTGTCCTAACCATCATCCTTCCTCCCCAACATTCTCCGATCCAGGTCCTCTGGGACGGGGCACTTAAGGAGACAAATGGGTCTCCTGCTGTTGAAAAACACCCAGTTTTCAAACTCATCCTTTGCCTGTGTGGGCCCTATCCCCCACACACACCCTGCCACAGTGGGTAATGAATGGTTCACTTGTAAGCTCATTACCGCAGGGCCTCTAAAGAAATGGAAATGCTCACGGAGCCAGAGACATAAATAAGGAGAGGCGCCTGTAAATAAATAAATATAGATGCACATACACACACACAAACCCAGTTAATTTCTATCATCTGAAAGCCGGAACCATTTGGGGTGGGGAGAGAGAGAAAGAAATAGGCTCCTAATATTGCCATCCATGTGATTTCAGAACTGAGCTTCCCCAGAAGCTGCTAATAAATTATTTTTACTATGCAGAGGTACAAATGAATATGCTGCTGTCACCCCCTAAATCTCCTTTATGAGCATGTGTTTGCCTTGGCCCAACCTACTGGGGACAGGGGCTTCCGAGCAAGTTTTCATTGGCCAAGTTCCTGAAGGAGGCTGCCATCTTGAAGGTCTGCTCTCTGTAAGCTGCGGGTGCCCCACTGGCACTTCCTGTTTATGCCTGAGGTTGGCATGGCCTGCAGGACATCCAATGTCGATTGGAAGGCCACAGGAATCAAAGTGACAGCAGTGCCTACACTCAAGCTTTTGGAAAATGATTTCTGCAGCCTGGACTGAGAGCTGCTGTTCACAAGATGGAATGTACCCCTCTTGGCCATATACTTCAATAGGCCCTGACATTTTCTACCAAGTTTCAGGGTGGATATGCAAAAACCTCATCACTACCAACTTTCGCGTGCACTGTCATCATCCAGAAGGAAACTCTGGTCACTCCCTTTGGAGGCAGTGTATCCAATGTCCAGTTCTCCAACTGTTCAGAGCAAGAAGTAGGCCATGGAAATCATGGTGATCATGATATGCTACCAGGACACGATGGGCACCGTCCGATGAAGTTGTTATAAATGTATGCCCTGGAGTCACTCTTGAGGATCTGAAATCCAGCTCTACCACTTCCCAGCTGTGTGACCTAGGGAAAGTCGTTTACCCTCTCTGAGCCTTGCTTTCCTCCTACGTAAACTATCTATAATATCAAAACCTCGCAGGGCTAAAAAGATACGCTGACTTAACCAGTGCAAAGACACAGTTCAGAATAGTTAGCAGTTAATAAAAGGTAGCGGTTACCCACATCATTTCATGCGAACTCCTACAACGACTTTTCATACATTCATTCACAGATATTTACTGAGTGCCAAGTACATCTTAGGTGCTGGGGACATGTCTGTGAATAAGACAGACAGATGCCTGCTCCTATCGAGCTTATATTTTAATAGCATGAGACAGACAACCATCCTACCAACAACTCAATAAACAGATTCTATCACAATGTTGGGCATCTGTTATCTATTTTTATCTATTTTATTTTTATAATTTCAACTTTTATTTTAGATTCTGGGGATCCCTGTGCAGGTTAGTTGCATGTGTGTATTGTGTGATGCTGAAGTATGGAGTATGATTGACCACTTCACCCAGGTAGTGAGCGTAGTACCCAATGGTTAGTTTTCTAACCCTTGTCCCCCTCTAGAAGTTCTCGGTGTCTACTGTCACCACCTTTTTGCTTTTTGTTTTTCCAGACAAAGTCTCTGTCATCCAGGCTGGAGTGCAGTGGCGCGATCTCCAATCACTGCAACCTCTGCCTCCGGGGTTCAAGAGATTCTCCTGCCTCAGCCTCCTGAGTAGGTGGGATTACAGGGATGCACCACCACACCCAGCTAATTTTTGTATATTTAGTAGAGACGGGGTTTCACCATGTAGGCCAGGCTGTTCTCGAACTCCTGACCTCCTGTGATCCACCTGCCTCGGCCTCCCAAAGTGCTGGGATTACAGGGGTGAGCCCCCGGGTTCAACCTACTGTTTTCATCTTTATGTTCACGTGTACTCAATGTTTAGATCCTAATTCCAAGTGAGAACATGTGGTATGTAGTCTTCTGTTCCTGCGTCATTAATTTGCTTAGGATAATGGCCTCCAGCTGCATCCATGTTGCTGCAAAGGACCTGATTTTGTTCTTTTGTATTACCCACTGTTCCCAGATGTGGGAACTGAGGCTCACAGCGGTTATCTCAGCAGGTTTATGAGCCAGAGTTGTCCCACCCAGGAGAGTTTTGGAAGTGAGAGGAGCAACCAGCAAGAGAGGCCGGCTGCCTGGCTGACAGGTAAAAGCTTTGTTTCCTCCTCCTCCTGCCCCTCCTGCCATGATTGACAGAGTGAGACGCCTCCCTGCGAACATGAGGCATCTAGTTCGGGTAGACAGTTTGCTACTGGAGAAGTTCCTTATTCAAGGGGCTGAGCAGTAGTGGCACCTTTTCGTGTATGACCAGCCAGCCGTGCCCAGACTTCTGAAGTCTGGCTGGATTCAGACACCGAACTCCCTTTAGTCCTCAAAGGACCCATGAAACACCCAACACAAGGTGGTTCCAAGAGACCCGGTGGACCGCAGTTGTTCAGGCCACTAGATGGCTCTTTCTGTGAAATTTGCAGAGAGCAAGCCGGCAGCTGCACCTTGATACTGAAGCCGGGCTGCTTCCCTTTGGACAGTCAGGACGCATCTCCGAGAAGTTCTTCTTCATTGCCGCAGGTGGGTGGGTCACTACCTCTTCCTTTAAGGGGTATTCCCATTAAGGCTTTTCACTTCAGAGGAGTTTGACAAGGCGAGACTGGGATTTCCACACTGTCTACTAAATCAAAGTCATTGCCATCATGCAACTTTCTGCTAACTTTCCCAGCTTCAAGGGAAAAGTGGAGCTTCATGGAGCTCCACTTCATCATCTGTTGGCTTCACATCATCCCATCAGAGACAAGCTCCATATAACAGCATCTACTGTTTACCCAAGATTTTGCACGATTCTCTTGTTTCATCCTCCCATTTATCTTTGGTGGAGATATTATCCGATGAGATAGAAAAGTAAACTGTGGCACAGAAAGGGGGTTACATGACTCAGGCAAAGTCGCCCAGGAAGCAAGGGGCAAGGCTGGGATCCATCCTAGGTCTGATTCTGAAGCTTGTACTCTTCACTTTACAGCCTCATCTATGCACAGGGAAGATCCTCCTGAGCTCTGCAAGTGTCCAAACTTAGAATGGGCAACCAAGGCTGACTGTGAACATTTCCTTCCTGGTTGGGCTTTAGGAAGAGAAGCGAAATTTGCCTATTACCTCTACACACCTCCTGAGACCAGGAGAATCCTGGGTGACACCAGGCATTCAAGGATTTCATGATACAGTCTCTCCCTCCCTAATGCACCTTTCAGCGTTGCTACTGGGACAGCATTTCCTGTGCCTTTTTAAATTTAATCCTCTTCACAGCCCTCTCAAGAGGCAGCGCGGCTCTGTGATCAGGAGCATGAATGCTAAAGCCAGACTACCTGGGTTCTCAACTTAGCCGTGCCGTTTTGAAGCTGTGTGACCTTGGGCAGGTTTCCCAGCTGTAGCCAGCTCATGGAGTTGAAATGAGAATTAAGTCAATGTTGGGAAAACACTTAGGACAAGGCCTGGAACACAAATTGTAGCTGTTACTAGTATGATCATTAATAGTAGTATGTCCTTTTTCAACATTTGAGTAAACAGAGGCTCAGAGAGGTGAAGACACTTCCTTAAGGCCACACAGATCAGGGATTTAAGCCATAGCACCAGACCTGGGAGCCAAGCTAATATTCCCTCTCCAACACAGCCCCTTCAAGTCCCAGGCTGGAAGTGAGCTGCCCTTCTTAGCAGTGAAACACCTAGAAAATTGGCTGACAATTTATCGAGGGCGTCTTCAACAAGTGTGTCATTTTGGATACACTGTGGGCTAACTATTGGTGCAGAGAGTGGGCTGAGGGGTCAGCTTCTTCAGCATCTGGCTTCATCCATCTCTGGGTCATTGATGGCTTCTGTCAAGATGGCCAAAGAAGACCACGAGAGTCAGGCTAGGCCTCCTCCTCTGCATATTAATTACAGCCAAGGCAAAATGTGGCCACAGCAGCAGTTAGGGGACAACAGGACCCTGCAAGTCCTCAAGCAGTCAGGCAGAGGACACCTTGGGCACCCCGCCCTCTGCCCAGCACAATCTTCCGTGGCACTGCCGAGGACCTCAGCAAGATGCAGACCTCCAGGGATGTCAGCCTGTCTCCTCCTCTAGGTCTGTCCTCTTTCTGTCCCTCTGTTTGTCCCTCTCCCCTCTCTCAACCACCTCTCCATCATTCTGCAATCAACATCCTGCCCATGGTCAGGGATATCTAAAAAGCTATCCAGGCTGGGCGTGGTGGCTCATGCCTATAATCCCAGCATTTTGGGAGGCCAAGGCAGGCAGATGACTTGAGGTCAGGAGTTTGAGACCAGCCTGGACAACATGGCGAAACCTCGTCTCTAATAAAGCTACAAAAATTATCCAGGCATGGCGGCAGCACCTGTAATCCCAGATACTCGGGAGGCTGAGGTGGGTGAATCGCTTGAACCCAGGAGGAAGAGGTTGCAGTGAGCCAAGATCGTGCCACTGCACTCCAGCCTGGGTGACAGAGCAACACTCTGTGTCAAAATAAATAAATAAATAAAAAGCTATTCATCTTCTGAAGAATGGAGGTGGTCAGATTTTGTCTTATTTTCTGAAACATACTTCAATATTTTCCTAATACAAATATGTGTCAGATATAAAAAATTCCAATACAATCTAGATTTATGAAATAATTCAAAATGTATTAAAATGTACAGAAAAATAATACAGTGCCCTTCCATGTACCAATTTTGTTATGTTTTATTCAATTATTTAAAGAAATTAGACTTTGCAGAGACAACTGGGAAGTTCCTCCCAGCTTTCAACCACCATCTCCCAACCCAGAGGACACTTCTATCCTTCACATTCATGTATTTATATTTTTAGTTAATACGTATGTGTTCACATACAATGTATAGTGTTATTTTGTGTATCTGTAAGTTTGACAAAAGGGCACCGTGCTGTAAATATCTCCTTTGCGTTTGCTTGTGTCATTCAATATTAGCATTTCTACCCCCATCTCCTCTCTCCTTTTATTTTCTCTCTTCTCAATTCTTCTTCCCTCAGGTAACATGATGCAGAAGGAATGACAGCATTTAGTTCACCAATTCTCAGCCTTGCCTTCCCATTGGACTAATCTGGGAGCCTTCACAAAATGCAGATGCCCAGGTGCCCACACGGGAGATACTGGTTTAGTGGGTTGGGGCTGGGCCTGGGAATCACGATTTCTAAAAGCCCCCAGACAGCGAGGGGTAAGCAACTGGATTTGGCCCCTCTTTCAGCTTTGGGTACCTGCTGTGAATCAAGGTCACTCCTGCTCAGAGGCCAGGTGAAGGAAGCATCTGATAGGCTGGCCTGCAGCATCCAGGGGAGCGGCTGAAGGACAGGTACTAGAGCTGGAGGCAGGCATCAGAGCCCCAGTGCCCGGTCACGCCCGGGGTTGTGACTCTGCTTGGCTCCATGCAGCATCCAGGGGAGTGGTGGAAGGACAGGTACCAGAGCTGGAGGCAGGCATCAGAGCTCCGTTGCCTGGCCACACCCGGGGTTGTGACACTGCTTGGCTCCATGGTACTCTGTGGACCCTGCTCCCACCATCTGTAAACTGAGTGTGCTGGGTGAGGGCAGTACTTCCTAACACTTCCTCCCTTCACTGGATAATTTTACTTGGCTCACATTTAAACATAAACATTTATGTTGTTAAAAAAAATGATGGTCATGATTCCTAAAATTCAAACAAAAGGAAAAAGGAACAATGCTATGGAACCCTGGCTAGACCAAGTTGCCTGGCTAAGGCTCTGAACCCAGAGAGTCCTTTGTCTGTTGCACAGGGAAATGTGTAAGTGTTGGCAAGGTGTTAAGGACATCAGCACCGTGCTGAGACTTTCTCATTGGTTTAATCCAAGAGATTGCAGGAGCACTGGAAAGGCAATCATTTCCTCCCTGGATGATTCAAAGTTATTTAATATCCACAGAATCCCCGCAAATCATCTTGGGTGCCACCGTGGGCCACAAACACTTCTTGGAAACACATGGACCTGGGTCAGTCCCTCTGGTCCCTTATCACATGGATGCTGTAGGGTTCTATGGTTCTATGGGCCATACCTGAGATTCCATTACAGGGGAATGTCACTCCCCTCCCTTCTCTCTCAGTCTCCCAGAATGGGGATGGATGAAGAGATCCAGGGTGAGCTATAATTCCCCTCACCCAGCCTTAATCTGGCTGTCTTCCCGGCCAGAGCTCTCCAGGCAACTCCACTTTCTACCTCCAAATAATGATGGTAGTACTAAGTGCAGCACTGACTGTATGCTAGGAACTGTTCTAAGCACCCTGCATGGTCTAGTCCTTTTAAACTTCATGGCAGCCCTAGGGGGCAAACACAGTCAGCACTCCTATTTCTAAAATGGAGAAACTGAGGCACAGGGAATAAAATACCTTACTGAAGACCCTCACCCCAGCCCCCGACTTCCCTACCCCCTGGCCAGTAAGTAGCCACGAACAACTGTACTACAATGCCCTTTTGAATGGCGGGGGTGCTGACAGCTGTCTATTTGCTCTAAAGATGTGGCTGCTTCAGGGAGCAAGTGAGCAGGGGGAGAAAGAGGAAAAGCATTTTTAGAAATTATTTCCGACAGGTGACCACATACTAAAATAACAACATTTGGTTTGCCTTGCTAGCTGGAGGCAAAAATCGGCTCAGGTGGGAGGGTGAGGCTGCAGGCTAAATGCAGACAAGGCTGGCTTGCCCTGAGTTGGCCCAGTTCTAGGAAGGGCACCGGCATTTCTGCCATTAATTGATGCACTGGGAACCCCCAGCTTGGTTTTCTTTAAGGAGAGAAGGAGCTGGGTCTTTCATGGTGTAACTGTGAAAATGAGAACCTCCCAGGGGCTGCAAGACCTGGTTGTATATGGAGTCCAGTGAGCTATTTTAGGGACGAAGTGTAAAATTGTGGAAAACAGTTGTAACACAGGATGGGGTGTGTGTATGAATATTTTTATTGAAAGCAAGAATATTTACTGCATACTTACTATATGCCACTGTTGTAAGGGATTAACCTGCATTACACTATTTCATCCTTGCAAGGATCCTTAGATATAGCTACTATTGCTAACCCCATTTCACAGACAATGAAACTGACACACAGCAATAAGTCACCCCCCCCAAGTCACACAGCTAGTAAGCAGCTCGTTCAGAGCATAAAATCCAGGGCTCATCACCTCCAAACTTCACATATTGCATGCATAGACCCACATTTCCAGAACGCCTAAGAAATTCCCAGTCATCCAGCACGAGTGGATGGAAATGAAGGGGCACATCCCGTCCTCGCTTGGAAGGAAGAAGGAGCTAGCCCTGGAAAACTGACAGACTGGCACGTCTGGAGGCAAAGCCAAGCCAACGGGAGCAGATGGAGCCCAGGCAGCAGATGTTAATACAGTTTGCTTTTTCCATATGCTCTTCTGTTTAGCTGTAATAAGTGAATTGTTCTTTAATATCTGTCAGGAGCTCAAACTCTGAAGGCCGGGGGCAGTCACAGTCACTCAAAAAGACACAAAGGGAAGCTGGCCAGCCGTCTCTTCACATCCCAGAGGAAGGGTGCAGAATGTGAAGAAAGATGCCAAACACAGCAAAGTCCAGGTCTTTGTGTACACACACACGCATGTGCACACATAGGCACACACGCACACACTCCTCGCCTGCCATGACAGTGAGATTCTCACTTGACATTCTAGAGTCTTTGAAATCCTGCCTCAGCGTCCTTCCCACTCAGTAATAACAACTAAGTAGAATTTTCAGATTTTGCCTTTGAAATGACAACAATGAAAGACCCAATTTGAAATGTATAAAGGGCTCCAACGGCTTTGCTCCTTGGGACTTCCAACGCAACCACAACTCATTTCCTTAATCAAGGGCAGCAGGGCCACTGCAGAACCCTGTCTTCTGTCTTAGGATACTTCACGTGTCTTGGGACATCCAGCCCCATCACTATTATCACATAGGGGCGGGGTGTGATGGTGACGTCTGTGAACAGTATTTCTTCAACGATATTTCCATTTGACAACCATGAATTAGGACTCTCATATAGTCTCACCAACTTCATCTTCTTTCTAAGTATCCAGCTGTGATACTGTTATCCGCACTACCACTATACACCCGCCCAGTCAGAGAATAAACACAGAGGGAAGGTCCCCTGGTCCTCACAGTTCCAGCTCAACATAGAGCAGAGGTTGAGTTCTGAGCTAAACCTCAGCATTATCCCTTAAAATCCACGTGACCTTGGGCAAGTTACTTCTGACATTTCTAAGCCTCAGTTTCTTCATCTATTAAATGGAAAGAAATAGCACCTTCCTCCCTCAACAGTCCTGTTGCGAAGATCAAATGTTAAGAAATGCAGGTTAAGTGTTCAGCACAGCAACCGGTACTTAGCAAACACTTACTGAGGAGCAGCTACTATTTTTTTATTATTACTTCTATTTCTCATTCATTCATTCATCCCACTAACACTGGAGCACCTTCTAGGCAACATACATTGTGCTAGGTGCTCAGTAGTGAACAAAACAGATTCAGCTCCTGCCCTAATGGAACTTACATTCTACAGGGGGAGAGATAATAGAGAAATAATAGTTGTCCAATATGATATGACCTGGGGATGAGTACTTTAAAGAAAGATAAGACAGGAGAGAGGCAGCGGATGGCATTTCAGATGGGGTCAGGTAGGAACTCTCTGAGGAGGTAGCATTTGGGTGGCCCAATGGTAAGATGGAGCTTCTCCAAACACATACCGGGCAAAAGGTACCAGGCAGCAGGAATGGTAAAAGCAAAACTCTCACAGCTGGGGATGGTGCTGTGCACCTGTAGTCCCAGCTACTTGAGAGGCTGAGGCAGGGGGATCACTTGAGCCCAGGAGTTCGAGGCTGCAGTGAGCTACGACTACACCACTACACTACAGCCTGAGTGACGGAGTGAGACTCTGTCTCTAAAAATTAAAAATTTAAAAAGCAAAGCTCTCAAGGCAGAAATGGTCTAGGACCAGTCTAGCAGCAGGAAGAGGAAGATGGGGCTGTGATATGGAGAATAGACTCATACAGCACAGGAAAGCAAGATGGGGCTGAACCTGGGTACACAGAGAGGAGAGAAGTCCGTATCTCATTCTAAGTGCACTGGGGAGCCACTGGGGGCTTAAGCAGGAGAGCATGCCAGATCTGACTGATGGATCCTGGAAGAGCCCACTCACCCACTGCTCACAGATGCAGAGAGAGGAAGCAGGGGCAGAAACAAAGGTGGATGCAGCCCTGGCCAAGTCCAGACTGAGATCAGAATGCATTGCCTGGGTGCTGCTCCAGCCTCTTCTCTCCGGGGTGTTGCTGGGGAGGGATGAGGGAAAATGCACAAGTGATGGGAATTTACTTAGAAGTTTCTGGCTGCAAGCTTGGGTGACTAGAATCACCCAGGACCCCATGGTAGTGATGATCTCACACCAGCAAATGGCTTTAAATCAGAATTCAAATGAGTCTGGTAAACCAGGATAAAGTGTGTAATTTAAAGCATCCCGGAAGCCCTGGGAACTTGCGCTAGATGCTTCTCGATCTGCTCTCAGGGGATCTCCAGCATTATTCTGGAGAGATCTGGTAGCAGAATTAATGACTCTGGCATTTCCCACCTGATCTAGGGCTTTGATCCTTCCTGCCCCATGACTGTCTCAGAACCAAAGGTTGTGGGACAATGGGCACTGTGCATGTGCCCAGACCAAGAATCAGCATTTAGGCCTGGCTGCAAATTTCACCATCATGCCCGGGGGCCCTGCTTTCTGCTGATGTTTCAGCCAGGAATGCCAGGCCCTTCACCCCTCACCCTGGCTTGCATTCAAATGACCCCTGCCTCTGTCTCCTTCACCAGACTTTCTCCTCCTCCTCTATGCCTACAGAACACTTTTACCAACTCCACTACAGAACTTTCCACCTGAATTGCTTGTTAACATGGTATAGCCCCCTAAAAATGTGTCCTTCTGAGGAGCAGAACTTATTCAAGTTTATAACCCCCAAGGGTCTAGCCCCAAACCTGGTGTATCTCTGTGTGTGTGTGTGTGTGTGTGTGTGTGTGTGTGTGTGTGTGTGTCCATGTGTGTGTGAGTGAGTGAGAGAGAGAGAGAAAGAGAGAGAGACAGAGAGACAGAGAGAGACTGTGTTATGCCAATATCAACATAAACAGCAGCTAACACAATGGGGGTCTGGGCCCACGTGCCTCTCTGCTAATCACTAACTTTCATGATCTTCTCTGACCCTCACAATAAACCTGTCATAGAGGATCTATTATTACTCCAAACATACTTAGACTCAAAAAGGCTAGGACATTTGCTCAAGGTCCCGGCACTAGTAATTGGTAGGACTGGAATTTGAACCAGGCTCATGTAAGCTCATAAATCAAGACCCTTCTCCACCACACTTACTTGAAGGGGTAAACAGAGACTGAGCAATATGTGGGAGGAGTGGGTGGGAGGCTGGGGAGGGAGGTATGGAATAAATAATCATGGAAGGGGATGGCAGATGGAAATTAGAGAAATTAATACATCCAAGAATGTTCTCAGGGTTTTGGTCAAACCATGGACTGACTCACCAATATAAAGACCACTCTCCTTGTCATCCCAAACCATTCACCTTCAAGTATCCACGGATCTGCACTGTCACTTTCTTAGCCCAGGTCAACCTGTCACCCATGTGGATCCTTGATCAACACAGCACTAAAATTGTATGTAAAACTGGCTTAGCTAATACTCATTAGCTAGCCACACTTAGGCACATTACGTATATTAGCTTCTTGAATCCTCACAACAATCCCCATGGATAGGTATCATCATCATCCTCATCATCATCATCCTCATCATCATCCCCATCCTTGTTGTAAGGTTTTCCAGCAAGCAATGGAAGACGGGGACTTGAACCCAGGTAATCTGCCACCTTCACCACAAAGTATAGCCATCGTTGATTGTGTCCTTACACTGCTCTAAGCATCTCCCCATGTCTTCTGCTTTAAGCAAACTTATGAGATGGGGAGTGTTTTCATTCCAATTTTACAGATGAGGAAACTTACGTTCAGAGTTCAAACCCTGAATTCTGTTCAGGTGTTTGGGGAGGTCAAACCCACCAAACACCACCCAGCCAAGGCCACGATCATTCACTGATCCTGCAGCTTTATGAGAATAATAAAAAAGATTCCCCTTACTCTGGGCAATTGCAGCCCTGAGTCTACAGTATGCCTTGATGACCAGAGTGTAGGTGAATTTTGGCTCCTACTTAACTCCCTCCTGTAGTTATATCCTGAACAAGCATACGCAGAAACACTGCAGCCAGCTAAAAATAGGCAGAACTGAGATTCAAACCCAGGCCTGGCGTGGATCTAGTTTTTCATCATGTAGATGCTCCATCACCCACTCAGACACCACTCCCCCTCTTTTTTTTTAATCCAGTTCAAGAATCAACCCAATCCAAGGCTGCTCAATTAACGCTCAGTGCAGTATCCTCAAGCAGGCAAACGCTCAGAACGTAGACGGATCCCTCTAGATCATACTCCTCCCACCTCCTGGGGCTGTGGCCACTTCATCACAGTCTCAGAAAAAACTCTGGGCTCACAGAAGGTAACTCTGCACCATGAGACAATTTGTCGAATCCTTGCAGCCGGTACCGCATGTGGCCAAATCTCCCCACCCCAATCAGGCAGCCACTTCACACAGTGACCTTTCCTGATCTGCACTGTCAGGCTGCAATTTAGCCATTCTGAGGACTCTGTTGGAGGCTGCTTCAGCCAAAAGCTTGCCTCTGGGGAGCCCTCCCAGGGCCCTGGACTCCGTTCAGATGTCACTTTGCATTAAGGGCCCACTGTGTGGGGCTCCTGGAGAGGAAGAAAGCAAATCTCTGCTGAATGTCCCTAAGACAGAAGTCAAGTGAGGAGCAGGGGAGGCAAAAGAAAGACAGACAGACAGACGCTGGGCATCTAAAGAAGGGGTGGAGGACTGGTAGTTCCAACTGGCAGCAGAAATAATAATACCAGGAGCTTAACATTTACCAATCACTTAGGAAAAAAGATTAATACTAAGTGAGAGTTTAAGATGTGCCAGGAACTCTATTAGGCATAATTTTTCTTTTTTTTTTTTTGAGACAGGGTCTGGCTCTGTTGGCCAGCTGGAGTGCAGCAGCATAATCGTAGCTCACTGCCACCTCAAGTGAGGCTCAAGTGATCTCCCACCTCAGCCTCCCGAGTAAATGAGACTACAGGCATACACCACCAGCTAATTTATTTATTTATTTGTAGTAGAAGATGAGGTCCTACTATGTTGCCCAGGCTGGTCTCAAACTCCTGAGCTCAAGCCATCCTCCCGCTTCGGCCTCCTAAACTGCTGGGATTACAGGTGTGAGCCACTGGGCCCCACCTAGACATAATTCTTCAGGTGGGGGCCGGTAACAGTTACTCCTCCCTTCTCCAATATAAAAATAGTGCAGTGTCCAAGCAGAGAGGCTACAAGATAAATCAATTGCCAGCAAAACCCTTGGTGTATAACTTAGCTATACAGTTTCACTCATGGCAAGAGTAACGGCAGCTGGGATTTCTTACTTACCTCCTACCTGTCAGGGATTGTGTGTGATTCTTTTGTTCTTCTTGGGGCTTGTCTTATTATGCTTATTGTAGACCGACTGTACTGATGGTCCCAAGCAATGGCCTGCTGTATGCTTGCCCTTGGCAATGTGCCCTGCTGCTTCTCCCAAGAGGTTGAGATGACTTGTCCATACCTTGAATATGGGCAGGTCATGCGACCTGCTTTGGCCAAAAGAAGGTAGCAGAGGTGACCCTAAGTTTGGCTTCTCTGTCTTGGAACCCTGTCACTGCCATTTGCTCTCTACTGGAGGATGAGAGACCACGTGGAGGCGAGTCCAAATGACTTTCCTCTCAGTTGAGATAATCCTAGACCAGCTTAGAGGCAGCCAATCTCCAGACATGACAGCCCAACTGAGATCAGGAGAACCACCACTGAGACCAGAAGAACCATCTAGCTCACCCAAAGACTCTTGAACAGTAACAAATAAAAATTTCTTACCGTTTTACCCCACTGAGTGTTGAGGTGATTTGTTAAAACATCCCAAGAATACAATAAATAGATTTTTTTAAAAAACCTGAGCCTCAGAGACATAAAGTCACTTGTCTAAGGCAACCCAGCTGATAAGAGATGGAGCTGGGATTCTACACCATTGTAAGTTTTCATCCACGATGATCTATACCTAGGGTCAAGAAATCATTTTCTGTAAAGGACTGGCTAATAAATATTTTAGGCCTTGTAAGCCATACAGTCTCTGCCTCAACCTCTCAACCCTGCCATTGTAGAGTGAAACCAGTCATAGGGCGTATGTAAATGAATGGTGTGCTGTGTTCCAATAAAACTTTATTTCTAAAAACAGGTGGAGGGCCAGATTTGGCCTGTGAATGGCAGTTTGCTACCTCCTGCTCTAGGTTGCTTCTCTGTATCATCACCATTTGTGCCAGCTTTTTTCCCCTTTCTCTGTCTGTCGCCTCCCTCTTTCCCTCCTCTAGAATTTCCACATAAAATCCCGCAATTGTCTTCTGCCATGTTTATGTTCTACCCTGAGACATGTGACAAGTACCTCTCAACTCAAGGGGCTTTGTTTCCCCAGCGTAAGTGTGTCTCAACTCCCTGATTTCATAAATCTATGTCATTTCCAGAAATCAGTTTGACTGATGTGTTTTCCCAATGTTAGGATGATATCTTTCTGGATTCCCTAGGTATGGGAATTTAAAAAGTTCTGATTGCATTCCAAATCCAAGACCCAACATCATCAGGGTGACAGTTGAGAATGCAAATGACTCCTATTCAGAATATTAAAAACAAAAGCTTCAGTTCTGTACCTAGGAAAATTTGACTGGCTCCAAAAAAAAGTTTGCAAAAAACCAAAATGAAAACAAAACAAACGCAAACATGCAAACAAAACAAAACCCCAAACCCAGAGTGATGCAGAGGAAAGTCTAAGAGCTGTTTCATGATCCCACACACCCCGTCTCTGGGGCAACCTCTCTGTAAGAAGCAAGAAAGGAAGATGACGATGACTTTCTGCAGAGAACAAAAATTTGGCTTGAAGCAAATGAAATCCCAGTGATTTTCCATTTTAAGGATATCTATCTCATCCAAAAAATAAAATGTTATAATAGATTTCATTTTTTCCATCTCTTTCTTGTTCTTTTTGCCTCTTAGCTGTCCTACTTAGAATATCGAACCGTGTTGGCAATCAAAGTAGACTCTGAACTTGGCTACTTTCTCCTCAGTTAAAAGAAAAAGAAAAAGAGGTAGACTTGAGTGTTTAGCAAAGCAGCTCATCCAGTTTAGAGGCTGAAAGCCACATCTTCAAAATTTCAACCAAGGAAAGTTAGGGTTAGTGTCAAACTTTCCATAATTTTTAACAACTTTCTAAGTAAAACTAGAGATGTCTATCTGGACTGACTTTAATTTTAAAAGTCTAAAGCACCAAAGGCAGCGGAAGGTCCATCTCATGTTTCATTACGGTTAAATTCTATTTCCAAGAACCACCAACCTCAGTCCCGGGACCTGGCATGGATGAAGCTATTTCTGGAGGCTGCCATGACTCTTGGAGCCAAGAACAAAGTGGAAGGAGACGCCTTACAGGCAGGGGCCTTCAACCGCATGGAAGTACCAGCAGATCCTGTGTTCAGAATCCCCTACTGTACTCTTAGCTCCCCAAACTGTTGAATCGACCCAAGGAGGTGTCAAAGCCTACCATGGAGCATGCACTTGTAAATGTCTGCAAATGACATGGGCTTTCTCTGTGTTAGATGTGGAATAATCACTACTAACATAATTATCTCCATTATAAAGATGAAGAGACTGAGGCCAAAGTCCAAGGCCCACAGCTAGTGAAGGGCAGAGCTGAGATTCACAGCCAGCTCATCTGACTTCAGGGCCTATCTGAAACATGACAAAATAACTGACTTGGTAAATGATCCTATTAATTTGGGTGATCAGATAGAGGTGGTTACAATGTCCTGGGGTGGATCAACACCCTGGCTCTGCCACCAAATCCTGATCCTCCTCAGGCCACCTGACAATTGTCTTATTTTATTCATTTATTTATTTTTGAGACACGGTCTCTGTCACCCAGGCTGGAGTGCAATGGCGCAATCATATCTCACTGCATCCTCAGCCTCCCAGGCTCAAGGGATCCTCCCACTTCAGCCTTCTGAGTAGCAAGGACTGCAGGTGCACACCACCACACCTGGTTAACTTTTTTTTGGCAGCGACTGGGTTAATATATGATTTAGTGGGCACCACCACACCCAGCTAACTGGCTATTTATGACTTTTTTGTAGAGAAGAGGTTTTGCCATGTTGCCACAGGGCTGGTCTTGAACTCCTGGACCCAAGCGATCTTCCTGCTTTGGCCTCTCAAACTGCTGGGTGTGGGTGTGAGCCATTGTGCCTGGCCTAATTGTCTCATTTTAAAAGAACTTTCATTCAATGAGCAGCATATGTAAGATGTGGGACCTGTGAGGTTGGCAGGCTGAGGTTATTTCCCATTACACAGATGTCGAAACTGAGGCCCAGGGGTCCTGCCCACTGTTACCCACCTGGTAGTGGCACAGTCAAGTATGAACAACAGATCCTGTGTGTCCAGCCCAGAACCAATAGAGGGGTTTGGATTTGGGTGGGGTGGAACACACCCACCTCAATTTTCCCAGCCTCTGTCTGTTCTAAGGCCAGAAATCCTCTGAGGCCCCTGAGCTGTGTTTTCCTAAAGCTCTGAAGGTCAAATACGGTGCTGAGGACCTCACACTTAGAATGTGCTGAGAAGGGGTACAGGAATGAAAGCTGCTGGCTTAAGTGAAAGACATATACAAAAAGACCTGGAAATTGTATTTTATCGCAATAGCTATTTATTCCTGCTGTTCGGTGTTACAAAAATGCCATGTTCCAAAAAGGCTTAAACAAAAGACACTGTTCCACTGACCAAAAATTAAACAGATAAAACACAGTGTGGGGACGAGGTGTGGTAAGGAAAGGAATGAAGAGAAAAGAATATGATAGGATGGCCAGGCACGGTAGCTGACACCTGTAATCCTAGCACTTAGGGAGGCCGAGACCTGTGGATCTCTTGACCCCAGGAGTTCAAGACCAGCCTGGGCAACATGGCAAAACATCGTCTCTACAAAAAAACCCATAAATAATTAGCCAGCTAGCCGGGCATGGTGGTGCCCACTAAACCATACACACACACACACACACACACACATATACACATATATATCTGTGTGTGTCTATATATATGTTTTTTGAAAGGTTCTAAATATTATATATATTATATATACATGATGGGAAATTCAATTTGCCACCAGAAGCATTTAAAATAATACCATAGGTTTTATGAGAGATATGACCTCTGTCTCTGAGCTTATGAGACATGTGAGAGATATGAATTGTCTTTGAGCTTCCTAGCAGGCAATGCAAAGAGGGAAACACAATTAGTTATTTGAATCTGTGTCACAGACGAGATTCCTCACTTCACAAAAAAAACTCTCCCATCTCTATTTTTTTCGTGTTATTATCTCTTGATTGTGTTCTGTTTCTCACATATCAGTTCCATCTCTGTATTTGCTGAGCTGATCTGTGTATCCAAAATGACCTGCTGTGCAGGGCTCTTCACAATAGCCCCTGAAATTCAGAGAGGCTGGCTGATGTGGATCCCTGTACAGCTCTGGTATAGTCAAGTGTTTATTTACTGAGCGTCACCTGAACAGACTGGCGATGAAGGAGAAGTTTAAAACCACTTTGGTAGGAGACGATGCCACCAGAATAGCAATGGGAAATGAAGCAGAGAAATCCCTGGCATTAAAGTTGAAGTGAATGAGAAAAGCACATTTGTGTTGACATCATCCCTGTTGGCCCACACATGGTCTTTCAGAAACACTTTCCTGCACAAAGTGGGGCACATGGGAATACAGAGGCCACTTCCTCACATCTCTCCACACTTTGCCCAGTCCCACGGTCAGGGATGAGACGTTCATCCACTTCATCTCAGCCCTGAGCACTAAGGGGGCCACAGTGGGCAGGGTCACTGTGTGGGAGCCTCAGGAACCAGGACTCTGGCACATGCTGGGCAGCTCCATGCAATGGAATTGTAAGCTGAGTTGGGCTCCCTGCAGGCATGGGAGCATTTCAGAGCCAAAATTCCCACCTGCAGCTACAAGCAAAGAGAGTGGAGGTCCTACTTTAGCTAACCCGTAAAGCGGGCACTTCCAAGAAGACTTTTACTGGAACTCTGTGCTAGAAGATTGGGAAGTTGATTCTCTGTCGGCTACCCCCACTGCTGCCTAGGGGTCCTGGAAGGTTGGGAGGGGAGGAGAGGTGACTGCAGGACAGGGTATCATGGCATCCCCGAGTTTACCTCCACCAAACACACCCAAAACCTCTGTTTAACACCCAACAACTAGTATTTAATTTTCATTCCGCTGACCTGGGAGCATCTCTCTAATGGAACTTCCACTTAGCATAGCCACTGAAGTTCCCCAGGGACAGTGGTACCAATTAAATAACGTGACACTTTGGAGGTGTAAAGCTATGTATTTACTCCCAAACCAGAGGCTTGGGTAGTTTTTAACATAAAGATTTTCTCCCTCCTTTTTTTTTTTTTTTTTTTTTTTTTTGAGACTGAGTCTCCTTCTGTAGTGCAGCGGCACAATCCTGGCTCACTGTAACCTCTGCCTCTTGGCTTCAAGTGATTCTCCTGTCTCAGCCTCCTGAGTAGCTGGGATTATAGGCACCCATCACCACACCCAGCTAATTGTTTGTAATTTTGGTAGCGACAAGGTCTTACCACGTTGCCCAAGCTGGTCTTGAACTCCTGAGCTCAAGTGATCCTCCCTCCTCGGATGCCCAAAGTGCTGGGGTTACAGGCGTGAGCCACCACGCCCGGCCAGAATCTCTCTCTTAAGAGTCACCACTAGTGCCCAATGTTTACTGTTCAGAAAGGTCATTGCCCAGCAGTTGCAGGCAAGAAACCCTGGACGCATCTTGGGGAAATGCATCTAAACAATGCAGAGCAGAAGACAGGAGGGGTTCATGCTCTGAGTACAGGCTCTGGGGTCAGAGAAGAATGGGTCCAGATCCCAGCTCCATGGCTGTGCAATCTTGAACAAGTTGCTTAACCACTCTGGGCCTCACTGTCCTCACCTGTAAAATAAGGTGTTCCTGAGGCATTAGGAATGCCCTGGGCGACTGTGCTGAGAATGCAGGAGCAGTTACAAGGCTAAGCAACTGTTCCTCTGAAGGGGTCCCCTGCTCAGCAGAGCCTCAAAATTTGGTCCTGTCTCTGCTTAGGGCTTTCTGACAAAGCAGAGTGGGGAAGGGAAAGGGAGGTTTCTGGAAAAGCCAGTGGCCAACTTCTGGGTACCGCGGACAGGTGGCAACACCTGTCCAAGGACCAGGCATCTCTCAGGCTGTTTCTAGGCTGCTCCACATGAGGGAGAAATGATGGGCTTTGCTGGCCAGCCCAACACCGTCAGAGGGCATGTTACTGCTCGAAAGTACAAAATAAGCAGAGTGCGCATAACTAAACACTATTTTTATCGTCTTTCCGCCACTCTCATGCCACAAGCAAGAGCTGCTGTGTAAGGGAGGGTGGCAGGGAGATGTTTATTCAGAGCATGGGGTGGCCTGAATACCAATGGGGCCAGTTGAGAGGCTGTGTTGTAAGGGCTTTTAGGGGACAGCACCCAGGAGAATCGCAGCCACCCTCAAGGCTGACCTAGGAGACAAAATTGCCTTCCTCCCCAAACTCAGCCCTGCACCCTGCTGCCCTGGGTGAGGACCTTATCTTTCCCCCACCTAGGAATCTGCAAGGGTATCTTTCCCTTAGCATCAGGAACAAAACTTACCCTCCAGCTCTGGGCAAGAAGGATCTGAAAATGACAGTTCTAGGGTCGTTTGGGGCAGGTACAAGCACCCTTATTCCTGGTGTCCAGACAGTGCATGGTGTAGGTATACAGCAGGTACTAGATGACAATTCCATAAAAGAAGTAACATCCAAGGGCTTGGGAGGCATCTACGAAGAATGGCAACAAAACCCTTGCCTTCACAGAACTTTATTCTAGCACAGGGACACAGAAAGATGACAGATATAACAAATAGTGCACAGAATAGGGTAGAAGAGAGAAGTCAGTGGTTAGGATGATGCAATGGGTGCATTTCTTAATAAGGTGGTCAAGGCAGGCTTTAGACTGAAAAGGTGAGGTATAAGCAAAGACTCCCAGTGGGTAAGTGAGCATGCTGCTTGGCTAACTGGGAAAAAGCATTTCGGGGACAGGGAAACTGCTGTGCAAAGGCCCTGAGGTGACAGCAAGCCTCACGTTGCTGGTGGAGACCAGCAAAGAAGCCAGGGTGGAGGAAGTAAAAGATGAAAAACAGAAGCTTAGGTCAGGAAGAAATGGGGGATAGATCAATAAAGCATTATAGAGCCAGGTTTTTGTTTTGTTTTGTTTTGTTTTGTTTTGTTTTGTTTTTGGAGACAGATTCTTGCCCTGTCACACAGGCTGGAGTGCAGTGGTACGATCTCGGCTCACTGCAACCTCCATCTCCCAGGTTCAAGCAATTCTCCCACCTCAGCTTCCAGAGTAGCCGGGATTACAGGTGTGTGCTGCCATGCCCAGACAATTTTTGTATTTTTAGTAGAGATGGGGTTTCACCAGGTTGGCCGGGCTGGTCTCGAACTCCTGACCTCAGGTGATCTGACCACTTTGACCTCCCAAAGTCCTGGGATTATAGGCGTGAGCCACCACACCCGACCCAAGAGCTATAGTTCTTAACTGGGTCAACTTGACCCACAGGGGACATCTTGCCATGTCTGGAGACATTTTTGTTGTCACACTTGGGGAAGGGGAATGCTACCAGCAACTAGTGGGTAGAGTCCAGAGATGCTGCTTAATATCCTGTAATGCACAGGACGACCCTCCACAACTAAGAATGATCTGGCCCCACATGTCAACAAGTTCAAATCTAGACCACTGTAAGGCCTCTGGCTTTTGCTCTGAATGAGCTGGGATTATTTGGTGAATGAATGAACCCCCTCTGTGCTTGCACTGATGATAACACAGACTGTAAATCTGGAGGTGTTTCATCTTCCTCCAAACCATTTCTCGCATTCATAGAGTAAGGAAGAAAGAAAAGACACCTTTTTTTTTTTTTTCTCCCTGCGCCAAAAGCACACAGTGGAACTCCTGGTTTTGAAATGTCCTATTTTATGTGGGACCTAAAAGGATGCCAACTGTCTTCTGGCCTAGTGACAACAAAAGTGACTTCTTGGAAAGCTGCGGTAACATGGAGGTGGCTAGGGAGCAGTCCAAGGGAACAAAACAAAACAAAACAAAACAAACCTAAACCAAACCATGTTTAGCAAGGCCTGGGGGGTGTTGGGGTACCACAGGAGGCAGGCTCAGCGCGTTTATCCCCATGTAAAGATTGCAGAGATGGGGCTGGGGCTTCGCGGGTGATTTTTTTAGTGCTTTCACCTCTAATCTCCAAATCCTAGCCCTGCTCCTTCCAGAAACCTACAGCCTTGCCTAAATTTTGTGTGGGTGATTAAAGCAGAGGACCCGATTCCCTGTTCCTGCCTCTCTGTTTGTGAATAATCAAAGGCTAATCAGCCAAGGCCCCAGGGGACAGGAAATTAGACGTGCAAGATACCAGAGAGGCTCTGAGAATAAAACTGCGAGGTGAATCTGACATCAATGCCAGCAGGGGTGTCTGGGCTCTGATGGGCAGGAGCGCAGAGCCCGGGGCCAACTGGGGACAAATCCGATTTCTCCAGGGCTCAGCTGACCTCTGGCTTACACCAAAGACAGAGAAGGACAGGCTGCAAGAATCTGGCTTTTCTCCATCAGCTCAGGGATCAGTCAAATCAAAGCATTAAGAATCCAGGGTGAACTCTGATATTAGCGAGGGCAAAGGGGATGTTCTCCAGACTGACACAAACCACCGGGGTTCAAATCCCCGCTCCTCCACTTCCTGGCTGTGTTACAGTCTAAGGTCTTTGAGTCTCAATTTCCTTATCTGTAAAATGGAATCAAATACAAATAATCAGGAATGACTTTCCGAGTTTCTTTTGGTAGAAGAGTGGAAATGAATGGAGAGGAGGAAGCAGAAGTACTATTTAGTGACTCTTGTGAGCTAGACATTGTGCTCAATGCTTTAGATTTATGTTTATCGAATTCTCCTAACAACTCAATGCAGTATTGGATATTCCATTTTCATATGAAAATGCTGAGGTCTCAAAGGATAAAGCACTTGCTTGAGTCAGGGAAATGAATCCCCTTTCCATCTGCCTCCAAATCCATGTTTTATTAGTAACACCACCCAACACAGAGCACTTTGAACTTCTCATGTGTACTGCCATGCTGGGTCCTTATAATATATATCAGCACGGGTGCAGTGGCTCACGCCTATAATCCCAGCACTCCAGGAAGCCAAGGCAGGAGGATCACTTGAGGCCAGGAGTTCGAGAACAGCCTGGGCAACAAAGTGAGACCCGCCCCCACCGACGGTGTCTCTAGGAAAAGTAAAAAACTTAGCTGGGTATCATGGAGAACGCCTGTAATCCCAGCACTCTAGGAAGCCAAGGCAAGATCACTTGAGGCCAGCGGTTCAAGACCAGCCTGGAGAACAAGTGAGGACCCCATCTCTAAAGAAAATGAAAAAAAAAAAAAAACTTAGCTTGGTATGGGGGCCCATGCCTATAGTCCTCACTACTCAGGAGGCTGAGGTGGGAGGATCACTTGAGCCTAGGAGGTCGAGGCTGCAGTGAGCCATGATCATGCCACTGTGCTCCAACCTAGGCCACAGAGTGAGACCTTGTCTCTATAAAACAAAACAAAAGGCCGGGCGCGGTGGCTCACGCCTGTAATCCCACCACTTTGGGAGGTCGAGGCGGGCAGATCATGAGGTCAGGAGATCGAGACCATCCTGGCTAACACGGTGAAACCCCGCCTCTACTAAAAATACAAAACATTAGCCGGGCGTGGTGGTGTGTGCCTGTAGTCCCAGCTACTCGGGAGGCTGAGGCAGGAGAATGGCGTGAACCCGGGAGGTGGAGCTTGCAGTGAGCCGAGATCGCGCCACTGCACTCCAGCCTGGGCGACGAGCGAGACTCCGTCTCAAAAAAAAAAAAAAAATTATTCCTGCCGAGGGAGCCAGTGTTAAGAGCTATCACGGCTCCATTCTACAGATGAGGAAACTGGAGCACATCCTGTAAGGTCTCACTTGCCAAAATTTTTGTCTCCAAGAGAAAACCAGACCCTCCCTTACAAAACAAGTCAAAATGAGTGTAAAATCGGTTCCGTCAGGTGACAGCCATGAGGAGACGGATGGTGTCACATCTAGTGGGGGCGAGGGAATGGGCTGGAGGTATAGTGTGTCCAGTTGCAGGACCAAAAAACCTTGGCCCATAACTAACGTTCCCTGCACAGCCACCCCATGCCACACGCAGAGCCCAGGAGATCTCATCTCATCTTCACAGCACGCCTGGTGGCGAGTGCCCTCACTGTTCCCATTTTACAGATGAGGAAGATGAGGCTCAAGGAGCTGACGTCATTTATACCACACTGCTATTGAGTGGAGGACTGCAGAGTTGAACCGGGTTGCTTAGCACCTTTCCTGCTGCTCTGAGGTCCCTTAAAGTCTCTGTGAAGCGTAAGGATGGGAGGTGGGAGTCCTGAAAAACTGGTCTACCTGCTGCTGTGCGAGATTGAGTTGGGACAGTCAGCTCTCCCCTCTCTGGCCTCAGTCTTCACCCGGCAGGGAAGGGGCTCCACTGAAGGTCCTTCAGCTCTGACCTCCTGTGCTGCTCTTCATAGACCGTCAGCTGCTGCTTCCTAATGCAAATGCTGTCACTTGCCTCAGGGCCTTTGCACTTGCTGTTCTCCAGGCCAGGAAAAATATCCGTCTGGATATCCTCATGGTTCACTCCTCAAGCAACTTGTCAGAGGACACGCCCTATGAGAGCCACCACCCCCTGCCCCATAGGCATTCCCCATTCCTCTAATTATGTTGCTCCTCAGGCCACGTATCACTCTCTGGGCTATTAAAGATTATAATTATAATCTACAATGTCTATTATTAATATGTATAATATATATTTGCTTATTGTCTGAATATATTCTATTTATATATAATATTATGTATTTGCCTATTGTCTAAATCTTCCAACTAGAACGCAAGCTACTTTTTTATGTCCCTTCAGTATGCACAAACCCTGGCACATGACAGGCATTGGGTAAATATTTGTGGAATGAATGCCTGGATGCATTAAATCCATTTCTGGGCACCTACTGCACTTAAGGCAGACGGGAAATGCACGTGGTTAACCCACCACCACCAGAGCATCCAGCTCCATGCCTTTATCAACCTGGCCACCATGTTTCATCAGCAAATGTGAATTGGGGGAAATAACAGAATGAAGAGGGGGTGGCAGTAAGCCCCAGCAGGCTTCAGGACCAGATAAAGGAGGCCAAAAGATTCCATTTGCACAAAATACCATGCAGCCCTCTCCATCCCGTTAACCCGCTCTTCCTCAAGGAACTTCCAGAACAAACTATTGCCAAACACCATTGAGTTTAATTACTCAGATGATATTAATAGTGCAGCCAGCTTTAATTACAGACGACGCTGCTGCACAGGGGCTAAAGACACCCTCTGAATTGCTAGCGTCCCTTCCACCTCGCTTCTCTAGCTGAGGTCGCCATATGTGGGAGTTGATTTAGCCTTGACTCTGCCATAGAGACTTACCAGCAAGCTTTAGGAGAAGAGAGGCTTTTTGTCCCCTGCAGAATTGAATGGGGGCCACTCATGCTAGATTTCCCTAACTGCCAGAACATAGCTCTTATATAATGAAGGCCCAGGAAGGTCTGCAGAATGAGACTGGTTCGAGTTCTTAGAGAAAAGTTTCAGAAAGACGAGGGACACAGGAAGGATTCTGCTTTTCCCCCATCCTGGTGGACATGAAGGACCCAGGATAAGCTATGATGCTGCTTTATTAACGACCCTTTTTCAAAGCACTGACCCCGGCAGCAGGAATGGAATCTGGCCGCCTAGGCTTTCTGTTAATGAGATGAGAACTGAAGTTCAAAAATAAACTGTGGGAAGCCTGGTAGGGAAATACCAGATGACAAGAGGATAATCTGGTGACCAAAGGCATAAAAGGTGGCGGGGGTGGGGAGCCCACAGCTAAATCAATAACCAGGTCGGGAGGAATTTGGGGGTCAAAAGAGTGGCTTAGCTGTTAAGAACATGGTGAAAACTGACCTTGGATGGCTCCGTAAGAATCTTAGCTTTGTGGAGATATTTTTGTGCCTCTGACAAAATGCTATCTTTTAAGAAGTGTGCACAGACTTCATTTCTAGGCATGTAACCTTCACATTTAACTTGCATTTAAGCAAAATGATATGCGTGTAGGGAGGATTGCTATGGCGAGTTTTTAATTGCCAAAGACTAGAAACCACTTCAGCCTCAGCAGTTGTGGTATGGTTAAATAAACCATGCTATGTGAATGCAAATGCAAAATAATGCAGCTATTTCTTTCTTTCATTCTTTCTTTTTTTTTTTTTTTTTTTTTTGAGATGGAGTCTTGTTCTGTTACCCAGTCTGGAGTGCAGCGGCACGATCTCGGCTCACTGAAACTGCTGCCTCCTGGGTTCAAGTGATTCTCCTGCCTTAGCCTCCCGAGTGGCTGGGGTTACAGGCACCTGCCACCATACCTGGCTAATTTTCATGTTTTTAGTAGTGACGGGGTTTCATCACCACCTTGGCCACGCTGGTCTGGAACTCCTGGGCTCAGATGACTGCCCACCTTAGCCTCCCAAAGTGCTGGAGTTACAGATGTGAACCACCGCGCCCAGCCTAATGCAGCTATTAAAAAGAATGGGGGCCATGATATATATACTGAACCAGAACAATCGATGAGCTAGATAGGTAAGCGACAAAAGCAAGACACAAAATAACACGTACAGTTTGCTGCTATAAGTTAGACTGTGCTTTAAGCACCGTCTAGAGCAATCCATAAGACAATTCAGATCCTTTCTCATTAGCTGTGCAACTCTGGGTATGTTACTTTACCTCTCTGGGCCTCCGTTCCTTTCTCTCTCAACTAGAGCTTTAATAGGAGTTAGTTTGTATATCTAAAGCACATATTCTCAATAGGGATGACTGTCACCCCCACCAAGCAAGCAAAATTTGGGGGAGTATATGTGTGTGAGAAAAAAAAAATCTTAGGCTGGGCACAGTGGCTCATACTTATAATCCCAGCACTTCGGGAGGCTGAGGCGGGTGGATTAGTTGAGGTTGGGAGTTTGAGACCAGCCTGGCCAACATGGTGAAACTCTGTCTCTACTACAAATATAAAATTAGCCAGGCATGGTGGCGGGCGCCTATAATCCCAGCTACTCAGGAAGCTGAGGCACGAAAATCCCTTGAACTCAGGAGGCAGTGGTTGCACTGAGCCAAGATTGCACCACTGTACTCCAGCCTGGGCAACACAACACAACTCTGTCTCAAAATAATAATAATAGTCTTAGATATTGCAATGGTCAGCCGTCCCCCAAAGCTCAACCCTATCTGATAAAATCTTTTCCCACAGTATTTAATTTCTCTCACAAGGGAGAATTTATATTAAATTAAATTTTTCTTCTTGGGAGGGTGATAATGAAAGAAAGTAATGCTTGAGTAATACTGAGCTAAAGTACTCAGAACAGCGTGAAGCAGATGGGGTGACATTTACCTTGCAATGTCGCTGCCAAGTTTAAATACAATAATAGATGCAAAGGCCACAGTGCGAAGGCGTTTCATCAGACTCCACCGCAACAACAGGTGGCGAATGCTAATATCAACTCTCACTTCTTAGATGAAGACTCGGAGGTTTACAAAAGTGGAAAGACTAGGCCAGAGGTCAGCATCTGAGCTGGAATTTTCACCTGGTCTCTCTCTCAGACTAAGAGCTTCCTCTTTATGCTCCAGTGGTGCTTGGAGACCACATGGTCTGTTTGTTCTGGTAGCTTCCCTAAAATACATGTCAGGGCTCGGCACAGTGGCTCATGCCTGTAATCTCAGCACTTTGGGAGGCCAAGGTGGGCGGATCATTTGAGGTCAGAAGTTCAAGACCAATCTGGCCAACATGGTGAAACCCCATCTCTACTAAAAATGCAAAAATTAGCCAGGCGTGGTGGCATACACCCTAGCTACTCAGGAGGCTAAGATGGGAGAATTGCTTGAACCCACCAGGTGGATGTTGCAGTGAGCCAAGATTGTGCCACTGCACTCCAGCCTGGGTGACAGAGCAAGACTCGATCTCAAAATACTACTACTACTACTACTACTAATAATAATAATAATAAAAAAATACATGTCGAGGTCAACCCAGGCCCAGGTACCAGGATGTGTCCTTACTCTGCTGAGTATCAGCATAAGATGTCGAGTCTAGACCAGGGGACACCGTCGTAGCAGACAGCCATGAATACCTCATCCTGTCTGCTGTTAGCAAGCTGCAAAGCCTGCTGGTCCTTCCTCTTCCTCCTCTTGTGAGGCCCTCTGGAGAAATTTCCATCTGAACTGAGCACTGAGAACAGATCCACCTGCCATGAGCAATGGCCTGTGTCAATTATTTGGATACAGGGCAGTGGAAGGGACAGATTTGTTTTCCTTGATGGCAGCCAGAAAGCTCTTTGTCAAATCTCCAGTTCCCCACCATGGTGTAGGTGTTAATACCTATTCCAGCTCCAAGGTATGATGGTCCTATGGTTGTGTTTCCTTTCTTTGTCTCAGTTTTAATTTTTGCAGTCTTATTTTGTTTAGTACACCCATGCAGACTGCCATAAACCCTTCCTGAAAGAGGGATGGGTGTAAAGAGATGAATCAACAAACCACAGAACTTCAAAAGGTTCCAGAAAAAAGCCACCACTGGCACAATAACGGGTTACTCAATCCCCCAAGGCTTTTGAGGAAGACTAGGGAAGGAAGGGGTTGACCTTGGGTCTAGAATGGGTGAGGGGGAGAGAAAAGAGAAAGCGAGAGAGAGCTAGCAAGTGAGCACACATGTGACCGTGAGCTTAATGCAAGGGGATAAGCTGGGGTAGGGTTGGCAGTATGGGTAGGGAAGGGGAGTACATGGGAAAGGAAAGGGGAGGACTGGAGCTTCAGTCGTGATGGATCTTGAAAGACAGACCACTCACTGATTCCTTGGTTTACTCATTCATTCATTCAAGAACTACCATGTGCAAAGAATTGGGCTCCCTGCATGAGATACAATGATGTAAAAAATAATGACGTGGTTCCTGCCCTCATGGAAATCATATTTAGTTCAGGGGTTGGCAAACTACAGCTTTAAGACCAAATCTGGCCTGCAATCCTCTTTTGCGAACCAAAGTTTTATTGGTACACAACCACTCCCGTTCATTTGCATATTATCTACAGCTACTGTACAGCCACGCTGGCAGAACTGCTTAGCGGTGACAGAGCCCATGTGGCCAGCAAAGGCTCAGATATTTACTAATCTATCTGGTCCTCTACAGACAGTTTGCACACTTCTGCTTTAGCTGCTATTACTGTTGCTGTTGCATATTATTTGTGAGCATATAAAAATGTTTCCAATAAACAAAGAGACATGTTGATGCCCCCGTGAGTCCCCAGTTTTCTCTGCCATAAAACTGGCATAAGAGGGCCATTGTGAGGGTTCTAGGAAAAGCTCTAAGAAATAAGCCCAGAACACAGACACCTACAATCCTTTTACATTTTCATTACTAATGATATTACAATGGCTGGGAGTAAGAGGAGGAATCATTTCACGCCACATGTCTGTCTTTAAAACACATTCAGCCTTTTCACTCTGATTCTAGAAACAGGTATGATTAGTTGATCAATGGGACCTCAATCTAGACAATCCAGGCATTTGACCACATTCTCCTGATTTTTCAGATGAAGATTTTTTTTCCCATCATTTTGACATTTCTGGAACTGAGGCTTATCTTATAAACACTGTGTACATATGATTTATTAATTTGTATTTGTTAAGAGCAAATGATGTGGCAGACACACAAGATACAGGAACAAAATACATATGTGAGCAATGCATGTGTGTATATACATGTGCGTGTGTGTGTGTGTGTGTACAGGTGCATGCAGATATATATGATAGTTCATAAGACATCAATTTATGCTAACGTTGGAAGGTAAGAAGGCATAATTTATGCTTATGTTGGAAGGTAAGAAGGCAGTAACACCTTAAAGTCTGTCAGTTGGTAATAACCATCGTGGTGAAGGGAAAAAAAAGTAGATCAGAGGAACAGAGGAGAGCAGCAGTTTGCAATTTTCAGAGCAATGGCTGGGATAGCATTCCTCCCAAAATGACCTTTGATCAAAGACCAGAGGCAGGTGAGGAGCAGATGTGCTGGAATTCTGGCTTCAGGCACAGGTAAGGGCAGGTGCAAAGATGACTATCTCTGTCAGTGTGTCTTTTTTTCCCCCTCCTTCCTCCCCAAAGCTGTTGCCAACACAATACTGTCCTCCAGTCACAGAAATGCTGTATGTGGATGGTATAAGCATGCTGCGAAAAAATGCTGCAGGGATTTGGACCATTTGGACCGCGCAGGGGAGGGTGTTAAAGTGATTGTAACATGTTTTATTTCAGCTAGTTCTTCAAGCTCAGCTCCTTTGAAATAGCTGACATGTTTTCTTGGCCCTCAACCTGCTGTAAGCCTACGTCCAAAAGCGTCATATGTCAACAACCTGGTAAATCCACAGTTAAGATTTTTTTTTTCCCACAAAAAGTCATGGGAACCAAACAGGCTCTGACCAAAGTTGCTGGACCAGTTAAACCACTACCAGTTACTTCTTTGCCCACGGTGAGTAAGGCTGCTTGGGAAGGTAACCTATTTTCTCTGAATACTCTCAAAGCATTCAAGATAAATATATCTATTCATTTGTATATCCCCCAACTTGGCACAGATGAGGCCTTGGGTTTGGATAGTAAAATTTAACACTACCCTATGACATTTCAATGCTAAGTTTCTTGGCAAACTCACCAAGATTGCAGCTGTAGGCCCAGAAAGAAAGGGTGACAGCTTCCAGATGGCACAGGAATGATCTGGAAGTCCTTGCATGTTTATAGCACCACTCAGTGCCGCAGGGTGCCCACTGTGGGCCGGGGGTCATGTTTAATTTCACTAACTCCTGATGATGAGCCTGCATCATCTCCCTATTGTACAAAGGAGGCGACAGAGGTTCAGCAAAGTGCTGACTGCAAAGCCATCCCAGTTCCCCAAATCAGGATGCCCCCTTGTCTTGACCACCCAGGACAGGATGGGAGTCATTCTCCAACTTAGATTCCAGTTCATGTGTCCAATGTGAGCCTAAGACTACAGTAACTAATCTCACTACTTTCCCTATCTAGTTTCCAAAACAAAATGTCCTCTGGATAAGAGCGAACAGCAGAATGGAGTTTGTGTGTATGTGTGTGCAGCTTTAGTTTTCTTAATATTTACATATAATACAGAATACCTTCTTCTTCTTCTTTTTTTTTTTTTTTTGAGATGGAGTCTCACTCTGTCACCCAGGCTGGAGTGCAGTGGTGCGATCTCGGCTCACTGAAACCTCCGCCTCCTGGGTTCAAGCGATTCTTCTGCCTCAGCCTCCCGAGTAGCTAGGATTACAGGCATGCACCACCACGCCCAGCTAACTTTTGTATTTTTAGTAGAGACAGGGTTTCACCATGTTGGCCAGGGTGGTCTCGATCTCCTGACCTCATGATCCCTCCACCACCGCCTCCCAAAGTGCTGGGATTATAGACGTGAATACCTTCTTTCTTAACAGCATTAAACAGACGAAGTATTGCTCGACTAAGCATTTGTAACTATAAGGACCCGGCAAACCCCAGACTCTGACTTCCGGAGAACTTTATTTCCACATGAAAAGAGCCCACACATGTTAGAAACAGTCAGTCCTGTGTTCAGATTCCCCTTCCCCTGACACCGCCGTGGTGGGGAGTCCCTGTGGGGGCAGTCACTTCTTTCTTCTAACCTGAGTCTGACTCATCCTCTCACTCCTCTGGCTAAGGACAGGAAGGGACAGTACCCTCTGAGAACCTGCTGAGAACTGCTGTGATGTCCCTTCCCTGACCCAAACAGAAGGAGGTACCCCTGAAAAGGAGACAGGATTAAAAAGCCAACCCAGAGAGCCTCTGGGTGCCAAAGGACTGCCGAAGCTCTTTACCCTCCCTCTGTATGTGGAAATTTCAGGGTAACTTACCAAGTGCTTTCTTCTCTTAGGAGCCACAGTCTGTGTGTACTCAGATTGGGAGAATGCAAATATAAGCGGTTGGGAGAGGGAAAAAGAACAAGAGAATAGGAGCGAGAACATTGGGAGAGAGAGAACAAGAGACAGATAATAAATGAGAGGAGAAAAATTCGAGCTACACACCATTTTCACCCTATATACTGACTTTGAAGCCTTAAGGTCAGCCAGGCACAGTGGCTCACGCCTGTAATCCCAGCGCTCTGGGAGGCCGAGGCAGGCGGCGCGCATGTGTATACTCCAAGCTACTCTGGAGGCTGAGGCAGGAGAATGGCTTGAACCCAGGAGGCAGGGGCTGCAGTGAGCTGAGATCACACCACTGCACTCCAGCCTGGGTGACAGAGTGAGACTGTCACAAAAGATATATATATATATATATATTCCCTCTAAGTCTAAGTAAGATACAATTCCTCTATACGTGTGTGTTTCACTTTATGCAGCAGACAGACTTCCAAAAAACTGGATATGAATAAATTTCTTAAAATCTTTTTATATACATGAAAAGTCACAACTTTAAGGTACCCCATTCATGAGGACATGAATCCTTTGGTAAGATTAAACATCCAAATTCCTAGAAATATATCCCCTTGGGAATTTTGAGTTTCCTAGTCTTGAATGTCCTTACATTCATGAAGTCAAAAGGGTATTAGAGGCATCTCTTCCAGCCCCTTCACTATGCAGAGGAAGAATCTGAGGCCCAGAGAGGCAGGGTGACTTGCCCAAGGTCACACAGCTAGAGTGAGTCAGAGCTGAAGCCTGAACTTGGGAGTGTAGTCTCTGTAGAGGTGCACGTACTGGCGGTTACTCACTTGTGCTACCTGAAATAAATGGACCTGAGAATCTGGTAGTTATATGAGCCTGCAGTTTTGTGGGGTTTTTGTTGTTGTTGTTGTTGTTGTTGAGACGGAGTCTCACTCTACTGCCCAGGCTAGAGTGCAATGACATTATCTCAGGTCACTGTAACCTCCGCCTCCCGGGTTCAAGCAATTCTCCTGCCTCAGCCTCCTGAGTAGCTGGGATTATAGGTGTAGACCACCACGCCCAGTAATTTTTACATTTTAGTAGAGATGAGGTTTCACCATGCTGGTCAGGCTGGTCTCGAACTCCTGACCTCGTGATCGGCCCGCTTCGGCCTCCCAAAATGTTGGGATTATAGGCATGAGCCACCATGCCTGGCCGAGTCTGCAGTTTTAATGCCTTATTTTCTGGAAGTCAAAACTGTATTACTGAGGTGTTTCTCTTTTTCATTACAGGAGTCATCTCTATTTTATTTATATTTTGCAGTGAAATGATTTAAATCAAATGTGCTTGGGTGCAGAGGAAATCTGATCTGAAAGAGAGTTTTTATGGCAGAGAGAGAGCCAGCAGATACTTATTTCCTGCCTTGAAGAGGCCAGTAACATCCTGGTACAAGGGGATTCATCAATACATCTTTCATAAGAGGGCTTCTCTGCACAGTGAGCTGGAAAATCTTTCCAATGACTCTGGCCCATTTGTAACTTTGCCCCTGAATAAAAGAAGGGATTGATCGGGGCTTGGAATGCTTCCATACCCAGGGCCTTCCTGCACCCCAGGAGGCAGAGTCTATAAATGGAATTCAACTGGGCAATTGCTCATGGAGAGAAAACCCAGCAGGGGTAAGCACAGCCTCTAAGGAGAGGGCAGTGAAGGGTTAAAGGTGCACCACCTTCCTCTGCTGGGGTCTGCAGAGGGACTGATGCCTGGAAGTCTCTAAAATAAAGAGTCTCAAAAATAGTCAGAGAGACTTGCTATTGGGTATTCTATGGACTGCAGATCCATTCCCCACTCTCCATGATCTGCAGTGTATGCTGGTGGTGGGATATACCCTCAGTGTGTCCATCAGTCAGTCAGTTGGCATTTCTCAAGATCTACAATGAACCAAAGCAGAGTGAGAGAGCTTGAAGGCTTCGTAACATGGCAAAGGGGCACGGAGAATTGAAAAGTATGTCCAGTTCCTGTAGACACATCCCACAACCCCAACCTCCCAAGATGGTGCCAGTAAGCTTTCTGTTGGGTGAGAGACCAGGAGACCTGAGCTCCACCCTGGACCCTGCCACTTAAGTTAGCAGCTCTTAGGGAACTGATTTCTCCCTTTGGGCCTCAAAAGCATGTCCAAGTTGACTAAGCCTGCTTTAAAAGTTACTTGGAGAAGTGCTGAGATGATTAAATAAGGACAGAGTCCAACACCAGGCACAGGACAGGCCCTGAATGAAGAGATTACTTCCCTTCTCCTTAGAACCTTTCCTCTCCTCACCCAGCTCCCTGTAAGGTGAAGATACAGCTCTATCTACAAAGAACGGTCACTTCTCTCTTCCTTTCTCTAGGGTGGTTTGGGTTCAAAGACGGAAACTGTATTTGCACCCTTGCAAGCTGGTTCGGTCCACACTTGCTTTCCTACCCAAAGACCACCACAATCCCTAGCTTCTTTAGAACTTCCTTGGCATGTGAACTTGAACAATACCCTACTCTTCTCCAAGACCCAGTTTCAGGGTAAATGGGATTAGAAAACCTAATTTAGTCAGAGTTGCTATGAAGATTAGAAATCAATAGGTTTCCCAGTACCTGACACATGGTAGATGCCCAATAAATGAAATTTATTATTTTCTGCAAGGAAAATAACATCTATCTCCTCTAATTGTCATGAGGATTAGAAGTAAAATACAAAGAGCATTTAGCGCAGTGTCTGGCGCAAAATAGCGGATACTGTATACATCTTGGTTGATGGAGACAAAAGATCAAAAGAGGAACGTAAACGTGAGCAAAAGCAAAAAATAAAAATAAAAAAAAAAGGTTCAAGGAAAAACAAACGTCTAGCCCAGAGCCTAGCAATCAGAGAGAGCTAGAAAGATATGCGCCTAATGCAAAGTAGGAGAGGTGGAAAGGCGGCTCAGAGACACGCAAGGGTCTACAACACAGTTTCTCAACCTTGACACTGCTGACATTTTGGGCTGGATCATTCCGTCTTGGGTGAGTGCTGTCCTATGCAGTGTAGGATGTTGAGCAGCATCCTTGGCTCTACCCACTAGATGCCAGTAGCATCCGTCCCCCGTAGTTGTAACAACTAAAAAAATGTCTCTGGACATTGCCAAATGTCCCTTGGGGAGGCCTAATTACCCCCAGTTGAGAGTTGCTAGTCTAAAATAGTGTCTGACACACCGTGGGTCCTCACTCAGCAAATACTTGTTGAAAGAAGGCAGGGATGGAGGGGAGAGGGATCAACGCTGACCACCCCATACCTGGGTAGGGCAAGCCCTCTGGCTTGCCTGGGCTGCTTCAGCCATAATGAACGGGTGGGAGGGAGGCTCTTCATGGACATGCATCAGCTTGGTTTCTCTGAAACAGGAGGGTGTTCCTAGAGTGTACTGTCTGTGCTGTGCCTTGTTAAGAGGGGAAATTTTCCAAGAACCTATTTTTCCAGCGCTGCAGATTTCACGTGGATATGGCCTTAAACATCCACAACCCTGAACCTGCATCTCATTCCTCTGCCTTCAAAGGGATTCTTTGGAAGCACTTCTTGTCCCAAATGGTTTAATGCCTTTATTTTGCGAATGAGCCATTGCAGTCAAGAAGATTAACAGGGTTAAGATGTGTGCTTGTGGTTCTGGGCTTAGTGGTGGAAAAATCATGCTTCTTGCTTGTGAACTTAACCTTTTGGTGGATGGTGAGAAAGGCTATGTGGGGAGTGAAATAAAATGCATAGGTCACGGGGGTAGGGGCCCCAGGGGCCAGGGGTGGCAGGGAAGAGATGCCGTGTGTGCTCAAAGGCAGCTCAATTTGGAGGCTGGGAGTGGGAACACATCATCCCTGTAAAGATGGGATCAGATTGAAACTTCTGGGACCTGATTTCAGGAATGAGCTGCAACAAAATGCCCGCACACTTCTTGAACACCTTCCTTTTCCTCCCCAGCTAAAATCCTTTCCTGATTCCTCAGTCTCCCTTGGGTTCATTCACTTCCCTCCAGCCCTACTTTTCCCCTCTTGCTTCTGGGCAGTATCTTTAGCCATTACCAGGTTTTCACTCACACCAGGACCTTTGCACATGCCACTTCCTCTTGCTAAATTAATCTTCATTCCATTTACACTTCTTCCTTTCAGCTTAAATGTCACTTCCCCGGGGAAAGGCTCCTGTTCCCTTTGGGTCAAGACTCACAGTCATACAGTCTCCGTACACTGGGAATTTAATCCCATTTCACTTATCACAGTCCCACTCAGTGACTGGCATCTGTCCCCACCAGATAGTGATGTGGCCTGAGAGCAGGAATTGCATCTTCTGCTCAATAATGTGCCCTCCTCCTACTCAGGGTCAGTAAACATCTGTGGAATAAGTAAGTGCATAAATGGGGAAAAGGCAGGCCCGGCGCAGTGGCTCATGCCTGTAATCTCAGCACTTTGGGAGGCCAGGGCAGGTGGATCATGAGGTCATGAGTTCAAGACCAGCCTGGCTAACATGGCGAAACCCCATCTCTACTAAAAATACAAAAATTAGCCAGGCGTGGTGGCACACACCTGAAATCCTAGCTACTAGGGAGGCTGAGGCAGGAGAATCACTTGAACCTAGGAGGCAGAGGTTGCAGTGAGCCGAGATCGTGCCACTGCACTCTAGCCTGGATGACAGAGCAAGACTCCATCTCAAAAATAATAATAATAAAGGAGAGAAGGAAGAGAGAGCTTTGTTCCGAGTGTAGACAAAGAGGGTTTCTTTCAGGGGTCATGTCCCACAGCTCCATTCCCAGACACCATTAGAATAAAACACAGCATGGTGTCAGAGCACGGAGAAAAAGGTGAACTTCCTTCTGCCTCCTTTCCAGCTCACACGCATCTTGTTTCCAGCCCCAAACTTGATGAAGATGGGGCTCCCTTCCTTGCCTTCAGCCCAGGATAATCACCTGCTGCAAATTTACCCGGTGTTTAAATTGTAACAGCAAGTCACCAAGCTCTTATTGTCACAGTAGCAGAAGGGGTTACATCAGAGTAGAAGATGTGGACCTTGGCCTCAAGGAGCCCAGCAGTATCAGCACTCAGGAGCTGGTTAGAAATGCAGACTCCCAGGCCCCACCTCAGATGGGCTGAATTAGAACCTGCATCTTAACTAGGTCCTCTGGTTCATGTGAGCAGCCTCGTGGGCTGCTCATGGGCTTCAGTAGCCTGCTCATCAGAATCATCTGGAAGATTTGTTAAACTACAGATTGCTAGAGCCCTGCCTTCACCCCCAGTATGTGATTCCAAGAGTCTGGGGGTGGCAGGTGAAGGTGCGTTTCTTTCCATTTCCCATGTGATGCAGCTGCTGTTGGTTCAGGACCACGCTTCGAGAACAGCTGCCCTACTGCTCAGACCCAGGCACACAGCTTAGTTTCCAGCCAGATCCATGGGACTGTGGGTGAATTCCTTCCTTCTTCAACAACGTTGATGCTGATTTCATGCTGTTTGTGCAACTTAGGCAGTAAAAAGTTTCCTTTCCCCCTTGTGTGTATTAGTCTGTTTTCACACTGCTGATAAAGGCATGCCCGAGACTGGGTAATTTATTAAGAAAAATAAGTTTAATGAACTCACAGTTCCAAGTGGCTGGGGAGGCCGCACAATCATGGTGGAAGGCAAAAGGCACGTCTTACATGGCAGCAGGCAAAAGGAAAATGAGAGCCAAGCAAAAGGGGTTTCCCCTTATAAAACCATCAGATCTCATGAGACTTATTCACTACAATGAGAACAATATAGGGGAAACTGCCCCGATGATTCAGTTATCTCCCACTGGGTCCCTCCATGGAGGGAGGGAATTATAGGAGCTACAATTCAAGATGAGATTTGGGTGGGGACACAACCAAACCATATCAATGGGGGTTTAAGCAGAGGTCTGAGGCCCAGAAAGGCCTTCTAGAAGAGTCAAGGTGTGAGCTGGAGGATGAAAAAGAGCTTGCCGACAGACAAGAGGAAGAGGGGCGTTCTAGACACACAGCACTGCCCAAGCCAAATGAAGCAGGCGTGAAGCCAGGCACGCCCAGGGGGTGACTCATCTGCTGTGCCCAGAGCTCAGGCCAGGTAGGAGGGAGATCCAGGGGAAGGGTAGGGCCTGGAGATCACAGAAGTTCTGCCTCCTGTTACCTGTAAGATCCCTGCTGGCATAGTACTGTGAAGGACTCAATGAAACATCCCTGAAATCCTCATGATCATCAGGGCTGGCATTCCTGTAGCGCTTACCATGTATGGGGTCTTGTCTCAGGGCCTTACCCGCATTAACATGTTTTTCTTTCTAACTTAAAAAAATAATAATTATAGACTCACAGGAGGTTGCCAAGATAGCAGAGTTCTGCACTCCCTCACCCAGCTTCCCCCAATGGTGACATCTTATGTAACTGCAGTGCAATATTAAAACCAGGCAATTCACATCAGTACAATACTGTTAACGGGACTGCAGATTTTGTTTTTGTTTTCACCCATTTTCAACATACTCATGTGTGTATCCGTGATTCTATTTACTGTTTAATCTTCACAGCAATCCTATTATCCCATTTTGCAGATGGGAAAACTGAAGCACAGACAGAATAAAGACAGAATAAAGTGACTTGTCCAAGGAGCTCGAATTCAGGGAATCTAGCTCTAAGCTACTATGCAGTGTTACTTCTCCGGCAAGTTCTGGTAACTAGTGCAAACTCGCTCATGGATCAGAGATGTTTCTGAGGGTACTCATATTTGAAAAGGACTTCTAGGTGTCAAATGTAGGTTCCAGACCCATCCCAAAGAACCGGATCCTCTTGGAAAAGCTCCCCCTGGCCGGGGCTGAGCAGGGAAGCTGGGAGAGAGGGCATGTCCGCCCAGGGCCATGGCCACAGATCCCCAGCCTTGTTGGCTCCTGGATAGTCTCTATCCCAGCTCAAAGGTGTGCCTGTCTGCCTCATCTGCTCTCAGGTTTCTGGTCTGGTGATGTTCTCGGGACTGGCCTGGGCTGCCTGCCAACACCAGAACTAGACAAAAATCTGCAGTTCTGAGCCTCAGCCCCTGCCCCTGGAGCCCTGGCAACTTCACAGAGGCCTGCTTGTGAGGCCAGGAAGCAGGAAGCTGGGCTGCTCAGCCCTCCGCCAACCTCCAGGCCCCTGGCTGCTGGGGCTGGAGGAGGGAGAGAGAAGGGGACAGACAGGACATCCAGTAAAGCTGTAACACCACCAAAAAAGGCCTCCCACACAAGCCAGCCTTGGCAGCCAGCGACCTACCAGACAAGGCCCCCCTTTCCTGCTGACTTTTATGGAGTGTTGGGCTCCTTGGAAGGGAATGTTCCCTGTGCTTAGAAATATGTGGAGATGATCTATGCATGTGGACAGGGACTGCTTAGACCCATGCACACAGCTTGGTTTCTAGCCAGATCCGTGGGACTGTGGGTGAATTCTTTCCTTCAACAGCATTGATGCTGCTATAATGCTGTCTGTGTAACTTAGGCAAGAAAAGGTTTCCTTTCATTAGAGGGGAAAACATCCAAACCATTAAAAAAAAAAAAAAGTTCATAGGAATCCATGATAGCATTGGGAGTGGTTCTGCCCAGACATGGAGCGACTGTGGTTAGGACCCAAGAAACAGCCTCATCTGTTAACCTCTCCAAGACTCAGTATCCTCAGCTGAAAAGTGTGGATTAGGCTGGAAGGATCCAGCCCAAACTATGAACCTACAGGGAGAATGGGAATAAGGGGATATAATTAAGGGGCTTTTATTTCTATTCTGTCCAGAGATTCAAAATGCAGTTGCCTCAGACAGGCCAGGCCTCAGCCATGTGTCAAGGTCATCAGTGATAAATCAATCCACCCTGGGAGGGTCAGGACACTGGAGAGGGTCTGTCCAGCCAAAAGAACATTAGAACTCAATTGTTTTAAGACACTCTGCAGGCCAAACCAAACTTGTCGACTCACTAGTTACTAGCTTTGAATTCTAAAGTCGACTCTTGTCCAGAAATCATTTCAGGAGCTCCAAAATCTCAAGATCAGGAGATCCTAGAGAAAGATTAGAAGCAACAGGCCCCTTGTGTGTGGCCCTTAAGTTAACACGTCACTGGCTCCCCAGCAGGGAACCTGGTGGGCCCTGACTTCAGGAGCCTCCCCAGGCCCACTCATCACCCACAAAACAGCACCCTTGGGGTGCTGCAGAGAGGGAGGAAAAGTGCTTAGTCAGCCCACCCCGCTGCACGTTGCCGAGTCAGTCATTTTTTTAGAGCCCTCTAGAAACCACTAGATTCCAGGTCCTAGAATATGCACTACAGGCTTCCCTTGGAGCATGAGAAGTACCTCTCTGACTCCCACCAATTGCTCCTCCATGAATGGCAGCCATCCATCCATCTGCTATCCAAGAGAACGCATACTGGGTGAAAATGTATGCACAATCAGCTGAGAGCAACATGCGAAACCAAATTATTATCTATCCCCTCCCATTCCAGGAAAGAAAGGCCTGTGATGAAAGACACAGAAACAAGAAAACCACTACACTAGTGAGAGAAAAATCAATAATCAAAGTGATAGAGGAGAAACTTGACAAACCAAAGCTAACAGAATAATTATGATTAACATTAGATGAGGCTCTGAGCTCCCTGGTGGCCAAAGCAAAAAGGGATGCTTTGTATTATATAACTCATATACAACTTGACAGCTAGAAGCTTAGCCAAAGAAAAAGAGAAAAGTTCAGTCCTGGTACGAGTTTGTCAGGCAGGTGTGTAGGTGGCGGAGGTGATAAAGTAGAGAGGTGAGAGGTACCCAGGTCAAATGCAGCCTGGTGGGCCAAGGTCAGGCCTTGGCTTATACTGAAAGAGGCATGAGGAGCCACGTGGCGGGTTATTCGCAGAGTCAAGACTTCATCTGACTCATGATTTAAAAGAGCAGCTCTGGGAGCTATGCTGGGGATGGCCCACCTGGGGAAAAGGCAGAAGGAGGGAGGAAGATTTAGAGACTACAGAAAAAAGCCAGGCAAGTCCTTAGGAGAAAATCCATTCTCCTTCCTAGGACTGACTTACAAAGCTCAGCATGTCCTGAACCTGCCTCTCCATTCAACCCAAACTCATTTCTCTTTCCCTCCCTCCAGCTACCCTGGTCTCCATCTATCTCCTGCCTTGTGGATGCTCTTTGTCACCTTGTGCATTTGCACATGTTCTTCCCCCTACTGGCATGTTCTTCTCCCCAGCCTCATCCTTTGCATCTCAGCTGAAATGTCAGTTTCCTGGAGAGCCATTTCCCAAACCCCTATCACAAGTAGAGAATTCTCGCTCCCCTAACTCTCAATTCTAGAATCTTCTGCTTCTATCTCAGCACTAGTCACAGCAGATCGTTATTGTAACACTGTACCTATGTGTTGGTTGTTGGTTTTGTCCCGTCTCTCTACCAGGATGTCTATTATTCTAGGAAGTCAAAGATAAGTCTATTCCCATTGCATTTCCTCCAGCCCCATAGCATAAGACTTGGCACAAAGTAGGTGCTTAATAAATTATGGCGAACAAATGGACCCCATGAGGCAGACACAGAATTAGCTTCAGGTTAGAAAACGGAAGCTCAGAGAGGCTCAGGCAACTTGCCCAAGGTCACCTGGTGGTAGATCTCAAGTCTGACTCCAAGGCTAGGCCCTTTGACCCTATACCCAGTTTCTCTGAACTCAAATTAGATGACCTTGCCCTGATCATGCCTCGGCAAGTCCCTGGTAGGAGGTCCTTACCACTGCATTAAACCAAGATCTTAGCGCTTTGACAAAGGGCCAACGAGAACATGAAGATGATCTGTAAAGTCCCTAGAAGACGCCAGGAGAAGCTTAGGAAATTGCAGCCGCACCTGGGTCAGATCCCAACAGAGTACAACAGCAAAGGGGCACTAGGAAATAGCCCCCACCTGGTTGGCCACACTGCCTCCACCTTTCACCACTCACAACACAAACTATTCTCCCCGAAGCGCACAGCTTTTATCTGATCAATTTTCTAGGCTGTGGAACCAAACAGTGGAATCCACAGGAAATTAAGCTTATTGACTCAGTCTTTGAACACCACATGGAGAAGAGATATTTACACATGTCATCGGAGCCCTGGGGACTGTAGGTTATTGGCAGCATGTATTTACAGAGTTTCGCCCAACAGTGGAGATGGGGAGAAAAACCACCATGCCTCCCCCTCCATGCAGATTTGGGGAATTCAGAGAGATGAAACAAGAGTTAGGACCCCCTGCTTTTTATTTATTTATTTATTTATTTTTGAGACAGTCTCTCTCTGTCGCCCCGGCTGGAGTGCTGTGGTGTGATCTCTGCTCACTGCAGCCTCTACCTCCTGGGCTCAAGTGATTCTCCCACCTCAGCCTCCCAAGTAGTTGGGACTACAGGCACGTGCCACCATGCCTGGATGATTTTGTTAACTTTTGTAGAGACAAGGTTTCACTATGTTGTCCAGGTTGGTCTTGAACTCCTGGCCTCAAGTGATCCTCCTGCCTCAGCCTCCCAAAGTGCTGGGATTACAGGCGTGAGCCACAGCACCCAGCCAGGATCCCTGCTCTTGAGGCTCTGTTTTACTTCTGCTTGGCTGGCTCAGACAGCAGGATTTGGTGGTAAAGCTAATTTTACACAGACCCTGTTACCTGAAAGAGCTCACTTTGAAACCACAGGCAGATTTTTTTTTTTTTTTTGAGACGGAGTCTCGCTCTGTCGCCCAGGCTGGAGTGCAGTGGCGCAATCTCGGCTCACTGCAGGCTCCGTCACCTGGGGTTCACGCCATTATCCTGCCTCAGCCTCCCGAGTAGCTGGGACTACAGGCGCCCGCCACCTCGCCCGGCTAATTTTTTGTATTTTTAGTAGAGACGGAGTTTCACCGTGTTAGCCAGGATGGTCTCGATCTCCTGACCTCGTGATCCGCCCGCCTCGGCCTCCCAAAGTGCTGGGATTACAGGCGTGAGCCACCGTGCCCGGCCCCCAGGCAGATTTTATGGAGCTCTCAATGTTGCAGCAATAAACTGTGATCTGTTTCCCCATCTAGGTGTTTGCCTCCTGCCATTTCTTCATGGTTCCTTGACTGTAACTTCTCTTTGGGTCATTTACAATTAGAGAGGTGAGGCAACCTTTGACATTCTTGACGGATGCCCTGGAAGACTGGTAAATGAATGCCCAAATTAAAATTAACCACAATAAATAATGGCATCAGATGAGGCACAGTGGCTCATGCCTGTCATCTCAGCACTTTGGGAGGCCTAGGCGGGAGGGTGGTTTGAGCCCAGGAGTTCAAGACCAGCCTGGGTAACAGAGTAGTAACTCATCACTACACAAAATACAAAACTTAGCTGGGTATGGTAGCATGTGTCTGTCCCAGGTACCTGGGAGGCTGAGGTGGGAGGATGGCTTGAGCCCAGGAGATCGAGTTTGCGGTGAGCCATAATTGCACCACTGCACTCCAGCCTGGGCCACGGTGGGAGACGCTGTCTCAAAAAAAAAAAAAAAAAAAAAAAAAAAAAGGCATCAGGAGCTAGTATTTATGGTATGCAGTATCTCTTTACCCTCACATGTTAAATCATGTTTCCTTTTGTAATCAGAATAAAATCCAAGCTCCTTATCATAGCCTATGATGTCCTACAGGATCTAGCTACTGCCCACCTCTGTAATGTCCCCTCTCTTCCTCTCACTCATCAATATGTTTCAGCCACCACGGCGAGCTCATTCCTGCCTCAGGGCATTTGCACACACTATTCCTCTGCCTGGAATGCTTTTCCCTGCATCCTTGAATATCTGTCTAGTTTATTCCCATTGCTCAATGCTGGGATCAGTTAATTACCTACCCCACACCAGTCATTACCCGTCTTGTCACCCTGTTTAACCATTATCACAGCACCTTTTCACTTGTTTGAAGCGTTCTTATGTATTTCCTTATGTGTTTATCATCTGTGTCTTCTTGCTAAGGTCGGTGAAGCTGAGACCTTGGATTTTCAGATTTCCAGATTCCCAGTATATCTAATGCCTGACGTGATACCAACACATAGCGGATGCTGAATAAATACTCAAGGAAGAAATGAAAGAGAGAATGGGAACTGGACCCTGGGTTTACTTGATCTCACTCCAAAGCCGGGGCTCTTAACCACTGAGCTACACAGCCTCATCACAGGACACTCTGCTGAATCAGCAGCTCCTGTTCAAACAGCTAGACTTCCAAAGTCAACACCAGCACATGGCTTTTCGGGGGAGGAGTACATTTCATCACAAGGCCAAGATTGTGTTTTGTTTTGTAAATCACTTCCTAAGTATTACCAAGGCTCCCACACCAATGAATCCTTCCTCCTTTCCTCCTGCAGGGTAGAAGGTCCTGGCTTGGTTCTCCAACCAGCTAAAGGCCTGTTTCCCGCATGCAAAGATGATGTTTGTGCTTTAGCAAAATGCAACGTCATGCAATCCTGGGGTCAGTTATGCAGATCCGAAGCACTACTGGAATTCAGAACCTGGTTCCATGAATTTGTTAACTGAGTCTACAGATGTATATAATGAACTTCCAGACACTCAAGACGATGCAGAGAAAAACCAGAAAACTATAGTGGGAAAAGCAAGGATTATGATGACAAGAACTCCATGTGGTTCCATCCTGGGATCTGCTTACTCTTTTTTTTTTTTTTTCTTCAGATGAGTCTAACTCTCGCCCAGGCTGAAGGGCAGTGGCACGATCTCAGCTCCCTGCAACCTCTGCTTCCTGGGTTCAAGCGATTCTCCTGCCTCATCCTCTCGAGTAGCTGGGATTACAGGCATGTGCCACCATGCCGGGGTAATTTTTGTATTTTTAGTAGAGACAGGGTTTCACCATGTTGGCCTGGCTGGTCTCAAACTCCTAACCTCAGGTGATCTGCCCGCCTACGCCTTCCAAAGTGCTGGGATTACAAGCATGAGCCACCATGCCTGGCCTCTCCTTATTCTCTTGCTGGGTGAACTTGAATGAGCTACCTCCACTTTTTAAGCCTCAGTTTTCAAGTACGTAAAATGGAGGCAATGACTGTGCATTTATTGGGAAGGGCTTACTTTCAAGGCCACAGAAAGAAATACATGAAAAAAAATCTATCAGAATGCCTGGAACTTATAATAAATGATCTTGAAACATTTGTTCAATGCCTACCATGTTCAAGGTGCAGCACAGTACCTTGCCTGAGAGATTCTAAGAGCATGACAGGAAGGGTCCTGTCTTTATTCTATTTCCCAAATTCCGCATCAGAACACATAGGCTGATCAAAGAATGGGTCAGAGAGTGTGAAACAGAGACCATTCAGGAATTTTTTTTTTTTTTGGAAACTAAATCTGTGTCACCCAGGCTGGAGTGCAGTGGCGCAATCGTGGCTCACTGCAACCTCTGCCTCCCGGATTCAAGCGATTCTCATGACTCAGCCTCCCAAATAGGTAGGATTACAGGCAAGCACCACCACGCCCAGCTAGTTTTTGTATTTTTAGTACAGTCAGTTTCACCATATTGGCCAGGCTGGTCTTGAACTCCTGGCCTCAAGTGATCCTCCCATGTCGGCCTCCCAAAGTGCTGGGATTACAGGCGTGAGCCCCCACACCCCGCCCAGGAACATCTCATATCAAGATACCAAGCCTGAATTTGAATTCCAGCTCTGACATTTGAGGCACCCCTCACCCCATTTCTGGGCCTTAGTTTCCCCACTGAATGGAAATAATGGCCTATGTCATCTGGCCCCTTCGTACCTCTCCACCTTCTCCCATCCCCTTTTCTCAGCTCCCCTCCCCACTGGAATTCCTGGAGTCTTCAACCATGCTAAGCGCCAGGCAGTTCGCATGCTCTTTTCTTTCTGCCCAGAACAGCCTTTCTTCTGGCTCTTCTGGGACTAGCTCCTCATTCAACCCTCAGTCTTCCCTGGCCATCCTACATAACATAGCCCACTCCATTTGATCTGACAGCAGCTCCTTCTTCACTTCTTTATTACCACTAATCAACATTTGTAGTGATATATGTATTGTTTGTTTCCTGTCTCTTTCTTCCCCAGACTACGGAGGTTGTAAACATTCAGAAAAAGGAACCGTGCCTGTTTTGATTAGCAGTGTATTTCCAAAAACCTAGCACAGTGCCTGAAGCACAGCAGGTGCTCAATAAAGGCTTGATGAGGGGATGGGTGAAAGTTTGGCATTCCCTCCAATCTATCGCATCAAGGCCTTCATCTAACCCACTATGAAGACCCTCAAACACACCATTCCCAATGCTTACATCCAAAACCTCTTTCTGCCCCACCTCCTGAGGAAATGGGGCATGAGTTGTGAGTTTCCTTAGCTGTGTGACCTTGGAAAAGTTTCTTTTTTTTTTTTTTTTGAGACTGAGTCTTGCTCTGTCACCAGGCTGCAGTGCAGTGGTGCGATATCGGCTCACTGCAACCTCCGCCTCCTGGGTTCAAGCGATTCTCCTGCCTCAGCCTCCCAAGTAGCTAGGACTACAGGCCCCCACCACCACACCCAGCTAATTTTTTTGTATTTTTAGTATAGACGCGGTTTCACCATGTTGGCCAGGATGGTCTTGAACTCCTGACCTCGTGATCTGCCCACCTTGCCCTCCCAAAGTGCTGGGATTACAGGTATGAGCCACCGCATCTGGCCGACCTTGGAAAAGTTTCTTAACCACTCTGTGCCTAGGTTTTCTTACCACGGAAATGAGGTTAATGATAATAGTTCCTGACTCATAGAATTGTTTTTGGCACTGCATGAGTTAACATACATAAAGGACTTCGGTAAAATATACGTAAGGCACTTAGCACTTTTTATGCCTTGTATGTGAATAAATGTCATCTAGGGTAGGTGGAGCCCTGTCCCTACCATTCCATGCAGGTTTCCCTGAGTACCTTTTTTTCACACAGGTAGGTTAGCTCCTCATCTACAAAGTGCTCCTCAACTCTGAGGCCCATTGGAATCACCTAGAGAGCTACGAATTACCCTGGAGTTGTATCCATACCCACAACATCAGACTCCAGTGGGGCAGGCTGTACATCTGCTTTTTACTCTCCCCGGGTGATTCCAACATGAATCTGAAATTGAAAACCACTATAAACGCCTCATGCTCAAAGGATCTCACAACTGCCCACTGCACACTGCCCTCCCCAACAAACTTTACTATTTTTACTGTAATAGCCCACATTGGACAGTTCCCAAAGTACTAACTAGCCTTTTTTTTTTTTTTTTTTTTTTTTTTTTTTTTTTTGAGGCAGTCTCACTTTGTCATCCAGGCTGGAGTGCAGTGGCATGACCTCAGTTCACTGCAGCCTTGACTTCTTTGGTTCAAGCAATTCTCCTGCCTCAGCCTCTCAAGTAGCTGGGATTACAGGAATGCACCACCACGCTCTGCTACTTTTTGTATTTTTAGTAGAGATGGGGTTTCACCATGTTGGGCAGGCTGGTCTCGAACTCCTGACCTCAAGTGATCTCCCCGTGTCAGACTCCCGAAGTGCTGGGATTACAGGCATGAGCCACCACACCCAGCTATCTGTTCTGTTCTCCTTAGAGCAGTGGTTCTCAATCGGGGGCAATTTTGCCCTGTAGGGGACATATGGCAATGTCCATAGACATTGTGGTTCCAGGGATGGGGTGCTATTGGAATCTACTCGGTAGAGACCAGAGATGCTTCTAAACATCCTACAGTACCTGGGAACCCCTGCACACAAAAAATGACTTATCCAGCCCCAAATGGTATGGTGGCAAGGTTGGCAAACCCTGCTGCGGAGCTATCTTTTCTGTGAACTTGGGGAGGACAGCGCAGCCTTGCTAACAATGGGAAGGAAAGAAGAAGTAGTGAAGGGAACTTATCATCACTGAGTTTCAACACCAAACACATACCAAGCAGATGTTTCACGAATAATGACAATAGCCACTACTTTCTGAGCACCAAACAATGGCTTACAACAGAACGGAACCCCTGAGTTATCTTACTTAACTCACATGGCAACTCTGAGTTCTTTGACTGTGTTTTCGCTTCATGCATAAGACAGCGGGGACAGCAAGGTTAGGTAACTAGGCCAAAGTCACAAGACTTGTACATGACAGATTTAGATTTTAGCCTATTCTGTTAAACTTCAAAGAGAAGGCTACCCCAACAGATTAATGATGCCAGCTCACACCTCCTAAGCCTCACAGTACCTACCAGGCAGTGCTCTGAAGACCCGACAAGTAGAAACTTAATTCATTCCCATGAACTAGATAATATAATCATCATCGTCATCATCATCATCTCCATTTTACATCCTGGGACGCTGAGACAGAGTGCTGCAGTGTCCTTTGAAGAATTTCATGCAGCTGAGATAGGGTTTTAACAAGGGGTTTAGATCCAGAATCTGGCTCACTCCCACCATACTCTCCTGCCTCTAATAGAGCAATGAGCAGAAAGGATCGAATTCCAGCCTGCCTCAGGACCTCTGCACATGCTGCTCCTGATGATGTATATGTCTTCACTCTGGCCTCTTTGCCCTGCTAACTCTTTTTTACTCATTGGATCTCAGTTTATACTTCCATTGTCTAGGACACCCTCCTAGCCCTGCCAACTCACTGACCAGATGAGTTATCTCCGTTAAACTCTCTCCTAGCTCCCCTTCATAGCATTTCACACTTTAAAAGAACCCAACACTTGTGCAAGTGTTTGGTGACCATCAGTCTCCTCCTATAGACTATAGACTCCATGCAGACAGGAACTGTCTCTGCCTTGTGCAGTGCTGTATCTCCAGGCCCCTGGCATGATGTTTGGCACAAAGGGGGTGCTTGATGAAAGCTTGTGGCTGAATGCATGAAACAGAGAACCTAAAGGCAAAACAGCAGCTGGTGCCAATCCGGTCCATTTCCTCATCCCCAGAGAGGGACAGGGCCATCTGGCAGGTCCTAGCCAAATACCTCCATGGCAGGTCAGGGCTGCAGAGCTCTCCAGGCAAGCTGGCCATGGAGGCCATAAACCAACTCCTCAAAGCCATCTCTGCTTCATGGTGGCTGGTCTTTATCATTTTCCAATCAACACTGGTTGAGTTCTAATTGATTTTCTATGATATCCCTCTCCAGAAGGGAGAAAGGCTCTGTTTACTGGGGCAGTACGTAGAGGACAGGCCTATTCTTCCTGCTGTATTTAATGCTGCTGCTAATCACGGAGATTAGACTAAAACAATTACAACAGCTAATTAAAGAACAATGCGGTTTTTGGCATCTTCGCGCAGACGGCACCATTGGGAATTCCTAACTCGGGCAAAGCAGGGATAATTAAAACCCCGGCTCCACTCTCCCCACTCCAGCAGCTGGATCACGCTGATTAAACTGCAAATAAAACACATGAAACCAACACTTTGTAGTCTATCCAATTTCACTTAAAAGGGCTTTTAACTGATTCATAAACAGAGAAGCGGTAAACAGCAAATTATTTAACTAAAGCCAGTTATTTCGTCATCACGGTTCACTTTATTCCCAGCTCCGGACTTGTACATGTAGCCCAGGGGACATTAGGTTGATGGGGCCTGAGGAATCACTCCAGAGCTTACTGCCACTTGCTCCTGTTCACTGGCAACAGGACATCACCAGTGTGTAGCTGCTTTCTCTGGGTTTTTTCTCCTTTTGAAAAAAAAAGATCAGGTAGTGCCCAAGTCCCCAGATGAATATGCCCAGGTCTGATCAGACTCTGCTCTCGATTCTAGGTCAAGAGCAGATGGCAGAGACACAGAAAGTTCCGAAGCGCAGATAATACTAAAAGCATCATATGTAGCTTTAAAACATTTAACTTATTCAGAGCTGGCCAACTTCAGATCTAAAATGCAACCCGTATCTACTAAAGTATGAAACAGACTTGTTCTCAAGCTATGGGAAGACATGTCACAACAGCTGGGTAGAAAGCTCATTTGTTTTAGACAGGCACACTCTGAGACCCCAGCTCAGGTCCCATGCACACATGCTTCCCAACTCATCTTAACAAGCATGGTCATGGGGATTGCTAATTCTCTCTCCACCTTGCCAATCCAGAGACAACAAGGGAAAAAAGTGAGAAATAAAAAGAAAAAGGTCAAGGGAAAAAGAAAAGGACAGAAGAGAAAAGGGAGAAAATGGTAACGCTAGAGACAGGCTCACTGGGAGCAGCAAGAAGGGACAGAAAAAGAAAAAAATACCACAAGAAAGCAGACACAGGGATTTTCAGAGCCCAGCATGACACATGCGGTGAGGACCTAGGAGCCAGCGCCTGTCCCTTTGCAGTGGCCAGGTATGATGGTCACGTTCCACAGCAGTGCTTCTCAAACCAGCTGTGGAGAAAGGCCTTTGTATGCCCAGTCTACTGCAGGGTGCTAATTTTGTAAAATAAAACAAAAAAAGAAGCATTAAAAATAAAAGATTGACTTGCTTAGGTGCCATGCCATGTCCGGTTACTATAAAAGCTGCTGAAAGCTTGTCCTTCGTTTCTGAGCGCGTCTTCGTGCACACAGTGAGAAACCCTGGGGATGGCACTGGTCCATGGACCGACAACGCTCTGAGTAGTCCTTTTTGAAAAGATCCCCCACGGTCATTGGGAATAAACATAATCAGATTCATAGGATTCTATTTAATGTGCACCACATGTTTTTAGTGAACAAATGCAGGCTTTCAGACACACATAAATGTAGAAAACAAAGACCGGAAAGACATGCATCAAAGATTTTATTTCGGAATAATGATTTCACCGATCTTTCTTCTCTTTTTTTCAAGCTTTGTTATAAAATACTCATGAAAGTTATTTTTAAATGAATATTCCATTTATGAAGGCAAAGAAAGACGATGCTTTATCATAACACGAGTTATAGCTATTTATATATAATTATGGATGTTATTTATTTATAAGTATCTATTATGTGGTTCAAAAAACGCTATGTAACTGCATGTAGCCTCATGGAAAAAAAAATATGCAGCCAATATATATGATGTTTGAAAAGAATACTCTGGGCGGGGGTGCCGGGCACGGTGGCTCATGCCTGTAATCCCAGCACTTTGGGAGGCTGAGGTGGGCAGATTGCCTGAGGTCAGGAGTTCGAGACCAGTCTGGCCAACATGGTGAAACCCTGTCTCTACTAAAAATACAAAAAAATTAGCTGGGCATAGGTGGCGTGCGCCTGTAATCCCAGCTACTTGGGAGGCTAAGACAGGGGAATTGCTTGAACCAGGGTGGTGGAGGTTGCAGTGAGCCAAGATGGTGCCACTGCACTCTAGCCTGGGCGACAGAGCGAGACTCTGTCTCAAAACAAAAAGAATACTCTGATTTTAGAAGATGCTTTTGCAATTTGATCATCAAATTGCCAATATTGACCCTTTTCTGACCAATGAAAACAGCAATTTCATATAATTTAATCTAATATTAAATGGGATCTAAAAGGTTCCCATAAATAGAGGTTGAAATCAATTATGTAGAAAATACACATACACGGAAAAGAAGACTGGAAAAAAACATACAAAAAGCTGGCATGGCGATTTTATTTTTTCCTTCTTGGTCATTTTCCAAATTTCCAACCGTGGGAATATATTGCCTTATGAGTGGGGGAAAAAATTCCATTCAAACATTTAATTCAGAGAAATTGCTAGCATTTTTGAGAGTCTTACCCTAATCTGGCTACTTACTCTGTGTCTATGTGTACTGGGAGAAAGAGGATAATGAGAAATTTAAATTCATAAGTATTAACTGTTAGATGATTATTAAATTAGCTCATCATTTCTAAGCATGAACTGGGCAGGAAGCATCATGTCTATGCAGGGGAAAGCCCCTATGTTCAGGAGGGACCTGAGATCCGTGTTCCGCTTGTCTGAATCTGCCATCCATTATCCTGATTGTTTTCAAACAGCTTTACTGAGGTATAACTGACATACAAAAAAAAGTGCATGTACTTAATGTATGCATTTTGAAGAGTCTGGATACATGCACAGACTCGTGACACCATCACCACAATCAAGGTAACAGACATATCCGTCACCTCTAAAAGTCTCGTGTCCCCCTTTTTTGGTGGCAAGAACATTAACATGAGATCTACTCTCAATACATTTTTAAGTATACAATGCAGTATTGTTAACTACAGGTGCTATGCTGTCCAGCAGATCTCCACAACTTACTCGTCTTGCAGAACTGAAACTTTATACCAATTGGAAAATGCCTCCCCATTTTCCTCTCCCCCATCCCGTGGTAACCATTCTTTTATCCATCCTCCTGTGATCTTGGGCAAGTAACTCCCTCTTTTTGGCTTCAGTTCTCCTACCTTTAAAATAAAGAATTTTGAAAGGTTGACCTCTAAGCTCCTTTTGCCTTTGGTATTCCATGCTCTTAGTCCATGATGGCTGGAATAGACCCCCTAAGTCATGAGACCCAAGGCAAAATAAAAACACAGGACCTCGGCCTGGCACGGTGGCTCACGCCTGTAATCCCAGCACTTTCGGAGGCCGAGGCGGGCGGATCACAAGGTCAGGAGATCGAGACCATCCTGGCTGAAACGGTGAAACCCCTTATCTATTAAAAAATACAAAAAAATTAGCCGGGCGTGGTGGCAGGCACCTGTAGTCCCAGCTACTTGGGAGACTGAGGCAGGAGAATGGCGTGAACCGGGGAGGCGGAGCTTGCAGTGAGCCGAGATCGCGCCACTGCACTCCAGCCTGGGTGACAGAGTGAGACTCCATCTCAAAAACAAAAAAAAACAAAAAAAACAAAAACACAACAAAAAAAACACACAGGACCTCTTATGCAAAATTAATTAAGAATCTTAGGATGCTGACAACAGAAATTCAAACAAGTGCAGAGCCATGGAGCTGTGTGTGACTGCACAGGCCGCATGTCCATGAAGCCGACCCTGCTGATGGCAGAAGGCCAAGGACAAACACCACCAACCAAAATAAAAAATTCTCAGTTATACAATAGACAAGTTCTGAGGAGCTAATGGACAGCACGGGTGGGGAATGATGTGTTCATTCATTTGTGTAATGTCATCATCACACAATGTATGTGTATATCAAATCATCACACCTTGAACACATTGAATACATTCAACCTTTATATTCCAACTAAACGTTTTAAATTATTTTTTAAAAAGTGTTTGAGAGGCCAAGCATGTATATTTAAGAATTATTCACAAAGTAGATAAAACACCTGTCAACAAAAACAGCCATACTCGGGTTGAATGATTAAAAACGAGCAACAACTTCCTTTTCTTTTCTTTTTTCTTTTTTTTTTTTTTTTTTTGAGATAGAGTCTCGCTCTGTTTCCCAGGCTGGAGTGCAGTGGCGCCATCTTGGCTCACTGCAAGCTCCGCCCCCCGGGTTCACGCCATTCTCTTGCCTCAGCCTCTGGAGTAGCTGGGACTACAGGCACCCACCACCATGCCCGGCTAATTTTTTGTATTTTTAGTAGAGACGGAGTTTCACCGTGTTAGCCAGGATGGTCTCAATCTCCTGACCTCGTGATCCCGCCCCCCCCCCCCCCCCCCCCCCGCCTCGGCCTCCCAAAGTGCTGGGATTACAGGTGTGAGCCACCACGCCTGGCCAACAACTGCCTTTTCATAATTGATCACAATCAGCTTCTATTTTATAACTACGTCTTGGAATAGGCCATTATGCTTGGATTTCACAGGCAAGTCTGCATTTTCCTCGTCTTAAATTCCATCGCGGTGAGCCAAACTCAGTCAACCTTTTCTGTGCTAACATCTGTGATCAAGATTAAAGTAACTAACAGCCAGCTCTGGCTCTTGAAGCATAACTGGAGGATAAGATCAGGTATTTGCAAAGTGTGAGGCTCCAGCCACACTCCTCTGCTTCAAGGACTTGATGTTGCCTTGACTATCGTTACTCTGAACACTGGGAGGAGAGGACCATCATGGAGGGAGAAATTGAGTCCACCTCCCTCCTTTGAATTAATTGCAGGAGTAAACAACCACAGACCACGTAACCTCCCTTTCACAGAGCTCGGCTGTACAGAACAGCCTAGAATAGTAGGGAGAGACAGGTGCCCCGGGTTTACCACCAGAGCCTATTTTTCTCTGTATTCATTTCTAATGAATGAGATTATTTCTAGGGTTGAGAAGCAGGGCCAGCTGATTGTCACAATCAGGCATATTAAAAGCCATGATAGGCCGGGTGCAGTGGCTCAAACCTGTAATGCCAGCACTTTGGGAGGCTGATGTGGGCAGATCACCTGAGGTCAGCAGTTTGAGACCAGCCTAAGCAACATGGCAAAACCCCGTCTCTACTAAAAATACAAAAAAATTAGCCAGGCATGGTGGCGCACATCTGCAATCCCAGATACTCGGGAGGCTGAGGCAGAAGAATCGCTTGAGCCCAGGAGGTGGAGGTTGCAGTGAGCTGAGATTGTGCCACTGCACTCCAGCTTGGGTGACTGAGCAAGACTCCTTCTCAAAAAAAAAAAAAAAAAAAAAAAAAAAAGAAGGTGTGATAAATAACACTAGGCAAGAAATGCAAGAGCAGAAAAAAAATTATCAAAAAAGAGGCAGATTTTTATTTTTTAAAGGGACTCCAGGGTCACTGAGTGAAGAGCTACAGCATTTTTGATGCCCGTGCGCAACCATCAGTGCTTTTAGCAGAATCTAAAACCTAGTGCTTGAAATGATGGCTGGATTCTTCAAGGAAGGCTTCACACACATTCAGCGTACTCTATTTGAGAAGGCAGGAAAATAAATGGGTGATAGAGTTTAGAAAAATTCCTTAAAAGTAAAGCTTAACTCTCCAGAAATGAGGCTCCCAAAGCCTCCAAAACGCTCCAGATGGCTGAAGTTTTGCTGGAGGTATGCGTGTGTGCATGTTCACATTTTGTAGCATTTCTATGTACTGCTTTTAAAAATCCATCCTTATCACAGGCCTTCTTAGAACAGTGGTTTGCAAACTTTTTCAGTAAAGGGTCAGACAGTTAAGATTTTCAGTTTAGCAGGCCACGTGATCTCTCTCACAACGGCTCAGCTCTGCCGCTGTAGCTCAAAACAGACATAGACGAGTACGTAACAAATGGGCGAGGCTGTGTTCCAATAAAACTCCACTTACAAAAACAGATGGCTGGCAGCATTTAGCCCATGAGCCGTAGTTTATCAAGCCCTGCTCTGCCACAAGGAACATGGGCTCTGGACAGGGCAGGATCTGGATTCAAATTATTTCAATCCACCACTCTGTAACCGTGAGACTCAGTTTCCCTCTTTTACCATGGGGGGATATAATACATTGCTGCGTAACTGTAAACATCAATTGGAAAACATAGTAGATATTTGATACATGTTAACGTCCTTATGCCAATAGTAAATCTTTTCATCTTGCTGGTTTTCTTAGTTCTTTATCTATACGGGTCTTCATCCACATGGTTCTTTTCAGTCAAAAATGGCCTTTCTCCAACATTATCTCATTGCCCCACCCTTTTCCCCTCTCATATTCCACAAGGCTGGTAGACAGACATCACTAACTGCTCTACTGATAAGGAAATAAACACTCATGGAAGTAGTACTCCAGCCAGGGTAGGGAATTACGTGCTCCAAACCAGCAACCTGTGCCTCCGGGTCTGTTACTTGCACAAACATGGACACCCGTGAGTTTGTAGACATGCCCACTTGGAAATCTACACATGGACACAGAAGAGGCAGTTAACCATCACAGGGAGGGGCACCAGGCTTGGATCCCACCTTGGTGACATACAGATTGTGTATCCCCAGGCAAGGTACCTGACCACACAGTCTGGGTTTCCTCATTTATGAAATGAGGCTAAAAATAGCATAGGTTCCAGAAGTTTCTACCTCAAAATGTTGAGCGTCTAACACCTAGCCCATAGTACATGTTCCATCAATAGCTGTTGAATGAACCAATGTGATGGTGAGGGTTAAATGAGAACAGTATTCATAGCCCCAGGATGCTCAATAAATGGTCACAGCTCTGCTTAGTGACAAATCTATATGCACCACATATGGAGGTAGATACACACACACACACACACACACACACACACACAGCTGTCAGCTCCACATGGGCAGGAGCCATATCTGACACAAAGCACTTGCTCATTACAAAACTGTGTGTTCATTTATGAATATACAACACACTCGTGCGTATAAACAAATAAGTGCAAACAGCTGATAAACTGGGTTGGGCTCCCCAAGGTCCTTGCAATTCTCTCTCTACATCCACTCAACCCCCAGAAGGAGCAGAACAGGTTGATCCAGACCTCAGATGATGAAATTCTGCTGGCTGTTTACTGGATTCCAGACCACCACCACCCATACATATCAAAGACCCGCATCGTTTCACTCCCTGGGCTGTGACTCCAGGGTCCCATAAGGTGACCCAGGCTAGAGGTGCCATAGAAAATGTCCCTGCTGGGCCAGGCATGGTGGCTCACACCTGTAATCCTAGCACTTTGGGAGGCCGAGGCAGGCAGATCTCCTAAGGTCAGGAGTTCGAGACCAGCCTGGCCAACAGGGCAAAACCCCGTCTCTACTAAAAATAAAAAAAAAAAAAATTAGCTGGATATGGTGATACATGCCTGTAATTCCAGCTACTCGGGAGGCTGAGGCAGGAGAATCGCTTGAACCCGGGAGGCGGAGGTAGTAATGAGCCAAGATCGCGCCATTGCACTCCAGCATGGGGGACAAAGCAAGACTCCCTCTCGGAAAAAAAAAAAAGAAAAGAAAAGAAAATGTCCCTACTTAAGATGTAGAGGAGCAAGGGGCAGTGATATCCTCAATGCGCATATCAGGTGGCGTTTGAGCACCTGAGGAGTTTCAGGGACTGCTGCCCTTGAATTGCTGAGATGAGGTTCTACCTTTGAACAAAGATGGTCCGTGCATTTGGAAGGAAAGAGCTGACAGATGTTCCACCGCCCTGCACAAAGGGAGGGCTTATGCTCAACCAGGTCCTGGCCATTCCCATGGGCAGAGCAGGCAGCCACTGGGCACTGCCAGCTTTTCCCAATATCTCCTCCGAGTCCCCACAGCCCCTTGGCTCTGTGCACAGGCGAGGCCGCCTCTAAAGCCAAGAAGGCAATGACCCAACTCTGGAGGAGGGGGAGATGACTCAAGCTACAGCACACAAGGCCTTCTCAGGGCCGCCTTGACCATGCCGGCCTCAATCCCAGGCAGTTGCCTTCACCACACCAAGGTAGAGTACTCGGCACTTGGACAGTGGCGTCAGAACAAGGGTGGAGGCCATGTCCTCTCGGCATGACATCAACTAACAGCCTGGCTCCTTGGCCCTGAAAGAGAATGAGCCAATGTCTGCCTCTGGCCATGCAAAACCAATCCTCATTTAGTCTGTGGAAACAGTACATGGAAGGCCAGATGTAGCCTTTGGCTTGAAGAACTGAGTTTGCTCAACAGACACACGTTTTCCATTCAACACTCTTTCTGATTTGGTTGCGGTTGTACTGCTGTTGTTTAAAGGAGGGAGGGATTAAACCACCCTTTTTGAGAGGATAAATGTGTGGTGGGTCTGTATATGTTGATGACAGACAGATACACACACACATATGGTAGATGTTAACGAGCCCATTTTATTGATGGGCACACTGAGGATTGACCAGGTGAATGACTTATCTCAGATTGAGTCCACAGCCAGGACTCAAACCAAGATATAATTCCACTGTCCACTTTTCCCCACCACACTGTGGTATAAGGCCTAAAATTAATATTATGTGCTGCCTTGACACCTGGGGAAAGCCAAGAGCATCTCATATGGCTTGAATGTAAGTTTCCCTAACTACTTTGCTTCCTCAAATAAGGTCCTCTAGCCAGACAGCCTCCTTTGTCTCAGCAAGACCAGGTACAGTGCCTGCCTATCCCTGGAGAGTGGGTTTCTGTTCCCTGCCAGCCTCTGGGATTATTTAAACAAGACAATCATATCCCCTTGTGGGACACAGGGATTATTGCATCTTCTTGCTTCTGCATAGCCTGCCTCCCATGGCCCCTGGATGTTCACCCTGTCCCCAGATACAACCGTGTGGCCCTGCATGGTGCACAGCACCTGCTTCCCTGGGGCTGACTGTACGTGACACATAAACTGCTGTCCATCTGGTCTGTCCAGCTTTGGGTGTTATCCCCATAGGGTGGGAATCTACTTCAACCATGGGGTGAAGTGGAGGCGATCAAAACACACACCAGGCTGGGTGTAGTGGCTCATGCCTATAATCCCAGCACTTTGGAAGGCTGAAGCGGGCAGATCACTTGAGGTCAGGAGTTTGAGACCAGCCTGGCCAGCATGGGGAAACCCTGACTCTACTAAAAATACAAAAATTAGCCGGGCGTGGTGGTGTGCTCCTGTAATCCCAGCTACTCGGGAGGCTGAGGCAGAAGAATCACTTGGACCCGGGAAGCGGAGGTTGCAGTGAGCCAAGATCGTGCCACTGCGCTCCAGCCTGGGTGACAGAGCCAGAGTCCATCACACACATACACACACACACACACACACACACACACACACACACACACACACGGCTTCCTGAGCAAAGTGGGACTATTACAATTTCCACAGAATGATATTCCAAAGTCCCTCTCTAGAGGTCAGCTTGCAACACACCTCCCCACAGGTGGACACTGGTCAGTTTTGGAAGAGACAGGAGCCAAGGACTCTGGCCTTCAGATAACTAAACCTCAAGTTCATTCCTAGACTGGCCATTTATAGTCATCCAGTAGATACTCCATCATTCCATTGTCACTCTTCCACCTGTCTGTCCGCAGGAGCTCCGAATTCTGCAACCTCCGCCTTTCCGTGTGTAGCTCAAGCAGAATCCAGAGAGGGCATGAGCAGTGGGTAACAAGGGCAGAGTGTTTGCAAACCCAGGAAGAGGTGACGGCACAGGCAATTAGAGGCAGAACCCTGATTAACTGAGCCCAACTAACCAGAACCATCAATTAACTCAAATCTTTTTTTTTTCTTCCCTCTCAGGAGACTGAGGCCAGGAATTGAGAAAATCACAATTTAAAATGGAAAAAAAACTGTGTTCCGGGCTTTTCTCTGGCTCAACTCTGACCCAGGTCCATTTCCTTCATCCTCATTCAAGACACATGTACAACTTCAAATTTTCTAGTAGCTGTGTTTTTTAAAAAAGTAAAAAGAAATTGATTAATCTATTTGATTTAACCAAATACATCCTAAATATTGTCATTTCATCATGTGATCCATATGGAAAAAGTATCAAATCTAAACAAATATGAAAAAGCATTAAGGAGATGTTTTATATTCTTTTGTTTGAGCTAAGTTTTTCCTAGAGCACAGCTCAGTTGGAACTGGCTGCATTTCAAGTGCTCAGTAACCCTGTGTGGCTGGTGGCTACCATATGGGACAGCACAGATCTGGAGCTAAAGTGTGAAGTGATTGTTTAGAATGATGATTCTGGAGGGTTGCTAGGGTTTCAACGTCCATGTCACCTCCAAAATTCATGTTGAAATTAATTAATTAATTAATTTAATTTATTTTTTTTTTTTTTGAGATGAAGTCTCACTCTGCCGCCCAGGCTGGAGTGCAGTGGAGCCATCTGGGCTCACTGCAACCTCTGCCTCCCGAGTTCAAGCAATTCTCCTGCCCCGGCCTCCCAAGTAACTGGGATTACAGGCATGTACCACCATGCCTGGCCCATTTTTGTATTTTTAGTAGAGATGGGGTTTCACCATGTTGGCCAGACTGGTCTCGAACTCCTGACTTCAAGTGATCTGCCCACCTCGGCCTCCCAAAGTGCTGGGATTAAAACTGTGAGCCACACGCCCGGCCTCATGTTGAAATTTAATCCCCAAGGGAAGAGTATTAAGTGGTGGGTCCTTTAGGAGGTGATCAGGCCAGAAGAGTTCCGCTATCATGCATGGGGTTAGTCCCTTACAAAAGGTATGGAGAGAACTAAGTAAACCCCTTTTGCCCTTCCATCCCTTTCACCATGTGAGGTCACAGAGTTCATCCCCTACAAATAATACAGTGACAAGGCACCATCTCGGAAGCAGAGAGCAACCCTCACCAGACCCCAAACCTGCTGGCACCTTGATCTTGGACTTCCCAGCTTTCAGAACTGTGAGCAATACATTTCTGTTGCCTGTAACTTACTCAGCAGCATAAACAACTTAGGCCGGGGCTTTAAAACAAATTGGTCACTAGTGAGTAACTGCGTGCTAAGTGTTTCCTCCCAACAGTGCCTCATGATTGACAAACTGGTCTTGGGCTTACACGGGTCTATGACGTCCTGGAGTACAGACTGCCAAGTCCCTTCTCTACAGCCAGGGCCTTTCTTCACAGGAAAGTGACTGCAGTAAGAGCCACCTGCCATGACCTCCACCCCATTAATTACCTCTTTGTCTGATTTGCAATATGCAAGCCTTCTCCATACCTTCCACCTAAATGATGAATTCACACTTCAGACCAAAAAAAAAAAGGAAATTATTTGAAAAGGCCATTTTTCTACTAACCACCCAGGAATGTGTAGGTGTAGCATTTAATAGTGCCTACAAAGTCCCTCCCCGAGGGGACCTTGCAGTCTAGCAAGGACAGTGAGAAGTACACATTTAAAAAAAGATCTACTATTATCCTGGCTAACATGGTGAAATCCCGTCTCTACTAAAAATACAAAAAATTAGCCAGGCGTGGTGGCAGGTGCCTGTAGTCCCAGCTACTCGGGAGGCTGAGGCAGGAGAATGGCGTGAACCTAGGAGGCGGAGCTTGCAGTGAGCTGAGATCGCACCACTGCATTCCAGCCTGGGCGACAGAGCGAGACTCCATCTCAAAAAACAAAAACAAAAAAAAGATCAACTATTTATGGGTCCAATAAAAACTAGCTACTGGGCCAGGCGTGGTGGTTCACACCTATAATCCCAGCACTCTAGGAGGCTGAGGTGGGTGGATTGCTTGAAGCCAGGAGTTCGAAATGAGCCTGGCCAACATGGCATAACCCCATGTCTACTCAAAAATACAAAAATCAGCCGGGCATGGTGGCGGGTGCCTCTAATCCCAGCTACTCAGGAGGCTGAGGCACAAGACTCAACTGAACGCGGGGACGTTGCAGTGAGCTGAGATTGCGCCACTGCACCCAGCCTGGGCGACAGAGTGAGACTCTGTCTCAAAAAAACAAAAAAACAATAACAAACAAAAAAAAAACTACCTACTGGCCACCTGGAACAAGGGTTAACCAACATATGAGGCAGCCCCTTTTATTGGTGAGAAAACCGAGATCAGAAAAATGAATGAATTACTATCCACATGCTCCCACAGGAACTGCAGAAGAGCGCAGCCCAGAACACAGGAAGCCTTCCCATTTTAAAATCATTCATCGAGTGTAATCCCAGCACTTCGGGAGGCCAAGGCAGGCAGATCACCTGAGGTCAGGAGTTCAGGACCACCCTGACCAACATGGAGAAACCATATCTCTACTAAAAATACAAAATTAGCGGGGCATGGTGGCGGGCGCCTGTAATCAATCACAGCTACTCAGGAGGGTGAGGCAGGAGAATCGCTTTAACCCGGAAGGCAGAAGTTGCAGTGAGCCGAGATAGCGTCATTGCACTCTAGCCTGGGCAACGAGAGCAAAACTCCATCTCAAAAAAAAAAAAAAAAATCATTCATTGAGTAACTTTTCCATTTTTTGCCCTATCCATGTAATGTCTGTTGTTTTATTTATTTTTCAGGGCTCTTTAAATCAGCTCATCTATATTTTTACTTCAATGGCTTAATTTAAAAGGGAAACATTACTCCTAAATTAGTGGAAAAACTAGTATAATTTGCTATAAATGGAAGGTAACTAGAAAAATAAACAGAGAGCTATTAATTTCTATAAAGTCTGTGGAGTTATAGCTTAAAATCATCTTGTGAGTCACCAGTTTGCATGTGACACTTTGGAAAAGGCTGCAACAGAGAAGTTGAGACCTACGCTTTGCCTGGCTGGCTGGCAAGACTTTGTAAAGGAAGAAGAGGAAAGGTGTCCCAGGTGTGTGCACAGCATGGAGAAACGTGCGGAGGTGGATGGAGGGCAGAGCGTGGAAGGCAGAGAGGAAACTGATACCTACCTGATTAAATCACCGAAGCACATTCAGTTCCGTGCCATGGATTTAACATGGACTAACACACTTTGGAAATACTTTCAAAGCAAGGTCTGCAACAATAGTGTTTTTGTAACTCCTAGTTAACAAGAAAAACAACAGATCCAAGCCCCCACGGCGGTTCCCCAGTGTTTCCCAATACTGTCATCTGATTCTGTTTTCTGTCAGGGAAATAAAATATCCCATTTCCTCCATGATGGTGAGTTCTGAATGCAGCTGTCCACGGTCAGGGGAGATGGAGAGGAAAGAAGCCAAAAAGCAGCAGGCAGGCAAAGGCCAGTGAGAAGATGTTGACTCTGGGGCCCCGTCCTTCACTACTGTGTGGTTGCGGGTGTGGGTATGGATGTGGATATGGATGCGTGTACAGATGCAGGTGTGGGTGTGCATGCATGTGTGTGAGAGAGAAAACCTCCTCCTCCTAGGCTCACCCCAGGCCATCAAAGAGACACACATACCTTGCAGAAAGTCAACTTCTACACTGGTTGGGGCAAGTCCAGCCCGTCCGAATCCCACAGGGAAGGGCCACCATGGCTTCTACCCCAGCCGAGCTGACATCCCCAAACACAGGGACTTTCGTATGTGTGTCCGACTGGCCTTGCTCCCTGCCAGTGGCTGCCTCTTCAGGGGCCAGAAACCCTGATCGTGTCAAGCAGTCCTAGAAAAAATGCTCACCCGCTTTCTCAGATGAAGTGCAGTAGGGCTCCCTGGCCTGCACAAGCCAGTGACCATTTTTTTAAAAGCCCTTGGAAAAGAAAGGCATATATTCTGCAACACAATATTTGGTGGACACTATCATAGCATTTTGTAAGATCGTATGTAACCCCAACTGTGGCTCTGAACAAAAAAATATTATTCAGCCCCAGAAAGGCATATAAATCCCTACAAAGTACAGGGTGGGTTTTTTGGGTTTTTTTAAGTGGTTAAATTCTCACAATTTTTTGCCTTTGTTCAGTGCAGGGAGACAGTGGTCTGCAAAGGTGGTAACACTGACTTCCTGAGAATCTTTTTTCTTTGAGACAGGGTCTTACTCTGTCACCCAGGCTAAAGTGCAGTGGTGCAGTCATGGCTCATTGTAGCCTCCACCTCCTGGGTTCAAGCCAGCCTCCCACTTCAGCCTCCCAGGTAGCTGGAACTATAAGCACATGCCACCACACCCAGCTAATTTTTTATAGAGATGAGAGGGGGTCTCACTGCATTGCCCAGGCTGGTCTCAAACTCTAGGGCTCAAGCGATTGGCCAGCCTCAGCCTCCCAAAGTGCTAGGATTACAGGCGTGAGCCACCATGCCCGGCCTCCTGAGAACCTTTAATTGAACTTGCAGCATTGCAATTCAGCCCAAGCTCCTTGGGTGCAGGACTTCACGTTGCTAAATCCAGGGAAGCCTACCTTGGTTACCTGGGAAAATGGTGTGGGAGGTTCCTTAGATCTCTCCCTAGCCACCTGCTCCTTAAAAACATCACAAGAGGTTGTGGGACCACAAACCCTTGTCTCCGAGAATTCCTTCTTCTCTCCAAACTTGCCCTATTCACACATTCCCGATCTTATTTTTTCCTGAGTCCTACTTTGTCTGTTCCACATTTTTTCTTTTTCTTTTTTTTTTTTTTTGTGAGACAGAGTCTTGCTCTGTCACCCAGGCTGGAGCGCAGTGACGCCATCTCGGCTCACTCCAGCTTCTGTCTCCAGGGTTCAAGTGATTCTTCTCAGCCTCCCGAGTAGCTGTGATTACAGGCATGCGCCACCACGTCCGGCTAATTTTTGTATTTTTAGTAGAAACGGGGTTTCGCCATGTTGGCCAGGCTGGTCTTGAACTCCTGACCTCACCCACCTCGGCCTCCCAAAGTGCTGGGATTATAGGCGTGAGCCACCGCACCCGGCCCCCGTTCTACATTTTAATGGCCCTCAAATCTGTCCCCTCCTTTCCTTTCCCACTTTCCCTGTCCCAGTTCAGGCCTTTATCATAACTCCCCTGAACTGAATGTCCCCTTTTCTGATTCCTTGCCTCTAGGCTCACTTCTGCAATCCATTCCCCACGAAGCAGCCAGAGTGATCATCTCAAACTGATCTTGGACCATGCTCTTCTGCTCCTCAAACATCTTCAGTGGCTCCCCATTACCTACACGATACATCTGAAGCTCCCTGATGTGGTCTACAGTACCTGGGCCTGTGCCTGCCTTATCAGTCCCATCCCCTGCCAAGGCCTGCTCCTCTCTTTTACATCTGACACTTTGGAAAAGGCTGCAACAAAGGAGAAGTTGAAACCTACGCTTTGCCGGGCTGGCTGGAAAGACTTTATAAAGGAAGAGGAGCCTTGTGCTCCATGAATATTGTATTTCTTGTGATTTTCTGACAAGGCTCAATATTTTCATCTCTGTTCTCTGTCGGGAATGGTCTTTCGTGTCCCCTTATCCTGGTCATTCGTGGCCTGCTCACATTCACCCTTTTTTTTGGGACGGAGTCTCGCTCTGTTGCCCAGGCTGGAGTGCAGTTAGTTCAAGCAATGCTCCCGTCTCAGCTTCCAAAGTAGCTGGGACTACAGGTGCCCACCACCACAACTAACTAATTTTTGCATTTTTAGTAGAGACGGGCTTTCACCATATTGGTCAGGCTGGTCTTAAACTCCTGACTTCAGGTGATCCACCCACTTCGGCCTCCCAAAGTGCTGGGATTATCATTCACCCGTTAAGGTCATGCTGTGGGCAACAGCTCCTCCAGGAAGCCTTCCAGGAGTGTTCTAGGTTATACTGCCCACTCCTACATGATCACAGAACTGATAACACTCCGCAAGGGAGAAACATCAGAAATCTATCTTACAAAAATTCAACTATAAACAGTCAGGAGGGAAAAAAGAGAGAGATAGATGGTGACACAAATCATTTAAATAATGTGGAATCCTGTGCACCACTTGACTCTGTGAGTATATACCCTGTGATGAACATCTTGCTATGATTTCTCTCTCCATCTAGCCCAGAGTCATTTTTCTGGAATCTGTGAGTTTGGGGATCTATGGAGAGAGAATTCTGGGGGTCTTCGAACTTGTACATACCCGCTGATGAACTTGTACATATTCATAATTATTTTCACTAACTCTAACTGAAATTTAGCATGACCTTCAATTATGAATATAGGCAACAGACTGCAGTAGTATTAGCAACACCCGAGACTTTGACACCAACAGAAATTGCAGATATTTTCATGTCACATTGCTTTGGTGGCAGATGTCTCCAAATATTGTTTATACTTGTCATTACTTCAAAATTAGGGTAGTTATTAGACCTGATGCCAAATCTACTTTAATGTGTTAATAAAGAAGCAAATGTATTATTACTCCACAGTTTTCTGATTTTTATATATACTTTGACGGCTGTACTTCAATATAACCACTTTCCTTTTTAATCCTCTGCATTTTTTTGCATTTGAAAATATTCAGAGAAGGGGAGCATAATTTTGACCAGATTCCGAAGGGATTTACAACACAGAGAAGGTGACACTATCCTGCTGTAGACAGTGAGCTCACTGGTGGCAGGGCACCAGGTCCTTCATCTTCCAATCCCCAGCACCTAAAGCAGTGGTTAGTATACAATAGGAATTTTTAAAAAATGAACTGAGATATTTTATCTATCTATCCTTTTTTCCCTCCTTCCTTCTTCCTTCCTTCCCTCCTTCCGTCTTTTCTCCCTTCCATCTGTGTATCCATCATCATCCATCCATCACCTATCCATCCATCCATTCATCCATCCTCCATCCATCATCTATCCCTCCATCATACATCCATCCATGATGCATCCATCACCCCTTGTCCACCCATCCCTCTATCCATCCACCCATCCCTCTATCCATCCACCCATTCGTCCACCCATCTATTATCCACTCATTTATCTACCCACTCACCTCTCTATCCATCTGCCCACCCATCCACCCACCCATCCTGTATCCACTCATCCCTCTATCCATCCGCCCATCCCTCCATCCAACATATATCCATCCATCTGATTCAATCTACAGTTCTAACAGTTGACACCTCTGCAGTTGGTTTCCCAGATCCAGTTCTGCAGCTCAACTGGAGACTCCCTAAGAAGGAAAAGTGACTCACTGTGGAAAGAGGTGATACTATTTCCTTGTATGGCCGTGGGCATGTCACAGAATGTGCCTGCAGCTCAGCTGTCTTTCACAGGCTGAACACAGAGCTCTGTCTCCAGCTGCCACCACATGGGCTGGGGCCCCAAGCTCAGGCAGAGCGCCATGCCTGTGTTCAGATCATTTCCTTACCCAGGAACATTTTGGTTTTCTGCTTTCGAGGTATCACAGAATGGTTAAATCTTAAAGAACAATCGCCACCATTACCAATTACACAAACTGCACAGAATGGTAGTTAAGAGTTCTGCGTAGGTCCAAAGACCAGCTCCCCACTCACTCTCTATATGACCTTGGGTGACTCAGTTAACCCTTTCCTCTCTGTGCCTCAGTTTTGCTATTTGAAAGAGGGCATAACAACCATACCTCACTTACACAGGTTTATGGGGAGATTAAAGAGAATCTTCCTTATGGGAAGACTGAGTTAATCCATGCACTGCACTTAGCACAGGGGCTGGCACATAGTAAATGCTCAACAATTTTTAGCCATCATTATCCATCATTTCCTCCAAGGAGGCAGACAATCAGAACATTAGGACCCAGAATCCTGAAAAATGGAGCTATGGAATTCACAAATACCCCATGTAAAAAAATGCTTAGATCCACTCATATCTAAAATTCAAATCAAGGCAGCAAGATACTGTTTTTACTCATTGGTTTGTCGAAGATTATAAAGATGGACAATCACCAGTGCCTTTGAAAGAGGAAACAGGAAACCACGTAAGGCTTTGACCGGAGATGTGAAGAAACCTCCTCATAGGACAATATAAAATTTAAAATGCACACACCCTTTGAGCCAGTGATGTTAAATCTAGTCACTTACCCTACAGAGGTACATACCCAATCGAGCAAAGGTGTATTTACAAGAATGGCTAAAGGCAGCATAGTTTAAAATAGGGGGAAAAAAACCAATCTAAATGTCTACCAACAGGAAATCAGTGAAATAGATGATGAAATATTTAGTGCATTTAATTAATCTTTATTGAACAGCTACTACATCCCAGAGACTGTGACAGGTGCTGAAAACAGAACTGGACAAAATAGAAAAGTTAAAAATAACGACGAAGAATGATATGTGCTGACAGGAGATGAGTGATAAGATAGAGAGGAAAAGCAAGTTACCATAAAATATGTTTCAGAAAATACATGTCATAAAATATGATGTTCCATTTCAAGGAAACAGGTTCCTGCCAATATGCACATGAATACACTCATGTACACATATTAAATTGGTGCACAAAGTAATTGCAGTTCTTGCCATTACTTTTAAATGGCAAAAACTTCAATAACTTGTGCACCGACATAATACAAGTTAAAATGCAAAGGAAAAATCTGGAAGTAGTAGCAAAAAAAAAATTAACAGCAGTTATCTCTGAAGAATAGGTATAGGAAGTGATGTGCTTTTGAATCATTTAATTGTTTTCATCATGTGCTTGTATTGCATTAATCCTCTGTAGGTCCCGTATGCTCTATCTCCTTTCAGAACACATCCAGCATCAAACTATTTCATTTTTAATTTTTGTGTACACGGAGTAGGTATAAACTACTTCTTTTGGCTTTCACTATTAACACTCTGGTCCAAACCACCCCTGCATGTCCCCTAACAGATTACAACATCCTTCCCCCTCACCCATCTCCCTGTTCTTGCCCTTGACCCATTACAGTACATTTTCAGCAGGGCAGCCACCAATCCCATTTTCCAAGGCAAGGCCATGTCATTCCTCTGTTTAAAATCCTCTGAAGACTTCCCAGTGTGGAGTGAAGCAAGGACCCTTCTAAGTTTCCCAAGGTTCTAATGATCTAGCTTCACCTCCACCGCCCCTCTCTCCCTTACTCATGCTGTTCTAGCCACACCAGGCTCTGCTGGCAACCAACACACCAACCACATTCTATCTCAGGGCCTTTGCCCTGGCTGCTCCTGTTCCTTCCTCTTTCTGCAGAGCTCCACCACTCATGCTTTTGAGATCTTTGCTCAAACACTGCTGCATGGAATTGTCTCCACCAAAGGAAAAGGGCAACCTATCTCCAACTGGCCTTACCTAGCCCACAGTCCTCCCCTGCTTTGCTCTCCCATGCTCTCATCGCCATCTGACATGACATATCAACATGCATTTCTCGGTTGGGCGTGGCGGCTCATGCCTGTAATCCCAGCACTTTGGGAGGCCGAGACAGGCAGATCCCATGAGGTTGGGAGTTCGAGACCAGCCGGGCCAACATGGTGAAACCCCATCTCTACTAAAAGTACAAAAATTAGTTGGGCGAGGTGGCGCGTGCCTGTAATCCCAGCTACCCAGGAGGCTGAGGCAGGAGAATCGCTGGAACCCGGGAGACGGAGGTTGCAGTGAGCCGAGATCGCACCATTGCACTCCAGCCTGGGCAACAGAGAGAGACCCTGTCTCAAAAAAAAACACATGCGTTTCTCATTTACTACCTGTATAGAATGTGTGCTCAGAAGAGTAAGAATTTCTGTCATGTTGGCTGTTGTATCTCCAGCTCCTAAAACAGTATCCAGAACGTAGTAGGCACTCAACACATATTTATTGAATACACTGATCAATATTATCACATGATAATATGATATGCTATTGATAATTGCGATGATGAAAAGCAAATCCAGAAAAAAACTTCGAGTCCCTAAAGAAAAATGTTTATAAAAACAAAACATAAATTTTGAAAAAACATGTTTCCAGTCACAGCTGCCCGCAGAGAACAGGGTGGAACACCCAACAAGAAAGTAACACGTAAACACCTCACGGCCAACATGGCACACAGCAGCCTGGTTGTCTCAGGCAGCTGCTCTGCACACAGGACCCTTTCACAGAGTCCAGGGAGTAAATGCCAGCAAGGGTTGAACATGTTACAACGTCAGCCCCTGAAGCCACAGACTATTTTCGGGTGTCAGGCAAACCCACAATCTCCTGTGACAGCCAAACTACTGCAGATCTGAAAACCGTCTCCCTGCGGTCTTTCAGGGGACAGGCCTCCGGGATTGTGCCACGAACTCCTCTTGCTTCACGGCACCCAGTGCCTGCTGCATCAACAGCGACTCAGGCATAGGTGGGCTTGGGGTCTCCATCCCCCAGATGTGAGCTGGAGGCCCTACATCCTTTTGTGCCTCAAGGTTGTGCTGGCGTTTTAGTTTTAAAATGAAAAAAAAGAATAATTTGAGACAGGATCTCGCTCTATCACCCAGGCTGGAGTGCAGTAGCGCAATCACAGCTCACTGCAACCTCCATCTCCTGGCCTCAAGTGATCCTCCCACCTCAGCCTCCCGAGTAGCTGGGACTAAAAGCACGGGCCACTACACGCAGATTATGTTTTATTTTTTTGTAGAGATGGTCTTGTTATATTGTTCGGGCTAGTCTCAAACTCCTGGCCTCAGGCAATCCTTCCACCTTGGCTTCCCAAAGTGTTGGCATTACAGGCATGAGCCACCATACCCAGTGTGCTTGGCTTTTTAAATGAGAAGAGGAATCAAGAGAGCGTTCTTCCGTACCTCATCACACCCACAGTGAAACACTTGGCACATGCTATCTTGTTTGTAACTCCAGGTCACATGAGGTCACTTGGAAGCAAAAAATTAAAGCCCAATGACATTTACAGGGAGGCGTTCAACCAGCAGACTTCACCTAAACGTCACCAGCTCCGTCTCATTACAGTCAACGGGTGTTGATTTTTACACATTCTCTGCTACCCATACTTGGTTAGGACCGTGGTTTTCAGCTCAGGGGTGCTTTTGCTCCCCAGAGATATTCGGCAATGTCCAGAGACATTTGTGAGACAACTGGAGGAGGGAGTGTCATTAAAATCTAGTGTGTACATGCCAGAGATGCTGCTAAACATTCTACAATGCAGAGAACAGCCTCACAACAAAGAATAATCCTGTCCCAGGCCGGGTGCCTGTAATCCCAGCACTTTGGGAGGCCAAGGCGGGCGGATCACGAGGTCAGGAGATTGAGACCATCCTGGCTAACACGGTGAAACCCCGTCTCTACTAAAAAATACAAAAAAAAAAAAAAAATTAGCCGGGCGTGGTGGCGGGCGCCTGTAGTCCCAGCTACTCAGGAGGCTGAGGCAGGAGAATGGCACGAACCCGGGAGGTGGAGCTTGCAGTGAGCCGAGATCACGCCATTGCACTCCATCCTGGGTGACAGAAGGAGACTCCATCTCAAAAAAAAAAAAAAAAGAATAATCCTGTCCCAAATGTCAGTAGTGCCCAGATCAAGTGACCCCAGGTTAGTCAGTCCACAGGGTAAACAAGGTTGCCCTGGGGAAGGGAGTCCCTTAAGCACTGTAGTGAGGCTGGAGGCAAAAGAATGGGGTTGATAAGATCTGGTACACCTTGGGGCTTTTGAGATGTGTCTTCGCAGCCAACTGTCTAAGGATTCTTTTTTTTTTTTTGAGACAGGTCTCTGTCACCCAAGCTGGAGTGCAGTGTGGTGATCTTGGCTCACTGCAACCTCTGCCTTCCGGATTCAAGTGATTCTCCTGCCTCAGCCTCCCGAGTAGCTGGGACTACAAGCATGCGCCACCACGCTTGGCTAATTTTTATATTTTTAGTAGAGACGGTGTTTCACCATGTTGGCCAGGCTGGTCTCAAACTCCTGGCCTCAAGTGATCTGCCTGCCTCAGCCTCCCAAAGTTCTAGGATTATACATAGGCGTGAGCCACTGCGCCCGGCCTAACACAGGCAAGTCCACTACCTGGCCATGTCTGAACATACCCCAGGCCAGAAAAGGAGCTTCCTCAGCCTGTGGGTGGCAGAGGTGAGACCCAAGGGGCCAGCTGTTGGCCCGTTTTTATTTCCTTAGAAGATGTCTCAGCCTCTGCTACTCTGACCACTCGTCATCCAGGCAGTTCTGGGCTTCACTCATGTGGTGACGACACAGTTCATCTCTGAACTGCACGCAGGCAAAAAATGTCCCAGCTTGCTCTTGAGACAAGCACCTAGTTTGGCTGCCAAAAACATCCTGGTATTTCAACTCGTGCTGCTTCCCTCTCTGTAAAGAGGAAACCAGCTACCTAAACAGAGGAGGAGGAACATTCCAGAGAAGGCACAAAGCAAATCCCTGCAGAGAATGCCAAAGTCTTTGCCCTCTCTGTGGCACAGGGATGCAGGAGGCAGTGCATGGAGGCACGGAGGCTGGAGAGCCTCTGCTCCCCAAGCCTGCTACTTCCACAAGAGAGAAAAGGCAGGGGGTGACGCAGCTTGCATTCACAAGTGACAAGAGGGTGTCTCCAGCTTATCCTCTTAGCAGTCCTCATGGCTGCTTTAACTAGTTGGGAAGCTGAAGCTCAGAAGCTAAAAGCCTTTCTCAAAGGTGATGCACTGAGCAAGTGAAAGAGTTGGGATTCAAACGTAGGACTATGAAAGTAATACTAAGTGCTTAGGTGCCAGGCACTGTTCTGTTGCTTAATGCACGTTAACCCATCTGATCATCCCAACAAGTCTAGGAGGTGGCTACTGCTGTTACTTCAACCGTTTTTATTTATTATTATTATTTTTGAGAGAGAGTCTCGCTCTGTCACCCATGGTGGAGTACAGTGGCTTGATCTCGGCTCACTGCAACCTCCATTTCCTGGGTTCAAGTGATTCTCCTGCCTCAGCCTCCCGAGTAGCTGGGATTATAGGCGTGTGCCACCACACGTGGCTAATTTTTGTATTTTTAGTAAAGACGGGGTCTCGCCATGTTGGTCAGGCTGGTCTTGAACACCTGACCCCAGGTGATCCACCTGCCTTGGCCTCCCAAAGTGCTGGGATTACAGGCGTGAGCCACCGAGCCCGGCCTACTCTGACCATTTTTTAAAGAAACTGAGGCACAAAGGGATCGCTGGCGTGTGGAAGGTCTCACAGCAGCTAAGTGGTGAGCCAGGGGGTCTGCTGCATAGACCATGACCTGCCCCCACGAGGCCCGTTCTCACCTCCCCAAGGGGCTGCTTGGGGTTACCAGGTCCAGACTGCCCTTGTCCACTTTGCAGGTGAGACCCTAGGAGGATCCAGAGTCCTGAGTGTGCAGGGGACAGGACAAACAATACCCAGGGGACTGTCACTGAGGTGAATGAACGCAGCAGGCCAGGTGGGGACTTCTATGAACCAGTGACCCCATCCCGAGGCCCCATGCAAAGGGGCAGCTGGTGGTCACCAGTCATGGACATCCAGCAGCTCAGAGTGGTTTTACCTATCAGTTTTTCAAAAATCTTCCAACCCCACTCTTCCCCTCTCTAAAAATTTAAAAAATTTAAAAATCTTCCTGAGGCCAAAGGCAACCCATGTGCAGGTCAGAGATGGCCACGAGGAGGCCCATGGCACAACTTTGAGTCCAGGGCCATGAAATGAGAAAGTCACCTCCTGCTCCCATAACTGGTGCCTGATTCTAACTGGGCCAGTGAACGTGGAGACTGGTCATCTGACCAAGAACTCTCTTTGAGCCCGTTTTATAGCTGGAAGTTCCTTCTTCTAGCATTGAGCTGGCTGGGTTTTTCCTTCTCAGGACAATAAAACTGCATTTCTGTCCTCGACCCCACCCATCTGGCACCTGCACCACAGCTAACTTCAGCTTTCCACCCAGTTCTCTTTTGTTCAGTGGAAAAAATGAGCTACAGTTCCCAGAAGAAAATGAGAACGGGGTTATTATTAATAAGATACTCTTTTTCAGAAAGGCAGTTGAAGGCAGCGGGGAAGATCACATTGAGGGGGGAGCCGGGGTAGCCCCACTGCTACTCCCTCCTGCAGGACCACCTGGTCTGGAGAAGCAGCTACGCGCTGGCCCTCCCTGTTGGCTCTCAGAGGTACAAACCAGAGGTGGCGGCATTTCTAAGAAATTAGATTCAAATACTAGGACAGTTAACATTTCCTGGAGGTGTGACCGAGAACCAAGAAAAAGTGATTTTGTGAAGGCCTTGCTTGCAGGCAGAAATAACCTGTCTTCTCTGTCTGTCTGTCTGCTCTGGGGGCTACCGGAAGGAGCTGAAGGCCTGTCCCCCGCCTCTCCCCACCCCACCATGCCCTAGGCCTTAGTCCCTCCCCACTGAAGAATGCCTTTACCAACTTGGGACAGACAGAGGAGTATGAATGAATGAGAATACTCCAAGCTGACCCTGCCTGGGGCATCTCTTCTCACACATGTGGCTTCTCTGGTGCTTTATTTAGCATGAGACTGTTTAGAATGTTTATTTTTGGCTCAGTTTTGGGGGACAGTTTTCACAAATAGAATGACAGCTATGATCTTCTCTCTAAAAAAAGAGCTCGTACAATCCACCGTTGGGCATTCAGTTTCAAGAGCTTCACTGTCCCATGGTCTCCATTCTGGGACCTCTCCTCCACTGGAAGACCCTCTCCTTTAATCAAAACATGACACAAGATGACAGTGACTCCCCATGGCAAGTCCCATTGGCAGTGCTGAGCCAGCGAGGCGGGGGCCCGGTCAGGGTCCCTGAAGGAAAGAGATGTTACTCTCCAAACTGAAGAGACTGTACAAAGAGATTCTTTATAAGGAAAACTAACAAGGGAGGTGCTATGCACCAGGGCTGGCCACAGCCAGGAGCTGTCACCACCCTGGGGCCTGAAGGGGAGGGAGTGGTGTTCCTGGACCACGGAGACAGTAGCTGCAGCCACGGGAGAGGGCAGCCCCACAGCAGCTGTGGCCTTGCTAGGGGTACAGACACAGCCAACCCATGGAAACCCTCATCTCATCTCTTCCCACCTTCCTATCTCCTACCAGTTCCTCTACTTGGCCAAAGCAAAGAAAAGTCCTTGCTGATGAAACCCATCAAGGTTAGCCTCTGGAGGCCCAGAGAAGAAAGGAGAGGGGTGGAGAGTGGATCTGGGGCTGGGGCTTGCGGGGGAAGAAGACACCCAACATGTTTCATCTTGCTAACACCCAACATGGAGACAGCAGGAGGAGGCACAAAGAGGGCGTGCGGGGCTGTGGATCTTCCACGCTGAGCCTCCACCTCCCACTATCCCTGAGCAGCAGAGGAATCCTGGTTTGCTACTGAGCTGCTGAACGACTGGGCAAATTGTTCAGCAGCTCTGGGTCCTGGTTTCCTTCCATGTCAAGTATAAAGATGGAACCCAACAGGCCCTAAGGTATGGGAGTCACAGCCAGCACTGCAGAAGAGGGAGGCCTAAGTGTGGGCCCTCTCAATGCCACTCCCAAACTCTGTGGTCTTGGACCAGGGACTGAGCCTCTCCATGCCTCAGTGTCTTCACTTGCAAAGGAAGGGTGTGAGAGCACCTTCGCCAAGGGATGTTGTTATGAGGAAACGAGGTCACGCATATAAAGTGTTGAGCAACATCCCAGGCACATAGAAAACATGCAATCACCCCTCCAGCTCTCACGTTCCCCAAGTTTGGGCCTTGTCTACGGATTTTTACATCCCTCATACACCTGGACCTCCCTCGTGCTGCTATCTTTTGTGAAAGCAATTTTCTTCATTGAATGATTCCATTAACTAGAACCTGCAAACCCAGCCTGAACATTCTAGCATCGAAACCTTCTCTTTTAAGCTCCGCAGTATGCACAGCCCTGCCCCAAAACCCCATGGAGAAGATCGCTTCAGCTTCAAAGATCTTGGTGCGTGTGCTATTTATGCCAAATGTTAGTGATGCCTCCTCGCTGAGCCTCCGGCTCGTAAGTCAATGCAAAACCAGCCACACTGCCTTGTTGCTCAGTGGCAGCACCACGGGCTTCTGCCTCAGTGCTTGAAGTCAATGGCGGTGGGGGTGCCCTGAGAGAAGATGCGTGTGCTGGAAGGGAAATGTGAGTATGGCCTCCTCAAGGTGCCACTGCTGTGCTCACCGTCTGCAGGGCAAACCGTGCCACAGCCTGGGGCTTCAGCTACTCATCCTAGAATCCACTCTGTATGGACAGATGTTTCCAAGCCCATGTGCTCTGGATTGCCAAGTGAGTGATCTATAGCAAGCAAGATCTAATCTATATCCACATCTAATACATATCAAATCTCTGTATCAATAAATAGATATCAAATCTCTATGTCAATTCTTTGTGTCAAATCTGTCTAGATCTAATCTCTAATCTCCTTCTATATCTTATTGATATCTCTACCTATCTTGTAACATAGCAGGGAAGGAGACAGATTTCATTTGTCACCTGGCTCTAGTTTAGATTCTATCACCTACTGACCGTACAACTTTTAAAAGGAAACTTGGTCTCTCTGGCTTTAGCAGGCTCCTCTGTAAAATGGGGTTAAGGTTAGTAACTCCCAGGGTTATTTCCCAATATATGAAAGCTAAACTGCTAGGTTCAAATCTTGCTGCCTTTGCTACCTGTTGGGCAAGTAACTTAACCTCTTTGCGCCTCAGTTTCTCATCTGTAAAACGGGGATGACAGTAATACTTCCCATAAGAGATAGTTGTGAAATGCAAATGAGCAAATCCATGTAAAGAACTTAATTTAGAAGAGGGACTCGCATGCAGTATAAATGCTTAATTCATGTTACATAAAAGTGCTAAATTTATGAATGCATGTCCAATGTACAGTTCCCATCTCAATGAAACATCTATTCAGTGTATGTAATCATTATTGACAAGAGTGATCTTTTTTTTTTAGACGGAGTCTCGCTCTGTTGCCCAGGCTGGAGTGCAGTGGTGCAATCTCAGCTCACTGCAAGCTCCGCCTCCCGGGTTCACGTCATTCTCCTACCTCAGCCTCCCAAATAGCTGGGACTACAGGCGCCCACCACCACACCCGGCTAATTTTTTTGTATTTTTAGTAGAGACGGGGTTTCACTGTGTTAGCCAAAATGGTCTCAATCTCCTGACCTCGTGATCCGCCTGCCTCGGCCTCCCAAAGTGGTGGGATTACAGGCGTGAGCCACCGTGCCCAGCCAAGAGTGATCATTTTAAGTGTTCTGAGTTAAGGGCTTAAATTCAAACTTTCAATGTCTTCGGTGAAGTCCACTCCCAACAAGAAGGGGGGAATGGTGATCTCAACACGATCTATTTTTTGAAATGGTGCATGTGGCTGCACTTTGGGGAACTTGCTGGCTATTTGCGGAATGTTGTATCACATCATTCACCCTGAGTCATACAGACTAGAGAAGATCCCATGGCCAGGAGATCGCAGATCCTCTCTGAGAATGACTCCATGCTCCAAGTCCAGACTCCCTGTCCATTGAGCCAAGTCTCTGCCCAGGCAGTGGTCTGGCTGGTCACCTCCCTGCCCCACCAGGGCTAACTAGAGAGGCAGCAAATCACAGCCAGAGGAAAAGATTATAGTAAAGCAATCTGGTCCCTCCCCAAACTAGCCTTCTCTGCCCCAGAGAGGTTCTTCTCCCATAAGGAGGCTGACGGGGGAAAAAAACATATGGGCTGAGAAGCAATTTAGTCTCACCATCCTCTCAACAGATGCTGGGCACCATAAGAATTAATGGGCTGGAGACTCAGGTAAGAGCCATTCAGAAGCTTCCCGATTACTCCAAAAACTGCTCTCTGTGGAGGAAAAGGTTAATCGAAGCCCAGAGCCGGAAGAACGGAGAGGAGACAGCAATTGTGTTAATCCCAGGAGAGGGGAAGAGCTTCACAAGAAAGAAGTTTGCACAAACAAGCCTGTGGTCTATCCCTGAAAGAAGAACCAGGCCTAAATATCAAGATATTTGAAAGATCTTCTCCATCAGTCCAGAGACCTTGGCAAACCCCTCTCCAAACCCCAGCCAAGTAGCTGGATTAAGAAAAAAAAATTTTTTTTTTAACTCTGCACATTCTTTGCACTAGTAAGCCATAAATCTCTTAGGAAACCATCTCCTGATGAGGTTTCTTCTCCCATAATGATCCAACAGAACTCAGTTTTTAAACACATGATGTACATGTTCCTGTGTATCATGGGTCATTGTGTACCCAGAGTCAGTCATGTCAATGCAGGTCTGGACACATTAGAAGATAAATGTGTCGGCCAGGCATGTGGCTCATGCCTGTAATCCCAGCACTTTTGGAGGCCAAGATGGATGGATCACGAGGTCATGAGTTCGAGAACAGCCTGGCCGACATGGTGAAACTCCATTTCTACTAAAAATACAAAAATTAGCCAGGTGTGGTGTCACATGCCTGTAATCCCAGCTACTCAGGAGACTGAGGCAGGAGAATTGCTTTAACCTGGGAGGCAGAGGTTGCAGTGAGCCAAGATCACACCATTGCATTCCAGCCTGGGTGACAGAGCAAGACTCTGTCTCAAAAAAAATAAATAAGTAAATAAATAAGATGAATGTGTCACAACCACAGCCTACAGCTGGTTAAAGTCTGAACTTAAACCAGAAAGGGTGATGTTTGAACATAAACAAGAGAACAAACAAGGAAGTTGCAATTGTATGGCTGGAAGTGTCTTTGTAAAATAAACTGTCCTCAGAACAAACGAAGTTACTCCAGGGTTTCCTAACCTTGCCACTACTGACATTTGAGGCTTTTTTTTTGGGGGGGGGTGCTTTCCTGTGCATTATGGGATGTTTAGTAGCATCCCTGATCTCTACCCACTAGATGCCAGTAGCATCCTTCACCCCGAAGTTATAATAATCACAAATGTTGGGCCAGGTACAGTGGCTCATGCCTGCAATTCCAGCACTTTGCGAGGCTGAGGCGGGCGGACTGCTTGAGCCCAGAAGTTCAAGACCAGTCGGGGCAACATAGCAAAATCCCACCTCTACAAAAATTACAAAAATTAGCATACACCTGTAGTCCCAACTACTTGGGAGGCTGAGGTGGGAGCCCAGGAGGTTGAAGCTGCAGTGAACCGAGATGGAGTCACTGCACTTCCAGCCTGGTTGACAGAGTGACAGAGCAAGACTCTCTCAAAAAGAAAAGGAAAAAGTCTCAGGTGATTGTCAGATGTCTCCTTGGCGGTCAAAATTGACCTAGTTGAGAACTACTGGTTTATACTTAAGTTTAAGTTCAGCTGAACATCAGTCAGCTAATTAGCTATTAGCCAAATTTCAGACATCAGCCCCCAGCTCAGCATAACATTGCTAAGATCTAAAGTTCCTCCAGCCTTCCAAATGCTCACATCAGACATTAGTTTCACTGGATGGCCCTGAATTTAAGCCTCTCTCCTTCTCTCCTACCTCCTTAGTCCTTTTCTTTCTCCCCTGCCTGATAAAGTAATTCTTTATTCATCTTGACATTATAATGACACAAAAGCACTGAAGGAGCAAATGCCTTAATTGAATCTAAGAATAACTGGCATTATTTTTATAGGAACCCAGACATACTACGCAAAAAATTCAGAACTCTGTCATTGGGTCTTTTTGCAAGGTTAACTTTTAACTGTAAGCTCCTCAGCACATCTCACCTCCTGGGCTCAGAAGCTCAAACCTCATCTCTCCAGCTCAGATTCCCCCACTACCTGGGAGATTTTACAACCACCTCCACTCTACCCAGTCACTCTCTTACAAACATGTTTGTCTTATTTCCATCCACTTATTACTATCTGAAGTTACGGATGCATTTATTAATATCTATTTGTACCTTTTTCATCTGACTCTCCTAGAATGGATGCTTTCTAGGCAAGGAAACTTCTGTTTTTCTCTGCTGTATCTTTCACAGTTAGCACAAGGCCTTGTCTCCACATGGCCCAATAGTGATTTACGGAATAAGGAAATAGATGAATCCCTTTACATAGATACAATTTCTCAAGTATTAACTTCCATTCATATCACTACTCATTTGCTACAGGAGCCCTGTTCACAATCATCATGGCCCCAGCATCATCTTTAAATCATGTGAATGTCATTCCCTTCCCTCTAACCCAAGTTAGCTGATCAAAGAAATTCAAGTATCTGGTTGGTTTTGAAAACCCAGAAGTTGGGAGTTTTCCTCCTGATGCCTTTGATCTCCAGGTCCTGAGGGGGATCTCAGCATAAACGAAGACCTGCTTCCCTCTAACTCTAGCTGAGTTCACAAATACCCAGATTGACAAATCTTGACTCGGCAAAAGAGCTCCTTTATTATATCTCCCAACGTATCTCAGTGTTTGAGTGGAGGCCATTAGCTAATTGACAGAGAGCCTGTTGAGGGTGGGGGAAGTGAGGGCAGGAGGAGGCAGAGACACTAGAATTAAATGGCAAGAGACCTTGCCAGTTGGAGTGGATTCAGAAATGATCAACTGTCTTGGGGATCGATGAGAAAGAAAGAATAAAGTAATAAGGATTCCAATGTATCAAAACACTACTGATGCGCAGGGACATGTTTTGCTTTTGTTCTTTTAAAATAAATTTTCATTCGGGTCCATTGCTTAAACCATTTTACCCCCAAGCCCTCTGACAAACTGTCAAAGATAACTCACTGCGCAAAGCATTGAATCTTTCTATCCATCTACCCATCATGCATCTCTCTACCCATATATCTAAGTACATCTGTGGATAGTTGTGCTAGGCACTGTCTATCTGTCCGTCTGTCTATCTATGGACGTTGGATTGCATATACCAAGCCCATTTCTCCAGCTTTGCCTGAATGTTAGCAAATCTTTCTACTAGTCAAGGCAACTTTATTTTCTTGCAAAATAGGAAAGCAGTTGAGAAGATAAGATTCTGATGTCATGCAACCCTGAGTCTAATGTGCATCAACACTATCTGCTTCCTGTGTGACCCTGGGCAAGTTACTTAGCCTCTCTGACCCTTAGGTACCTCATGTGGAAATCGGGTATCACACAAACACCTGTGTAACCATGGCATTTGAGGATAAAATGAGAGAAGTCAGTTCTTGGCAAATGGTAAATGTTAGTAAGAATGAGGATAAGAATAATGCCACCTAGCCACTCACTGAACTCCTTTTTTATTTTTTTTTCATTTCTAGGTCACCTGATTCGCTGGCAGTCACCATCTGGAGACCAGAGGAGCATTCATCACTGCAAGTCAGGGCTTCCTTGGTGCCTCCCCAGGGGCAGCCTGCCGAGCCGGGAAGCTGACACCAGGGATTTAAACCTTCCTCGGCTTCCTCATTCTATTAATCTGGCCGTTAAGCAGAGAGTCCTGCTGATGCCAACAGATGCAAAGCTCTGCTGTGCTAATGGTAAAGAGCATTAGAGGAGTCCTCAGCAGCCAATCAATCCATCTCCCCCAACTCAGAACAGCTGCACAGGGACAGATTAACCAAGCGATGGCTGAGGACCGTTGCAATTCACACGAGGGAGAGAGGGATGCGTGAAGGAAAGGGCCCCTGCACAGCCGTGTTCTAATGCAGGCCAGGTCTTGGACAAGCAAAGCGGCTGATGCATTGTGCAAGGACACAGCTCTCAGTGAAATCTAACAGGCAGGCTAACCTGTGACAGCTGGGCTCAAGATGGAGCAGGCGATGCTGTCCTTAGAAGCCAAGTGCACTGGGAGAAAAGCGGGAACTGACCCAGGGCTCAGGGTACATCTGTCACCTAACCTCTGCAGAGTTAATTCTTCCAAGCTTGGCCACATCTGCCATCTTGTTCATGGCATATGGGTAACATTTGAGGCACTACTTCCTGCCAGAAAGGGACCTGACCCCCTTGTCTGACCTGCCTGCAGGCAGCTGAACAGGATCCCATCATTCACCTCACAATGGGCTGAGGCCAGCACAAAGTCAGATCTGGCCACGGGCTTGTGCCAACAGTCACAAAGAAACATTTGCACTTTGGTTGGGTTCCAACATCTCTTTAACATGGGAAATCAGAACTCGGGGAGCGAGAACAATATTCCCAGGCTCCCCAAAGACAGGGAACCAAATGAGACTGATGGAGCATCGTTTGCAGACAAATTGAAGCTCTTCCCCAATGGCATAGCACAAATGCTGAGAGTCTACCTTGTGCCATTGCTGGTTGCAGATGGAGGTTCAGGTCCCTTGGGCTAACAGATTGGACTTTAAGAGTCGCCACTGTGTAAGGAGCTGCTGCTGGAAGCCTCAGGTGCTGGCCAAAGCCACTGGTCTGCAACTCCTCTTTCCCATGAGGGTTTTGAAGGGCTGATGGGGTGGTGTCCAGAGTGAAGGATACAGGAAGGTCAAAGACAGAACCATCCAGGGATTCTGCTGTTCCACTCCCAGGAGATAAGATTTGACTTCCAGAGTTCCGGACACAGATGTTCGCCCATGGGTTTTCATAAGTTTAATAGGGTATCCTTCTGGGGAAGGATAAGGAAAAGAAGGACCATCATTTTAAAAACACACCGTGGAAGTTCTCTCATAGTCCCTGGGGTAGACTGGGTAGAGACACGTTTCCCAAAGGGTAGCACACACATCTCTGATAGGAAGTTTAGGTGACATCAGAGGGTGCGTACAGGAACAATATTTTCACAGTTTAATATCTATTTTAATGTTGTGCAAAAAAATATATAACTAGCCCTTCAAACTTGTGGTTCCATGAATATTATTGCTTGAGACAGTGTTTCTCAATCTCAACACCATTAGTATTTAGGGCTGGATCATTCTTTTTTGAGACCGAGTCTCACTCTGTCACCCAGGCTGGAGTGCAGTGGCTCAATCTTGGCTCACTGCAGCCTCTACCTCCTGGGTCCATGTGATTCTCCTGCCTCAGCCTCCCAAGTAGCTGGGATTACAGGCACATACTACCATGCCTGGCTATGTTTTGTATTTTTTTTCAGTAGAGATGGGGTTTCACCATGTTGGCCAGGCTGGTCTCGAACTCCTAGCCTCAAGTGATCTGCCTACCTCAGCCCCCCAAAGTGCTGGGATACAGGCGTTAGCCACCGTGCCAGGCCCAGGACCAGATAATTCTTTCCAGTGGGGAGCTGGCCTGTGTGTTGTAGGATATTTAACAGCAACCTGGGTCTCCACCTACTAGATGCCAGTTGTAAACCCCCCAACCAGATGAGACCACCACCAAATGTCTTCAGACGTTGCCAAATAACCACTGGGAATCAAAACCACCCCCCGGTTTAGAACCATTAGATTAAGGTAAGTCTATTTCTGAAAGCAAAGTGAGTTATGTTAAGGAAAAATGTATTTTTAGGTGACTTTATAGAATAGATGAAATTTACATAAGGCAAAGGTGGTCAAGGTGATAAGGACAGACAAAACCAAGCCAGAGGACAGCCAAACAGGCAGAGGAAACCGAATCCTTTTCCTCCTCAGAGCTGCACCTTCTATACTTCCCTGCCGGCCCTGGCGCCTGGTCAGCCCTGGGGCCCCCGTGGCTATACCTGTGTGCCAGAGAATGCAAGGACAGAAAAGCACAAGGAAACTGTGAAGATCTGCTGGCCTTCCCCATCAGGGAGGAAGCAAGGAAGGTCTCCTCATTCCTCTTAGGAGAACCCAAGCAGAGATGCCAAGGAGAGGGCAAGGACCCAAGGTGGAGGAGGCAAAGGCCAGGGGAGCAGGTGGTCTTTTCCAGTCCACCCCAGAAACCCTTGAAATCGCTGAGCTGTCATTCAGCCTTGAAACGTTCGAACAGGTTTGACTGTGTCTGACACTTGCAAGCTATTCACTGTGGGGCTCTGAACGAGGCCTGTCCTGTCTGCCTACTCTCTTTACTGTCAGCCAAACCCAAAGAGCTAAGGAAATGATTAATCCAAAGATAAGAAACGTCCCCTTCAGATCCAGCAGGAAAAGTAACAGTTCTATTGGTTTAAAAAGCTGCCACTTGCCGGACGCAGTGGCTCATGCCTGTAATCCCAGCACTTTGGGAGGCCAAGGTGAGCGGATCACAAGGTCAGGAGATCAAGACCATCCTGGCTAACACGGTGAAACCTCGTCTCTAGAAAAAATATTAAAAAATTAGCCGGGCGTGGCAGCGTGCGCCTGTAGTCCCAGCTGCTGGGGAGGCTGAGACAGAAGAATGGCGTGAACCCGGGAGGCAGAGCTTGCAGTAAGCCGAGATCATGCCACTGCACTCCAGCCTGGGCAACAGAGACTCGGTCTCAAAAAAAAAAAAAAAAAAAAAAAAAAACGCTACCACTCACAAGCACTTAGCACGTACCCCGGACTTTATAAACATCATTTCCTGTGACCCTCAACCACAACTCTGCAAGGTGGGCACTATCACTGGGATGACGTTTCAGATGCGAAGACACTGGCTTAGACATTATGTGGCCCCATGAACACTGCAGGGCTAGAAGACACAGAGGTGGAATTCCACCTGGCTCTGTTGAACTCCAAGGCCTATACTCATAGCTGCTGCACTGTCCTAGCTCCCAGGAAGGCAGAAAGCAGACAGTCAGGGCCGTGCCCTCCCTTACAAGACCCGCTGGTCATCCTCCTCCCCACACGGAAATGCCACTGCAATCACAATTCCTCAGAATGGCCTAACACGCAAGCAGATGAAAGGGTGCAACTTCCTTCCATATGCTGCCCTCACTGCCAAGGAATAAAAGTCCTCCAAGTTCAGGCATCAAAGAGTAGCATCTTCCCACTTCATGGCTCTCCTCTGTCTCCTCTCTCCTTTGCATGAACCTCCGCATGATGGTTGGGCAGGAGCGAAGGACAGACGAAAACTCAAAAGAAATGATTATGGTTCTCGCCACAGGTGGGAGGGGCACCAGACACCTGGGTGCGAATGTGCACCCATGCACACCCACACCATTGCACACACGTGTACACTATATGCCAGTGTGTATACATACATGTGCAGGCACACACACATCCAAATGGGACCAGGGGCAGCCATGGGCCTGTCCAGCCTTTCAGAGCCACGGGACAAGTCCCCTTGAGAGCTGGAATACTAAGGCTGAGATAAGTGGCCAAGACAGGAAAGATACTTACCTGAGTCTCCAGGGTGATGAGCGGACTTGGGTGTGGATCCTGTAGGATGAAAGGAGAAAATGCACGTGAGGAGTGAAAAAAAGTTAACTTACTACCCCAGCATCTTTTTCTTTCTTTCCTTTTTTTTTTTTTTTAAGAGACAGGGTCTCGCTTTGTTGCCCAGGCTGGAGAGCAGTGGCATGATCATAGCTCACTCACTGCAGCCTCGACCTCCAGGGCTCAAGTGATCCTCCCACCTCAGCCTCCCAAGTAGCTATGACTACAGGCATGCACTATCATGCCAGGCTTTTTTAAAAAATTATTTTTGTAGAGATGGGGTCTCGCTATGTTTCCCAGGCTGTTCTCCAACACTTTGGCCTCAATGATCCTCCCACTTCGGCCACCCAACGTGCTGGGATTATAAGCATGAGCCACCACGCCAAGCTCCCAGCATCATTTTCAAACAAAGCTTGATTTCCCCAGTGGTCAAGCCACCCCACGGGGAGGGCAGCCCAACCTGTGTCCTCCATTCTACAGAGACATCAGGACAGCTTGGCCCAGTCTGCAGGCCGCCCCAACACTTCCTCTCACGCACAAGTGATGAAAGAGGCTCAAGTTTTTATGAAGGAAATGCCCACATGGAGATCACACAAAACAACAAAATGTAAAGAAAAAAGAAACAAGGCACCCTTGCCAAAGAGCTCAACGTGTATCCAAACCCTCTATAAGGAGAGTTTGGCTCCGTAAGAGGATTAGGAATAAACCAGAAAGAATATAAAGTCCTGACTAGGAACAAGGCCATCATCAATTTGTGTCTGATCTTGGAAAGAACAAGGGAAGGAATGAGAGCGAGCAGCTTAATTTCTGGTTTGAGGAGCACATTCCATGGTCTGGGGAAGGTCTTTTTTTAGGATAGAGAAGGCCAGAGAAATGTCCTATTCATTCACTCTGTACAAAAGCCGATTGACTGGGAATGCTTGGTGGTACTGTCTCGGGTCATTAAGCATGAACCCTTTGGGTTGGAGGAGAGACAGGGAGGGTACAGGAGGAGGAAAAGACTGATGGGAGGAGTTGGTGGTGTCCAGTGAGTGGTTTCCAAAGAAAACAGGAAACCCAGCACATGAAGGCTATTTCTGTCTATACCACGTCTGCTCTGAACTTAATCATCTTGGATTTATAATTCTGGGAAAAACAACCTCAAGCTTCCTCTGATAGAGAATGGGCATGATTTTAGGGCCCTGAAGTACACATCCAGTTTGAAGCTTTGCTTTGTCTTAGCAGATTTTCCACCACGGGGTTTTAGGAAGCCATGCAAATTAGCACCAGCCCATTGTCCCATACTGTGAGCAAGAAGGAAATGCAGGGAAATTGGAACTTTCTAAACCCCTTCTCTAGGTGAGCTGCCATTCACTGTCTTGATGACTGTTCTACGGTATCTTTGTAATGATGCCCAATTCTGAGGAGTGTAAGAGGCACGATCTCAGAAATACGGTGAGCTCTGCTCAGCTCTGTCCTTTAGGAAGAGGAATTCGTCGTCCCCCAACTCCAATTCTGAGTCCAACTCCCAGTAATTCTCCATTGGTGTAACTGAAAGGAAACTGCCAAGAGAACATCCCACTCTAATTCTCACATTCCCCCAGGCATTGAGTCTTCCTCATACCCAAGAAAACATGGAGGGGAATATGTTCTCCCCGTCTCCCCACATTGCAGCCTTGACCTATAAAGGAATCTGGGGAAGTCATGAAGGAGCTGTTTTGGGCCTGTCTCTTCAAATCCTTACTGATTCCTTCCCAGGGGTGAAGAAGTGGCAGCTAGGATTGGTAAAACCCGACATTCATAGAGCAACTTTCTTTTGATCAGGCAGGTTTTGTATCACTCGCATGCAGAAAGAGTCTACTCTGTACTTCCTGTTTCCCTGTGTTGGGGCAGGACCCATTTTTGTCTTTGGGAAGCAAGACCATCCTCCTGGTCTGTGGGTGGCAGCATGAGTCAGACCTGGTACGAGCTTAGTGGGCGAGAGCATGCAACATCTGCTGTTCAGGTCAGAGTAGTCTGTGTCTGTCTGTCTGTCCATTCAGATCTTACCACCTCGATTTTGATTATAAGATAAGAAGCTGCATCTCAGCCTCAAAATTAGCCTCAATCTCCAAGCCAAGTGCTAGCAAAGCACCAGACTGGGGTGTTGGGTGCATGCCCAGATTAATTAAGCTGTACTTCACAGACCATTTGGCTATTGTCTGAGACTTAATGCTTCATTGCTTAGAATCTCCAAGAGGTTGAAGAGGGGAGAATGCCATCCTGACCCCTAAAAGCAGCTCCAATGGACAAGACTTTCCTTGGGAAGTCACAGGAAATCTCTGTCAACTGTGTTGACAAAATCAAAAGCCTGATCTCTAGACACAGTGAAGCATCAGCTCTCTATTTGATGTTCCAAAATCAGAGACCTTATCAGTGCATGGTCAGGGATCCAAGATTAAGAAGATTCTGGAAAGCAAAAGCACAAATGCTATCTATTTAGCATCTTCATTAACTAACTGGGAAGAAGATAAAGTCCTCACAAGGGGCCACATCATTAATACTTGGGTTTCACTTGCCAGCATCATTATGCTCTCCTCCCTCTGCACACACTGGAAATGGAAGACTCTCCCTAAAGAGCCTCAGTCCAGAGGATTCAAGGTATGACTATATATCTGTGAGGTCTCGCTTTCAGCAACATCCTCCTTAATTGGAAAGGCTAACGAAGTGGAACCAGGTCAATGATGCTGTCTGCCTAATCCATCCTATCTGTCTAAATTGGGACTCTTTGGTTTACAGTAGAGTAAATTCCTGTCCATCAGAGGAAAGCCTCCTGGAGACCAAAGGGGAATTTGCAATGTGCGTGCACGCTACAGTGGAGTGCTTTTAGAATCTTAATGCCGGTACCAGTAACCATGGAACCGCCTACAACAAGGAAAGCCCTTTCCTATCATCTATTGCAATGGCTCAGTTGGGGAAGTCAAATGGGGAACCAGGTGCACTGAATTGGTGGCCCTCATTCGTCACAGCTCCTAGATCCATGCCCTCTGGTCATGTGACTCGACAGTTCTTTACTGTGTGCTTCTGCAGCCCTTAAGCTTGGGTTTGCCCATTTGACTGCTTTGCCCAATGGGAGGTTAGTAGATGTGGCATAAGCAGAAGCTTGAAATATGCTTAGGTGATCAAGTGTGGCCTACTGTGTTTTTGCCATTGCCACAAGAGATCATGTCCCCAGTACCTTGCTGGTCCAAGGAGGATGCCAGACACGTGAAACAAACCTGTACACAATCTACAGCGTGCAGCCACGCCCCGCCTAGATCAGCCGACCCCCTGCCAACACAGAGAAAATATATGCTTGTTGTTTCAAGCCACTGAGTTTTGAAGTCATTTGTTATACAGCATTATTGTGGCAGTAACTGATATACTTTCTAAACACTGACCTCGATAGATCAAAAAGTGTTGTCACAAACACTCACAGACTCAGAACCTAAATAATACATGCTCTTTCTCTAAGTCTGCAAATGCATCCCAGGAACCTGAAATTACTACAGCTAACAGCGATCATTTATAGAGGGCCTCCTAGGTGCCAGGCCCTGTGTGCTAGCTCTATTATTACATCAAGCAAGGAAATAAGTGACCATCAGGATCTTGCATGCCTCTGAATTAGCCTTCAATCCTGTGTGCCCAATATACCAGTCCTTCTGAATTTATTATTTAGATACCAACACAACATGACAGGAAATGATTACTCAGAATCCTTTTGCCTGAAAATACATACAGTTTTCATTCCTTTGGTTTATTCTTAACTTTGTCCTATGGGCATATTACTTGACTGAGGTTCTGAACAGTTGAATACTAGCAATAAATGACATTTGTTAAGTTCTCACTATGTTCCAGGCACTGGGCTTAACTTCTATGCGTGTATCATTTCGTTTACCCCTGTAATAACCCTAAGAGGTAGATACTATCATTATCACTATCATTAGTATAGAGATGGAGAAACTGATGACCAGAGAGACTGGTAACCTGTCCGAGTCACACAGATGCTGTTGAAAGCCTGGATCTGATCCCAGCATCTTACACTGGAGAACACTGGGTTCCACTCTTTCACAAGAGCTCTGCTGGAAAATATATTATTACTTTAGACAAAATAATCCTACAATTTTTGGATAATGTCTATCAAAATCAAGAATACTTACAGCAAATAAGCAGTACCACCTTAACAAATACCGTAATCTTTTTTTTTTTACCATCTGTCTTTTTTAAAAAGGTAGCGGACATGGTTGATAGAAATTAGCACACATATCATGACTAGAAACAAAACAGTCACTTTGCCACAGCAAGGAACCATGTAAAGTTAGCTAAATCAATCCACACGTGTTTACTAAGTTCCGATTCAGTAGCTAGCTCTATGCGTGGCAGGCACCATGAGGGAGACAGAAATGAGTTTAAAGTGACTCTGTGTACACTGCTATTCCCAAAGGTAACTGTTTAAATAAGAGGCAGGAGCCTGATTACAGGTCTTAGAGCAATGAAACTTGTCTACACCTCAAAAGTCTTGCTTGTAAGACCAAGAAGCCAGGCTCAAGGCCAAAGGCTTAATTTTAACAAGCAATTAAGCCCCAACAAAGAAAGTAGAGAGAGGAGGAGGACTTTGTTCGTTATCATTCCACACATACATCAAACCTATCTGGCTCTCCTGGCGGATTCTGAGCCCTGAGCTAAGCCTCAGCCATTGGAAAGCATGTTCTCTTCCTTTGCTTTGAGGACATTCAGAAGACAGTGCTTGTTCTTTGGTGTTAGGCAATGACATTGGTGTAGAGATAATGACACTGGAACTCACGCCTTCAGAGCCAGGTATCTCCGTGAAGCCCACCAAATCAACAACATAGACAATGGACATTTACATGCTACCTTCTTCCACAGACGCTCCCAGGGAACACTTCAGAAGGCTGGCTTGGTGCCTTCTCTCCGCCAAGAGCCCTCTAATTAAGGCCAGAACTGGGAATCTTCCACCATCAAAAGATGGTGTCTCACTGTCACTCATCATCCAACCACCAGATAACTTGGAAAATCTAAGAAACTCTTCTTGGGATTGCAGATCACAGCGAATGAAAACTCACTCATGACTCGAGCCTGCTGGAGAATGTCCAGCTCTAGCCAAGTCTGAATGACCAGCCAGAAACCTAAAGGGACACTGTCACTTAGCTGCAGGCCTAGTAGTGCAGGACAAAGATGAATTATTCAGTGGGAAAAGAGGGCAGGTTTAGGGGTCGCCCCAGAGTTCAAACCATACATAACCACTGTATTCATTTGCTAGGGCTGCTATAATAATACACAGGTGAGGTGGCTTAAACAACAGAGATTTATCCTTTCACAGTTCTGGAGGTTGAAAGTCCAAGGTCAAGGTGTCTGCAGGTCTGGCTTCTGAGGTCTGATTCTCCTCCTAGCCTGTAGAGATGGTGGCCTTCTCACTGTTTCCTCACACAGCCTTTTCTCTATGCATCCCGGGTATCTATGTGTCAAAATTTCCTCTTCTTTTTGGGGTGCCAGAAATGGAGTCTCATTCTGTGGCCCAGACTGCAGTGCAGTGGCACAATCCAAGCTCACTGCAACCTCCGCCTCCTGGGTTCAAGCGATTCCCCTGCCTCAGCCTCCCGAGTAGCTGGGATTACAAGTGGTTGCCACCACGCCCAGCTAATTTTTTAGAATATTTTTAGTAGAGATGGGGTTTCACCATGTTAGCCAGGCTGGTCTTGAACTCCTGACCTCAAGTGATCCACCTGCTTCAGCCTCCCAAAGTGCCGGGATTACAGCTGTGCACCATCATGCCAGGCTAATTTTTGTATTTTTAGTAGAGATGGGCTTTTGCCGTGTTGGCCAGGCTGGTCTCGAACTCCTGACCTCAGGTGATCTGCCTGCCTCACCCTCCCAAAGTGCTGGGATTAAAGGCATGAGCCACCAGGCCTGGCTCAAATTTCCTTTTCTTATAAACAAACCAGTCAGATTGGATGAGGGCCCCATTAATTTAATGCAATCACCTCAGTAAAGGCCTTATCTCCAAATAGTCACATTTTGAGGTATTGGGGGAGGAAGGGTTTCAACATATGAAATTAGGGTGGGGGTACAATTCAGTCCATAACAACCACCTAGCACCACTTGCGACCTTGGGCAAAGTCCTTAGCTTCTGTGAGCTTTATTTTTCTCACTGACCCCCACGTAAACAGGTAGGATTATACTTGCCAACAGAGCTACTGTAACAAAGTGGAAAACAGATTTTCTGGGACCTTTTTGTAAGGGACACTATTAATAATTATACAAGCTTAACAGGTATAAACCCAGACTGTCCCAGGAAACCCTAAGATAGGCTCCTCTTTGTCTTGAACACAGCATACCACTGACATCATGAGTTGTCGTGAACATTAAATAAAAATAAATACTGTACATAGTTACAACCTCAGAAATGATCTTCTCTTTGATTTCTTCCTCCAGGCTTACAAAGGCTGAGACATATCCCTCTATACTCAACCCTACTAAACCACAAGTCTTCTGAACTGCAAGTTACCGTAGATACGAGTGCAACCTATGTCACGTGACGGCAGTGAACTGAGCAAATTTAGCTAATTCGTTTTGAATGCTTACTTTATGCCAAGCATACGAAATTCCTGCAACGCTGCCAAGGGAGGTATCATGATCCCCATTTTATAGATCAGATAACTGATACTCTCAGAGAATAATTTGCTCAAAAACACAGGGCTAATCAGGAATGGAGCCAGGAGCAGTAAGCAAGTTTGTAAGTTGCCAGAAACTAGTCCTTTAACCGATATCCTGGTGTTAATCAAAAGTATGAACTTACTGAATCAGAATCTCTGGGCAAGGGTCCAAGGAATCTACATTGTTATGAAACACCCTTGGGGGATTCTTACGTACGCTGAACCGGAGAGACTTTACATGATACCTAAACTCTACCATGTGTAATGCAAGACTGAAAAAGCTTCCAAACTGACAAAGAATACGATTCCTGCCTCTGATCCCCAGCCAGCCATCAAGTGTCGGATGCATGCGTGAAACTCTTAAGAGCGTTGGTGTTCACGCTCTGCACCCCCAAGAAATTTCCAGGACGGGTGCAAAGTGTTCCCTTCTCCCCACTTTGGTGAAGAGATTTGCCTTGCCCTAAAAAACCTGGCTACCACCCTCCACTTTCCAGCATTTCCTCCTCAGGGAAGTGGGACTCTTTTTCAACTCCTCCTTCTTAGGGTCTCATTGCAGCAACCAAGGTGTTGCATAACGGGGCTTTCTCTTCAGATGTCCCCATGGGATTTCACACTGGCTCCTAAGACGAAGGCTGGGCACGTGCAGGGCAGGCGGCATGGGGTGATGAGGGAGGGATGCCAGTGATACAGAGGTGTCCTTGTTCTCTAAAAAAGACTGCATTTGGAATGTGAATGCAGGCCAGAATCACACAGCCCTCACCTTGTTGGAAAATGTGAACTCACCTTCAAATAGGGCTCAGGGGAGAAAACAGAAACCCCACAGAGAGAACAAGGGGATTCTCAATGTTTTACAGAAACGTTGGCAGTTAAAACTGGGTGTATTGCGCGCTCTCTTTCTCTCTTTTGTATTAAAAGCTTAAAAAGCTGGTCTTTCTGCTATCCTACTTTCATTCTACATTTTTTTAGCCCAGGACCCAGAAATGAGCAGTAGAACCTTAAAATGAAGCTTAGGCCCTTGGAGATGGCAATTCATCACCCACAGCCTTGGAAGATAGAGAAACCACAGACTCATGGAAACTTGGGAATTATCTTAATGCTTCTCCAGCTTGGTATGTGTATCCTTGAGCACAAATGGTTATCAAAAATCTAAACTCCTGTATTTAATACTTTGTTCTGTGTGTGCCTCAAGAGGTTTTGTAATTCTTTAAAAAGTACACAGAATTACCATCTTAGAATTACAAGGTTTTGAAGAAACCTACCTGAAAAGATTAGAGGCTTGAGCTACAGAGTGTTAAGACAAGAATGCCCAACTGGTGGCCTGTGGATGCTTCAAGCTGGTTTGCTTTTTTTTTTTTTTTTTGGCCTGCAGCCTTGATGAAATACTTGAAATCATTCATTGCCAATGTTTTAAAACCAGGATACTTCACATGCAAATCTAGATTTCTCACGTCTCCTTTAAGAACAGAAGATTTAGCAACACTGGATGTGTATTCTTGCAAGAAAACAGCTCCAGACTGAGTAGCTGGCCTGGCTACTGCAAGCAACAGAATTTATCACCCCCATATTAATGCAAATTGCCTAAGGTCACATAGCTAGTCAATATTGACAATAATCAAAATACCAGCTAACATTGTTCTCACACTGAATGCCAGGTATTACTGTAAGGGGTTTGTAAATATTATCTTATTTAATTCTTACAACTGTCTGGGTGTTGTGGCTCAAGCCTGTAATCCGTGGAGGCCAAGGCTGACGGATCACTTGCGGTCAGGAGGTCGAGACTGGCCTGACCAATATGGTGAAACCCCATCTCTACTAAAAATATAAAACTTAGCTGGGCGTGTTGGTGCATACCTGTAGTCCCAGCTACCCAGGAGGCTGAGGCACGAGAACAGCTTGAACCCTGGCGGCAGAGGCTGCAGTGAGCCAAGATAGTGCCACTGCACTCCAGCCTGGGTGACAGACTGGGACCGTGTCTTAAAACAAACAAACAAACAAACAAACCAACCTTACAAGAACTCCAGGAGGCAGGCACCAAAAGCCCCATTTTACAGATGGTGTAATTGAGGCTCAAAGGAGAAGTAATTTTTTCAAACTCATTCATTAGTGGGTGGTGAAGCCAGGATTTGAAACAGGGCATCCTTTTGGACCACTAAGCTACCCTGCTTCCCAGTGGTACAACCACATCTTGAACTGGAATCATTAAACCACAGTTCCTGGTTCTATCAGCATCTGGCACTAAGAAGCCATAAGGAGCACTGAATTGGATCAGATGCTCCTCATACTAGATGTTCTCATTTCCTTGCTGCGAGTCTTCAGGTCGACTACTTTGCTTTTTCCAGTGGTTAATGGTAATAATCATCACCATGATCCTCTCACACTCATTGTGGAGCACTGACTGAGATGTTCTACCAGAGCCCGGCTCAGTCCTGACAGAGTGGGTGGGCCACCAATGTTAGTTCCTCTTAGAAGACAATTGGCGACACTTTACAGTGTTTTGCTTTTCACAGCTCAGAGGCATCTCAGACCATAAACAAGACCTGCCACGTGCCAAGAAGGCAGCCGTTACCCGACATGGCCCAGACAGGAAGTGCTGGCTAAATCCCACCATGCCGCAAATCTTTCTAAAGGTGGCCACCCAGGCTGTGTTTGAACACACATCCTCCTGGAGCTGGGAACACACGCCACATCTATAATTCATCCCGATAATTAGCTTTTCCCAGGCACAGGCCGCAGCACCTATCAATTTTGCACCCACTTGCTGTGGTCACCAAGATGGCAGGTGGCCCAACTGGAACCAATACTGCCAAGTGTCCCACAGACATTGTCTGGAGTTCCAATGATACTATGTGACTTCTGGGACTGCTGGGTGAGATCTCTGTTCCACAGGAAAATAGTTCATATTTGAGCTCCAGAATCCAAAATCGTGAGTTCAAGAAAAGCACTTAGAGGTGCAGACCAGTTATGCAGCGAATTCACAATAAGTTGCCCGAGGCAGCTGTTACTAAGCAGTCCACCTGGCCTCAAATTCTCAATACGGCCCGAGGAGCAGATATTATTAATAGATTCCAGTTTCCCTAGATGTCCGTCCCTGACCTGAATCAAACCCATCACTGTTTGGTGAGGCATGGGAGATCCAGGAGGAAAGGCCTATTTCCTAAGGGCCACACACAGTTTGGATTAAAATTCAGTGTAGAATGTCAGTTTTTTGATACCAAATCTGGAGTTCATCCCATTTTGCCAAAATAAATTTCTATGCACATCCCTCCCTGCTTTTCTTCACTTCCTCCTCTTTTGCTCCTTCACAAGAGCCTCTGACCAGGACATCTATTGTCGAAGATACAGGAAAACTGTGATTCAGCAGTGCTTCGCGTCTGGAATGACTCCAAGAGGCCACACACAGAACTGCCGACACAAACCACGGGGGGCGGAAAAAACGATCCCAGGAGGTGGGGAGTGGAGAGCTTTGCAGTCCCAGGCTACAGCTCGGGATGTAGAGCTGCCTTCCTAGGACAGAAGAGAGACGATGAGAACACCTGGCTGGAAGGTGGCCCTGCAGGGGACGGATGGGCCTTCTACATTTAGAGTCAGGATGGAGTCAGAAAGCTTCAGCAGGGGAGGGACTCTGCCTGCAGCCTGTCCCCTCAACCTCCTCTAATATTTCTTAATGAAACGATAGTGACAATGAAGATGACAGCCTTGATGACAGCGCCCAGTAGACCGCTATCATTGGTTAAGTCCTTATGAGATACCATAATTCACCATTTATGAGCATTACTTCAATAAACCCACATTCTATCCTCATGAAGTGGCTGTTCCCAGAAGGCCATAAAGACTGGATAGATAGATTTTTTTTTTTTTTTTGGTTTTTACTTTAAAAAAAAAAAACGACAGGGTCTTGCTCTGCTGCCCAGATTGGAGTGCAGTGATGTAATCATGGCTCACCACAGCCTTGAACTTCTGGGCTCAAGCAATCCTTCCACCTCACCCTCCCAAGTAGCTGGGACTACAGGCCTGTGCCACCACGCCTGGCTAATATTTCATTTTTTGTAGAGATGGGGTCTTCCTATGTTGCCCAGGCTGGTCTTGAACTCCTGGTCTCAAGTGATCCTACTGCCTTGGCCTCCCGAATTGCTGGAATTGCAGGCAAGAGTCAGTGTGCCCAGTTTGCTTTTTCTCTTGATGACATTAAGTATTTCCTTGTTCCTGGATTATGAATACCCTGTAGTACTGTTCCTAATTTATATAGGAGGAAACTGAGGCTCAGAGAGTTTCAAAGACTTGGTTGAAAGCCACAGAGCCAGGCCCATTTAACCTTAATATCTTCAGAGAGGTTTAAAAAAAAAAAGAAAAAAAGGTAACCAAAATGCTTGGATGTGGTATGGTGTGATCTGCATGGTGCACAAAAATACTTCTTTTTTTTTTTTTTTTTTTAGATGGAGTTTTGCTTGTCACGCAAGCTAGAGTGCAGTGGCGTGATCTCGGCTCACTGCAACCTCCACCTCCCGGGTTCAAGCGATTCTCCTGCCTCAGACTCCTGAGGAGCTGGGATTACAGGCACATGCTACTAAGCCTGGCTAATTTTTGAACAATACTTTTTTTAAAATTAGGTGCCAGCATTTAAAATTTAGGGTGAAATCATGATATTCTGATTTGTGGCTTTTCGTGAAATGTGGAAAGATCTGACCCACTGGGTAGGCAGGTCCACTTAAGGCAGGCACATCCCCTTCTGTTTGCCACAACCCCACCCTGCCCACCTGGGCTGAGCCCTGAAAGCATCTAAGTTTATGACCTTCCTATCTGTTCACCACCATACCTTACCCCTCCCCCACAAAGGAAGGTACCATGTTACCCCATGAACATGACTCCAACCCTCACCCGCCAACCTCAAGAAGAAAAATTCGGGATCCCGTGACTTCACAGCAGAAACAGAAAAACTCAAATAATCCATCAGGAAGTTGAGCACTGAGGTTAATACACACAGGACCATCTTCCTCTAGCTCAACAGTCTTGACTTTTCAGGGCCGTGACCCAGAAGGGAGGTGCCCGTGCAGAAGGCAGAACAGGAAGAGGTTCTTAGCACCCACTGTTTTCTCTTCCTGCACAGCCGCCTTGGGCAGCTGCCTGTGAACAGCCTGGCTGTTTTTCTCCTAGCTCTCTCGGAAGGAAGTGCTCTCATCACCCACGACAACAGAGTTGGCCCGAGGAGCCAAAAACGTGCAAAGGGGCTCCAAGCCCAGCTCTCCTTCTGTTCGGGGCAGCCTCAGAGACAGGAAGATGGGAAGAAAGTATGGCCTGGGATAGAACATCCTGCGAGACCCTTACAAAGCCCCAGCTGTGGGGGAAGGGAACAACAGGAGGGGGCCAGAGGAAGGGGGTCCAGGTCACACCAATTTTATACAATGAGCTCCTTTCATCCGTGAATAGAGGACTCTCCTTAACTCTGTCTCAATGGCTTTGTTTCTGAAACGATCAATTCTACACCCAGAAAGCCAAATTTGCCAGACCTCATGCCAAGGTCAGGCAAGAGCCTGAGATCCCCCAAGCAAGTTGATAATCAACACGCAGGAGACGACGCTGTGCTAAGTCCCATTTGGCGGATCCAAAGCTTACAACGATCCGCTTTCATTTCTACGCCTTCTGCAGTGGGGCGGGGTTGGGGGACCCTCGCTCACATGCATGCCACGCTTGGTGGAACTGTAGGCTGTATTCAGGAGAGTAAGTGTTACTTTCCCAGGGACTTCATTGAGACATCTGCGGGGAGGGCAGGATGAGAAAGAGCTGGAGAAACAAGATGCAAGGTAAAGTGTGTGGTCTCACACTGAACACGTTCATGAAGTGGTGGGAAGCAACCCTAGTGACTCAGCAGTGGCCTCTGTTTAGCCAGCACTTTGAGAACACGATCTTCATGGGCTGACTGCAGAGGTGGCCAACAGAAACTGGAATCTACAAGCAGTATTCAGCTCAGGCATAGTTTGTTCAGCCTGCACAATGTTTTAAAAAGAACAACAAAAACCTACATAGGATGCCAATACTTCACATTCAGGAGGTTTCCCATAAAACTGCAAAGTTCTGGCATTTTTTGGAAAAATCAGAAGACCTAGCTACACAAATCCAGCATTTTCCTAAGGCACTGCCTTTCTGGCACTGGAAAGCAGCTATCTCCCTTAGAAGGGTCACAGGCCCTCCTGCTTGCCACAGTCCCCGCCCCAGACACATGTCCTTCACTTACGGCTGCCAGTGTGGCTGCTGTGGGCATTGGTGTTTGTAATCTCTGGTTTAGTGGATCCTAAGCTAAGCCCAGCACTTTCAGCTGGAGGACCTGAGGTTAGAGAGAAGGACGGGATATGAACCATAGACAGGTTGTAAAGTAACGTGGCTGCAAAGTCCAAGAATAATTTAACTCAAGAAGCACCTATGAATGCACACCCAGGAATACAAGGCAGAGAGCAAAGTTGACTCCCATGGATAGGGGTGAGAGTCCTGTCTTCTCATCAGCCCCTGCTACATACTTTTGACAACTTGTCCCACTTCCCCAGGACCAGGGACTATCTTCTTTGTTTTTATGCTTAATGAAGTCCTAAGACTGCCACATAGAAAGCACTTGGTAAATTCTTGCTGAACCAAAATCAACGGAAACCCAATTCATGTTATAGGTGGAATCTGAGAGATGTATGCTGAGAACTCAGCCAACTTCTGAGCTGTAGGATGTTTTCCTGACTGTAAGTCAAGGCAAGTCCTCCCTATAAAGAAGAGTTTGGGGTATAAATGACACAGCAGAAGGAGACAAGCTCAACCTACTGATTGGCTAATGTCTGAGATGAGGAAGCAGAAAGGTTAGTCTTTATAGGATATGTAGCATATCTGATGAGCTATGGTCTGTTAGGAAGGTACTATACGTACTAATTTCATAAAATTGAAGTATGTTCCAACTTATCAAAGGATGCAAAAACTCCACAGAAGGAAGGAAGGACCTCATGTGGTGGCAGGTGCAGCATATTTTACTGCAACCTTTCTAGGTCTAAAAAGGTAAAATGAGGTTTATCACATCTGCTTCTGCTGTGTATAGCCATGGCTAGTTTTCTCCAGCTCTGTTTATTAAGAGACAGAGAGAAAGAAAGAGAGAGTGTATGTGTGTGAATATGCATGTGTGTACACACACATATGTGAGCATCCACATGCACATACAGGTATGCATGTGTGGTCTCTTTCATTCAACACCCCCCCAAAAAAAGTTGCTATGGGATCTGTAGATTTTGTTTGCTGAGTATCCCTAATTTTGGAATTCCCTCTGTTCTAAGTTGCCCCATTCTTGGTACTAATTTCAAATGGCTGTGGGGGAGGGGAGGCTAGCTTCAGACAAGATTCCACTAAGAGTTTTACTTCTGAGCTGGGATAGAAGCAGGAAAGAATAACAGGAAAAACATGCAGCATCCCATCTCTGCACTTTGCATTTAGTTATAATTATTCACGCAGGAGCATCTTTAAACACCAAACGAGGGAAATATTACAGTTGTTCTGATTTCACATGCTAACTGTGTTTACATGCTAACAGCATTTCTCAGGGACAATTATCTTATTACTAGTGCACTAATCTTTTCAATCTTTTCAACACATTTTACAGCTGCAGACTTCAAAAATTAAGGCTAATTAAGACCTTGCTTTCAGCAGGTACAGTAAACTACTCACATTCCAACATGGTAAAAGAAAATCAGTTTAGGGGAAAGGGTGTTAGAGGGGCACAGTGTCAATGGCAGACAGAATACATTAGATAGCTTCCATCAGTGTGAGGACTACAACTCTCCCAATGCTAATGTTCAAGAACAAGTTCCATTAATGGTAAGGCCTGTCGAATTCAGGACCAAGGACAGCTGGTCTGGCCCATTTTTAAGAGAAAGTGGGTATTTTGCATTCAATTATCCGTTTCCATTCATTATCTTCTTCCGTGTGACTTCAGCATAGAATAGTGGCTAAGAACATGGAAACTTGTATCAGAGTCTCTGTGTACAAATGCCGGCTCAATTATTTTCCGTTTGAACTTGAGCAAATTACTTGAGATCTTGGTGCCTCAGTTTCCTCATATGCGAAGTAGGAATAATAATAATGACATATACCTACTTCCCAGGCCTGTTATTAGGATTCACCGAATATCTGTAAAGCACTTACAACAATGTCTGATCATAATAAATCATCAAATACGTATTTCTTTTAAAAAGTGTGGTCTATAAGGACTAACAACAAACATCTGTTTTCTAACACGTTCTTGACCTCACATGTACTCACTGCATTATGGGCCATTTGAGGGCTGCTAATATATAATCATAGCTATATTTATTGTGCCTGTTAGCAATACATTCTCCAGTTACTTGCCCTGCTATCTCATTAGCTGCCATATAAAACCAGCACCTTGGATCATCCAATATTATTTTTTGTTTTGTTTCGTTTTAAATCACAGAGAAGCAGAATGCTCTCTGAAGGGCTGTTGTTGGAATCCATATTCACAGTCCAGCTTCTCAGATCCCAAGCAAAAGCTCTGGCATCCCAAGTTGTGGCGTCTGAGAAACCAGTAATCAGCGTCTACAGTGCTCGGGCCACTGACGTTCATCAGGCACCTACTATGTGCCTCAACCTAGGCTTGAGAGGCTGCTTTTTGAATGCTCACACCAACTCTGTGGGGAAGATAATGCTGGCCCCATTTTATAGATGAGGAAACTGAGGCTTCAGACAATTCTACAGCCACAAAACTTGTGAATAAAACAAAGTTACCGTGTAGTACACGTGTTTCATTCTCTCCAGCCACACACTTTTAAGCCAGCTGGCGGAATTTCTCAAGATGATGAATACTATTATTTTTACTAGCTGTAGAACTCATAATAATGGTTGTTACCATCAACACCAACATACAGCATGTGCCAGGCACTGACATATTTTACTCACTTAATTCTGACAACTGCCCTTAAGGAATGGACTCCTATTAGCCTCTATTTACAGATGAGGGACCTGGGCTCAGAGAGGTTATGCCATGTGCCCAAAGTCACACAGCTGCACAGTGTTGGAGCTAGAATTTGATCAAATTCAGGAGATCCAGCTTGAGAACACTGCTCGTGAACACTATTCTCCAGCCTCTCGTAATACCTATAAAATTCAACAACTGTCTCCTTTTCAATGGACACATAAGGTATCTTTAACAAGATAGCTACAGGGAGTATTGATTCCATCATCTTATATCAAACAACTGATTGCAAAATTGGTGATTTAGTTAGATTTGTGATAAATGCTGCCAAAGGGGAGAAGGTAGGGACAGAAAACACAGGAACTTCATCCAGGAGAGAAGATCAGAAAGGTTCTTTCAGAAAGGGAGAATTAAACTGGCTGCCAAAGAATGAGTGAGAATCAACTTGTCCAAGGTAGAGGAGAGGACAAGCATTTTAGGCAGAAGGAGAAGCATGAATAAAGGCTCTGTGGTGGGAAGGCACTCATAATTTTGAGGACACAAAGAAAGGAAGTCTGAATCTAGAATCAACATTGAGAAGGTGAGTAGCATATGATAAAGTGGTAGGATTTGGTGTAGGGGCCACCAGGTCAGGGAGTCCCTTTGGGTGCTAGGAAGGAGCTTGAGTCTTATCCAAAGAGCAACAGGGAGTCACTGCCAAAGTTCCTGTGTAGATTGATTGGAATCTTCATCAGGATCAGCCTTCACTCCTACTCCCTAGATTATAATATTTGGCTTTTACATAATCAGATCCAAAGGTACTTCTGAAAACCAACTCAGTGAATCAGCACACTGAAGATTTTCAAAATAAGTCTCAAATAATTCCTATTCCCCATTTTTAGGGATCATGATATAACCCACACGGTCTAAGACATTATGTTGCTACTACCATGCCGTACTAATTATTCAACCCTCAGTATTGTTATTACAGACAGAAAAAAAAAAACAAGAGGTGATATCTTGTAACATGAAAGTCAAAAAAAATCTTTTTTCTGTCTAAAATAGAAGGACAAAAAAAATCAATCTAGGTTAGAAAACATCAATTTGCAAGAGTTCTATGGCTGAGGAAAATGGCATGAGTATTTGTAGGCTGAAACAAATGAGCAGCTAAAACATCCCCCCACCACCTCCCACACATAACCAAATGGGACAGACTACTTCTGGCATGTTTCCATTTACTCACACCTACAATGTGCTAGGTGCTATGGTTTATTTCAACCCCATAACCAGTGTGACCAAGCATCCCAGCTTGCCTGGGACTGAGGATATGGGACGTTCAGCACTAAAAATCAGGCATATCCCAGACCAACTAGGACACACTGGTGGCTCAACCTGCAACAACCACAGCTATTAATATAAGGCAGACACAGGCTCAGAGAGGTGGAGACACTTGTTAATGTCACACAGCAGGTAAGGGGCAGAGACCAAGATTCAAGTTCCAGTCCGTGCAACTTCAAATCCTATAATAACATTTCTTAGGCACTTATTATGGACTAGGTAGTGCTTTAAGCCCATTTAGAAGCATTATAAGCATTAATTAATCCTCGCAACATCTCTATGAAGTACATACTATTCTGGGTCTTGTTTTATAGATGGAAAATTCAAAGCTAAGATTAGCTAATAACTCACCCAAAATCCCCCAGCCAAGAGGGACCTGGCTTTAGTGCCTATATTGTTAACCGGCCCATCCAACAGACCCCTGGGCAAAAACCCTGTCGCAATGCAAAAAAAAAAATAAAATTTTAGCTGTTTCTTGTTCAAGATAACATTTAAAACACACACACACACACACACACAGAAAAGATTAGACGAGAGGTCTGGAAAAACAAGTTGCTCTGAGTCTTACAGCCACCACAAAGCAGGAATTGCTAGTGGCTGCTGATTTACAAGGCTCTCTGGTGAATTACAGAAAGGGAAATACAGTCAGATTTGATAAGGCTGGTCAAGTTCGGTGCTCAAGAGCAGTCCATGATCCAGAGAGGCCGGGAACATGCTCCTGGGCCCTCGTGCCCATCAGATCAATCCCCACCGGCCAGGTGGATGGGTCTGCTGTTGGGACAGGCAGCCTGGAACCACATTTCCACGCTTCAGATAAAGGTGGCTTCCGGAGCCCGGCCTTTCACTACCATGCCCTGGGGGCACCACAGGCAAAGACCCAGACTTGAACGGCTGGAGCCACTGGTGTCCCTACGATGTATGTGCAGGGGGAGGTGGCAGTGTTGAAAAGGGACGGTCATCACTGCACCACCATTACCATTAGCATTAATCACTGAGTGTGTTTGCTTGCGTCAGAGCCTGTACTGTTAATAAACCCTGACCTGTGTATCCAACCACTTTACAGAGAAGGAAGTGGGACTGTGGATCACAGCCAGCGTTGCCCTAGGGCTTAGAGGGGCCCATCCCACTGTGCTTTCACGACCTGGTGGCAGTGGTTCTCAACCAGGGGGGTGGTTTTGTCCCCCAGGGAACATTTGACACTGTCTAGAGACACGCTTATTTGTCATAACTTGAAAGGGAGCGTGTACTGGCACCTAGAGGGTAGAGACAGGGATGGCGCTCCATATCCTACAATGCACAGGTCAGCTGATCCTTTATCCAGCCCCAAACATCTATAGTATGGGGCTGAGAAACCCCAACCTAAGAGGACAGAGGTAGGCCAACCACAGCCAGCCAAGCTTGCAGGTTGTGTCCTTCCAGACCCTTCCTCAGGGTACCAGCCACTCAAACTAGAAGCCAGTGCTCAAGAGGATGGGTGATGTCTCTTTTGCTCACAGCTGCATCTGAAGGGCCTAAAACAGATTTGGTGACTTGTCTTTTCTGTTAAAGAACAGGGACCTGGCTGGGCACAGTGGCTCACGCCTATAATCCCAACACTTTGAGAGGCCAAGGCAGGAGGATCACTTGAGGTCAGGAGTTCAAGACCGGCCTGACCAAGATGGTGAAACCCCGTCTCCACTAAAAACACAAATATTAGCTGGGCATCATGGCTTGCACCTGTAATCCCAGCTACTTAGAAAGCTGAGGCAGGAGAATCGCTTGAATCCGGGAGGCGGAGGTTGCAGTGAGCCGAGATTGTGCCATTGCATTCCAGCCTGAGCAACAAGAGCAAAACTCTGTCTCAAAAAAAAAAAAAAAAAAAAAAAAAATAGGGACCAAATGACGAATGAACAAGAAATGCACCCAACCAGGCCAGGTGTGGTGGCTCACACCTGTAATCCCAGCACTGTGGGAGGCCAAAGCAGGCAGCTCACTTTAGGTCAGAAGTTCGAGACCAGCCTGGCCAATATGGTGAAACACCATTTCTTCTAAAAATACAAAAATTAGCCGGGCATGGTGGCACATGCCTGTAATCTCAGCTCCTCAGGAGGCTGAGGCAGGAGAATTGCTTGAACCCGGAAGGTGGAGGGTGCAGTGAGCCAAGATCGCACCACTGCACTCCAGCCTAGGTGACAGAGTGAGACTCTGCCTCACACACACACACAAAATTAGGTACTATTCTGGGTCTTGTTTTTATAGATGGAATAGTCAAGGCTCAGATTAACTAATAACTCACCCAAGATCCCCCAGCCAGGAAGAAGGACCTGGTTCTAGTGCCTATGTTGTTAACCTGCCCATCAAACAGACCTGTTGGGACCTCATGAGGCCAGACACTAACCCCCTGTCCTCAGCTAGACATGGCGATAGAGTTCCCATTGTCTGGATGGCAGAATCTTCCCATCACTGCAGTGGTTCAAGACATCCAGGCTCTTTGTTTGGCGGGACAGCCAGCCTGCTCTATTCTCAGGGGAAGGGCTTTGAGAATGGCTTATTTAGCTCACTCCCCAAGAAGCTTATCACCCCAACCCCACCCCTGCCCAACAAACACATTCCCATCAGGAAAGCTGGACGACCCTGCCTTCCATGGAATGGAAGCTATGATCCCATCCATTCAGTTCAGCCTCTCATAAACGCTCTGTTCCAAACATAACCAGAATAGTCAGGGAGTCCTCGAAACCCAGACATGACTTATTTTCTATTTCTAGCTTAACCACGTGATGCCTGTGAGTTTCAAGCACTGGAGCATCCCCATTCACGCTGGAACCATCTCATCTAGAAAGGGGAGGGTGTACAAGCAGCTCTGGATCAGCCCACTGGGGTTCAGAACAAGCAAAAGAATTTCTTTACCTCCCCTGAGTTTCAGCCTCAAAGAGCAGCAAAGAACCTGGAGCCCATTAAATCCAGCTGTGCTCATTGTACAAAGGGAAGAACTGAGGCTTTGGAGGACAAAGAAGATACCCAGATGATCTGCATTGCTCTTTTTCTCCCTTGCTTCTTTCTCTCTTGTTGAATTGGAATAGGTCAAACCTGTCTACAGTACTCAAATGTCACGGGGGTTTCCTCCACTAGGCATGGGGCAGAGCTTATTCTCAATAAATGTTCGAGAATGAAACGTCAGCAATTAACTAGCAGGCAACTTTGGAGAGGATTTCACTTCCCCTATAATTAAACACAACAAATGGCACGAATGTTGAAGGGACAATATGCATGGGTGTGTGTGAGAAAGAGGAAGAGACTGCAGTTCCCATACCAAATAGGTATTTATTTGTTCCAAGACTTTTTTTTTTCACCAAAAAATGCTTTAATATAATCACCTTTTAAATAATATACACTGTCATCTTGATTATGTCTATTGGGCTTACTCAAAGAGGCCAGGACCTTGCAGAGAAATGAGCCTGAGGTTTCCTTCTGCCAGGTCACCAGTCAATGGATATTTCCCAAAAGGTGGATCTTTTAATATATGACTGCATAATTTAACCTAAAATCCTAGTTAGTATTCTAGCAAGATGTCTCCTTCTAATTGAGGTAATTTCTAGGAATATGTTGCTAAAAGTTTCCTTTTCTTCAAATAAAGCAATAACTGCCATTTATGAAGCACGTATTAGGTGCCAGGTACTTCACTGGCCTTAACTCTTTGTAACTCATGTTTTCACCGTCACGACAACACTGTAAGGCAAATTACGACCAGTTCACAGCCAGGAAAACTGAGACTGAGGCAGAAAAGTAACTGGCCCAGTGCTGCAGAACCAGTAAGAGGCTGAGCTGGGGTTAGAACCTAGGAATGACTCTCAAGTCCAAGCTCTTTATACTGTATTCTCCTAAGCTCAGATTAAAACCCACTCCATCCCCTACTTTCTTAGTATTTCTTCATAGACAGAATATTTCAAGGAATTTAACTTTTACCACAAGGGATACAAAACAAGGAATGAGAGGACCTGTCTTACCTCCGCTTTATCACAACCACTTTGCAAAGTTACTGAGATTCAACAGCTTTGTCTGCTAAATGGGCACATAGCCCTTCAACCACTCCTTTGCTTTGCTGCCAGAAACAAAGGAAAAGGCAGGAAAAAAGTGCATATTTCTTCCAGAATTGTCAGAGGCCAGCAGATCTTCCTGCAGGATGTCAGCCTAAGCAATCTTTCAAATGCTCCCCGGGCAGGCAGCCCAACCCACCACACTCCGCTCCAAGGAGACACCTCCTAAAATAAACCCTGCTAACTTCAGTTAGCTCACCCTAAAGACTATATATAGAAGAAAAGACTCAGGAGTTCCCATTTGGCAGCAGCTTCTCCAAAACTCAGCGCAAATGGCTGATTTCTAACTTAATCTCCAACATCTGACAGGCGGCTTTAAATCAGGGAGGCCGACTAAGAGATGGAAAACCTCTGTGAGGCCAGCCCAGCCTGCCTGGGGGCAGAGACACCCCAGGGCTTTTCAGCAAACTGGAATGGCATGAAAATGGGAACCTGGCCCCCGGAGGATGCGGGAGAGAAATTAGACAAGGTGTGGTGGGTGGGAGCAGGATCCAGCCCAGCCAGGCCACTGGGCATGTTGTGGGGGTAGCTGGGGGTAGAGGACAGTGATCTGTACAGAGGCACTGCTGTGAATTCTGAATCTTGGTGTCTTCTGGGCCTCATGTTATCCTAGAGAATAACAGAAAGCCAGGGAAAGCTTTGAGTCTCCACATCTATGAAATGAAGGATATCTCTCTCTCTCTCTCTCTCTCTCTCTCTCTCTCTCACACACACACACACACACACACACACACACCCCTTACCTCCAGAGAGCCAGACATTCACTCTCAAGACACTTTTGAAAATACTGGTCTTTCCAAAGACCATCATTTGTATTTGTATTTGAAAGATTGCTTAGGCTGAATTCTGTAGGAAGACCTGCTGGCCTCTGATAGTTCTGGAAGAAATATGCACTTTTGTCTCCATTTTCCTTTGTGTCTGGCAACAATGCTAAGAGGTGGTTGGAGGGCTGGGAGCAGTGCCTCACACCTGTAATCCCAGCATTTTGGGAGGCCAAGGCAGGCGGATCACTTGAGGTCGGGAGTTCGAGACCAGCCTGGCCAACATGGTGAAACCCCATCTCTACTAAAAACACAAAAATTAGCTAGGCATGGTGGTGCACACCTGTAATCCCAGCTATTCGGGAGGCTGAGGCAGAAGAATCACCTGAACCCAGGAGGCGGAGGTTGCAGTGAGCTGAGATCATGCCACTGAACTCCAGCCTGGGCGACAGACCCAGAATCTGTCTCTAAATAAATAAATAAACAAATAAATAAAAATAAAAAGAGGTGGTTGGAGCGAGATGTGCCCATTTAGCAGACGAAGCAGTTGACTCTCAGTAACTCTGCAAAGTGGTTGTATATCCCATGGAAGGATATACAAGAAATTGTTAGCAATGATTCCTTTAAAGACAGAGACTGGAAAAGAAGGAGAAGTCTCCTATTTTATATCCTTTTCTCATGGGGGAATTTTGTTATCACATGCTTATACTCCTTATATTTAAAAAGCAAGTGTCATTCACAGATGGAGGGATAATAAGGTGGCTTCTCAAAAAATTAAATATAGAAAAACTAGATGTCAAATGCTATATAATCAGCAATTCCTCCTCTGGGTTCACAACCTAGTGAAAAGAAGGGGCTTGAACAGCTATTGGCATATCTGTGTTCAAAGCAGCATTACTCACAGTAGCTAAAAGGGGAAAGCTAGCCTAGTGTCCCTCCTGGAAGATCTGCGTGGATAAACCAAATGCAATACACACATACCATGGACTAGTCAGCCTTAAAAAGGAAGGAAATTCTGACACATTCCGTGACAGGGACAAACCTCAAAGACATTATTTATGCTAAGAGAAACCAGCCAGTTACAAAAGGACAAATACTGTGTGATTCCACTTATAGGAGGTACTTAGCGTAGTCAAAATCATAGACACAGAAAGAAGAATGGCAGTTTCCAGGGGCTGGGGGTGAGAGTGGACAATGAGGGGCTATACTTTGTTGTCGTTGTTTCTTTTTTTGTTTGTTTTGGCCTGCAAAGCGTTTTAGAACTTTTCAATTAATCGCTAATGTTTGAAACTCAGAAAATGTAAACAAATCTAGAGTGAGAGAAAGCTCATCAGTTGTTTGCCTGTGGATGGGGTTTGGGGAAGAGGGAGGTAGTTATTGTAAAGAGAAATAAGAAAATCCTGGGGGTGATGTTCATTATATCCAATAATTTGGGGTGATGATGTCACAGGTGGATACAGATATCAAAACTCATCAAATTTTACACTTTGAATATGCATAATTTATCACAAGCTAATTACATTTCAATAAAGCTGGACAATTTTATTTATTTCATGCTATTCAAACAAAAAAGAAAAAAAAGAACAAATAAAAGGCAACACCTTTTTTTTTTTTTTTTTTTTTGAAATGGAGTCTCACTCTGTCACCCAAGCTGGATTGGAGCGCAGTGGCATGATCTCGGCTCACTGCAACCTCTGCCTCCCAGTTTCAAGCAATTCTCCTGCCTCAGCCTCCTGAGCTGGGATTACAGGCATGCACCACCATGCCTGGCTAATTTTTGTATTTTTAATAGAGACGGGGTTTCACTATGTTGGCCAGGCTGGTCTTGAACTCCTGACCTCAAATGATCCACCCACCTCAGCCTCCCAAAGTGCTGGGAATACAGGTGTGAGCCACTGTGCCTGGTCGCAATATCTTAATAAAATAAATGGAGATTGAATTATTAATAGAAAATGTCTAACATTTTAGTTCTGACAGTCTATGAAATTGATTCTAAATCCAAGGAAACATTACAGAAGGAGAAATTAAGATTTCTAGGAATGAATTTATTTACTCAACTAACAGTGGCAATGGATGTGGGCTAACAGTGCACTTCAACTTTATCTCAGTTAATCCTCACTGCAAGCCCATGAAGCATCTGTTGGTATTTTCCCCATTGAACAGATGACAATACTGAGGCACAGAGAGGCCACCTTCCAGAATTGGGATGAGGGCAGGGATGATTCCAGAGTCCATGCTCTTACCCACTGTGCCGTGCCCCCTCCCTCAATTGTCATTGGACACCCACTATGTGCTGGGCACTCTCTTGGCTAGATTCACAGTGAGAGAAGCCACTTTGGGCCAAAAGGCTGCAAGAAGGGGCAAATGGAGATGCCGGTATTTGGGCCTCTCCATCTTTCTGGGGTGGAAAGTATCACTGCACATCATCACAGGTACACGGAGAGCTCCACGGTGGGCCCATTTCAGCAAGAGGCATTTTAAGGTCCCAGGAATTGTCCAAGGCACTGCTGCCCCATAAAACTTTCTGTGATGATAGAAACAGTCTCTGTACTGACCCCAGTGGAACTCACTAGCCACACGTGGCTGCCCACCACTTGAAATGTGGCTGTTACAAATGTGGAATTGCATTTCTAATTCTATTTAAGATTACTGAATTTCAGTGTTAATGGGACCCCACACAGAGTGGATTGCACAGTGTCACTGTGTCAGCAGAGCACAGCCTGGAGATCAAAGCACAGCACAAAGGTTGGCATCTCAGGACTCGGGGCAGGCCAGCCAAGAGTGCAACCAGCACAGCACATGGGAGATGAACTTGGCCCTACAGAGGAGCCAGTGTAACTGCCTCTGAATGCCCCCTTATCTACGTTTGAGTCAACCAGGATACTGAGGGCCATGTGGACCACAACACACATGCTCCAGATAACAGTCCCCATACTCCAGATAACGGTCCCCATACTGGCACTCACTATCCCAGACGTCTCGTGCAAGACACTTTAGTGCATTACTTCCTAGAGACCGCAAGAAGGAGTAACTCCCATCCCCATTACCCAGGTGAGGAAACTGAGGTACAGAGAAATGAAGCAACATACTCAAGGTCACAGTCACTGGCAAAGCTGGGATTTGAACCCAGGAGGTTTGACTGCAGAGGACAAATTTCAAACAACTACCCAGTCCCATCTCCCAAGACAGAGTCACACCATGCCGCCTGTCCTGAGACCCACGTACTCACTTCCAACAAGCTGCAGGCAGAGGCTTTCCTTTTGGTGGGAGGAGAAAAGCCAGGCTTCCCATGGAGAGAGTGAGAAAGACACAGTCACAATCCCAAGCACAGGGACAGACCGTTCCTTCTAAACCACCGTCACTAGCCACAAACACAGGAAATGCACAGCAGCTTCACATCTTCCTCCTCATTTTGCACGGCCCATTCTCTCTGCCAGGAATCCCTTCTTCTCTTGCCCACCTGGAGGATTCATATTTATCCTTCCCAATTCAAGACGTTTTATTGGAAACCTTTCCTGACCTCCGAAGATAAGTAGACCACTCCCTCCTCAGCTAGCTGGTTGCGGTCACTGCCACCACGACTCTATCCTGTAATTACTTCTCTCTAAGCACCCATCTTCCTCACTCCACTGTAACATTCAAGATTCCTTGTGGCAGGGGCTGGGTCTTATCCACTTGTTTTCCCAGAGCCAAACAGGGTGTCTGACATACGGTCCTGGCTCGGCAACTGTTGACTTGCAATGGCAATGATAAGATGAATGATTTCAACAAAAGGAACATTTACATTTTAAGAGCTGAATCAAGAACTCGCTTATGTCAAAGAAAGAGACTAGTGAGTATCCCTCAATGTCTTGGGCACTGGAAACAGGCCAGGGTGTGTTTTCCAACTCAGCTACTTTCTATAATAGCTGTGTGACCCAAAGTGGAATTTTCTTTTTTTTTTTTGAGACGGAGTTTCACTCTTGTTGCCCAGGCCAGAGTGCAATGGCAAGATCTCGACTCACTGTAACCTCTGCCTCCCAAGTTCAAGTGATTCTCCTGTCTCAGCCTCTCGAGTAGCTGGGATTATAGGTGCCCGCCACCACGCCTGGCTAATTTTTGTATTTTTAGTAGAGACAGGGTTTCGCCATGTGGGCCAGGCTGGTCTCGCCCTCCTGACCTCAGGTGATCTGCCTGCCTCCACCTCCCAAAGTGCTGGGATTATAGGCATGAGCCACCGCGCCGGCCCCTAAGTGAAGTTTTAACCTCTTAAAGCTTTCCGGTTTCCCTCCATAAGATGAGGATAACATTAGGATCGGCCTCTGGGGGTTGCTGGGAGGATCACCTGGGCTAATAATGTATGTAAAACACTTGGCATAGAACCTGGGCTTCTATAAAGCAGTTCCAGCCCTGGGCCCAAAGGATCAGAATGAAAGCAAATGAGCAGGTAGGAGTTGATGCTGTACAACCAATCCCAGGTAAGTAGGTGGTTTTGCCAATTTCTTCTCCTTTAGTCCCACCAAGTTCTGAGAGACCCTGGGCCCATTCTGTCTCTCGGCTGGCCAGACCCGGTTTTCAGGGGCCCTCAGAAAAGAGGTCACCCACTGATCACCTCCCTAGCTGAATCTGACTCTTATATATTTTGTTTTGAACTGCAAAGTGTTTTTAAATTTTTCAATTAGCCGCCAATGTTCAAAGCTCAGGAAGACTGTGCATTCAAATTCTGGATGTCTAACCTTCTTTGAAAAATTAGATTTGGCCTCACTGGGTTCATACTTTGAATTGACTGAATCTGAGAGGCACTGTCTACTTCAGATGTGGTGTGGGAGTGCCCAGTCCCCATGTGGCCAGGACACTTGTTCTCACTACCAACCCTGCCCAGAAAACATCTAACTTTGCAACTCCTGCCCTAGGGAAGGAAGTTGGCCAGAAATAGGCTGTTTTATTTAGCAAAGCTATTAGCTAAAAGCAGGGAGCAGCTCCGAGGGTGAGTAAAAATCCGCATTCCAAACTCATCTGACTTCTCTTTGACAGCACCGGTATGTAAAGATACAGATGAATTAATCATTCCGTTTAGTAATAAACTAACCCTGTTGTTGCTGCCTCTGTCATGGAGAAAGCAAAAAATCAATCGCTGGTGGAAGCACTTCTCAATCTACACCTGACAGAGGGGCGACAGTTAGTGCTGTCCTATTCCCAGCATCGGGCCTGGAGGAATTCCTGATTTTAGGTGACTGCAGAGTCCTTGAAGGAGGTAAAAGCTGCTCACAGCCTGACAGTTCTCTGCATTTACTCCCAAAGAGGAGATGACGGAGCAGAGAGACATGATCCGATGAAGAGACAAACCTGTCCATGTCACTCACCTTTATGTCTTATTGGAAGTGTCACCTCTTCGTAGATGTGACAACTGAACCTAGTAAATAGAGGCCCCCGCTGCCTGCCCCATCCCCATAACACACATAAACACACATACACACACACACACACACACACACACACACACACACACACACCTATGTACTCCACTGTTGGCCTCCCTGGAACATCTGCCAGAGGCTGTAATATCTTATTTGTTCTCTTGTGTGCTCTTTTCAGCTATATTATATGCTGTACGAAGAAAGTAGCCTTGTCTGATTTGATCTGTTTCCAGCTACTTGTCTGTTTCTGGCACCTCACATAGCCCTTGGCACCCAACGAGCCCTTCCTGAAAATTTGCAAATGCATTTTTGACACAATACACGGTATTCTGTAACGTTTCCAAACTTCCAATGCCCATGCACTAGTTTCACGGTTTTTGCCATATTTCTGTACCACCCAGTCCAGTAACTCAGTATTTTCTTCAACCAACTCTCATCTTGTAGTGAAATAGATCTCTTTTTAAAATAAAGCTTTACGGCCATGCATTTGGTCAATAGAGAGACACCTGTAATTGATGAGCTCTGGAGTTGACAGTCACCTATGAGCAGTGTGACCCTGGACAAGTGAGTTAACAACAGTCTATGAAATTGATTCTAAATCCAAGGAAACACTACAGAAGGAGAAATTAAGATTTCTAGGAATGAATTTATTTACTCAACTAACAGTGGCAATAGATGTGGGCTAACTGCACTTCATCTGCAAAACAGCACTAACAATAGCACCTACTGAATACAGAGGTGGTTCAAGGGTAAATGACTTAAAACATGTAAAGTTAATTTACGGCAAGTGCTTCCAATAGTGCCTGCCACAGAGCCAACACGATATGAATACTGCTTGTATTGGTATTATTTAGGGGGGAAAACCGGTATCGCTTTAAATAAATACATGACAATTAAAAAAATCACTTATGTAACAGCTGAGAAACACTTTTGGAGACATGGGCTAAGCCTGAGTTTTACTGCTACCCAAATGTGAAAAGCACCCCCTTCGCCAGGTCCTCATCTCCCATCTTTTAAATGAAGATGTTGGGCCGGGCACTCTAAGATTCCATCCATCTTCCAGTTCTGAATCTCTGACTCTCAGTCATGGATAACACTACCTTAAAAGAAATAAAATAGGAAAAACCTGAATTTACACAATAAGCTCAAAAGGAAAGAGCTGGAGGCGGGGAGGTTATTCACATTCCCAAAGGATTTGCTTTTACAAAGGGATTAACAGCAGAGTTGCTTTAAATAGCAGCTTAAGCCTTGTTTATGGATTACTAGATACTTGATGGAGAGGTGGAGGGGCTCAGGAACTTGGAACAAAAGCTTTACTACACCCAGGCAGAAATGAAAAAGCGCATATGTTTTCTTTAAAATTACAATACACATCAACAGGAGAAATGATTCCATTTCAAGGAAGCTGATTCCTACTCAGTATTTCCGTTGCATGTCAATTGCATCCAAGAAGATATGCCTGTATCCACGAGCCAGTTTAGAGCAGTAATCCAGTGTTCATATTTTTAAGCCCCTATTATAAGAGCACTGATAATTTATTAAATGTCCCAGGCACTGTTGAGCATATGACATGCATTACCTCATCTAATCTTCACAGTAACCCAATAAGGCAGGTGTAGTTGTCATCATCCTTTTACAGATGAAGAAACTGAGGCTAAGAGAGGGGAAGTGACTCACCCATGTCAAAAGATGGCAAATTTAATAGTCAAGCCAAAGCGCATGAACCTGGCTCTGAGGTTAGATTATAAAAGGTAAGATCCTTGTCTCAAAGAGGGCACAGAACAGCCACGGAGGTCAACAGACTCAGAGGAGGATGATAAATGCCCCAAGAGACACCTTTGAGGGAGCAGAAGAAGAGGATATCAAGGTCTAGGGTGTGCCCAAAGCCAGGAGTGACCTCATCTGACCCCCAGGTGTCCATATTCGAGCATCTCTAAACACTCAGTGTATGGATTCCTCTCCTCCATCCTTCATGCATAGACCCTCTTATCTGTACCTCCCTATGCACAAACCAATGTGTCCTAGGCCACTCTATTCCCGAAAGGTGGGCTGTGGGACTGGAGGCAAAGAGAGAAAGAACAACTGTTGCAGGGTCTCTGCCAGCACCCACACTGCTTCACTAGACTACCTGAGAGCTTCCCATTGCCTGGTTTTCCTCCTTTGAAAAATGGGGATATTCGCCACCCCCCACCTCCCTCAGCAGGGAAGCACTAGTGATTAATTAGGTAACATCTGTGAAGCACTCCCAGCTTTCCGGAGAAGGGCACCTTGGGAGAGGAGCTATAAAAACCTGAGGCACAGGCTATTATCAGCGTGATCATTATTATCATCATTGTCATTATGACATTCTCCTGCCCAAAGACCTGCAGTGGCTCACCACTGCCCAGAGAAGAAGGTGCCATTGGCTGCCTGGCAGGCAAGGGAACCGCTGCTACCCCCTCCCTGGACTCTCCCACCCCCATGCATCTCTAACCAATAATACCCTATATGTGAGTCCTGCAACTTCCACATGGAACCCCTTCTCCTCAGAGCAGCTCCAGTCTTGCCCGGTCCAAGAACCTTTCCTAACCACGTAGGCTGGAAGCTCAACATTGGCATGCCTATTTCTGCTGTAGACACCAAGATTTTTCTCCTCGTGAAGATTCTATTCAGAGGAATACACAAGTGCATAAAAAACAGTGATATTGCATGAGTTTCTCTTTTCCCAGAGCTATAAAACAAAGATGCTACACAAACCATGACTCAGTATCTTAGACTGATGCTCGTGACTTATAATGGGTTAGATCCAATAAACCCACCGTAAGCTGAAAATAGCCTAAGTTGAAAATGCATTTAACGCACCTAACCTACCGAATATCACAGCTTAGCCAACCCTGCCTTAAACATGCTCAGAACACTGACATTAGCCTACAATTAGGCAAAATCATCTAATACGAAGCCTAGTTTATAATGAAGTGTTGAATACTGTACATGGACATTTTGCAGACATGACAGGATGCTAAAACACAAAACACACTATCCAAATACATCGCTAGCCTGAGAAAAGATCAAAACTCAAAATTCGAAGTAAGGCTTCTGCTGAAGATACATCGCTTTGCACCAACGTAAAGTTGTAAGTCAAACCCACTGTGAGTGACTGTCTGTGTCTCTGATTAGATGATAAGCATGTAGAGGACCAGAGAGAGTTCAGATAAAGTCTACAATTCATGAACAGGGCCTCAGGAACTAGTTAAGGGAACAAGCACGGTCTCTGGGTTCAGACAGACCAGAGCTCCCCATTCTGCCTGTCACCACCTCCCTGAGCCCCAACTTCTTCCTCTGCAAAATGGAGACCAGCATACTTAATATGAACAGTTAAAGAAAAAACTAATCCGGATTAAGTAAGGAGAAACATCATTGGAAAGGATTATTGCGAAGGGCAGAAAGGAAAAATCACACTACGGAGGGTGCTTTACCATAAGATCTTAAGGATCCTGAAGCATCTCAAAGGCTAGGCAAAAAGGAGTTTTCTTTTAACAAAAAGGAGAAACAAAAGCAGGTTTGGGGAAGAAAGGATGGTATGATCAGAGAGTAGATCAGAGAATGTTTTACCCTGATGCCAGCCTTTTCTCAGGAGGGGCTGTGTGCTGGCTCACGCTCAGTGTGGGTCAAGGCAAAAGCACCTGGAGGAAGAAGAGAGTCTGATCCAAAGTCTGGTGATCAAGCATGTTGTTCTGATTGATCAGTGGGAATGAGCAGCCAGCTCATCCTTTATAAGGTAACAAATGGGAATATGCAGGGTCTGGGTCTAGCCCTGTCCTGGGGAAACAAAAGGGTATCCACGAGTTGTAGCTAAGTCACGTGGGCAACACTGGTTCTTTGCAGCGAGGCATTTTCTGCAACACAAACAGGTGAGTGGATTCCTTTAACCTTTGTTCTTTTGCAGGAGCACAGGGCTCAAGTAAAATTCAGCATTGTTGATCCCCAAGAAAGTGGCTGTGTAGATTCAATGTGCCAATGCATAGAAAGCCTTTAACAAATTGAGTTTTTATCATTTTTATTTTTCTTAGAGATAGGGTTTCACCCTGCCACTCAGGCTGGAGTGCAGCGGCACGATCCTGGCTCACTTCAGCCTCAACCTCCCGGGCTCAAGTGATCCTCCCACCTCAGCCTCCTGAGTAGCGAGGACTACAGGTACACGCCACCACACCTCGCTACTATTTTTGTTTAATTATGGTTTATCTGCAGGATAGTATAGAACAATCATTGTAAGAGGCAGAAGGTTGAGAAAGGAGTACAGACATTCTGGAGGTGTCTTGCAAATAAATATGCAGCCCCGGAGTGGATCTGTTTAGCCAGCCAGGCATAGAACACTTCTGACTCACACTGGACTTTCTGTCTGATCAGCCCCAGGCCATTTTTACATCATCTTCTCTTAAGCAAGACAGGTCTTCAGCCTAAAACACATCCAACATAGTCCCTGGCGATTGAGAAGTTCAAAGAAAAATAAAGTGAAATATACAGCCCACCACTGCAATCCATCCAAGAATCAAAGGGTGTAGGCTTCAAGACAGGATGGAGAACCAGGAGTTAAACAAAATTCTCCACTAACTTTTTATCCTCTGCTATAATCAGTGGCATGCAAACCTGTTTTAAATTTACCGACAGCTTAAGCTGCCACCCAGGTCTTGAGGTATTTTTAGTCAACTAGAAATTCATTTAGAGCCTGAAGTCAGGGAAGGGAATCGTGTCAGGTGTGGCTCCTGCAGGATTCAGGTCGTGCCCTGTACCTGCTTTAGTTACCACTCCTCATTTGCACACAATTAAATAATCACTTCACCCCCTGCCCATCTCTTCAGCATCTTCAGCATCTCCTCACAAAGCAGCAGGAGAGGGGAATAAAACGTCAGGGAAGTCAACTCTAGGTTTAAGAGATCTGTTCTTAATCCGAACATCATTTCCATTAGCAGAAACAAACTCAACAGGGGGAGGCGAGTACAAGGAATATAGGGCCCTGAGCCGAACCAAAAGAGAACAAATTCCTCTTTCCCCACTCAAAACAGGCCTATCCAATAAAGTTGCGGCTGTATGTACGTGAATAAGCTGCCAGCAAGAACGAGGCAGACACAGGAGGAATGAAATTAATACTTCGGGGTGGGGAGTGGTAAGAAGGTGCCTAAGTCGAAAGCAAAACCACCCACCCTAGTGTACAAGCCAAGCATGGAGGAGGCACCTTCAATGCCTCTTTATCCTTCAGGCCCCTGTGGCCAACACATCTCCAATTCACTGGTAAGTCAACAGAGTCTGTCCAGAACTTGAAACTGCCTTTGCAAAAACGGTAACAGTGAGAAAATTATGACAGTGAAAGAGGTCTGATCTAACCAACCCCCATCTTGCCTTTACCTCCAAACCGCTCATGATCATTCCTGGGCTTGGGTCAAGCTAACTTTCAGAGACATTTAGTTTATACTTTAAAAGATAACAGTCCTTCCCCAAAACTAAACCACCTTTGTAAAGCTAATGTAGGTCCATTAGGTTACAAGGATTAAAAGGAGCCTTGGCCAGGGGCAGTGGCTCACGCCTGTAATCCCAACACTTTGGGAGCCTGAGATTGGTGGATTGCCTGAGCTCAAGAGTTCAAAACCAGCCTGGGCAACATGACGAAACTCCCGTCTCTACTAAAAATACAAAAAATTAGCTAGGCATGGTGGTGCGTGACTGTAATCCCAGCTACTCCAGAGGCTGAGGCAGGAGAATCGCTTGAACCTGGGAGATAGAGGTTGCAGTGAGACAAGATCACCCCATTGCACTCCAGCATGGGCGACAGAGCGAGACTCCTTCTCAAAAGAAAAAAAACAAAAACAAACAAACAAAAAACCTGAATTCTGCTAGTGTAAAGGATTCCCAGCCATTATTCCTGAGGTCACAAGATTTGCAACTTCCCTGATTCCTCCTGCAGATAACATCACTCCTGTAGAACCTAAGATTGGCCTTTTGAGATGTCTTTTCAGGTTTTTGCATTTCTTTTATTTAACACTTGATATGAACTAGGGGAAGATTTTTACATTTCTGACTATGATGGCTTGACCCAGACCCACCAACCAGTACTGTGTCCTCACCAGAAGAGGACCATTTTCCACCCACCCCTGTGATTGCATCCCCAACCAACCAGCAGCACCCATAACTTTGTCCGCCAAACTATCCTTGAAAAACACTAGCCTCAAAATTTCCAGAGAGACTGATTTGAATCATAAAACTCCAGTCTCCCATTCAGCCAGTTCTGCATGAATTAAACTCTCTCTATTGCAATTCCCCTGTTTTGATAAAATCAGCCCTATCTGGACAGTGAGCAAAATAAACCCACTGGGCAATTACAAACTGTCCACTTCTGACCTTGACCACCACTATGCTAACCCAAGTCCCAGTCATCTTGGATCCCAACATCCCTTTACTCCCAGGGTCCTTTCTTCTTCCAGCAGCCATCAGAGGCATTGATAGGGCTTGGCTGTGTCCCCACCCAAAACTCATCTTGAATTGTAGCTCCCATAATTCCCACATGTGGTGGGAGGGACCCAGTGAGAAATAACTGAGTCATGGGGGTAGTTTCCCCCCATACTGTTCTCATGGTAGTAAGTCTCACGAGATCTGATGGTTTTATAAGGGGTGGTTCCCCCTTTCACTTGGCTCTTATTCTCTGTTGCCTGCCTCTACGTAAGATGGGCCTTTGCTCCTCATTTGCCTTCCGTCATGACTGCAAGGCCTCCACAGCCATGTGGAACGTTGAGTCAGTTAAACCTCTTTCATTTATAAATTACCCAGTCTCAATGTCTTTATTTCGCAGCATGAGAAATGACTAATACAGGCACCCTTATAAAATCATAAACCAAAGAACATACAACATAGCAATTTGTAAATCCTACATGACTTCCCCATCTCCCTGGAAATAAAATCTAAACTTCTCTCCTTGATCATAAAGCCCTATAGGATCTTACCCCTGCCTGTTCCTCAAGCTCATCTGACACCATGCTTCCTTCTTCCTCTGTGCTCCAGCACCGATGGCCAAAGGTTTCTAGAACATTCCATTCTCTCTGCCGCCTCAAGGCCATTTCCCTCTGCCTGGGAGGTTTTTCATCCAAGTTTTCACATGGCTTCCTGGTCGTTGAGGTCTAGGGCCAAATGTCACCTCCCTCAGGGCTCTCTTGGGACCACCCTCTTCAACACATCCTCCTATTTTAATCCCATGTATAATATTTGCCATGTTAACAGGTTCTACTTTTTTTGGTCTGTTTGATCTCTGTGTGTTATTCACTGCTGCATCCTCATCGTGCACACTAGCTGATACTCCTAAAAAATATTTATTGAATGAATAAACGACCATCGGAAGGAGAAAGGAAACCCCTTCTCTCTCAGGACCCCAAATTCACTATGCCAAATGGGAGAGTTATGCTTGGAAACTGAGTCATGCAAAACACTGCCTTTCCCTTTGTTCCTAAACAGACAGCTGCAAGACAGAAGGCCACATATCTCTCCAGGTGGCCTCCCTCGCCTTGACAATGTAAATTAACAGCTTATCTTCAGAGGTATGGGACAAAGACAAGACTAGAAATCATCCCCCACTGCCCACCCTAAGACAAATGTATATTTGACGTTTCCCTCCACTTTATGTTTACTTTATCCCATGTAAAATACAGATTTACTGAGCTTGAGACAAATATATAAGTGACTGTTCCCCTACCCCCTCCTTTCAAATGCAAGATGTGGGTTCGGTAAGAGTTAATTAAAGCCTCATAAGAATGTGACCTCTCACCTCACTCCCTACCTTCCCTCTTTTCTTTCCTTCCTCCTTCCCCTCCTGCCCACTTTTTCCCCTTTAAATACAGAGTCCTCAAAGCCCTCTTTGGAAAAAGCACAGGCCAGATCCTCCAGCGACTTTCATCCCTTTTTCCTGGGGATGTCCTCAACCTTGGCAAAAGAAACCTCTAAACTGATTGAGGCCTGTGGCAGACACTTTGGTTTGCAGAAGAAACCACAACTGTAGCACATGATGTGAGCAGGTGGATCTGAAGGTGATGGTGTGTATTTTACATGACGGCATACCTCAATGTGTTTATTTTTTATTTCTATAAATGTAAGGGGTGCAGGAGCAATTCTGTTACATGGATAAACTGTGGAGTGGTGAAGTGTGGGCTTTTAGTGTATACCATCATCCAAACGGTGTACATTATACCCATGAAGTAATTCTCATCATCCCCCCCAACCACCCTCCCACTCTTCACAGTCTCTAGTATCTATCTCATTCCACACTCAATGCCTGTGTGTACACATATTTAGCTCCCACTCCCACTGATGAGATCATGCTGTCATATCTCAATGTAGATGCTAAATGTTCACCAGCAATACATGCTACATCTTTAGAGTTCGGAAAAATGTCATATGAGTCTGGGTGTGGTGGCTCACATCTGTAACCCTAGTGCTTTTGGAGGCTAAGGTGGGAGGACTGTTTAAGCCCAGGAGTTCAAGACCAGCCTGGGAAACATAGGGAGACCCCATCTCAAAAGAATTAATTAATTAATTATTATTATTATTATTATTATTTTTTGAGATGGAGCCTTGCTCTGTCGCCCAGGCTAGAGTGCAGTGGCGCCATCTTGGCTCACTGCAAGCTCCGCCTCCTGGGTTCACACCATTCTCCTGCCTCAGCCTCCCGAGTAGCTCGGACTACAGGCGCCCGCCACCGCACCTGGCTAATTTTTTCTATTTTTAGTAGAGACGGAGTTTCACCGTGTTAGCCAGGATGGTCTCGATCTCCTGACCTCATGATCCACCCACCTCGGCCTCCCAAAGTGCTGGCATTACAGGCATGAGCCACCACGCCCGGCCAATTGATTTTTTTTTAAATGTCAAATGAAGTAAATTCTCAGACCCAAGTAGTTCCAAATATATTTAATAACTGAATCAGGTATCAGGTTTTAAATTAATGAAAATGAAATAAAAGTAAAACTTCAATTTCTCACTGCTCTAGCCACATTTCCAGGGCTCCTGATATAGCCCCATGTGGCTGCTGGCCACCTCACTGGACGGTACAGGGGTGGCTCATGTCACCCACCACAGCAGCGATCACCGTTGCAGTTCACGGAGAACAGATTTCTACTCTGCCTTCATGGAGGTATCTTCTCCATGGGAGGCAGCGGTGGTCTCCACACGATCCACCAAGTCCAACCCTGCCAGCTTTTTCATTCTGCTCTCTCAGAGAAGCTGATATGGCCCAGTGATTCCAATAGGGAGCATCTGGGCAGAGTGCCCTGGAGGCAGCAGTCCATCCTCACTGACATACAGCACAACTTTACCCACTGTGCAAGAAGCACCTGAGCTTCCATGTCAGACCATGGAGGAGGACAGCATTTCTGGAGATAAATAAAGCCACCACGCTTAGAGAAAACAACAGAGGAGGGTGGGAAGAGCTCTGGCCCTGGAGCTAGACCGCCTGGGTTTGAATCCCAGCAGTGCTACTGACCAGCTATGTGACCTTGGGCACACAATTTAACTTCTCTATGACTCAGTTTACCTATAGGCAAAAGGTCAGCACCTACCCCTTAGAGGAGTTGAAAAGGACAAATGAAACAGAGTATATAAAGCATTTGTTGGGCTGGGCATGGTAGCTCATGCCTGTAATCTCAACACTTTGGGAGGCCAAGGCAGGAAGATCGCTTGAGGACAGGAGTTCAACACCAGCCTGAGCAAGAGAGTGAGATCCCTGCCCATCCCCCCTGTATTAGTCCATTTTCACACTGCTATCAAGAACTACCTGAGGCTGGGTAATTTATAAAGAAAAGAGGTTTAACTCACTCACAGTTCCACATGGGCTGGGGAGGCCTCAGGAAACTTACAATCGTGGCAGAAGAGGAAGAGGGGCAAGGCACATCTTATACGGCAGCAGGAGAGAATGAGAGTGAAGGGGGAACTGCCAAACACTTTTAAAGCATCAGATCTCATGAGAACTCACTCACTATCATGAGAACAGCATGGGGAAAACCTCCCCCCTCATCCAATCACCTCCCACCAAGTCCCTCCTTTGGCACATGGAGATTACAATTCGAGATGAGAGCTGGATGGGGACACAGAGCCAAATCATATCAACCCCCACCCACACCAATCTCTTAAATATTAAAAAATGGAAGGGTGGTGCATTCCTGTAGTCCCAGCTACTTGGGAGGCTGAGGCAGAAAGATTACTTGAGCCTAAGAATTCAAGGCTGCAGTGAGCCATGATCGCACCACTGCACTCCAGCCTGGGCAGCACAGCGAAACCTTATCTCTAAAAAAATAAAAATAATCACATAAAACAAAGCATATGTCACAAGTGCCTGGCACATCACAATGACTCCCTATAAATAATCATAATAATTATTCTTGCTCATTATAATACTTTGAGCTCTGCTCACAGAAGTACAGAACAACACAGGTGCCCCTGTTAAACTGAAGCCAAACTTCTAAAGCAGATCAATTACCAGGAGATCATTCACAATATAAAGGATTCTCATCGGGGACTCCTTTAAATACAGTGAAATCTGTGAAGGGCTTTTCAAATCGGAATCAATTTACCATATTGACATGGAATTCTTCAGGGACCCTTCGGGGAAGGACTCAGATGTAGTGTCCTCTCTGTCACTCTCATCTGTTGGTTGGTGAACAGCAGACTCTGTTCACCATTCCTACAATCAGCCAAGGGGGGCTGTGATGTTTCACAAGGCGCCACGGCAGAGAGATGAAAGTTGTTATGGGTGCTGTTGGATTTTAGGGCTGCTAAGAGAACCAGATGTTTAAAAGTAGCCCTGTGCAAGTCCAAGCCAGAGCTGCCAAATTCTCGACGCATGAAAAACAAAGGCGTCTGGCTTGGGAAAGTTTGTCCCAGGCAGACTCTCTGAGTCTATTTAGAAAGGGTTACAATGCAACGTTTGTATCTACACCCCTCCTGTACAGGTTTGCAAAACCGGAAATAATGCCTGTCACTCATGCAGTGACTCCTGGGCACAACCTTACAGCCAGTCCCTGTGCTGGGCATCAAGGAAATACAGAGATGACGTGAAATACCTGCTGGGTGAGCCATAGAAGCAAAGCGTTATTTGCTTCTGAGTCTGAAAGCTCAGCTGGGTGACCTTGGGCATGTTGCTTAACCTTTCTGTGATTCAGTCTTCTCATCTGTGAAATGGGGATAGCAGCAGGACCTTCCACACAAACTCACTGTGAGAAATGAGTAAAGATAAATGAAGGGGTTGGAACAGCTCCTGGCACACAGTAAGTGCTCAATAAATGTGTTTATTCTTAGTTGTGGTAGTAGACTGCTGATAAGGGGCTAAATTCAGGGTGTTAGGGTAGTACATAAAAAAGCTATCTAGGCTGGGCGCGGTGGCTCACGCCTATAATCCCAACACTTTGGGAGGCCGAGGCAGGCAGATCACTTGAGGTCAGGAGTTTGAGACCAGCCTGGCCAAACAGTGAAACCCTATCTCTACTACAAATACAAAAAATTAGCCGGGCGTGGTGGCAGGTACCTGTAATCCCAGCTACTCGGGAATCTGAGGCAGGAGAATGGCTTGAACCCAGGAGGTGCAGGTTGCAGTGAGCCAAGATCAGGCCACTGTACTCTGGCCTGGGCAGAGTGGGACTCCACCTCAGAAAAAAAAGTATCTAACTAGAGTATCAGGAAATGATTACCATCCCATACCATAGCCAGATTCAGCTCGTGGCCTATTTTCGCAAATAAAATTTTATTGGCACACAGCCACGTTCATTTGTTTACATGTTATCTCTGGCTGCTTTCCGGCTGCAGAGGCACAGTTCAGTAGTTGCCAAGGAGACTGAAGGGCCCTCAACATCTAAAATACCTCTTATCTGCTCCTTTAAGAAAAGGCTGGCCAACCTCTGATCCAATTCAATTCAGGAGGGATGTGATCAGGGAAGGCTTCCTGGAGGGTGACAACGTAAATTTTCCTTGGTTAATATTGACTCTTGCATTTCAGAGTTATTGAGGAGGATGCTTGGATCGGCAGGTTCGGGTAACAGAAAGGAAATAAGCATTGCCATCGACCTCTATCTGAATCAAATCCTACAGCAGGCATCACAGAACGGTGGCTCATGGGCCCAGAAACAGTCTGCAATCTAATTTGATATGAACCTGTGGTGCTTAAAAAACACCCGAGACAACATTGGATGGCTGGGATACATCATAATAAACCGCCTTTCCGGCTTCTATTAAAAACTCTGACGATCTGGCAACCCTGGGCCCACCCTTCCCATGGAGACCCCTTTTGCTGGGGTACCTGTTCTCCAGATCACCATGAGAACCTTTTCATTCCCCCCTTTACTCTATGTCTACAGCCTCTGCTCTGATGCTATCAAAGGCCTCTCACACATATTCTTGGTTCCCTGCCAACCCAGGCAGACAAGGCAAGCTGAGAAAACTAAAGTTCAGAGAGGTCAAGTGACTTTCCTAGGGATAGCCATCTGGTGAATGATAAAGCTGGACCGGAACCTGAGCCTTTGAGTCTAGCTCACTGTCCCTCTTCAGACATACAAACAGCGGAATGAGTCATTGCTACGATTTTACTAGGGCACTCCATAGTTTGAATAGCTCTTTTTTTTTTTTTTTTTTTTTGAGACAGTGTATTGCCCAGGCTGGAGTGCAGTGGTGCGATCTCGGCTCACTGCAACCTCTGCCTCCCGGGTTCAAGCGATTCTCCTGCCTCAGCCTCCTGAGTAGCTGGGATTACAGGCATGCACCACCATTCCCGGCTAATTTTTGTATTATTAGTAGAGACGGGGTTTCACCGTGTTGGTCAGGCTGGCTCAAACTGCTGATCTCGTGAACAGCTCTTTCACATATACGAGTCCAGATTGGAAAATGCAGACCTTGGATCCACGGAGGCCACGTAAATATTGAGTGGCATATGGTCACCAAAGGACTGACAAGGCAAGAGGCTAAAACTCCAGAAAGATAAGGACTAGAAGTGCATCTAGTCTATCTCAGGAGTCAGAGTGGGCAAATCTACTGAATCCAACAAGCACTGCTTAAGTGCCTGCTGGAATCAAGACAAAGAAAGAGGCCCAGCTCCCCATCTGGGGCTTAGAATGTCACAGGGAGGGTGTTACCTGTAAAGTAACAACGTAAGACCGACTGTGTTTCTGCAAGACTAAAGGGCAGAGACAGCTGAAACTTCGGTGGCCTACATGGCAGATTTAAGGACTTACTCAGGGCACAGGTGGAGACGTGGATTTAAGTGAGTATGAGTGATTTTTTTCGGGGAGTAGATGATGGGTGAACCATGGCCCTTGGATGATGTATTCGTTTCTTGCCAGCTGCCATAACAAAGCACCACTAAATGGCTTAAACAATCAAAATGTATTGCCTCCCATTTCTGGAGCCTAGAAATCTAAGATCAAGGTGTTGGTAGGGTTGGTTCCTTTTGAAGCCTGTGAGAAAGAATGTTCCATGCCCCTCTCCTGGCTTCTGGTGGTCTGCTGGGAATCTTGAATGTTCCTTCGCTTGTAGATACATCATGCCCCTCTCTGCCTTCGCCTTCACAAAGTGTCCTCCCTGTGTGCATGGCTATGTCCAAATGTCCCCGCCCCCCCCCACTGTTTTTTTGTTTTGTTTTGTTTTGTTTTGTTTTTGGCAGAGTCTTGCTCTGTCACCCAGGCTGGAGTGCAGTGGCTCGATCTCGGCTCATTGCAACCTCTACCTCCCAGGTTCAGGTGATTCTCCTGCCTCAGCCTCCTGAGTAGCTGGGATTACAGGTGCATGCCGCCACACCTGGCTAATTAAAATGCCCCCTTTTTATAAGGACACCAGTCATATTAGCTTAGGGACCCCCCCGCTTCTAGTATGACTGCATCTTTGCAAATTACATCTGCAATGACCGTCTTTCCAAACAAGGTCAACTTCCAATGTACTGGAAATCGGGACTTCAACATATGAATCTGGGGGCAGGAGAGGGGACATAATTCAACCCATAACAGATGACATCCTCAAAGTCACTGGGAAGCATGGCAACGGAGGCTGAGATGCTCAAGGCCATCCTCGAGGCTCCTCCCCACAAAGGGTAAAGACCTGGGTTCTCCCTGGCCTTTCTGGGCAGAATGAGAGTCCCCAGAGGTTCTGGTGCTGTTGGAAGGATCCTAAGCATCAAGGGAAGGGGTGTGGACAACTCCAGGCCTCCAGCACTGAGAGCAGGAGGGAAGCCCTGCTCCCTCCTCATTACACTGTGGAAAACAGAAAACTCAATTTATTTAAGAATAAACAGGCTTTAACCTGAAGTTCATTCTCCCGCTCCATGATGCTTTAGCATCTACATGCAACCGCAGCTGCCAGCATCATGCCCCGGTTGCACAGTCCGAAGGACCTATATTGGAAAAATAATGGCATTTTCTCAACAAATTATCTCACAGCTGAAGTAATAACTTGTTTAAAGATACGCCAATTCAGATTTTCATCCCCTTAACCTGCCACTAAAAGAAAAGCGGTGTCATCCCCATGGCAAAACAGGAGCAGTTTAATCACTTCTGCACCCCTGTCCTCCGGCCCTCGCCCCCAACTCCAGCCCCCACCACCACCCACAGCTGCACGTTTATTAATTTTAAGCCATTGACAGAGTCTCTTTGGAAACCATGTTTTTTTACTTCTCAGGTCAACATCCTCCAGCTCTGTTATAATAAAGTACACACTGCCAGAGATAAAGCAAATATTTCTTTGGGAAAGGAAAACAAAATAGAGTGGCTGTGTTTTCAACACAATCGCTAAGGATCCAGCCAGCGGACTTCTTCTCCAACAGCAGCCATCAGGCTAACTGGCCCTCACCAGGCTTCTCATTTATTTGGCAACAAGGAAATCACAGCTTCAAACTCTCTCCTGGCAACAGCAGCTTTCTCAGTCTTCGGCCAGGTAGACAGGAAGGACAGGGGCTGACAGTGAAAGGAATGCTGGGAGACACATCAAGCATTCAATCAACAAACAGTGGGTGCAGCTGACCCTGTGCCTGGCACTATGCTAGATTCTAGGTACCTCAGTGACTAACACAAATTATAGTACCTACTGTCCCCAAAGAACTTGCAGTTTAGGGGCTGGGCGCCATGGCTCACACCTGTAATCCCAGCACTTTGGGAGGCCAAGGTGGGCAGATTATTTGAGGTCAGGAGTTTGAGACCAGCTAGCCAACATGGTAAAACCCTGTCTCTACTAAAAATACAAAAATTAGCTGGGAGTGGTGGCACGCGCCTGTAATCCCAGCTACTTAGGAGGCTGAGGCATGAGAATCACTTGAACCTGGGAGGCGGAGGTTACAGTGAGCTGAGATCATGCCATCACACTCCAGCCTGGGTGACAGAAAGAGACTCCATCTCAAAAAAAAAGAAAGAGAGGGAGGGAGGGAGGGAGGAAGGGAGGAAGGAAGGAAGGAAGGAAGGAAGGAAGGAAGGAAGGAAGGAAGGAACTAACTAACTTGCAGTTTAGGAGGAGACACAGGCAATGAATCAACCCATCAACCTTCAAAGTCAGCTTGTAATGAAAGCCACGAGTGAAAGAAACAAGGTGTGGAGTTAGAGCGAGGAAGGCCAGCCGGAGGAGGGGACACCTGATCTGAAGTTTGAAGGACAAACGGGAATCAACCCTATATTGGGAAAGTAGTAACCCTATACTGGGAAGAGGAAAAAAGGGGAAGAAAAACAGAAGTAACAGCCAGGGGGATGACATAATCCAGCTCTCTCTCCTCTGTCTCTCTGTCTCACTCTCTCTTTCATACACACACACACACACACACACACACACACCTGTCTACAATCTATTCTTCAGAGTCAATTCTTTAACATTAGTGTTTGACAAAATGCAACTCTCCCTGGAATGAATTCCAATCAGCCCCAGCTCAGTGTGGATGAGTTTTTTCAGAGATCATGGCTGGAAAGCTTGCAAGGGAGATGATAGCACATAGGGACACTGGGCCCTTGGGCTGGAGGATGTTACAAAGGAAAAGGGACGAGGAAGCAAGGGAAACGGACTTCAGATCAATTTCCAAAACTTCCACCATTCTGCCTTGAGGTTGCTGGGAATGGAGCCACCCGGGGTGGGAGAGTCTTCCAGAAAAGCCAGACGGACTTCCTGCAAGTTCAATCTCTGCCTAAATTTATACAGAGAGATATACTTATGGGCACATATTTAGCATTTGCAAGCTGAAGTTGTGGAAATGGCACAAGAACTGGCCAGGGCAACTTTGAGCTTACCGATGTAACTATGTGTAGTGTTCTGCAACTGAGTTTTTTGAGGAAAGGGATGGCTTCTTCAACATCCTTTTCTATGTTCCCGGGCAGGTAATTTAACCTCTCTTTGTCTCTGTTCCTATATCTGTAAAATGGGAATAACATCATCCCCACCTCAAGGAGCTGGGAGGGGTAAATTTTAAAATGTATGCTAAGCACTCAGATAATGCCTGGCCTAGTTGTTCAATGAAGGGTTAGTGGCTATGGTTATTATTATTATTATTATTATTATTATATCAACTTCCACAACATTTAGGAGCACTAAACATTTATGGAATGTTTCTTGGCCAGTCAGCTCCTGCTTAAAAAATTATTACAGAAATAATTAGAAAATAAAATAAAAGCCATAGGCCCAAAGATATTTACAACATTATTTATTTAGAATATCAACAAAAATCTAAATGTTCAACAATTGAGCAATGGTGACATTAAATAAGGTGCATCAACGCAGTGGTGAATTATGCGCTAATTAGCAGGATCAGCAGAGAGATGACAGAAAAGCTTTAAAAGTGTTTCTAGGCTGAGCGTGGTGGCTCACGCCTGTAATCCCAACACTTCGGGAGGCTGAGGCAGGTGAATAGCTTGAGCCCAGGAGTTGGAGACCAGCCTGGACAACATAGCAAAGCCCTGTTTCTACAAAAAAAAAAAACACACACACACACACACAAAAAGTTAGCCAGGCATGGTGGTGCACACCTGTAGTCCCAGCCAACCAGGAGACTGAGGCACAAGGGTCCCTTGAGCCGGTGAGGTCAAGGCTGCAGTGAGCCGTCATTGCCCCACTGTACTCCAGCCTGGGCAACGGAGACCTTGTCTCAAAAACAAAAACAAAAAAAAAAGGGTTTACAAAGCACTATTAAGTGAATATGAAAAAGACGAAGTGTACACAGTTTAAAACAATGGGTATAAATACAGAAAGAAACTGAAGATGTGAAAATTGCAGTTGGGTTGGAATGGTGGGTTATGGATAATGTTTTTTAAAAGATAGTTTACAACATGAGAAAATACAAAATAAACTGCTTGTGGAAAAAATAGGATTCAAACCTATGAGGGGTTTATTTGGGGGCTGTTGGAGCATACAGTTCCTCCTTTAAGACATGGACAAAAAGAAGCTCTCTCTCTTGTCTCCATGGCAAACACCTAAATGGAAGGTGAAAATGCCCATCATTAAGCTCTCTTGATATTGAGCTTGTCTTATTCTACATACATGGGTGTTTGTTTTACTATATCCTTTTTTTTCTTTTCTTTTTTTTTTTTTTTAAGAGATAGGGTCTTACTCTATCACCCAGGCTGGAGTGCAGTGGCATGATCACAGCTCACTGAAACCTCAACCTCCTGGGCTCAAGCAATCCTGCTTCAGCTTCCTGGAAAGCTGGAACTACAGGCAACTTCCACCACACTTGGCTATTTTAAAAATTTTTTGTAGAGACAGGGTCTCACTCTGTTGCCCAGGATGGATATACCCTATTTTCTGATGAATTAATAGATAAATGAATCACAAAATATTCACCAGGTGCTTATGACATCAAAGGCCTGTGCGGAATGACCATCATCCCAGCTTCCAGAGTGAGGACCTCAAATATGAAGACGATACACAGAGACAAACAAGTAACTGATGGTAATAAGCCAGCCACAGCTAACACTTACCAATGCTTCCTGCAGGCCAGGGATCACTCTATGGATTTTATGGGAATACCTCCCTTTAATCCTCATATCCAGCCTTGGATGCAGCTATAGCCATTTGACAGATGAGGAGACACACTCACAAAGGGCAGGCGTCTTGCCCAAGTCATACAACCAGTAAGCGGCAAAACCTGGCTTTGAACCTACAAATCTTCTGCCAGGGCCGGCGATTTTAACACCTGGATTAGTCTGTTTTCACGCTGCTGATAAAGACATACCAGAGACTGGGTAATTTATCAAGAAAAAAAGGTTTAATGGACTCACAGTTCCAGGTGGCTGGCGAGGCCTCACAATCACGGCAGAAGGTGAAAGTCACGTCTTACATGGCAACAAACAAGAGAGAATGAGAGAGCTTGTGTAGGGAAACTCCCCTTTATAAAACTATCAGATCTCATGAGAGTCACTCACTATCACAAAAACAGCACCAGAAAGACCTGCCCCCATGATTCAATAACCTCCCACCGGGTCCCTCCCACAACACGTGGGGGAATCATGGCAGCTACAATTCAAGAAGAGACTTGGGTGTGAACATAGCCAAACTGTATCACTACTCTACTGCAGAAGAAGAGCCATGAAAGCTGTTCACAGCAGGAGAGGCAAAAGGCCCTTTCCTCAAAGCCCATCTGGGAATACCTCACCCTTGTCTCTTCTCCAGACACAATTCTCCATTGAGAGCCGTCCTCCAAGACCTCAGGTTCATAAGGGCTAGAAGAGCAGCTTGAAACGCTGGACTTGCCCTTTGGAGCCAGAGGTCAGGCCAGGTGGGAGCCATCCACTAGCAGGTTAGAGACAACGAGATTCTCTCTGTGCAGTTCAGACCACAGCCACAGAGAATTATTTAAACCCCTCCTGGGAAACCGCAGCAACGTCAGACAGATTCAATGTGCATAACTGTATGTGTGTGTGTCTATGTGTGGTTGGGGGGGGGGCTCAGGGAGGAGGTGTGACAAGCCTGAGTGACCCAGGAGGGACTCAGGGCCCAGGAAGGGTCGGATACTCCTCCCCCATCCAGGTGGGACACAGCGAGCTGAGCAGCCCCTGATGAAACCAAAAGAGTCTCAGATCCTGTCCCTTTTCCTCCTCAGAACTCAGAGCACTGGATCCTTTGTTCAGAAAGCAAGAGAAAACACCAACACAATTCCTGCTACAGCTGAGGATGAGGGCGTGGAGCAGGTCACACAGACATACTAGCAAGCCTGCAAAGTCAAAACCGTAACAGCCACAGTAACTGACACACGTCAACAACTGACCTGGAGCCAGATGTTGCCCCATTTAACCTCCAAGACTCTCCTGTGAGGTGAGAACCATGATCATCCCCATTATACAGGTGAGAAAACCAAGGCTGATGGGAATTCATCACATGGTGCATAGGAAGCAAAGCCATGTTTCGAATCCAGGAAGCCTCTCTGTCTTAGGAAGACACGCACCCACTCATGCATGCAACAACAGATGCACAAGTAACAGTCAGAGTTGGCCAGGCACAGGGGCAGTTGCCTGTAATTCCAACAACTCGGGAGGCTGAGGCGGGAGGACGACTTGAGGTCAGCAGTTCAAGACCAGTTTGGGCATATATTGAGACCCTGTCTCTAAAAAATAAAAATTTAAAAAGAAAAACATTCAGAGTTGTGTACATTCACAAAAGGCATGCAAACATAGCATAGGGATAGAAATACAGGCATAAACGTGTGCAGAGAGCTGCAACCACGCGCATCTGCCCCTCTTCTCCAAATAAGGGCTGCCTCTTTGCACACCTCTGAGAGGTGCCCTCCACACAGAATACAACATACACTTGTAATATTGCCACACACAAGCACATAACTTTCTGGAGGGATGACTCAGATTAGAAAAACAGCATTTAGAGGGCCCCTGGTTAATCAAACGGCCTCGCCACCCCGCGCCACCTCTCTACACAGCTGATGTTGCTGATCAATGTCGCGGCTGTGCAGAGGGGGCATTTGATACCACAAAGGGAGCCAACTCCTGCTGAGGAATGAATGTGGCGCTTGTCAGCTCTGCCCCAGGCAGCAGCACAACATGATGCCCTGTTTCTCCTGGAATCGGGGCCCTGCGTCCGCTCCAGCCCTCATTTTCATGTCTTTCTTCCCAACAGACACAAGGCCGGCTCAGTTCTGGAGAAACAGCGTGGCTGCCAAGGCCCAGTGGAGGGAGAAGGCCTTGAAAAGTCACTTTATAAAGCATCCGTGCTCGCAGCAGCCAAGCCACGAGGCCGGAGCGGCTGACTTTCCATTCGCCACACACCCCACCCAAAGACGAGAACTCTGCCACAGCCAGCCCTTGTTCTCACCCACTGGGAGCCCTGGGGAGTTGAAATCACAGGGACAGCAGCAGGGAGCCCTTGGCAGCAAACCCAGCTCCTGGCATCTTCCTCGGGGGCCGTAGCTTGCTGTGGTCAGCCGAGCCAGTCTGATGCAAGAACTGAATGACGCCCATTCACTGTGGTGCCCTCGTGAGCTGGGAGATGTCCAGGCTGAGGCTGGGGCAGGCAGGCTCTCTGTCACCTGCAGAGGCTGAGACAACCTCAAGGTAGGACGAGAACCCAGGGTTGAAGCTAGCAGAAGCCAGGCCCTGGGGCCCCTGATGCATGATGAGAGTGAAAAGAAGGGCACAGTGATGTAAAGAATTCCTCCATTTCCCCTCCCTGCCCTCAGTTACTTCCTATCCATACAGAGGGGGGATGAAAACTTTAAGATTTCACTATTCAGCTGAGACTGGTGACTCACGCCTGAAATCCCAGCACTTTGGGAGGCTGAGGTGGGTGGATCACTTGAGGTCGGGAGTTTGAGACCAGCCTGGCCAACATGGAGAAACCCCACTTCTACTAAAAATACAAAAATTAGCCAGGCGTGGTGGTGCATGCCTGTAATCCCAGCTATTTGGAAGGCTGAGGCAGGAGAATCGCTTGAACCTGGGAGGTGGAGGCTGCAATGGGCTGAGATTGCACCACTGCAGCCTAGCCTGGGCAACAGAGTGAGACTCTATTTTATAAAAATAAGAGACTCCACTATTCATGCATTCACATGCTCATTCAACAAATATTACTGAGCACCTACTATATGATGAGTGTTATTGTTTTAGGCACTGGGAGTACATTAGTCAAATAAATAGTCACCACCTGCATGTAGCTTGTTCTCAAAATTCTCAAGCTCTCCCAACCCTCCCCATAATGAACAGCTGTGTGACTTAGAGCACACTGCTTCCCCTCTCTGTGCTCCAGTGAGGTCTCTCCCAGGGTTCCTGTGAATCACCATCTGGGATCCAGTAAGCTCCCCCATGGGGCCTAAACTAGACTAAGTTGGTTTCCGTCACTCACAGCCAGAGGAGTCCTGCCTAAGAAATTGGGAAAGAGAGCGGAGAAGACAAAAAGCAGGTTTGGGAAGGCTGCAGGGAGCTGATGAGTCATTTGATCATCTGGAAAGCAGATGGGAAGACAAGTGGAGACCAGGAGGCCCTGGGGAAGAGAAGCTGTGTTCACGCCAACCTTCCCCAGCAGGCCTCAGAAGCTGGGGGTCAAAAGGGACCACAACGCCCATTTAAACAAGGAGGAAGATGCTGAACAGCTAAAGGGTTAATTCAAAAGAAAAAACAAAAGAAGAAATGGCCATTTCTTTTCCTTGTTCACTCAATGTTCCTTCAACAAATTATTCTATGTGCTTGGAATATATGAGGCCCTGGGTTGGGTGTGGTATGCAACAGAAAAATAAAACATAAGAACATAGTATGTCTCTTCCCACAGGGTCATATGGTCTTTCGAAAGTCACCCTTTTAATTTGAAACCTTTTGCTGCTTCTTTATTTTTATTTTTTAATTTAATTTTTTTGAGACAGAGTCTTGCTCTGTCACCCAGGCTGGAATGCAGTGACGCAATCTCGGCTCACTGCAACCTCTGCCTCCGGAGTTCAAGCGATTCTCCTGCCTCAGCCTCCCAAGTAGCTGGGATTATAGACCCCTGCCACCACCCCAGCTAGTTTTTATATTTTTAGGAGAGATGGGGTTTCGCCATGTTGGCCAGCAGTCTTGAACTCCTGGCCTCAGGTGATCTGCCTGCCTCGGCCTCCCAAAGTGCTAGGATTACAGGCAGGAGCCACTGCGTCCAGCCTATTTATTCTTATTTTAAAAATTTATATATATGTGTATATATATAAGGGGTATAACACAGCGTTATTTTTAAGGAATAAGAGATATTTTGCTTTTCAAAGTGCCTGCTAAGCCCAGTGACATACGCTTGGTTAGCAATCACTAAATGTGGACACATTATAAATCCTCTATATATTTTATAGAGATGGGGTCTTGCTATGTTGCCCAGTATGGACATGCGTTCCTGGGCTCAACTGATCCTCCTGCTCAGCCTCCCATGTGCTGGGATTATAGGCATGAGACAGCAGCACTCAGTCTCTTTGTTTATTTCTCTGCCTGCTCCCCACCCATCTGTGTGACCCCTACTAAAATAACCACTGCATGGTGTTCAAGGAAGAGTATGGCCTTGGGATTCAGGCAGGTCTGCATTCTAACCCAGGGCCTTCTACCTTCTGGCTATGTGCCCCTGAGCAAGTAACTTGGCCTCTGCTATGGCTTAGATGTGTGTCCCCTCCAAACCGCATGTTGAAATTTGATCCCCAGTGTTGGAGGTGGGGTCTAATGGGAGGTGTTTGGGTTTTGAGGGTGGATCCCTCATGAATAGATCAATACCCTCCTTCTATTAGTTCTGCAAGAGCTGGATGTTTACAAACAGTCTGGCCTTCCCCTCCCTCTCTCTTGCTTTCTTGCTTACCTGTAATATCTGCACATGCCAACTCCCCTTCACCTTCCACTGTGAGTGAAGCTGTCGGAGGCCCTCGCCAGATGCAGATGCCTAATCTTGAACTTACCAGCCATCAGAATCACAAACCAAATAAACTTTCTTTCTTTATAAACTACCCAGCATCAGATATTCCTTTATAGTAATACAAAATATACGATGATAGCCTCTCAGAGCCTCAATCACCTGCCCTGGAAAATGGGTACAACACCGAGTTCTTTTTAAGGAATAAATGATGTTTTGCTTTTCAAAGTGCATGCTAAGTAAGTGCAGTGACATACGCTTGGTAAGCAATCATTGAGTGTGAACATATTATAAATTCTCATGAAATCTAAGAGGCAAAGCCCTGGGAATATCACAATATTGATCTTCTAAAGTCAGTATCAGCTTTCTCATGGCTCAGACTCACTCCTGAGTTTTGTGCTTGGATACTTAACAATTGCTCACTCCTAAATTTCCTAACTAGTTCCAGCTTCAAACTGGAAAAATTCCTCCAGTGTATTCAAGCCTCGTTGCCTAGCACCACAATATCCTTGGTTGATGTGCTTCTAGGTGCTAAAAGAATAGGCCGGGGATGGTGGCTTAGGCCGATAATCCCAGCACTTTTGGAGGCCAGGGCCGGCGGATCACCTGAAGTCAGGAGTTTGAGACCAGCCTGACCAACATGGAGAAACCCCATCTGTAATAAAAATACAAAAATTAGCTGGGCGTGCTGGCACAGGCCTATAATCCCAACTACTCAGGAGGCTGAGGCAGGAGAATCGCTTGAACCCAGAAGGCTGAGGTTGCGGTGACCCAAGAGATCGCACCATTACACTCCAGCCCGGGCAACAAGAGTGAAACTCCATCTCAAAAAACAAAACAAAACAAAAAAAAAGAGTAACGAGTGTTAGATATTGGTGGGGGTGGCATCAGAAGGACTTTGTGTGACATTCCCAGGTCTGTTCTGAGCGCAAAGGCCAGATTTAGACAGCGTTGAGAACCCAAATGAGGCTCTAGAAACTGGTCCAAACAATGTGCCCATAATGACACGTGTCAAAACCGAAGAAGGCCTTAGTCAGGGGAAAAAAGATGCAAATTACAAAGACCTTTTTCAGAGCCACCACCTTCTAAAAGTGAACAGAAGGAGCAGGAAGCTGCCAAAGTGTACCAGAACCTCCTCCTTCGACGCTAGAAAGAGTAACAGGTCAAGCTCCAACTTGCAATTCAGTTCTATTTTGAAGTTTACTGGAAAGCAGAAAATAAGAAGGGATTTGAGAGAGGCCGGCAGTTTGAAGGCAAGGAGGAACTGAAATAAACACATTAGACCCAAGAACACAAAAGTCCTAGCAGCTTGGACCTGCTATTTCTCGACAGTTCCTCCAGGCTCCTCATGCATAAGCCAATCAGCAATGATGTGCATATTTCAGCAATGATGTGCATAATATTGATCTTGAACCACAGCGATCTTCCTAGTTCCTTTTGCCAGGAGAAAAGATGGGGGTGGCCACACATTTGAGAAAGAAAGTCCATTAACATTACCCAAGTTGGTTTTGAAGTATTGAGACACTTTTTTTTTTTTTTTTTTTTTTAGATGGAGTCTCACTCTGTTGCCAAGGCTGGAGTGCAGTGACGTGATCTCGGCTCACTGCAACCTCTGCCTATCGGGTTCATGTGGTTCTCCTGCTTCAACCTCCCGAGTAGCTGGGAGTACAGGTGCCCGCCACCACGTCCGACTAATTTTTGTATGTTTAGTAGAGATGGGGTTTCACCATGTTGGCCATGCTGGTCTCGAACTCCTGACCTCAAGTGATCCACCTGCCTTGCCCTCCCAAAGTGCTGGGATTACAGGTGTCAGCCACCACACCCAGCTGAGACACATTTTTAGGGTGTGTGTATGACCGAGTTTTATGGTTGCAAACAAAAGACTCCATGCTGCCCAGTTCAGGCATAAAAAGAATGTCCTGAATAATGCAAGATGATGTATAGGATGCTTGGACAACCAAAGCCAAATGTGGAGGCTCTGCTGTGGGTGATCATGTCCCAACCACACGGACACTGACCAGCACAGACCCTGTCCCTGCTGCTAATGAGTTCACACTGCCACCACCAGGCACAGACCCAAATCCTTGACCGCTGCTGGCTGCCCCTTTTGCCAGAATGGATTCTGTACCAGGCTAGTTTCCCCACATAACTTGCTCTTTCAGGAAATCCAAAAGTATTGATACAAAAGGTGTATTAGAGCCATAAGTGCATAGAGAGAAAAGCGGGTACATTAAGCTTTGATTCTCCACTGCCTGTTGTAATAGTTTGTTTTCACGTTGCTGATAAAGACACATCCGAGACTGGGCAATTTACAAAAAGAGGTTTATTGGTCTCACAGTTCCATGTGGCTGGAGAGGCCTCACAACCATGGCAGAAGATGAAAAGCACATCTCACATGGCAGCAGACAAGGGAAGAGAGAGCTTGTGCGGGAAATTTCCCTTTTCAAAACCATCAGATCTCATGAGACTCATTCACTATCACGAGAACAGCGCAGGAAAGACTCACCCCCATGATTAAATCACCTCCCACTGGGTTCCTCCCACGACATATGGGAATTGTGGGAGTTACAATTCAAGATGAGATCTGGGTGGGGACACAGCCAAACCATATCACCTGTCATTACTTTTTTTTTTTTTTTTTTTTGAGATGGAATCTCACTCTGCGGCCCAAGCTGGAGTGGTGTGATCTTGGCTCACTGCAACCTCTGCCTCCTAGGTTCAAGCGATTATCCTGCCTCAGCCTCCTGAATAGTTTGGATGGCAGGCGTATATCAGCATGCCCGGCTAATTTTGTATTTTTAGTAGAGACAGGGTTTCACCACGTTGGCCAGGCTGGTCTCAAACTCTTGACCTCAAGCCATCTGTCCACCTCAGCCTCCCAAAGTGCTGGGATTACAGGCGTGAGCCACCATGCCCAGCAGCCTGCCATTACTTTCATTAGCACCAGGCTTCTTGCATATTTTACAGATTGCTGTCAATGGTCTAATAAACAGGTGTGTTAACACATCCAGCAGTAAAGAACCGGGGCCCTCGAACCTGCCTGCCTGGGTCTGAACCCTGCTCCCCAGCCCTTACTTGCTGGAAGACCTTGGGCAAATTATTCAACTCCCATCTGAGAATATTATTCATAACAGCACCCACCTCATGGGCCAGTTGTGAAACTTACAGAAGTCAATTTAAACCAAGGACTGAACATAGTACTTGTAATATGAGTTTGTACAAAAGTATCAGTTGCTATTGTTGATGTTGATAATAAAAGCTAAAATAACATTATAACCCCCTTCATGGTGGTAGTTTCTTCATAAGCTGCCATTAAAGCAAAGAGCTACCTACTTAATACAATTTGCTCCCTAATTAATTAATTATATCTAAATTTCATTGTATTGTGTCATTCTACAAGGAATGCTGCTACTATCACCTTGGGCTGCTAAAAAAATGCCCAGTCACTAAAAAAAATTGCTTAGACGGTATTCTCTGTCATTTCTCCCAACGAATAGGCAGTTTATTATTTTTTGAAGAAGTCTTTTGGCTGTGACAATGGGGCCTCATAACAATGAATTGAGAACAATCACTTCCAAACAGCAGCTGAAAACACCCCTTGGTTGCCTCTGAGTTTGGGGGTCACTGATCAAGAGGGTGACTTTTCTGGGACCTCTGATCTCTTAATAGTTGTAGTTCAACAAGAGCAGTTGTGGTACATTCGGCTTCACCTTCATCGTGGGAGAATGACCAGATGCCTACCTGGTTTTAAACCACAGTCAGGGGCTCCGGAAACTGTCCAAGAAGAAACTCCGGTGCCCTGAAGGCCTCTGATGAGCAACAGAGTTACCTTACTGACTGATGGACACAGTTAATTCAGCTGCTAACTCTCAAATTCTACTGCTGACTCACAATCCGGCTGCCCATCACTAGGTGGCCCGGAGGCCTAAGGTGAAAAGGATGTTGTCTTTCTCTGGGCACATTTTCAGAAAGCCCATTTAAACTTCTTGGTGGGGCAAGAGGGGGCATAAAAGGGGGAACAAGATCTTCCACATTGCAATATTCATGTTTTAATTAGCGAGTGTCCAGAACCTCATATCAACTTGATTTGAAGGGCATGTGTAAGAAGTATACCTACAACTCCTTCTCTGAGCCCCAAAATGGCCCCCAAAAACGCTCCGCACAGCTCCTGGGGTTGAAGATCCTGGTGAGGTGCAGTTTGTTCTCACAGCCACCGTGCAGCCCAGGTCCATGTGCATGATTCACACGAGAAACTAGGTGAATAGCACTCCTGGGGGTGCAGAGGTATACAGGGCAGAACCTGGCACACAGCACCAGGTCCACGTGAGGGGGTCCTGGCGCACACACACGTACACAAACACACACAAACCCCACACACATACCAAGGATTCCAGAATTCTGGGCTTAACTCAGCCTAGACTCTACCACATTCTTCATTCTGTAGTTAGAGGCCAAAATAAAACTCGTGTAAACAGATTAAATACCGTGGTAACCAAATTCAAACCAAACACCAAGGATTGGGTGGGGGGAGGGGAAATAGTCTTACTTTGAAGCATTTGGGGGTGTGGGGGTGGGGAAGAAAAGAGGTAAAGAGGCTCTAAAGATTCTAAGACATCAAAGTTCTTTTCCTGATTTCCCAGTGGAAACAGGACAGTTTCTTATACTAGGTCTCCCAGTGGATCACCATCCACCATCTTGGAAGGCAGCCCAACTGACTGAGTCCCAAGGAGACCTAACAGAGATTTACTTTCCCAAACAAGGAATACTTCAATAAGGGTGTATCTACAGTTAGAGTGCTTAATTCCTTTCCGAGATGTTTTCCTAATGGCAGCACTCCTGGGGAGAGTCAGAAGAATGTGTAACTGGTCAAATCCTGAACCTGATTTGCAGTCCAGCCCATGTTCACAATGCTCGTATCTGCTGAGCCTCTGACTTCTGCGACCAATATAGGCCAAGTGTGTCTGGAGAGATAATACATATAGCCACACTCCCCACCTTTTCCTCAAGACTAGTCCAGACCACAAGCTGGATGAGGTCAAAAACTATGTCTAATTTCTCACCATTGTATGCTCAGTGCCCAGGCTGGTGCCTGACACGCAGTAGGCAGTCAGTGAATACAGCCCAAAGAGAGGTATGGCCACAGTCATCCTATTTGTGCCCCCGGGACCTGGTACTCAAAAAAGAAGTAACATATCTGATGATGGTATACAGGCATGCATCAATGCCACACACTGTGCACTGAGGGGACACTGGGCTGGCTTCACACCCTTCAAGGACTCTAAGCAGTCATGCTGGGTACCCACACATGAGCAAGGAAGGGGGTGTTCTGTGTGTTTTCATAGATAATGCATTTGTCTATTTGCCATCCATTCATCACATGGCTAATTAGTTCAACTACACTTTCTTATTTTTTGTCATCATTTTTTTTTTTTTTTGAGACAGGGTCTCACTCTGTCACCCAGGCTAGAATGCAGTGGTGCGTGGTGCAATCTCAGCTCACTGCAGCCTCAACCTCTTGGGTTCAATCAACCTCAGTGTTCGGAGTACCTGGGACTACAGGTGCTCACCACCATGCCTGGCTAATTTTTGTATTTTTTGTAGAGATGGGGTTTCGCCATGTTGCTCAGGCCGGTCTTGAACTCCTGGGCTTAAGCCATCCACCTGCCTTAGCCTCCCAAAGTGCTGAGATGACAGATTTTCTGTATTGTAGATGCTCTAGCATTAGGGGTTTTATAGACCTGGGTAAAGACATCCCCTCCCAGTTCTAGCCCGTTCTTAGAGATAGCAAAGGGCTCAACCAGGAGCAAGCCTCTCACATGCAAACCAACAAACCCAGAGTCTATACCCCCTCAGCCATCACCATATCTAACTCTCACACACCAAGCCAATTTTCCCCCGCCCTAAACCAACCTGGGGCCAGGTAGCAGGCAGCTAGAGACCCCTCTAGAGCCCAAAGCCCTCCTGAAATTATTCAAGCCGGTCAATCCCAAACTGTTTGCCCTGCCTTGCCTCACCTTTCCTGTGGGAACCCCAGTAAAGGTTCTGGCCTAGATTTTCTCCTTACTCCTGTCTTCTGCCTCCAAACCAAAAAACCAGGGCCTCCTGCTGTGGCCCTGCAAGCATGCTGTGCCTCTTCTTTCTAGGGAAACTGAGTCACACTAAACTTTCAAGGGCATTGACCTCACTGTGATGTCACCCAGACATCTCTATTTATTTATTTGGTGGGCTTTATTTCTATTTATTTGACCTCGCTGTGTTGTCACCCAGACACCTTTATTTACTTATTCATTTATTTGGTGGGCTTCATTTATTTGTATTTATTTTTTAGAGACAGGGTCTTGCTCTATCACCCAGGCCAGAGTACAGTGGCACAATCATAGCTCACTACAGTCTCGACCTCCTGGGCTCAAGCAATCCTCCAGCTTTAGCCTCTGGAGTGGCTGGGACCACAGGTGCACACCACTATGCCTGGCTATCAGACATCTTTATAAATTAAGACCCAGGCACAAAACGAGACGGACCCGTGGATGAGTCTCCTTGTAAGCGCCTTGCTTTCTCCGCTTCCTCCCACACTCCACTGGGCACCCACAGGAAGCCCTGACACACATAATGAGAAATGAGCAAAAGGGCATTTCTGCAAAGGGAGATGAAAAACAAATCTTAGAGGAGTGGCGAGTGTCCTGGTTAAGGCTATGGAGCCAGGCAGCCTGGGTTTGCTTGAAGGTCACCCCTGCCACCACCTCCTCACTGTGTGTACCAGCGCAGCCCCTCACCACCCTCAACTGCCGTTTGCTCAGTTATGGAACGGGGACCAGGACAACACAAGATGCTGTGAGATTAAAGCGCATGAATACCCAACGGGGCCGGCATGTGGTGAGCACTGTGTGGACGGTAACTGCGATGATTCCTCACTCTGCCTTCTCCAAGGGAATCAGAACTGCAGACCCCCCGCAGAGAAAAACGATCACACCCTTTATTCAGCACTTCCCGCGTGTCTGACACACAGCACCCACAGCCTGGGGTATAAACACCAAAAACCACCCTCACAGGGGCGGAATGATGTTCATTCCCATTTTGCAGAAGGGAAAACTGAGGTTCAGAGAGGTTAAGCAGGTTTCCCCCAAAACACAAAGCTGGAATTGGTGCGTGCAGCCAGGATTTCTGACTCCAAAAACTCTCCTCTCCTCTCCCTACTTTCAATCTCCCCCATTTCTGATCCCCTCCCCTCCACTGCAACACATATATATTGAGTGCCTACTGTATGCGAAGAGCTGGTGCAGGAGTTGAGAACACAGCAGTGAGCAACACTGCTGGAATCCGAGTCTTTATGAATCCTACAGGCAGCAGGAAAGAGGTCATTGAGGGGTAATCTCAGAAATAAATGGAGGCCGGGCGCGGTGGCTCACGCCTGTAATCCCACCACTTTGGGAGGCCGAGGCGGGCGGATTGCCTAAGCTCAGGAGTTCAAGACCACCCTGGGCAACATGGTGAAACCCCATCTCCACTAAAAAATACAAAAAATTAGCTGGGTGTGGTGGCACGTGACTGTAGTCCCAGCTACTCAGGAGGCTGTGGCAGGAGAACCGCTTGAGTCCGGGAGGCAGAGGTTGCAGTGAGCTGAGATAGCACCATTGCACTCCAGCTTGGGCTACAGAGTGAGACTCTGTCTCAAAAAAAGGAAAAAAAAACCCACAGAAATAAATGGAGAGTTCAGATGGGGATGAGAGCTATGGAGGAAAAGGAGAAGCTGCTGTGGTGAGCAGGAATACGAGATTCCATTTGCTGTGCATGCAGTGTGTCAGACACACGGGAAGTGTTGAATAAAGGGTGTAATCATGGAATCAAATGGATCCCTGATCATGGATCAAGAATCACAGACAGCTTCTATGGGGAAGAACATTCTGGAAGGAACAGCAAGCATGAAGGTCCCCAAATGGGACAGGACTGGATATGTTTGAGGAACTACCAGAAAGTCAGTATGGCAGTGACACAGTGACAAGAGAAAAGCAGGCAATGAGAGGAGAGCAGAGGTCCTACCAAGCTCGGCCCTCCCGACAATTTGGGTTGGATCACTGTTTGCTGTGGCGCTGTCCTGCACTCTGTAGAATAAGATGTTTAGTGGCACCCCTGGTCTGTACCCACTAAATGCCTATACAGCTCCCGCCCTGTCCTGCCAACCAAAAATGTCTCCAGACATTGCCAGATAATGCACCCCACATCCCTTCCGGGATAAACTGTGAGACTCCACGGCGATGCTATTTCAGGGACAAAAAGAAGCCTGTGCTTATGGAACAGAAACTGGCCTTGCCACGACCTCATTAGTGGAGAGGATGGGCCCCACTCATTTGGGGGAATTATTTGGGGAAAAGTATAAACTCCCTAGCTCAGCAGACTGCGAGCTCCCCATGAAAGGCCATGTGTCCTGGTTCCTCACACGGGGCCTGAGATGCGAAAGCACAGAGGGTACCTGGGAGGGACTGAGAAAGGAGGGGACTGTGGGGTCCAGTGGGCACATCCCTATCACAATCAGCCTGTGCAGCTAGGAGGCTGCCACGCACATCGGCAGACTCTGGCTTTCAAAATGACCCTGGAGGAGCTGCGGCTCCTGCTGGCATGTCAATGTCAACAGCCTTTACCCTCCCCAGCTCCTGGAATGCTAGAATTTAGATTCTCAGTTCTGCGGGAGAGCAGGACAGATTTACGGAATTCTCAGCGGCTGCCTCCACCAGGGGTTGCCAGGGGCAAGCATCTGCACCGTGGTGAAACATCTCTTTGAACAAGGAAGTGAGAGTGAGCATGTGCATTAACTATCGGAGATGTGGGGGAGAGGAGGAAGCCATGCAAATGAGCACGGACAGCCAGCAGAGACGTTTAACCTTGGTGCTGCTAGAGTACCCACAAGTGCTAACGAGGTGGCTGGTGTTGCTTTAATAATCAAATAATAACCAGGCAATGGTTTAGATCCATTTTGGACCCTTCACAATTCCCAGGACTACACTTAACAGTTTGGTAAGACTTTATGGATAGCTTGCAAGTTTGAAGGCGTAACTTTGTAAGCTCAGTTTTGACCCTGGAGGAAGGAGGTCATGAGTAAGATAGGGACACCAAAAAGAAGTCAGGTGGTATGCTTTTTCCATTGACTCACAGTCATTTCCAGGAGAAAAGAAAACATCACTGTGCAAGGCTCTACTGACTCTCTTAATTTATCCTCACAACAGCCTCGTATAGTAAATATTATCCTATTTTACATGGGAGAAAAATGAAGTTTAGAAGCTTGGGAAATCTGGTCTTCATTATTTGGCTACTAACCCTTAGTTTCCATCACAATTCCCTCATTCTCTCAGCTCTAGTCTAGTCTGGATCCTTTTGCAGTCCTGCCCCAGGACCTTGGCACAGGTTGTTTCCTGTGCCTGGATTACTCTGACCTCCCTTCTTCACCTGGTTAACGCGACTTAACCTTCCCATTCCTGCTTGCTCATCTCCCAGAGCCTCCTCTGGGCTTTTTCCAGGCCAAACTACTCTAACAAAAGCTCTCTTAGCATCAAGACTGCTGCTTCTGCATCAGGACTCTTCAAAGTTACAATTTAACAAAGAAGCCGGCGTGTGCTAGTTCACCACCGTAGGCATATGCGTCAGATTCAAGATGGCTTCAAATTCTTTGACATGCCTTTATCGAAAGGTAGTGTCTTATTCCCCTCCTCTTGAAGCCAAGATGGCCTTACTGACTCAGCTGACCAATTGAATGCAGTGAAAGTGATGTTCTGGGAATTCTAAGCCTCAATGATAACATACATACCTTTGCAGCTCCTGCTGGACCTCTTAGAATATTTACTCTGGGGAAACTCCCTCTTGGAACCCAGCCACCATGTGGCAAGAAGCCCAAGACACACAGGATAGACCATGTCTGATGCAGCCAACAGCTCCAGCTGAGCTCCCCCCAACAACCCTCACCAACTGCCAGGCACGTGCATGAGACACCTTGAGCAACCACCACAGCCAAACCTTCAGATGATCACAGCCCACTCCATATGTGTCAGTAACATATGCAGAAATCCAAGAAAGAACCATCCAGCCACGTCTAGTCAGCCCACAAAACCTTGAGAGATGATACTAAAGCACTGTTTTAGTCATTACGTTAGAGAACTATTTGTTACACAGCAGTAGATGATCAGAACCCTGTAAGATCCAGCATAATGAACAGTTGTTCAGCTTGTACACACCTTAGGCAGCAGCTAGGACTAGATGCTTAATAAATATATTATTTATGGATTAGACAAAGAATGTAGTGTGTGAAAAGATTAAGGTGGAGGCTGGATTTATACCCGTTTATATAACTCCAAGTTCCTCCTCTCTTTTCTTTTTAACCATAGCCTAATGCTCCCTTAAAAACAATAAAACCATTTTATTTCCAGCCTATCATATTTGATGCAGGTTTGGGAGGAAGAATACAATATTCAGACAGAGCCATGTCACAACAAAATGGCAGCTTTGGTTGCTTGTCATGCCTGGAAAAAAGTTCAGAGTTAAAAAAAAAAGTAGCTTGAGGCTGGGTGTGGTAGCTTACACCTATAATCCTAGCACTTTTGGAGGCTAAGGTGGGTAGACTGCTTGAGCCTAGGAGTTTGAGACCAGCCTGGGCAATATGGCAAAACCCTGTCTCTACAAAAAATACAAAAATAAGCCATCCATGGTGGTGAATGCCTGTAGTCCCAGCTAGTTGGGAGTCTGAGGTGGGAGGCTCGCTTGAGACCTGGACATTGAGGCTGCAGAGAGCCATGATGGTACCACTGCACTCCAGCCTGGGTGACAGAGCAAGATCCTGTCTCAAAAAATAAATAAATAAATAAAAAGGCTGTTCTTATGTCATTACACTCATTGACAGCACAGGGGTCTCTATGCCCTCTCTGCAGTTATAGCATGAGCGCTGCTGTAGGCGATATCTAAATGAATGGGTATAGCTGTGTTCCAATAAAGCTTTATTTACAAAAACAGGCAGTGGGCCAGATTCGCCCAACCCTAGTACACAGCATAATACAGTGGTCTTTCAATTTAGCAGTAAGCACGCAGTATAGGGAAAAGTTAATCCACGGACCTCTTTTTCCTTCTGTAAATTGAAAGAGAGGGAGCCTGCTTCCTTTGATTTGAGTATGGAATGACCTTGGCTAGTTCGTGAAGCCATCCATGGTGGTGAATGCCTGTAGTCCCAGCTAGTCGGGAGTCTGAGGTGGAAGGCTCGCTTGAGACCTGGAGGTTGAGGCTGCAGAGAGCCAGGATGGTACCACTGCGCTCCAGCCTGGGCGACAGAGCAAGATCCTGTCTCAAAAACAAAAACAAAAAAAGATAGACTGCTCTTATGTCATTACACTCATTGACATAGCTCAGGGGTCTCTATGCCCTCTATGCAGTTATAGCATGAGCTATAGACAATAGGTAAATGAATGGGCATAGCTGTGTTCCAATAAAGCTTTATTTACAAAAACAGGCAGTGGGCCAGATTCGCCCATCCCTGGTACACAGCATAATACAGTGGCCTTTCAATTTAGCAGTAGCCACGCAGTTTGTAAACTCAATGAAACAGGCAATGCCTTTGACTGAAATGACTCTTGGTACTTTAATTTTGCATTTTAGACAACATCTTTCACTGCATTTTCACATGCTGAAATGGGTTCAGATTTCTAAAATATAAGAAAAAGTTACAGTAAAACAAAACAAAACAAAAAACACTTAATATAGGGAAAAGCTAATCCATGGACCTCTTTTTCCTTCTGTAAATTGAAAGAGAGGGAGCCTGCTTCCTTTGATTTGAGTATGGAATGACCTTGGCTAGTTCATGAAGGCAGGAACATTCCATGAGACAGGAGTTAGGAAACCACTGGGTCACTCATAGCAAGGATAATTTCCCCTCACTGGCCCTCAAAGAACTATTTGTTGATAAATAATGAATCCAAAATCTATTGGAAGGAGAGTAATCCACTCATTACTGTTAGTCCATTCAATAGGGCTCAATGACTGGGTGAAGTTTATTCAAAGCAGCAAAATATCATCTAATGGCTTGCTCTTTTGTCTTTGTAGGATCAAGCCTTTCATCTTAGAAAGTGCTACCCACGTTATCCAAAACTAGCAAAAATAATTTAATTAATGTGTATATAAGCCACAAGTGCCCAAATTATAGCTTGTGCCCAAACCCTAGGTAATGCTAGAGTTATACACATAATTTTTTAATTTCGTATTTTCAAGAAATGATAGACCCTATAAATTATATTTTTAAATGAGCCAGGAAGTAATGGCTAATGTTAATTCTTAGGCAACAGAAACGTGCTACGCTAATTATTATTAGCAATAATGGCTCAATGGGTAAAGAACTTCTGAACTCACAAAGCAATTTTTAAAAACTGTATTGCATTGTTTCATACCTAAAAGAGTCCCAGGGTTAGGTAATTTTTTTCATTTTATAGGTGAATAAAGGGAGACGCAGGGTAGGTACCTGCTCATAGTCATAGCTAAGTAGCCAGGACTCGGTTGCTATCCAAGGCTTCTTCTATCTGGAACACTTCAAGAGAACAAGGCAACTCCTCTCCAAATATAATTAATATGCAACCTCTCTTCCTATTATTCTTTGTGAAGTTTAGCACTATCCAAAAAAATGTACTAGGCTAATTATTCAGATTTTTTTTTGCGAAGGGTGCAAATGTTCTTTCTATTGAATGTGTGTGCATGTCATTTATTACACCATATTTTTAAAGGGAGACTAATGCCCAATAATGACCCCAGGGCTTAGCTTTGAAGAAAATTCCAACCAAAAACATCACCTTACTGTCTGAATCTGTCTCCATTTCAGCAACTGAATCTTTGTTGCTGGACTCAATAAAACACACTTCAGATTTCTAATGCTTGGATGGGAGATGAGTTGGTCCAAGCTAGATCCTCTTGTCTTTGGGCCCACACCAAACACCAAACACGAGTCAACCACTCTTGCACCACCACAGGTATGCATGTATTAATATCGGCTTCCCTTCTGCCACAGCTGTGACTTGTGTTGGGATTATTTCTACTCCGCCAGCTTGTTTACCTTATTAGAGTAACCTTACAGCTCAATCATTAGGACTCCATGGAGAAGCCATGGAAAATCAAGACTCAGACATATATTTCGATCTTAGGAGAACATGCCTGTGCTTTGTCTGTCATTATTCTTTTTATGGGATTCTAAGGCAGTCTAAGATAGGAGAATCACTACAAGGCTCCTGAAAAATCCCTGCCAATTAAGGAGTGACAGACTGCATTTTCCAAAGATGACCACAGCTATATTTCCTATCCCATATGCTCTTCTGCAAGGTGACTTTGCCACCCCCATCCCTTCAAGAGGTGGGACTTATTTTTCCCGTCCTTAGAATCTGGACAGGCCCTGTGACTGCTTTGAGCAACAGAATATGGCAGGAGTGATGCTGTGCCAGTTTTAAGTGTAGCCCTTAACTTTATGGCAGCTTCCACCTTCCTGCCTGCTGGAGGCCAGCCACCACATCAGAAGTGACACTACCCTGAGGCCATCCAGCTGTGAGACAATCAAGCCACAGGAAGATGCTTGATGCTACCTGGAGAGAAACAGACAGAGGGGTCAAGGAGGAACAAAGCACCAGACAGACGGACGATAAAGTCTTAGAAGTGGATCCTCCAGCCCCAGTGGACAACACATGGAGCCGAGACAAACCTCCCAGCAGAGCCCTTCCTAAGGTCCTGATCCACAAAATTAGGAACAAAACAAAATTAATGTTTTAAGCCACTCAGTTTTCAGATAGTTTATTATGGAATACCAGAGAACTGTTAACATTTTTTTTTCAAGACCGAGTCTCACTCAATCACCCAGGCCAGAATGCAGTGGTGCAATCTTGGCTCACTGCAGCCTTGAACTCCTGGGCTGAAGCAATGTTCCCACCTAAGCCTTCCAAGTAGTTAGGTCTACGTGTCTGGCTAGCTTTTTTTTTGAGACGGAGTCTTGCTTTGTCACCCAGGCTGGAGTGCAATGGCATGATCTCCACTCACCGGAAGCTCTGCCTCCCGGGTTCACGCCATTCTCCTGCCTCAGCCTCCCGAGTAGCTGGGACTACAGATGCCCACCACCACACCCGGCTAATTTTTTGTATTTTTAGTAGAGACGGGGTTTCACCATGATGTCTGGCTAACTTTTTAATCTTTGTAGAGGTGGGGTCTCGCTCTGTCACCCAGGCTGGAATGCAGTAACATGATCATAGATCACTACAGCCTCAACCTCCTGGGATCAAGTCATCCTCCCACCTTAGCCTCCTGAGTGGCTGCGACTACAGGTGTGTGCCACTATGCCCAGCTAATTTTTTAAAATTTTTCATAGAGATGAGGTTTTACTATGTTGCCCAAGCTGGTCTCAAACCCCTGGACTCAAGTGATCCTCCCACTTTGGTCTCTCAAAGTGCTAGGATTACAGGTATGCACCACTGTGCCTGGCCCACAAATTTTACTTTATTATTTTTTTTTGGAGACAGAGTCTTACTCTGTCACCCAGGCTGGAGTGCAGTAGTGCGATCTTGGCTCACTGCAGCCTCCGCCTCCTGGGTTCAAGCGATTCTCCTGTCAGCCTCCCAAGTAGCTGGCATTAAAGGCATGCAACACCACGCCTAACTAATTTTTGTATTTTTAGTAGAGACGGGGTTTCACCATGTTGGCAAGGCTGGTCTAGAACTCCTGACCTCCTGACTTCAGGTGATCCGCCCACCTCAGCCTCCCAAAGTACTGGGATTACAGGTGTGAGTCACCATGCCTGGCCTCACAGATATTTTTTATTGAAACACAAGTTAGATCTTCCTTGGGGTCACTGCAAATAGTTGTATGATTTGTGTACCGCAAAGTGGCAAATAGGGGCTGAAATCCAACCAGTGCTTTGCTCACCACGCCCTGCATCGGTGAGCTCTGGTCTTCTGCTAAGAGGCTGACTTTTTTAGCCCTGCAAAGTCCCCGTACAGACTAGCAGTACGTCGAAGCACAGTCATCCAAATGTGGGACCTTCAATAACGATGACTTAAGAATTTGACGGAACAATGTGATTATCGTTGCCAGAGGAGGTTTTTCTTCCCTGCTAATATCCTGGACACCTCGCTGGGCTTGCCAACTTTATCTGGTCCCTTCTTCCTCTGCCCCAAGATTCCACCCTTAAACTGGAGTAGGTGCTTTCACTGCCCAGTGGGGCCGCCCTTCTCGGCAGGCCTCCCCAGCAGCGCCTGATGTTTCATCTCATGTGAAATTGCCCCAAAACACAGGATCAGCTCTGCACTGGGCCATCACTGCCACTCCTCAGGGGCAGCTGAGTCTCCTCCCTGTGGCCTTCCAACAATGGCTGGCAGTAAGGCTCATTCAGAACCCATTAAGGCGATTGTTTTTTCCTCAAGGGCACTTCCTTGAGGGCTGAATACCAATCAGCCTGCGATACAAAGGAGGGGCCCCCTGTCATCCTTGGGACTGTGCAGTGGCTCTGTGGGGACAATCCCACGTGCTGTCCTCCCTACAACCTCACTCCCCTGGGCTTTTGTGCAGGAGTCAATATTGATTACTGTTATTTCTTTCTTTTTTCTCTTTTTTTTTTGAGACAGAGTCTCACTCTGTCACCAGGCTGGAGTGCATTGGTGCAATCTCAGTCTTAGCTCACTGCAACCTCTGCCTCCCAGGTTCAAGCGATTCTCCTGCTTCAGTCTCCTGAGTGGCTGGGACTACAGGTGCATGCCACCATGCCCAGCTAATTTTTGTATTTTTAGTAGAGACGGGGTTTTACCATGTTGGCCAGGATGGTCTCGATCCCTTGACCTGGTGATCTCCCTGCCTCGGCCTCCCAAAGGATTACTGTTATTTCATGAGATGACTACAGGCTCATCATGCCACAGCAGTGGTGACCCAGGAGCAATTCTCATAGTATAAGCAAGTCCTATAGCAAAATCCATGGGAACCTATAGGACCGTGGCCAAAGTCATCTCTGCCTCCCAAGAAGGGGCAGGAAGTCCTATTGGCCTCATCTAACCATTTATGCCTGTTCTTACAAGCTCTCAATCTGTCCATCCAACCCAGGAGACACTCGGTCATCATCCACCCTTTACTTCTTCTGAAAAGCTGATGCAAATAACTTGGGCTTTAAAACCCAAAAAGATCTGTGTCCCAATCCAGACTCTGCCACTTCTTAGCTGTGTGATGTTAAGTGACTGTCTAAACTTCTCTACTTCCTCACCTGTCAAATGAAAGCAAGGACACCTTCTAGCAAACCTGAGAGAACTGAACAAGATAAGGCCAAGTAGGCTACAAATGGCACCCACAAGTTATTCCATTCGGTTCATGAACAAACCTTTCATTACAAATTCCAATACTTATGTATTTATGCTGATGTATGAGAAGACGATAGGCTTCATGAAGACCATGATTTTATGGACATTATAGCTTAGGTTGAGCTAAGTAAAAAGTGAGTGGATGCAAAGAAAAATATGAAGTAAATAAACCATGACCGGGGAGTGTTATGTGGATGCTGTAGAAACACCAAGAAAATAAGATAGGTGGACACAGCCGGGTGCGGTGGCTCATGCCGTGATCCCAGCACTTTGGGAGGCCGAGGCAGGCGGATCACGAGGTCAGGAGTTACAGACCATCCTGGTCAACACGGTGAAACCCCGTCTTTACTAAAAATACAAAAAGTAGCTGGCTGTAGTGGTAGGTGCCTGTAATCCCAGCTACTCGGGAGGCTGAGGCAGGAGAATTGCTTGAACCCGGGAGGCAGAGGTTGCAGTCAGCTGAGATTGCACCACGGCACTCCAGCCTGGGTGACAGAGCAAGACTCCATCTCAAAAAAAAAAAAAAAAAAAAAAGATACGTGGACACACACCCCGACACTGTACCACATGGTAGGTACAGACATCACCACCACCTGGCACATTTTAGGTGCTGAATCAGCATCTGTTTCCCTCTCCTGTAACCTCCTGTGGCATCAGCCTCCACCCTTGAACTTGGCTCCAGCCTCATTAGGGTTTGGCCAAGCCTTAGAAGTTGGAGGTGGACTCCCTGCAGTCTTGGGGACGGTTCCCAACACCAGGGTGGTAAGGAGGAATGGTCTTTAGCTTTGCAGGTCATGATTTCCCTTGAAGCACCTCGTAAACAGCAGGGCTGGCCCACCTCAATAAAATTTTACTCAGCGCTTGCAATTCCCCCAACTTCCTTCCGTAGCCAGATGCTGCCCTTTGCTGTGTGCTTAACTCCCCACTGACAACTGATGGCATTTAGATGCATTGTAGGGTGAGACCCAGAAGGCTGCTCATTAACATCGTCTATATATTTTAAGAGCCAAGAAACCATTTTTCTTGGACCTACCAATTATATAGGACACCATGCAGCTCCCTTCCAAATGTCGACCCACTCTAGATAGTTGAGGCTAAATCAACCAAGAAGGTGTATTAGCTTTCACCAGACCCATGGACAAATAATTCTTCTTACACTTCTAGGTAGCAATGTAACATTTTGCTTCCCAGAAACCAAAGCTCACATTTAAACACATGGCACCCAAGCCCATATTTCAGGAAAGGCCCTTTGTTAATTGTTCATAGGAAAGTAATCCAATAGGGTCTCCAACTTCCTGCTGCTGTTCATTCCACCTGCTGCTACACCTGGGCTTATTTATTCCACCCTGAATGGTTTTCTTTCCCCCAGCACACAGCCAGGCTGGTTCCTGCCTCCGTGCCTTGCCCAGGCTGTTCCCTGAGTCCTGAATGCCCTTCCTGCTCCTTCCTGCCTACCAAATACCTTAAATACATCCTTCAAACTCAGCTCAGATGGCGCTCCCTCCAAGAAGCCACCTGTAACTTCCAGAAAGTTAATGTCCCGCCACCCTGTGCCACTTCCTACCTCGTTTAGCACGTCATGTGGTACCATGACCACTTCCATGTCTATACGTGTATTTTGCCACGAGATCTGTTCCCAATGTTTTGTAAGGAACAAAGTAAGTGAGCAATGCATGTCTGGAGAATGAATAAATTCAGGAATCCCATTAATGACAGTATCTATCTGTTTAACAAATATTCATGGAGCACATACTAAGTGCTAGGGACTGAGGATACCACATTAAAGAAGAAGAAAGGACAGATTCCTGTCCTCATGGGGTTTATGTTCTAGATACGGGGAGAAAAAGTTACATACAAATAAACAAGATTATTTTAGATAGTGATAAATTTATGACAACAATAAAACAAGGCAATAGCATTACGGCCGGGCACGGTGGCTCATACCTGTAATCCCACCACTTTGGGAGGCCGAGGCAGATGGATCACCTGAGGTCAGGAGTTCAAGACCAGCCTGGCCAACATGGTGACACCCTGACTCTACTAAAAATACAAAAAGTAGCCAGGCGTGGTGGTCCAGCTACTCAGGAGGCTGAGGCATGAGAACTGCTTGAACCCGGGAGGCAGAGGTTGCAGTGAGCTGAGATCTCACCACTGCACTCTAGCCTGGGAAAAAGTGTGAGTGAGACTCCATCTCAAAAAATAAATAAATAAACAAAACAAGGCAATAGCATAGAGCAGAGATTAGCAAACTTTGACCAGTGAGTCAGATCCAGTCTACCACCTGTTTCTGTAAATAAAGTTTTATTGACACATAGACACGCCCACTAAGTTATTGCCTCTGACTGCTTTTGCCCAACAATGGCAGAGCTGAGTAGGTTTAACAGAGACCCTATGGCCCATAAGCCTACAATATTTCCTGTCTGGCCCTTTACAGAAAACATTCACAGACCTCTCATATGACTAAGGAGAGAGGAAAAACTTTAAGTAGGGTGAAAAGGGAAGGCCACTGTAAAAAGATGACATTTGAGTGAAGACCAGAATACTAAGAAGGTGTCAGCCATGCAAAAATATAGGGTAAAGCATCCCAGATAGAAGAAGGAACAAGTGCAAGGGCCCTGAGGCAGGATAGAGACAGAGAAAGGAGAGTGTGGCTTGGGAGTAATTAGGTGGTGAATGATACAAAATCAGGCATCATGGTAGGCAGAGCCCATGTGATGGGGAATCTCACAAGCTGTGGAAAGGGCTTCCTGCTAACACTCATGAATAATTCTGAAAGGCAGCGAAGGTATCTGGGATTTGGGCAGCAAGTGGTGAAATCGTGTCCACGGAAGAGAAGGGACGATAGCACCACCATCATGAATGAGGAAGTCTAAAATGTTGACGCTTGGCTCAAGACTTCTTTGCCACCACGAACAACATCTCCAAGTCAAGCTCTGCCTTTTGTTGTTGTTTGGTTTTTCTGAGACAGAGTCTGGCTCTGCCACCTAGGCTGGTGTGCAGTGGTGCGATCTCGCCTCACGGCAGCCTCCCAGGCTTAAGCAATCTTCCCACCTCAGCCTCCTGAGTAGCTGGGACTACAAGTGTGCACCGCCGCACCTGGCTGATTTCTTATTTTTTGTAGAGACAGACCCTCACTGTGTTCTCCTTGCTGGTCTCAAACTCAAGTGATCCTCCCATCTTGGCCTCCCAAAGCGCTGGGATTACAGGCGTGAACCATCACTCCCAGCTTCAAGTTCTGCTTTTCAAATGCGTCACCCCACATCCCCAACACAAGGTTGCCCAAATGTGCACAGAAGATGCTTCTACAACAGCTGAATCAGCATCCACATGTATCCTACCCACACTCTTTTTTGTATTTAAAAGACTCACTGTTTCTTCTCTTACATTCGTGTTTTAAAAGGAACCATTAGTTCACTTTAAAATCACAGGTTTAATAAGCCAGCTACATACATTTCACTTAAATACAAAAAGGTTTTTTTTTTTTTAAAACGTTCACCTGTCTACCACCTCAAATCATCTCAGCCACACTCTGGGAAACAATTGTTTAGAGTTCAAACCTATAGGAACCTCATTAATTTCAATCCACACCTAACTTCTGACAGTACTACCGGAGAGGCGGGGGTTTGGAGGACCTTTTTATTTTTTATTTTTTTGAGACAGCGTCTCACTCTGTCGCCCAGGCTGAAGTGCAGTGGTGTGATTTCGGCTCACTGCAACCTCTGCCTCCCAGGTTCAAGCGATTCTCACCCTCCTGAGTAGCTGGGATTACAGGCACACACCATCACGCACAGCTAGTTTTTGTATTTTTACTAGAGCCAGAGGTTCGCCATGTTGGCCAGGCTGGTCTTGAACTCCTGGCCTCAGATGATCTGCCCGCCTCAGCCTCCCAAAGTGCTGGGATTAAAGGCATGAGCCACTGCACCAGGACTGGAGTAGCTTTTGACCAGGACAGTGAGGACAGAGGACAGCTTGAGGGTGCAGCACAAGCTCTGGCGGCAGAGCTTACACCTGACCCTGTCACTTTCCAGCTGTGTGCTCTTGACCATGTTAAATCTGAGAGCCTCAGACTCCTGTCTATAAAATGAGCCAGGCTGAGGGGCTGTTGAGAGAATTAAGAGATGCACCTGACTTGGCCCAGGACCTGACCCATGCTAGATGCTCAATAAATGGTCACAGCTCTGATTACAAATGCATAATTATTTACAGTCATAATGATGATCATCAAAAGTCCTTTGGTCTCTCCAAAAGTGCTAAAAGCATCTCTTGTCATCAATGTGTCTGAGCTTTTGAGACATCTGTAGCCGCAGCCCACTCACCAACTGACATCCCCTTGCCGCCAGGGGTTTCGGGAAGCTTTCGGCCGTGTGGTAGTTTTCCACTGGGTTCACCAAACTAGGTCTCTTTTTTCTTGCTTTCCTTTTATTTTTTGTTTCCAAAAGGTTCCTGATTAACAATCTTTCAGAGAGGGAGGAGGAAAGAAATTACAGCAAATGTTCCTTTACTCTGGTCCCTGCTGGGCTGGGAGGCTGCTATTTCAGACTCAATCAGCTACCTGCAGGGTCAATGGATGAAATGCCTCCCCATAGGGATCAGGAGGATGCAGGGCCATTGGGAAGCTTCCACAGGGACCTGTGGCCTAAAAACCCCAACTGCTCAAAAGACTCAGGGACCTCAAACCTAAAGGGGATGGGAGCCCAATTTCTTTAAGAAGCACCCGTCTTTGAAAAGCAGCATTTCTCACTCTACCTCTGCAGGGGGAAAGGAGCAACATACATCCCCTGAAAGTAATTACCTTCAAGTTGTGAGGATCAAACGCCATCCTTAACTGGAGATAATCCGAAATTCACTTTGAAACCCCCTCTGTCCAAGCAGGCTTAAGTCTCTAACTGCTTAATTCAAGAAATCATTAAAAATGGTCTTTCTTTCCTTGCCACAAACAGAGTAAGGTAAGAGAAAGACAGCCAAGAAACCTGTTGAACTGCTGATGAGAAATGCGACAGCAATAAAATCACTGGCCCAAAATAATTCTGCCGCAGGTTAACTCAACGGCAAGTATGTTGCTCTCACCTCCAAGGATGGCGAATTCTTAAGTTCTTTTGTTCCAATCACCATCTTCCAGAAATGGCTACATTAAGTTGTAGGGCCTCATGTCAAACAAAAGTGGCAGCGAGGATGGTTACTTCTGTGTGTTAACTTGATTGGGCCACGGGGTGCCCAAATTAAACATGACTTCTGGGTGCATCTGTGAAGGTGTTTCTGGACGAGATTAACATTTGAACTGGTGAACTCAGTAAAGTACATGGCCCTTTCCAATGTGGGTGGTTATCAGCCAGTAGATGGAGGGCCCACAAAGAGGGAGAGAAAGAAATTTATTTTTCTTGCATTACTGCGTGAGCTGAGACATCCATCTCACCTTCTCCAGCTCAGACCGGGATTTACATTATTGGCTCCCTTGATTCTCAGACCCTTGGCCTGGGACTGGATTTCATGACCAGCTTTCCTGGGTCTCCAGCTTGCAGAGAGTAGCTGCAGGGACTTCCCAAACTCCATAATCATGGGAGCCAATTCCCATAATAATTTTTTTTTTTTTTTTTTTTTTGAGACAGAGTCTTGCTCGGTCGCCCAGGCTGGAGTGCAGTGGTGTGATCTTGGCTCACTGCAACCTCTGCCTCCCAGGTTCAAGTGATTCTCCTGCCTCAGCCCCCCAAGTAGCTGGGATTACAGGTGCCCACCACCGCGCTCAGCTAATTTTTGTATTTTTAGTAGAGACTGGGTTTCACCATGTTGGCCAGGCTGGTCTTGAACTCCTGACCTCAAGTGATCTGCCCACTTCAGCCTCCCAAAGTGCTGGGATTATAATACACAGGTTGAGCATCCCTAACCCAATCATCTGAAATGCTCCAGAATCTAGAACGTTTTGAGTACCACCATGATGCTCAAATGAAACGCTCACTGGAACATTTTGGATTTCAGAATTTCAGATTACGGGTGCTCAACCAGTAAGTATAACACAAAATATCCCAAATCTGAAAAGATCCAGAATGCACAAAGATTCTGGTCCCAAGCACTTTGGTTAAGAGACACTCAGCCTGTACATGGTTCTGTTTCCCTGGAGAACCAAACTAATACAGGTGCCTTGTTCAAAAATTATAAATTTCAAGATGGCGGCAGCAGAACATTAAACCAAGTGCAGGCCCATTCCTGGAGGGGCCCCCAGTCTTGCCTGCTTCCCTTTCCAGGGTGCCTCTCATGGCTCCTCTCCCTGTATTTTCCCAACCTAACCAGACCCTATGATCTGACAAAGGAATTCTTTTTTTCCCCACCCTAATTTGTGAATGTTTACATATGGTCTTCCAGATTCACAATCCATGAACCCCCTTGCTTGCAAAAAATAAAATGACATAAAAACAGAGCTAACCAGCCACCTCAGGGATCCTCAAAACCTTTTAGTTTGTAGACCAGAACCTGAAGCCTGAGCTTCTTTTAATTTTCATTATCTCATTCTAAGAGATAGTATCTAAAGTAAACTGGGGCTGAACAGCACTCATAACTTAGCTGAAAAAAGAAATGTAGAATGACCCAAAATGTATAATAAATGCAAAATGAGAAAAGCTAAACATGAAAAAGCTAGTAATTTAAAATATGTATAAGTAAATAAAAATAAAACCATCTCCAGAGCAGAGGTGGGCAAGCATTTTCTGTAAAGATCCAGGAATACACATTTTTGGCTCTGCAGCCCATAAAGTCTCTGTGGCAGCTACTCAGCTCTGCAGTGGAATGCTGAGTAGCCACAAAAAACAACACATACACGAGTGGGCGTGGCTGTGTTCCAATAAAGCTTTATTTATATAAACACTGAGCTGACTGGATGTGTCCTTCAAGGCCTTATTTTGCTGACCTATGGCTTAGAGCGGCGCTTCTCAAACTTCACGTGCACATCTATCGCCTGGGAATCTTGTGAAAATGCAAATTCTGACTCAGAAGGTCGGGAGTGGGGCTTGAGATTCTGCATTCCTAACAAGTCCCCAGGGGATGCTGAGGCTGCGTGTCCAAGGACCCCACTTTGAGAAGCAAAAGAGCACCCCCAGAAAAGAAAAGAAGGAAAACCTACTAAAGAACCCAAATTTAAGAAGCACTTAGCAGAACACAGTATAGAAAAGTAATTTATTTTCTCATCACCAAGGAACAGAGTTATGCAATTTAAGTGTATCTTCAGAAGGGGAATACCATGTCATTGGTGATCAAGGATGGAGTTAACTATCATTATCAGAAAGCAAAATGCTACACCGTTTTTAACCACCGCTGTGCATTTTCTGGTGGCAGTTAACACGGACATATAGCGATCAATGCAGGTAAACGAATCCATTCGAAGGCAGGCCATGGATGGTAAATCACGTTGTCCAATAAAGTTGCTAAATTAGCAACAGCGTGACACAGAGCATTTTTTATAAAAGCGAATCCTTTTTGGAAGGAGATGGACTGCAGGGGTGTGTGGCTAGCAAGACTGGAGGGTGGAAGGGAGAAGCAGCCATGGCTGCGGATCCTTCTGGGGTCTGGAAGCTCTGAATTTTGCTGGGGGATATAATGTGAAACCGGTGTGGAGGCTTTTCCTGTGTGTTATCAAGGCCCCAGTGAGGGTCTGTTGCCCACAGGCAGATACCAATGGTTGTATTTCACACACAGCGGTATTTAATAAACCTCTTCACCATCCAGTTTATAAGAAGATAAAAAAAAAATGGCTGGTTCCACTCAAACACTGCTGGCAGGAATGCAGAATGGCACAGCCACTTTGGAAGACACTTCAACGATTTCTTAAAAAGTTAAATATAAATTTGCCATGTGACCCAGGAATCCTGCTCCCAGGAATCTACCCAAGAGAAATGAAAACATATGTCCACACCCAGACTTCTATGCAAATGCTCATAGCAGCGTTATTCACAACAGCCCCAAAAGCAGAAAAAACCCAGTGTCCATCAGCCAGTGAATTAGTAAATAACATGCCGTATATCCTTACAGTGGAATACTATTCAGCAATATACGACTACACATATAGACCTCAAAAACATCACGTGATAGCCAGTGCAAAAACCACATACTGCATGCTTCCATTTATATAAAATATCCAGAATAGGCAGATCTATAGAGACAGCAGATTAGCGGGTGCCTGGAAATGGACTCCGATTGGCATAAGGAGTCTTATCAGGGTTATGAAAATGTCCTAAAACTAGATTATGGTGTTGGTTGCACAGCTCAGTAAGTTTACTAAAAATTATTGCATAGAACCCTTGAAATGTGTAAATTTTACAGTATGTAAATCACATCTCAATAAAGTTGTTTAAAAAAATGGTTCCCATTATATCTTTCCCTTTTTCATCGCTCACCTCTCTAGTCCTTAAATAACATAGAGATCCTGTAGACTGCAATAAACCCAAAGACACGCTGGTTGTTCTAGAGGAGGCTAAAGCAAGTCTTCCGACCCAAGCAGATACGCTGGAGATGGCACATCAATTGTCTTGTCAAAAGAGGAAAAAAAAACACGCAAGGGCCACGTATTTGATTTTTACAGTGAACGATGAATTCATCTGTGGTCAGAGCATCACTCGGGCAGAGACGGGCAGTGCCCTCGAAGATGCCTCCAAACCCACAGCCTCCAATCCCAACCCAATCCCAGCCCAGGAGCTTCCAAAGACCTAAGCCCTGAGGAGAATGGGAATCAGGAGTGACGGTAATGATGACAAAGGCTCAGCCCATCAGCTGTGTTAGAAAAAAAAAGGAAGAGAAAACTTGCTAAGTGGAGAGCCAAATTCACCTCGCCCCACATGCAGCCACGCCCAAAACTCCCATGCCCACCCAACAAGCCATGTCTTTTGAACCATGCTATCACCCCGAAAAGTGACTCTTTTGAGGTCACACTCTGATGGCAGAAAAAACTCCCATGTGCTTGGAAGGAAATGAAAACTCTAGTGATATACCTTTGGCTTGCCTCCAGATGGAGAAAGAAAATCTTAAGAAATGTTGAGCTATTGCAACATCCCCTTTTTGGGAAAAACAATATTTCCAGCAGATGGGAGAATCATAAAAAGTAAGGAAGCACGGTCGGGAAGGGTTGCCTAGAATGATCCACAGTGTCTGCAGTGGCCATCTTCCCCCAGCCCACTTCAGAATCCACAAACACGCATGATGGTAGCAGCCAGCTCAGGGTCAAAGACAGAACTTGGGGCTAGAAACTAGGACTTGGGATGGCCCACAAGTGGGTCCAGCCATGACCCTGGTCATCTGGGTGCTGGGTAGTTGAGCCTACCAGGTACAGAAGGAACCCCGCCGAGGAGGCTTTGGGGTCTGAAGAATGGAATTTGGGCTCCAGCGAGGGACTTAACAGCATTTCCTCTATAGCCTCAAAGGTATTTGAATCAGGAACACTAGCTTCACAGCCAGAGGCCTGATAATCTCCTTCTCCCCTTTCATTGAAAAAGAAAATATCTAAGATACTGGAGAATACAGTAAAATCCTTAACTCTGTTCCCCCACCCCCGCTTTTTTTTCCTTCATTCCTAGCGGCAAGGCTGGATAAGCTTATCAAGAGCAGGCAAACTACATCTTAGCTCTGATCCTTTCGAGAAATCCATTTGGCGCCTTTAACGTTTCATTTGGCAGATTGAATTTCGGGCATGTATTTATGGGACTGGGTTTGCCCTTAATAGAGTATTGCATAAATCCCATTACAGTATCCACTTCAGTGTGTTTGGGGTTTTCTAAGCCAGGGCTTTATCTAAGTGGACAGCATGGGAATGACCCACTCTGGCTCAGAAACTCCCGCCTCTGCCCTGGAACCAACCTTTGCAGATTGCCTCCATCATCATCAATGTCAAATGATGTTTTGGGAAAAGTTCTGGGAAGGGTCAGAATGAAGCATGTCCCATCCACAAAGAAGGTGGTGACAAGCGTGTCATCACCTGCTAGTAAATTACAGGATTTCCTTCCAGGAACCACCTCGCTCCACATCCCTCTTCCTTCTGGCAACAGCCAGAGAAAGTCTGTTATCCACACAATGCCTTTCTGTCTTTCGTAAGTATGCAATGATGAAGATGCATTACTTGTCATTTCTGAAAACAAAACAATTATTAAGAAAAGTGAGCTATAAACAAAACAGATCAGGCTTAGCAACCCTGAATAAGCCAGTTCTCTGTAACCCTCAAGTTAATCATTTAAAAAAACAATGGGGCCAGGCACAATGGCTCATGCCTGTAATCCCAAAACTTGGGGAGGCCAAGGCAGAAGGATCACTTGAGGCCAGGAGTTCGAGACCAGCCTGGGTAACATAGCAAGACCCCATTTCTACAAAAATAATACTGATAATTACAAAATTAGCCAGGTGTGGTAGCACACATCTGTAGCCCCAGCTACTTGGGAGGCTGATGTGGGAGGGTCTCTTCAGTTCAGGAGTTCAGGGCTATAGTGAGCTATGACTGCACCACTGCACTCTAGCTTGGGCAACAGAGCGAGACCCTGTCTCTAAGAAAAAAAAAAAAAGAAGAAGAAGAAGAATGGAATTAGCAATCCCAACAACACAGGTGTGGAGTTTTAATGCAGATGAAAGAAGAAAGCATGCTTAGCTCACAGGAGGTGCTCAGTGACGCTTGGCCCATGCACTCATGGCACACACCTTAGTTCATCTTTCCTAGCTGGCTCTTTCTTGGCAGGGCTGGACAGGCCACTTACTTCCCAGGCAACAAGGCAGAGATGCCTGTAAGATGCCTTCTGCGTACATGGTTCAGGTCCGGCGTGGCACGCACCATATGCAAGAGTCAGGGGTTACACCAGGCTGAAGTGTCAGTACATTAAGAACCATTTCCTTCCTCCTGGGATCTGTCCTGGAAGCACGCACAGAACTCTCCATTCACTGACTTTTCACATAAATAGACTCCAAAGCAGAAATGCATGGAAAGGGGCTGACAGCGGGCCTCAGAGCCCCACATAAAGCTAAAGGAAAGCCATTTGGCCTTCTGGAACCTTCTTTTACCAAGGCACACTGTCCCCTCACCCCCTACAAGAACCCAGCAATCCATTATCTGGTCACTTTCTTCTACGACACAAGCAAGTTTTTAAAAAAGGCAACGGCAGCTGCAGTAAACGAAGAAGTGTACGTGATGAGGGCCCTTTGGGCTATTTCAGGCTCTGTCCCTGCCTGAAGGTGGCTGTGGGTTTGGTTACATCTAAGTTGGGCCTCAGAGCTTGTGAAGGTAAATGCTTCCTGATGAGAAGGAAAAAAAAAAGTCTAAGGAGTCTTCATTGATTCAACCGACATCTACAAAGTTCCTACTATGTGCCAGGCTCCAGCAGGTGGCCAAAGGGAACCTGGTATACTAAAGACCTGGTGCCCTCTCTCCAGGGCTGAATCCTCCAAGGATTCTCTCATTGACTTTATTTTCATCTTACATCACCCGTGAGCAGCTGGGGTAGATGTTGTGCAGTTACTGAAGAATTTGTATGTACTATAGGAGGCATGAAGAATGCATGACTTTATTTACTTCCAACTAAAGGCAGGAAGTAGTAGTAATGTCTCCACTGATATGGTTTGGCTGTGTCCCCACCCAAATCTCACCTTGAATTGTAATAATCCCCACATGCCAAGGGCGGGGCCAGGTGGAGATAACTGAATCATGGGGGCCGTTTCCCCCATCCTGTTCTCATGGTAGGGAATAAGTCTCATGAGATCTGATGGTTTAATAAATGGGAGTTCCCCTGCACATGCTCTCTTACCTGCCATCAAGTAAGACATGACTTTGCTCCTCGTTCGCCTTCTGCCATGATTGTGCGGCCTCCCCAGCCATGTTAGAACTTCGAGTCAATTAAATCTCTTTCCTTTATAAATTACTCAGTCTCGGGTATGTCTTTATTAGCAGTGTGAGAAAAGACAATTACACGGTCTAAGAGATGAGCATGTCAAGGCCCAGAGAGATGAAGTGACTTGCCCAAGGTCATACAGACAGGAAGGGGTAAAGGGATTTGAACCAAGGCTGTCTGGCTCCAGAGTCCCCACTCATTGCCATGATATCGCCTTGCTTTCAGGAGTTTGCTGTGGTCTGATCTCAGCACTACCACCGTGGCTGGCACATAGTAGGGGCGTGGATGGCACATAGTATGGGCCCAGGCAGCATTGGTGAAACTGAATTTGATCATCTTATTTAAAGCTACTGCAATCACATTCAGCTTTTAAGCTACGGGTTGGGAACGAGGTCATTCTATAAAAATGGAAAGCAGAAATTTACCCTGAGGAATTTTTTAGAGTTAGGGATAGAAGTCCAAAAGGGAATCTACTTCAAATGACCAGAGAGCTAAGACATGACCTCAATACAATATGATTAAATGAGATGCAGTGGAGAATTACATAACAGTTCAGAAACACAATTTACATCTCCACTGGTGCTTTCCTTTTTATTAAACTAGCATTTCTGTTACGCTGACAATACAGAAGAGCAAGGTCTTCTGGAACTGTTTGGCTTACACAGGCGTGAGAGAAGTGAAGACTTATTCCATTCACTGGGTAACATATGGGTTTCCCAGAGAGAAAGTCCACACAGCCATGCATGTGAAATGGGTGATGATAACAATAGTAATTGCTGACCCTCTTGAGTCCTTCCTGGGGGCCAGACCTGTGCGAAATGATCCACCTGCATTAGCTCATTGAATCCTCATGAGAACCTTCTGTGGCAGGTAAACAGTATGGGTCCCATTTTACAGATCCGAAAACTGAGTGAAGCCGAGCTCTAAACTCAGGCCATCTGTCTGAGGCTCTCAGTCCTTAGACTACATTTGGAACACTTTACTCAAAGAACACCAATTATGATAAGGAAAAAAGAAAAAAAACGATGCTTGCCAAAATCCAGACATCTCAGACATGAAGGCAAGAGATCCGGAACCATCTGGGCCCGTGTAGGGTACAAGCTGCCGGCTTCCCACTTTAATACCATTCCCTTGGGCTAAACTCCCACATGTGGCCACAGAAACCCACTTTTCAAACCCGGCATCCTCCGCCTCCAATCGTATTTGGCTCCACAGAAGCCAAGAAGGCATTTGGGGACAAGCAATCTTTATCTGTACCAAATGTTTATTGGAGCCACTCCAGGAAATGGTCCCACGTGAAGCCAATGTGCACGATGTCACCCACATCTGCTTGGAATGCACTTGTATCTACATTGCAATGCTCAGAGTTACATGTCTCTTGAAACGCCACCCTGCACAGCTATCACCTGGTCCAACAAGAATAACAGCCTACTGTTCGTGGAGCGGTTGTTTAGATAAAGAGAAGAGAGGGAAGGAGGAATCAGATCGCTCCTTCAAAATACCTCTCCCCATGCACCAATTACAGAAAATTGTTCTGGGAGGCAGGAGGAGCTCTCCAAAGTGTTTAGGAACACAAATCTGGCAAGTTTAAAAAATACAGTGAAGTTCACTTTCCTGAACTCCAGCATCATGTCCTCAAAGCTAAATCATACTGAGCAGTATTTGCAGCAAAGAGGCTGAATACTGGTTGCCGCACGGTGCAGTCAGCCTTTCTGGACGGGATCATACATACTTACCAACAGAATTCTTGAGGTTTGCAGAGGAACCAAAATTACAAACTATCAGAAGAAGAAAAACCCTCACATCAAATGCGAATGGAACATTCAGGAAGAGAGAAAGGATTAAAGAAATGGAAAAGACGAAAACCTTTCCCACTGGGTAGAAGGAAGGAGCACTGGTTTCCAAAACCACTAAGGGGCCCTTAATGGCCAGAGAGGGAGAATATTTAAAAAGGTCTGCAATTCTAGAATTTCCCCACAGATGAGATCAGGCATCTGTGAGACGAACCTAATCGCAGAGGAAAACAGGAAGAAGATGATGATGTTAATAGCGCTCTCCCCTAACTTTGGTTTGGTGGCTGACCCAACCCATAGCATTTTTATAGCCATTATTTCATTCAATATGGTAATTGTGAAGGTAAGAGATAGCATGAATGACCACTACTCTTGTACTTCACCAAAAAAGCCTATTGTATGGGACACTGATGTCCTCATTGGGGCAACTATGGCCAAGGTAAATGTTAAGTGGAGGCCAGATTAAACATACGCTACGTAAGAGTGGAGGACTGTCAGATACTTGACTATATGTAAGGTAGACACTGATAGCATGGGTGCCTGAATCAGACTACCAGCGTTCACATCTGTATCAGTTCATTCCCGCATCCCTAGAAAGAACAACTTGAGACTGGATAATTTATGAAGAAAAGAGATTTAATTGACTCAGTTCCACAGGCTGTACAGGACGCATGGCTAGGAGGCTTCAGAAGACTTACAATCATGGCAGAAGGTGAAGGGGAAGCAAGCATATGGTGGCAGGAGAGAGAGAGTGAAGGGGGAGGTGCTACACACTTCGAAACCATCAGATCTCATGAGAACTCACTCATTATCACGAGAACAGTAAGGGGAAAGTCCGCCCCCATGATCCAATCACCTCCCACCAGGCCCCTCCCTCAACACTGGGAATTACAATTCAACATGAGATTTGGGTGGGGACACAGAGCCAAACCATATCAGCATCCAAGCTCAACAGCTCACTTACTAGGTGATCTTGTATGAGTCAGTACACCTCCATGTCTGTTTTCTCATTTATAAATTAGATCTGATCATTGAAATTAAAGAGTTGTCATAAGGATGAGTGCAATACAGAAATATTGGTAAATTCTGGTAAATACAGAAATTTAAGCTGTTATCAAATCATTGTCATCATCATAGTGGCTAAAAGTTAGTGAAGCAATGATTTAGATCAAGTATGGCAGGCACATGGCATACGTGGCACAATTTCTTCCTCCTGCATCCATGGTGGACATGGCTAGTTGATTGCAGAACTTTGCCTTTAAACTCAGATGCAGCCTCAGAATTGGTCACACAGAGTTCCAGTTATCCCCAAACAAAGTTGACGGACAGATGGGTGAAAGATTTTTTGCTACCCTCTAGAACCTCATCAGAAACCAGATAAAACCAGCCGCTCCCAGAGAAACAGTCACTTCTTGTTGGATAGTGGAAAAGAGCGGCTCCCTAAATTACAGTCATCCTTCCAAAGACCGACATAATTTTGCCATATCTGCATGTATTGTGTGCTATTATTTATGCAATGTTTATTTGAATATATTTAAAAGAGAAACTTATACCTGCATCCCAAATGAAAAATGAGTTGACACAAGCCCTAAACAGAAGATAATGTGAAAAGAAAGAAAAGAAAGGAGGAATGGTACTGTTGTAATCCGGCTAGAAAACACTGTAGTAGTAGGTTCTGAATGTCTGCTTTCCATTGTTAAAAAGGGAAACTGACAAGTTTTAGAAAGGTGATAAAGATGTGCTAACAACAAACCGAGACTTCCTCTTTGACTCAACCACTTCCTATAAGATTCAATGTCATTTAAATTGTGCCAAGGTACCTGTAGTAGGCAGCTCCTAAGATGGCCCCAAGGATACCCACTCCAGTATCCCCACTCCCACCCAAATCCATCCGGAATGTGAGCCAGATTTAGTCACTCACTTCTAATAAACAGAAAAAATACAGAAGTGATGGTATTCCACATTCAAGGTTTGGTTCTAAAAAGACTGCAGCGTATTAGGTGCATCTTAGGTGCTGTCTCTCCCATATTCTCTCTTAGATCCTTGGCTTTTGGGGAATCCAACTGTCATGTTGTGAGCTTCCCTATGGTTAGGACCTGTAAGAGGCTTCCAGCTAACAGCCAGCAAGGAAGGAACTGGGGCCCTTGGTGCAACAGCCCATGCAAAACTGAGGCCAGCTAACAACTACGTAAGTGAATTTGGAAGCAAATCCTCCCCAGTAGAACTTTCAGATGAGACCAAAGATCTGGCCGTCAACATGAATGCAGAATGAACTGATAACCTTCATAACATTTTCTAATTAACACATATTCATTGAGAAAGCAAAGATTCAAGAGATGCACTGAACCAGAGCACGCTGCTTGCTCACCCATACAGGCAAACAATAAGTGGTAAGTATCAGAATGACTTCCTGGATGAGAATTTTCATGTACACATACACACATAATTACAGTCAGCACAACTGCATTCAATGTCAGCCATTTCTATCAGCTCTTTCTCGTTCTTTGATCTTAATTACATGAACAAGTAGCAGACCATGAGCCTTAGAGGCCTGTGGACCTGAGTTCCAGTGCCCCCTCTGCCCCTAATGAACTGTGTGGCCTTGAAATAGAAATGGAATCTTATCCGTTCATCTGCAGAATCTGGATACTAAGTTCCACTTCACATGTCAATGAAAGGAATAGATGCATTTGTATTTGAATGTGATTAGCATGGTTTATGGTTGCCTAAATAAAATATAAGCTTCCTAGTGTAATATTCTCCATGGACTACTGCTCTCTGCTACGATCTATAATAACCCAGGCTGGAGAAGTCCAGTAGGGGTAAGTTTCACACTTTGGGTCAGGGGAGTCAGCACTGCATAGAAATCTAAAGCAAAGGTGGCTGAACGAGAAAAGCTAAGTTCCAACACTTACTAATGGCGTGGCTGTGAGCATGGTACCGACCCTCATCTGTAAAACGGGCATAACCAGTGCCTACCTATGTTCTGATGGCTGAATGAGATAATATAGTTAAGGACTCAGAGTAGTGCCAGGCACACAATAAAACAAACAAATGTTACATATTTTGTCAAAATTATCATTAATTTTTTTGAGATGTATTCTTGCTTTGTCACCCAGGCTGGAGTGCCTCAGCTCATGCCTCCGCACTCCAGCCTGGGCGACAGAACGCCTCCCAGGTTCAAGCGATTCTCCTGCCTCAGCCTCTCGAGTAGCTGGGACGACAGGAAAAATTATCATTTATTGTTATTATCACTATCATAATTTAATTCATAAGTGGTTATATAGAGACCTTTATGATAAATCCAGCTCACTGAAATGTTTTGTTTGGCCACACAGGGTGTTACTGAAAAAAACACAAAACTGAATTAGTTGTTAATATTTATTAAATATTGCACTAAAAAAAAGGAAATTTCCGGTTGCTTTTAATACCTGAAAGAATGGATAACCCTGGGCCTGATTCTCTTACAGTCACAGGCAGTGGAGCCAAGAAGCAACAGTCCACTGCCTCTGCTCTTCTGTCCACCAAAGTCCTCACCATTCCCTATCGCCCTGCACCTGTCCTAGAGTACCAACTTACTTCTCCTGGCCTCAAGGGAATTGGGACTTTGGACTCTTGTTTTAATTCCTTAAAGTCCTGCCTTAAATTTCAAATTCTTGGATGATTTTTTTAAATAGCAGGTACTCTAAGTAGCAATCGCAAGAACAGATCTTGAATAAGATTAAGTCTCCCTCAGGAAATCCTCAGCAACACTAAGTGTCAGATAATGGCTGAGGATAAAGATAGGATCATTATCAAAAGGAGGATAAAGATCCAGCTCTCTACAATAACCCTCCACACGTGACCCAAAAATGAGCTTCCAGAGCTTAAACGTCAAAGCGTTAAAGTTATTTTTGCCATCCCCTTCTGTGATGGTTAATTTAATGTATCAACTTGATGTGGCCACAGAGTACCCAGATAGTCAGTCAGACATTCTTCTGGGGTGTCTTTGAGGATATTTCTGGTTGAGATTAACATTTGCACTGGTGGCTGATCCACCCCCATGTATGGTGAGCTCCTCTGCCTGGCTTCTTGAGCTGGGAAACCTGTCTTTTCCTGCCTTTGAGTTCAGATGAAAACATTGGCCCTTCCCAGATCTTGAGACTGCTGGTTTTCAGACTGGAACAACACTCTGGCCCTCCTGGGACCCAGCTTGCCACCGCAGGCCTTGGGACTTCTCAGCCATCATACTTGTATGAGCCAATTCCTTATAATGAAACTGTATGCGTGTGTCTCATATACATCCCATTGGTTGTTTCTCTGGAGAACCCTGACTAAAAAAGCTGTTATCAAATTGATAGTGCAGAGCTTACAACTCATTGCAGATCAGAATCAAAAGTGTTAAAGTGATTTTTGCCCACCTACCCCCCACCTCCATGATGGTTAATTTTAGGTGTCAACTTGACTGGGTTATGGGGTGCCCAGATATTTGGTCATTCTTCTGGGGTGTCTGTGAGGGCGGTTCTGAATGAGATTAACACCACATATTGCCCCACATATTTAAGTTGAGGAGCCTCAACTCTCTGCAGACTTATCACTGCCACAGGCTGCCTGGAGCATTTTTAGACCCTGGAGGTTCCACAGCTCTGGATTCTCAATGAGCCCATGGATTCCCCCACCTTGAGAGAGGGGGCAAGGACCACCCCAGGGGATGCTGGGAAGAACTGCAGAGCATCCTCCAATAAGCCTTTGCAGCTCTCTTCCCTCTTCCCCATCTCCTGAGCCCAGCTTTCTGCATCCTCATTCTTTTGGAGGAAAGACAAAAACAAGATCGCCTTATTCCTACTCAAATTAGCAACTTCATGGCTTAACCTTCCTCCAAAACTAAACTGAGAGTGGCAATATAGGGGATTTGGATTTTCTTCTTCACATATTCATCTCCTAAATGTTTCTCGGTGAACGTGTGTTACTTTAATCAGCAAAGATGATACAAATTATTGATTCATTCTGCATTCACTCTATGAGAGGCAGAGTTAGCTCAGCATTTGAGGACTGGACGCATTGGAGCAGACCGCTTGGGTGCAAATCTCGACTCAACTCTGTGACCTCAGGCAAGGGTCTTAAATGCTTTTGTAAAATAAGTATGAAAATTGTAGTTACCTCACAGGGTGGCAGAGATTAAAAGTTAATTGAAGCAAAGGAATTGGCATGTGCCTGACAAATAGTAAATGCTCAGTAAGTACTTGCTACCTATATTATCATCATTTTATAGTATGTATATATAGTATGATATAAAATATAAACATACATGATATAGTATCTGATATGGTTTGGCTCTGTGTCCCCACCCAAATCTCATCTCGAACTGTAATCCCCGTGTCGAGGGAGGGACCTGGTGGGAAGTGATTGGATCATGGGAGTGATTTCCCCCATGCTGTTCTCATGATAGTGAGCGAGTTCTCACGAGATCTGATGGTTTAAAACTGACAGTTTCCCCTGCATTGTCTCTCTCTCCAGCCACCATGTAAGATGTGCCTGCCTTCCTCTTTGCCTTCCACCATGATTGTAAGTTTCCTGAGGCCTCTCCAGCTATGCGGAACTGTGAGTCAATTAAACCTCTTTTGTTTATAAATTATCCAGCCTCAGGTGGTACCTTTATAGAAGTGTGAGAATGGACTAATACAGCATATATTAAGTTCCTGCTACATGACAGGCATTAGAAACGTAGTGATACAACTAATCACCTAACCCCATGGGTCTTAACCTATCTAGCAGGAGTGGGACATTATATAAATACACACCTCTTTCTGTTCCAGGATCCAATCCAAACTGCTTTGCACTTTGTCATCATATCTAGACTAGAGGGTTTTCTTTTTGAAAGCTCAAAGCTGATCCTTTTCCTGCTTTGAGCTCCCAATACTTTTCCATGACACTCTCAATAAAATCCAAACTCCTTGCTTTGGTCTCAATCTCAAAGCTCCCCATATTTTCACCCACTGACCCCTCTTCCTTTCCCCCACCAGGCTCCCCTCACTCAATGACCACCAGGCACACTGGCCGTTCATCAACTCTTTGAATCCCAAGCTTCCTCCAGCCTTCACATTTTCTGTGCCTCCTGGCTGGAAATCTGTTTCCTCAGAGGTCCTCATAATGTTTCCTCTTCATGTTTAGGTGTAAGTGCGAATATCACCTCCTCAAGGAGGCCTTCCCTGGTCATCCCAGCCAAACAAGTCTCAGCCCACCATAGTCACCGTCTAATACACAGTGGTTTTTAGAAGACCACTAATTGCTAAACTAATCCTATTTATATGTTTATAATTTACAGTCTAACCCTCAGTACTGGAGTATAGGGACCTTTTCTATCTTGTTCACTACTTTTTTTGTCTTTTTGAGACAGGTTCTCACTCTGTCACCCAGGTTGCAATGGTGATCACAGCTCACTGTAACCTCAAACTCCTGGGCTTCAGTGATCTTCCTGCCTCAACCTCCCAAGAAGTTGGGACTACAGACACATGCCACCATGTCCAGCTAACTTCTTCTTCTTTTTTTTTTTTTTAATAGAGACAGAGTCTCACTATGTTGCCCAGGCTGGTCTGGAATTCCTGGTCTCAAGTGATCCTCCCGCCTTGGCCTCCAAAGTGCTGGGACTACAGGCACAAGACACCATGCCCAGCTCACCATTTTATTGTAGGTGCCTAGGAGAGCATGCTGCACATAGTAGATGCTCAATAAATATTTGTTAAAATAAATACTATTGGAAGGAATGAATGGATGAAGGACAGGCATATATTTTCAAATGTTCACAGATGTGTCGCAAGAACCTAGTGCAGTGCCTGGCACATAGTAGGTGCTCAATGAGTACTTGTCAAAATACAGACTGAGGGAATGAATGGATAAAGGGCAGACATGCACTTTCAAATGTTCATTGATGTGTCCCTAGAACCTAGCTATGGCACCTGGAGCATAGTAGGTGCTCACTAAATATTTGGTAAAATAAAAATGGGTTAGAAGAGTGAATGGATGAAGGGAGGACACCATTTGTTTTTTTAGACAGGGTCTCACTCTATCACCCAGACTGAAGTGCAGTAGCACGATCTCAGCTCACTACAACCTTTGCCTCCAGGGCTCAAACAATCCTCTCACCTCATCCTCCCAAGTAGCTAGGACCACAGGCACCAACATGCCAGGCTAATTGTTTGATTTTTGGAAAGACAGGGTTTCACTATGTTACCCAGGCTGGTCTCAAGGAGCCTGAGCTTAAGAGATCTTCCTGCCTCAGCCTCCCAAAGTGCTGGGATTACAGGCATCAGCCACACTTGTTCACTGATACGTCCCAAGAACCTAGCCCAGTGCCTGGCACGTAGAGGCTGCTCCATAAATATTAATATTTGTCAGATGAATGGCATTTGAGTGAGCACCATCCATTGTTAAAGAAAGAGGTGACCACATAGAGTGAGTCGGCTGGAGGCCACTCTTCTGCCCAAGGGCCTCTCTCAAGAAGTCACCAGAAAGGAAGGCTGGGAGCCCTTCCTGGCAGCTGCCAGAACATCTGTCTAGAGAGGCCCCGGGCTCACCTGGGCTGCGTGGAGGCCTGGGCTGGGCTCTTTTGAGCGACTCTCACTACTGGCTCAGGAAGTTCCACCCAGTGCCGCCCCAGCATGGAGGCTCCTCTGTGGCCTCAATGCAAACTCGCCTCAGAAAAGGCAGCTGATTAACACGCGTGGAGGGTCTATTGTCTGAATCCCGTCACCAGCGGAGAAACAGCTGTTTATAGTTTGTTTATTCCTCTCCCTTTGGAGCCCACGGGAGGAAACACAAGCGCTTGTTCTCAGGGGCACCATTCAGCAGCTGAAGTGAGTGAAGAAAACGGTGTTTATTTTTAATGGGATAAAGAGGGGGAACTCTTACAAAGTTTGGACACTAGCAGGGAGACCGCTCTTCAGGAGGCACCAGGCCTTGTGGTGATGTGTTGCACCCTGCCTCTCGAGGGATGCTCAAGAGTCTATTCCAACTCCCAGCTGGAAACTCAGGCTCGGGCCACGGTGGTCGGTCAAACAGTAGACTTGGGTGAGCACCTATAGATATGAGAGATCTAGAAAAGCTCGTCAGGCTTGAAAATGAGAGAGCAAGATTTCTTTGGAGAGCAACCACCTGCTATTTAATATAGGTGACATCCTATAAAGGGCTGCCAAGCCCAGTTGTGCAGGCTGGGCACTGCACAAAGGTGTCCAGCTGAGGGAGAAATCCAGCCTCTGTGAGCTGCTCATCAAGCCATGCTCCACAGTTTCAAAAATAAATACATACATAAATAAAGATGACTAAGTGAGACAACAGCAGTCTCACAGATATATAGATGTATTTATGTACTTCATCTTTAAATGCTCACTTATTGACTCTTCACAATAACCTTTCAGATTAGGGACCACTGTCATCCTCACTTTACAGATGGCACACTGAGGCAGAGAGAGGGAACCTGACTGCTCCAAGCTCATCCAATTAGGAAGGAGTGAATCCAGGATTCAAACCCAGGCTCTTGGTTTCCATCAACAGGTGATGCTGCCTCTTCTAGGAAAAAAAAATGGCTCAACAAGCCCCAGAGTGTCATATTCAGAAAACACAGTGCCCCTCCCAGTCTTGGGAGTGAGACCTGCTTTCAGAAACACCCATGTCTTCCCTCGATTCTGCAGGTGATCAGGCTGGAAGGAGGTAGGCGAAGACCCCATCGTCTGCATTACAAGGAACTCCTTCTAAAGACTCAAAAGATTTGCTCTGAACTGGTGAAAGTCTGGGGACTCCCACTCAGCCTGGAGACTCAACCAACCCTCAGCGGGGAACAGCCCAACCCAACCAGAGCTGAGGCCACCCGCTGCTCCCTTCTCAGGGCCCAGGGTCAGCCAAGGCCATTTTCAAGTGCGGGGGACTGCAGCCAAACTCGCTGAACCAGACCCAGGGGAGCCCAAGAGGGACCTCTGGACTCAAGGGAAGAGGACGCTCTCATCCCTGTCTACTCTCCCACCCACCCCCTCCTCCCCTCCATCCCTCCCTCCTTCGGAGAGCCTCCACATTCGAATCTCCGAAAATGGTTTTCACAACTCAGTTAGCAGCAATCAATTATTCACGACCTCGCTTCCCCACCAACTCATAGACTGTCACTGTTAGCAAGATAATTTCTGGACTCTGCCCAACAGCCCTGCTCTAAACCAAGCGGCCTGCTATTTATTTCCTCTCTTCCCTAAGACCCTCCCAATGCCCACCAACCACTATCACTCTCAACACAGGACAGAGAGACAGATGGGAAGTCCCCTGGGTGCCTGTAGCCTGGGAGGGACCTGACAGCCAGGGGCTGCTCCCAGCCCACGTGATACATTTCAGGCTTGGGGCAGAATGTCTGACCTTAGTTTAATCCAACTGGAAAACAGGACTCAAGCATTCTAGACCCTGTGCCAGGCTCTGGGACAAATCCCACATTATTTTATAAAACGCTTTAAGCTCCGAAAACATTGTGTCCTGCACAAAGCATGACTTGGGAGGGTCTCCCAGACATGCCGTCCTGCTGCTGAGTTCATGGGTCAAAGACATTTGGAACTTGGCAGGGGCTCATATTTTAAGACTACCACTAGCATTTCCATCCTAGAAGCTTGAAGCTGTCTTTAGGAACATATTCCTACATCCCAGGGAGAAGGAGAGAGGTGCTTATGGGATGCTCTTGGAAAAAGAGTTTCAGCCTATGTCGTAAGACCCATGGAGGGTGGTTGGATAGCAGCTCTGCTGTGTGAACAAGCGACCTTCCACGAAAGCCACTTTTCACCCTCTAAGCCTCAATGTCCACATTTGTAAAATGGGAGAATATGAGTACTACTTCTGGGGCTGCAGTAAGAGTTTTAAAAAATGAGGCATTTAAAAAACACCCAGTACCTTGCTTGGCACATTGTGGACATTGTGGCCTCTGTGCTTCATTGTAAGACCCTGTCGCTTGTGACATGCATCATTGATTGAATAACAATTTGGGGCAAAAGGGTGTGTGCTGAAACATTAAGGAAACATACACATCAATTGTAAAATTCATCCCAGATTTCAGAAAGGCTATTTACTAAATATTAAAAATGTGTATCTTTGGCCAGATGTGGTGGCTCACACCTGTAATCCCACCACTCTGGGAGGCCAAGGCGGGTGGATCACTTGAGGTCAGGAGTTCAAGACCAGCCTGGCCAACATAGTGAAACCCCATCTCTACTAAAAATACAAAAATTAGCCAGGCGTGATGGCACATGCCTAAAATCCCAGCTACTTGGGAGGCTGAGGCAGAATTGCTTGAACCCGGGAGGCGGAGGTTGCAGTGAGCCGAGATTGCGCCACTGCACTCCAGCCTGGGCGCAGACAGAGCAAGACTCTGTCTCAAAAATAAAATAAAATAAAATGGCTGTGAGCCTGGGCGACACAGTAAAAAATGTGCATCTTAAAATGAAGCATATTATCATTATTATCATTATTACAATTGCTGTATTCATTTTAGGTGGGAAAATGCATACAGAGAAGCTATGTGACTGACCGCAGGCCACACAGCCAGCAACACAATCTAGTCCCCACACAGCTCCAGAGGAAGGAGGGAGAGGAAGAGGCAGAGTTGACCAGGCAAATCTCCCTCATCCAATTCCTCCTCCTCCTACAAGAATCAACAGTAATAATAATAATGGAAGATGAGGGTGAGGGGAGGTGGAGGGGGGAGGAGGAAGAGGGGGGAGGAGGAAGAGGGGGAAGGGGAGGAGGGTGGAGGAGGAGGAGGGCAGAGGAAGAGGAAGAGGAGGAGGAAGCAGCAGCAGCAGCATGTTATGGTGCTTAATACAGGCCCAGACACTGTGCTAAATGAGGTGCATGTATTAACTCATTTATTTCTCCTGACAACCCTTTGAAGTGGGTTCATCATCATCCCCATTTTACAGATGAAGGAGCTGAGGCACAAAGACTTCAGTCACACAGCTGCTGGGTGGCAGAGCCAGGCTGCGAACTCCGGCACCTTGGCGCCAAGTCCCCGTGCTTCTCTACTGCATTGCACTTCATTCCACCAACTGAGACAAAGAGGGACGTTTTGGTGGAGAAGGAAGTGGCATATAAGTGTCATGCCATGCCTGGTCTCACCCACACGCCCAAGGAAGTTCCTCTGAACCCACAGAGCATGCCCTGGGCTCCCTCTGATGAAAGCAAGTTCATGCCTCTCTTCCACTCTCTCCTGCTGCCCCAGGCCAGCTGAGCAGGCCAAAGGAGGGCTGGGGCCAAATCTGCAGCCCCATCCTGGGGAAAGGCTCTGACGACAGTAGCCAGCTTCTCACTGCTGTCTGCAGGATCTCAGCAATTCCACGGGCATGGAGAACAGCAGCCCCTGGAGAGGGTAGGAGAAGATTGGGTGTCTGCCAGGCCTGCAGCTGTGGACACTTCCCCTATGGGCTGCGGGGACGGGGCAGGCCCAGCACCTGGAAGAGGGCGCCTCCCCTGTCTGGCTGGTCTTCAGTCCCATCAACGGGACTTAGCATCAAGTGACGTGGTGGTTATGCACACGGGCTTGTGGGGAGCTGTGCAACCTTGCGAGAGTTACTTCCCCTCTCTGTGCCTCACTTCCTCTGTCCATAAAACAGTGACTCTGACAATGCTGACAACACTAGGTGTTGGAAGCATTAAATATAAAACGCCTAACATGTAGTATGTGCTTAATAAATGGTAGCTGCTAATTACTATTATTTATCATCATCAACAGGACTATGCATCAACTACTAAGAACACAGGTGGACCTTAAGGTGCCATCAGTATGGGTGAGGAGCTGACAAGAACCCATGGAACAAGGCATGATTCCTTGTTCTAGAATATCTTTGGCCTTTGGATCTTAAAATGTCATCTTAAAGTGGGGTTCCATAGCTCTCACTTTTAAGACATCTCATCTGATCTTTCAGGCAATTTCTGAAGGAAACAAAAATATTTACTGAGCACCTATTGTGTGCCATTCACTGTTTCCACCACTGGGAATAACCTGATGGAGTTAATGAATCCAAGACCAGCTATGATGGTGATGGCAGTTACTAATAAAAGGTGAGAAGGACCGGGAGTGGTGGCTCACACCTGTAATCCAGCACTTTGGGAGGTGGAGGCAGGCAGATCACTTGAGGTCAGGAGTTCAAGACCAGCCTGGCCAACATGGTGAAACCCCACCTCTACTAAAAATACAAAAATTAGCCAGGCATGGTGGCAGGCGCCTGTAATCCCAGCTACTCAGGAGGCTGAGGCAGGAGAATCGCTTGAACCCAGGAGGCAGAGGTTGCAGTGAGCTGAGATTGCGCCACTGCACTCCAATCTGGGCAACAGAGCGAGACTCCGTCTCAAAACAAACAAACAAACAAACAAACAAAAAAAAAAAGGTGAGAAGGATTCTAGAGTTTATTGTTAGGTAGAAGTGGGAGGTACTGGGAGGAAAGGACTCTTTTCTGCAGACAATCACACCAAAACAGCCACGTACACATGGAAGTGGGAAAGGACACGTGGGTCACACACACGGCTGGAAGAAGAGACATGTGCAATCAGGGCACAGGTAACCACAAGAGACCTAAAAGTTCAGAGCACAAGGGACCCAGAATCCCTCAGACCATTTTAAAGACGGGGAAACAGAGAACCTGAAAGGCAGGCAGCCCAAAGCCACACCAAGCAAGACACAGAACAGGTTCTGGAATCCAGGTATCCTGACTCCTGAAAGTCGAGATCACTTTGTCTTGCGTCGTAAACAGACTAAGACATTCCAGCACAGCACAGCCCGCCATCACAGACAGACACTGCTGCCAGGTCAGGCAGCCCCCATCTGCCATCTCTCTAGATCAGTGTTACCAAGCTGAGGGGAGTGTAAGACACCACCACCCTCAAAATCAAACACCTTAGGACAGGACCAAAGACAGGTAAGTTTTGACATGGAGATGAGGGAGAGAAGTTCCGAGTTGGGGACATCATCATTCTGCAGGGGCAGGTGGGGAATCGAAAAAGCCGTTGCATGCAAAGGACAAATGTTCTTTCATTGGAGGTGGAGTGATAATAACTGCAGAGGGACTCTGGGAAGGTTGTTGGACAGAGTGATTTTTGTCTTCAAAGAACGTGATCAACTTTTTGCAAGTGTTCAAGTTCCACCTCCAAATCTTGCAATTTCTAAACCAGTCAACTTTTCTAGGTTTTTAATAAAACAGAGATGATGAACCCATTAGCAGGGCTGTTGGGAACCTCACCCCAGAAAACAGTTGATGGTGGCCTGGAAGCCCCTGCAGGCTCTTGTTCCTGTCCTTCTTCCCAAATGACTTTCATGTCCTTGTCATAATGACCACATTGTTTACCTCCTCTCCCCGCAATCCATGCCGGACTATCTTCTCTTTGTTTCATCTTAAATGTCACCTTGTTGGAAAAGCCTTCCCAGATGACCCTCCCCTTCTCCCTGACTCACTGTCCCCTCCATCGGAACCTGAGCTGCAGGAAGTCAGGGAACGCGTTCTGTCCACTGCTCCAACCCCAGCTCCCGTGCAGTGACTGGCACCTAGTAGGCTCTTGGTAAAATCTGTTGAGTGAATGAATAAGTGTCTGCAAACATCCTGGGTACATCTGTAAAGCATGCACTCATAGAAAACTTCTACTATGTGACACACAGTAGATTATCAATGGCTGTTGCTGAGAGGACATCAAAGTCAATTCCAAACCAACAAGGTCGGCTTCCCATTTCCGCTGTGGAGTAGCCTTGAGCTTAGTGAGATAGAAGACTCTTGCCCATCACCCCAGGGACCTGCTCCCCAGAGCTCAAGGCACTCAGTAATGAGGAAAACCCTGGCTTTACAAGACACAGTAAGGCATGAAAACTGGGGAGAAAGTTCACTGGGAACCTGCAGGACACTACAGGTATTCTACAAAATGATAAGCTACTCTGCCATTCTTAACTATTCTTAAAAATGAGAGGAAATTGATCAGCAGAAAAAAGGTACATGAAGTGTGCTGTGTTTTGATGTGGGCAGGCTAAGTGATAACTTCCCCTAACCCGCCCATCCTAATAACATGAAACCAGTGGTGCCTCCTGCTACTGACAGGTTCCCTTACTCAATTGCTATAAGAGAAGCATTGAGCAAGCATTGAGAATTAAGGAACCTACAGCCTATTCATAGATTCTAACCCTAAGAGGAACGAAATTAGCACTTTGTATGGTTGGGTCATTAAAGGATCTCATGAATTAATACTATCGTGTTTGCATTCTGTTTTGTGAATTTCTGCCTTTATTTTTCTTAATGTCCCTTTCCTACTTTCTTTTGTTTGATTCTCAGTTTTTTTCTTTTTTTTTTTTTTTTTGTTAGTAACAGGGTCTCAGGCCTGGCACCATGGCTCACACCTATAATCCCAAAACTTTGAGAGGCCAAGGCAGGAGGGTGGCTTCAGACCAAGGAGTTCGAGACCATCCCAGCCTCAATTATTTTTTTAATGGACTTTTATTTTAATTATTTTACTCTTTCATATTTAATGTCAAAACCTAAAGTGCTTTTAAAATAGACTACCAGTTTTCCTCTGGGCACAGTTTTAACCTTATCTCAAGTTTTGATATGAAGTATTTTCATTTTCGCTAATCAATATATAATCTGAAATGTCAAATTTAATCTATTCATTGATCTAAGAATTACTTAGAAGAGTTTCGATTGTTTAAATTTCTATGCGATTGTCTTTTAGAGGCTAATTTTCAATATATCTTATTGTTTTATGAAGGAAGCCTGGAAGTTTTCTACTTTTGAAATCTATTAAGATTCTTTTTAGACCAAGTTAATTATCAGTTGTAATTAGCACGTTAGAACATCTAGAAAGTAGTCTTTAAAAAGAGAAGTTCTTCCCCTAGAATACACACACACACACATACACACACACACCTTTGTAAAGAGTTTCAATGAATACTTACAATTCTAGTCTTACCTTAACAAAAGTAAATATTCCAACAGAAAAAGACAACCTATTAAGCTAAAGGGAAAGGAGGCAAACTACCAGAATTTAAGGGTTAAGTTTCTCACATCTGGGAATTCCACTCTGGAATCATAACCACAATAGCATTGCAGCTTTGCAGCCCTATTTTAAAGACGAAAACTGAGGCTTCCAGATCCTGAGTCACATAGAAAGGATTTTAGCTGAGCCCAAGGGTTTCAAGTCCACAAATCCTTTCTGCACTAAATTCAAATTTCATTCCAAAAGTAATACTAAAACAGCAGCTGACCTTCTTCTCTTGTGCCATTCCTTAAGTTTGTTCATCGCACCAGGCAGAATCAGAAGACAGGCTCCTACAACAGCTAGGGCTTTACTCCTGGTAAAGTGGGTTGGCTTAGGAGAAGAACGGACAGGACTCTTTGACAAGCCCCAGAAAGAATATTAAGTCATTTTTCAGCCAGCACCAAGCAAACCTGAAAGATGGGTGGATCCTAGGGTATCCTAATTTTACTCTTCCAACCCTGTCAGTGCTAGTGTCCAAAAAGTGGAGCAGCAAATGGGAAGTGACTGGCATTCAGAAACTGACACAGGATCCTGCATTTCTAAACAATGCTGACAACGCACACTGAGGCAGCACCTCCGGGGAAGTCTCCGTGCTCCGATGCTGTGGCCATGTACAGCATATGCAGTCCCCAAAGGGATATTTCAGCACAGAGTTTCAATGTAAAATGACACACGCTACTGCAGGCTAGAGATCTTATTGGGGACACAGGGCTATATTCATCTGCTTCCCAGCAAGAAAACCAGAAAGCCAGAGATAAACAGAAGTCAATCAAAGCAGAAAGTGACATCTAGAAAAAAAACACCTAATTCTGCCAAACCTGTTTTGCTGAATAAAGATAAGAGCGCTGTGGACAATATGGCTTTGGTATAAGAAATTAAATGATGGCACCATTCCCAAAAGCAACTAAAGCAGTTGACATCGGGCTTGTTCCCAACAGCCTAGAAGGGACTAAGAATGGAAGAACAATGGACAATTAAGAAACTGTTTCTACGGACTCTGAATTTTGCAAGACTAATTATGAAAATAAGCCTTGTTACAGAGTTTCAGCATTTGAAAGTATTACTGTGCTTTACTTCCTACTCTGAAAGGTAAGACTTCCAAATTAAAATATAATTGTCAAATCAATTGGTAAAAAAAAAGTAGTTAAATTAATTCCGCTCCTAGGTATATACTCAACAGAAATGTTTGCATATGTTTGCCGAAAGAGATGTCCAAGAATGTTCACAGCAGCACTATTTATAATGGCCCCAAACTGGGAACTTCCCAAATGCCCATAAACAGAATGGATATGTAAATTGTGGTATATTCCACAATGAAATAATGCAAATGAACAATTACAACTCTGTGAACCAATATAGACATAGGGTTAGCAAACTTTTTGGTAACAGGCCAGATAGTAAATGTTTTAGGCTTAGGGCCCATACAGTCTTTGTTGCAACTACTCAATTGTGCTGTCATAGCACAAAAGCGGCCATAGCTGATATATAAATGAAATGGACATGGCTGTGTTCCAATAAAGCTTTATTTATGATCGCAATTTTTTTTTTTTTTTTGAGATACAGTGTTACTCTGTCATCCAGGCTGAAGTACAGTGGCACAATCTTGGCTCAGTGCAATCTCTGCCTCCCGGGTTCAAGTGATTCTCCTGCCTCAGCCACCTGAGTAGCTGGGATTACAGGCATCAACCACCACACCCAGCTATTTTTTTGTACCTTTTAGTAGAGATGGGGTTTCAACCATGTTGGTCAGGCTGGTAGCAAACTTCTGGCCCCAAGTGACCCACCCACCTCGGCCCCACAAAGTGCTGGGATTACAGGCATGAGCCACCATGCCCAGTCAATTTGTGGACACAAATTTGAATTTCATATAATTTTCACGCGTCACAAAATATCATTCTTTCCTCCCCCCCCCGCCCCCCCCCGCAACTATTTAAAAACATAAAATCCATCCTTAGCTCACAGGCCATATGAAAACAGGCAAAGGACCAGATTTGGCTTGTAAGCTGGGGTTCGCCAACCCTGGACAGAGATAAAACTCCCAGACGCAATGTTAACCAAAACAAACCAGGCACAAAAGAGTACAGACTGTATGATTCCATTTCTAAAAAGAGGCAAAAGTACCTGGTGGGGTTAGAAGTCACGATAGAGACCCTATCCTTGCAGGCATGGGGTCAGAGTGGACGTGGCCGGGATCCCGGGGGCTGGTGGGCTCTGAATTCGGGTGCTGGTTAGTTGGGCGTGATCCCTTTCTGGAGCTGTTTATTCATGATTTCTGCATTCTTTCTCATGCATGTTCTACTTCAAGAGAAGTTTAGCAAGTTTTTATAATAAAGTAGCTTACAATTCAATCAGCTTCAAAAACAGAAGTATAAAGAGAACGAGAGCAATCAAATTAAATTAGTTATGACTTCTTCATGATGGCCAGGTACCTGCCAATGCTAGAGTACTTAAGAATATTTAATAATAATGGCTGGGCACAGCAGCTCACACCTGTAATCCCAGCACTCTGGGAGGCCTAGGTGGGCGAATCACTTGAGGTCAGAAGTCCGAGACCAGCCTAGGCAACAGTGAGACTCCATCTCTAAATAAATAAATAAATAAATAAATAAATAAATAAATAAATAAAAGGTAGATTTAAATTGTTTTCCTCTATTATTGTGTTTACTTCCAGGGTGGAGTTTGTTTCATGGTTTAAGGGATGGTGCTACCATCAGAATCCGGCCAGGCTATTTTCTGCGGCGTCTGCGCATAAAGATGATGTTCACCCAATTACCAGCGACTCCTCGCATGGAAATCTACCATCAATACTATTAACATAAACAGCATCTGGCAAAATACATGGCCTTCAACCTACAGCAAAACCTGCGCTGGACTCTCACAAAGGAAAAAGGCCAGGTCTGGCTTCCATTTGATTTCCAGAGAATACGCAATTAATTATTTTTTCTCACCGTCAGCAGCTGAGTCTCAGTGAAATCCGTGCTTGTAATTATCGCTGTAATTATTATTTTAATACAAATCAGCAACTTATCAAAATATTACGTGTCAGGTGCTACCTCTCTGCTGCAAGACTATGGATGGAAGGTGGAGGCCGTCACCCCAGCTTCACTCTGTGCACACAGAGGATGGGAATCAGGGTGAGGGTACTTCTACCAGAGCCAGACTTTCAGCTTCCTAGATGTCCACGTCCACAGTCAGTTTCACACTCGACCTTTTTTTTACAGGCAATAAGTCACTCTGTACATTCTATGTGGTGGTTTGATCTTGGGCAATTCAGTTCACTCACTGCTAGGTCTCAGTGGTACCATCTTTGCAGCAGGCAAACAGTACAAACCTTTTTTTTTTTTTTTTTTTTTTGGAGACAGGATCTTGCTCGGTCACCCAGGCTGGAGTGCAGTGGTGCGATCACGGCTCACAGCAGCCTCAACCTCCCAGGGTCAAGTGATCCTCCCACCTCAGCCTCCCAAGTAGCTGGAACTACAGGCATGCTACCATGCCCAGCTGATTGATTGTTTTATGTTTTTGTAAAGACGAGGTCCCACTATGTTGCCCAGGCTGGTCTTGAACTCCTGGGCTCCAGCGATCTTCCCACCTAGGCCTCCCAAAGCGCTGGGATTACAGGCATGTGCCACCACGCCCGGCAACAGTACCAACTTTCTGGCAGTGTCCTTCTGAAGAAAACCTAATGGGAGTTGTTACATCTTTCTGTGCGGCACATGCATGGCATTTGACACACAGGCTCCTGAGTCACGCTGGCTGAGTTGAAATTCCAAGTCTTCTCTGTGACTGCAGGTGATTTCTTACCCTCTCTATGCCTCAATTTCCTCATCTGTAGATGGGAATACTATCAGCAGCCACATCATAAGGCTGATATAATGATTAAAATGATAATCTAGGAGACGCTGCTCAGTACAGCACAGTGCCTGCCACGTAGTGACATCTAATAGATAATAGCAATTATTATTATTATCATTCTGAAAGTTGCAAACTCAAACCCCAACAGCCATCTTGTGGGTAACACAGACAAGTAAAGTGACCTGGTGGGCCCGTGTACACGAGGCAGCCACATCCCCCCTCACTCAAATGGTTACCTCTGGGAATGAAGACCAGAATTTCGAATTTCTTAATAGGCACTCTAAATTTGATTTGGATTGGAAATCATTGATTTTGGCTACTAATTCAAGTTTTGATTTTTAAAATTTACCTTTTCTTTAAGAAAGGAGGAAGAGGACCCTATGCTGTCATTATTCCATCTGGAGCCCACACCTGACTCACAAAGCTCTAGGTTTCCTTCTGGCTTACGTATTTCCCATCGCTGCTTTCTAGCACCCACCTTCATTGGAGGGCTGTATCTGCCTGCTCACTCCAATAAACAGTCAGTTTCCTCCAAATGTTGCTGTTGTGCGTTTTTTGTTTGCTTTAATTCTAAAAGAAAGCCAAACAGCAGTCAGCCTCCAGGCCAAAGAAGAATGAATAACCTAACTTCTACCCATTTCTAAACCACCCAGTCTTTCACTGAACATCCTTCCTTAGGAGACGTTTAGCTTAACATCTCTCCCTGCTTTCTGTCTTTAACTCACCTTCTAAACAAGAGAAAATCAGACGTCACAATTTGAAAACTATCCCTCAATAGGGTTACAAGAAAAAGCAGGCAATAAGAGCATTTTACATCCACAACAGAATCATCTGCAATACTTGATGACAAGCAAACGGGGTTCTCAGTGTCTTTCATAACAGCTGCCCCTTTTGAGCTAGGATAAAAGAAAGTGCAAAAGAGAGACAATGAATAGGCTTTTATTTCAAAGAGAACATCTGCAAAGCATAGTCCTCCATTAAAAAATAAACAGAAAACAGCCACTAGTCTGGGGAAAAAAATAAGATTTCCCATTACATCTCTAATTAATAAAGCCCCATTTCAAAAGGAAAAAAGAAGAAGAAAAAAAAGAATAACTTTTTCACATCCCCAAAGAAAGGATGCTTAATGAGGTAACTGTTGTATTACTTGATCCATCTAGTCTGGTTTTAATACTATCCTTAAATAATGTATACATTAGCTTTCCATTACCAAAAACATTTGTTTATTTTATGAACGTGAGTCTGGTTGAGAGCTGAGACTCTGCAAAATTATCATGCCGTCCTTGGGCTCCCGGCTTTTATTGCTTCTCCCCTCGCTCATTATGAAATGATTAGTTGTCTCCGATGCCCTTTTGAATTGCTGCTAACGTTGTACTGCGGTTCTGTTACCCTGGTTCTGAATAGGAGAGTCTTGGTTCAGGGTTAAGTTAATGTAGTCATTACTGGCCCATTTGGGGACCCATTCATCATGCTAATTTCATGTCCAACACTTGGGGGAATAGAGTACAAATACTCAACGTGAAGCAAATGCACAGTGAATCCAAAAGACGCACATGAAATGTCCAGAACTCAGTCACAGAAGACAGGCATGGGGAGCTCTGGGGCCATTACTTTCCATAACTGTGGGAGCAATGCAGACATCAGAGAGGGCCTCCAATGGGGAATTCCTTTCCAAGGGACCCAGAGCACAGTTCCTCCTAACATCTAACTTTAATCCTTTCCACTTGAACTTCAGAACAAAACAGCACAGCTGTTTACCAGAGGAGCAAAGACTCTTCAAACTGGTTAAGTTGACATTGACCAAACCTTGGCCATCTCAGCACTTCCTTGATCGTCATTAACCAACCAAGCTGCAATCAGGATTTGAAATCCAGTTAGAGTTTGCTTATGTGTTTTCATTTTGTTAACCCACTTCTTCTTACTTAAATGCCACTTTACCTGCATGTTAAACGAGAAGAGTGTTGAAGCTGCCGTTTTGATTGGCTGGTTATATTTCTGTATTTTCCATAATATACATTTAAAGAAATATACAGCGATTAATAATTTCTTTAAATATTCACCCAAGAAGAAGAGAGTGCATCTGGGATGTTGTCAGTGCTATGATTCCTGGTCTAGGATACTCGGATGTGTTCAGTTTGTGAGAATTCATCAAGTTGTATATTTAGAGTAATGTTTGTATCATATGGTTTTGTTGGGAAAAAAGCAACTAAAAGAACGCAGGCAATATTTAAGAAGTGAGCCAGACGTGGTGGCTCACGCCTGTAATCCCAGCAGTTTGGGAGGCTGAGGTGGGAGGATCACTTGATCCCAGGAGTTCCAGACCAGCCTGGGCAACATAGCAAAACCCCACCTCTTCAAAAAATACAAAAATTAGCCGGGCATGGTGGCACGCACCTGTAGTCCCACCTACTCAGGGGGCTGAGGTGGGAGGACTGCTTGAGCCTGCGAGGTCAAGGTTGCAGTGAGCTGAGATCAAACCACTGCATTCTAGCCGGGGTGACGTAAGGAGTCCCTGTCTCAATAAATTAACAAATAAATTTAAGAAGTGAATAAATGTTGTACAGATACGAATAGTAACTTTTTATAAAGAGTTTTTACAGAATATCTGCCCTTGTAGCACCTCCAACCACTGGTGCATCACGATTGGTGTCTATACCATATTTTGGATTCCTGGGGCTCGTTTAGGACTACTATGGCAAAAGGCATGATCCAAAATAAATCCTTACCCCTGAATAAGTAAAATAAATCCACCCATCCAAAACAAATGCTTATCCACAGCTCTTTCTTTTCGTTCAGCTCCCTAATGGTTTCCTTCGCTGCATTTGTAACAATCTGATTTTTTGCAATGTTCTTGTTTGTTTTTATTGGGAGGTCATCCTGCCCCCAAACCATAAAGAGCATGAGGGCAGGGTCACATCTGTCTTTCCCCCTGCTGTGCATAAGGCCTGGCACACAGCAGACCCCAACCAGTATCTGATGAATGAATGGATGAGTAGGTGGGAAATTTCCAGTGGATTTCACTCATTCATTCTCTCCCTGTCCCCCACGGGTTACAAGACGCTGTGAGGAAGGAACGCAGACAACCCCGTCTGAACACTCCCACATTGTGCTGCTTGAAGACATGAGCCCCGTCTTCCATTCACATGGGGCTTTCTGAGCTTCAAAGCACTTTCTCATCTGTTTATCAAATTTAATCCTCACAACCCAGGGAGGGAGGCAGGCTTATTAGCATCATCTGATGAAGTGCCAAAAAGACACAGAGATGAAAGTCACGGTCCGTCCCTGACAGCGCTGGGACCAAGCCAAGGTGCTCAGGAATGTTCTACTTTTCCACCTCCCCCTTGTCTCTAAAGACTCCCAACTTCCCAATGCGTGTTATTGGGGGACAAGGTCACGGGAAACACAGAGTGAGGGGCAGATGACTCAAAGGAGGCTGTCACTCACACTCCCTGCAGAGGGGAAACAGGTTTATCAAATTGCGGAATGCATGATTCTATTTCTGTCGGGGACATTTGCCTTCAGGATGGCCTCATGCTTATAAGAATTTGCATATTCTGGGTCTCCACCACCAGCTAGGCGGGGAGGGAGACTCCATCATGCCAGGGCAAGGCACAGGCAGTGAGAGGCAAATAAGTGCAGTGAATAAGCCACATGGGAATAGGGTAACCACAGATGCTCATTTTTATGTCTTCATAGTGAACACGGAGGTCTTCCAAATGGGCTGCAAACTCAACAGCCAAGAGGGGCCAGCCAGGTGCCACAGGTGACAGGAGAGATCTTAGGGGGACTCTTAGGGACCCAGTGGGTCTGCAGTATCACCATTCCTCAGCTTGGCTGTTTAACACCAAGCAAGCACCGTGGACCCTGTATTGCCGGATCTTATGACTTTTAAAAGAATTCCAAAAATCTACGCTGTCTCACGGCATATCCTAATCTTTAAATTCCAGGGCCTATTTATTCTAACACACCGTGTGGACAAAATCAAACCCACCCACGGGCCATGGATTTGAAAGTCCTCCTGGCTCTAGCAAACATCTCCTACGATGTGGCTGCATCAGGTGGCAGAGCAGAGCACTGACCATGACCCAGAGCTGTGCCTCACCATCAAGCCCTGCCAGGTAGGTGCCATCATGGCCCCTGTGCTTCAGACAAGGAGACTGAGCTCCAGAGAGGCAAAGTGCCATACCACCGATGATGTCAGACCACTGTCTTCTTCCTCAACATCACACGACCTGCCTCCCAGGCCCCACAGCATCTGCCCATCTGCTCCCCTGGATCATTTCCAGGGTTGTTTCATGAGCTACAAGAAGAAGAGCTTGGGCCCCATGAGCAGAGCAGCCCAGGCCTCATGGACAGTTCTGGGATGGCAGAGACCTCAGGGCTCCCAGGGCTCTGAATCATACTACTTACTCCTTGCCCTGACCTTCCCAGAGGACACCTCCCTTGTGTGTTCAAGAGGTCACCATGGGAAAGGGTATAGGCAATGAACCAGGCTAGGATGTGAGAGTGATCTCCCTAGAGATCGGCCACTTATCAGCACGGGCTCTAACTCTTGCCTGCTAGACTGGTCCTCCTGGAGGGCAGGAGGCACATTGGTCCTGTTCACCAAGGTGGTTCCAGTGCTGGACACAGGGACTGGTACCTTCTAACTGCAGGAGTGGAGGATGGGTAGATAGGTGGATGAATGGATCGATGGGTAAATGGATGGACAGATGGATGGATGAATGGACAGAGGATGGATGAATGGACGGATAGATGGATGGATGGATGCTTAGACAAATAGATGAATGGACTGATGGATGGATGGATGGATGGATGGGTGGACAAATGCATGCATAAATAGATGGAGGCAGGGGGAGAATGAGGGGCTAGAGTCAACGGACTTACTGACTCTGAACTGGGTAGACTGAGAACACAGCCTTTGGAGACACCACCCAACTTCAATTTCTAGTTTGGACACTTCACATCTGCTTAATTTTCATCCAACTTATTGCCTTAGTTTTCATTATTTCAATCAGTAAAACAGAAATGAAAATAATAGCTCTTAACTTGCCAGATGTTATAAGAATTCAATAAAAGCATGTCTTTTTAGTCCTTCCACAGTGTTTGGTGCATTCGATAAATGCACCTCATCATCACCATAGTTGCAATGTTTGTGCCTCCTGGGTAGGGAACATTTGCATCAACCTCTCTGCCCCACAAACTCATCTTAAACTGAAACCACACATCTTGTGGCCAAAAATTATGGCAAAGCGTGCCCTGGGAGGAGAAACAAATGCCTCTTACCACATTACCTCATTAGCATCCACTGACACATTAGCCTGGATTAGATGTCCAGATAAGCAGTAGTCACCTGGCTGGGACAAACTAGGCCTGGGACAGGACAAATCCATTCATTGCCCCTAGGTGGCCCTGAAAGATGAGACACCCTCGTCCACACACACAAAGCTTGAGAATGGGTCCCACCCCTTCCTCATCTGGCAGGGTGTCTGGGTTTGCAGTTCCTGACACTAATAATGCCAGTGTCCAGGTTCAGGGCTAAGGTGACACCCCACCCCACACCCATCTTCTTTGTGATGCCTCTGGCTTCCAATCGGGAAGGGGGCAACCGAACCCAGAGAGCACATGGGCACCATCTGATGAGCATCTGCGGGCAAACGGGTAGTTTCTGTTGCAGGCGGAAGGAAGTGTCCGCAAGATGATCCGCACTGCATGTTTATTGAGGTAACTCTCCAGTGTGCTGCAGACCCAGGCTCTCAGGTACAAGTGGCGGGCTCCTCAGTGGGCCAACCACAGAGCGGTCTGAAGGAATGGAGCAGCAGGAAGTCTGTTGTGGTTGAAAGAAAGGCCATTGTCCCCGGCCAAAGAACCCTGAACAATATCCTCTTGCCCCCTCCTCCGCTTCTCCCTTGGTTAGAGAGAGCTGAATTCAAGACTCCTCTCTCTAGCCAATTTCAACTTCCATTCTTGACTGTTGAAAATATAATAGTACACAGCTTGAAGGATTAAATGAGTTCATGCACAAAGAGGGTTTAGAACAGTGCCTGGCAAACAGAATAGAGAACGCAGAAATAAACCCACACTTTAATATCAACTCATTTTTGACAAAGGCTGGGGAAAGGAAAGTCTTCGATAAGTAGTGCTGGAAAAACGGGATAGCCATTACCTATGGATAAACTTAAGAATGAAACTAGGCCCCATCACTCACCATACACAAAAACCAAATCAAAATAGATTAAAGACTTAAATCTAAGACCCGAGACTATGAGACGACTAGAGAAAAAAACATTGGGGAGACACTTCAGGACGCTGAGCAAGAATTTTTTTTGGGTAAGACCACAAAAGCACAGGCAACAAAAGCAAAAATAGACAAACGGGATCACATCAAGCTACAAAGCTTCTGCACGGCAAACAATCAACAAATTAAATAATCTACAAAATGGAAGAAAATATTTGCAAACTACCCATCTGACAAGGGATTAATAACCAAAATATATAAAGAACTCAAACAACTCAACAGCAAAAAAACAAGTAGTCCAATTTTTTAAACAGGCAAAAGAGCTGAACAGATATTTCTCAAAAGAAGACATACGAATGGCCAATGGATATATAAAAAAATGCACAGCATCACTAATCACCAGGGAACTGTGAGTCAAAAGCACAGTGAGATATCATCTCACCCCACCTGAAAGGGCTTTTATCAAGAAGACAAAAAATAACAGACGCTGGTGAGGATGTGAGAAAATGGAACACTCATACACTGTTGGTGGGAATGTAAATTAGTACAGCCACTATGGAGAAGAGTATGAAGGTTCTTCACAAGCTAAAAACAGAACTACCATATGATCTGGCAATCCCACTACTGTGTCTACACAGGAAAGGATTAATTATCCAAAGGAAAGGAAATCAATAAATCCAAGAGCTATCTGCACTCCCATGCTTACTGCAACATTCTTCACAATAGCCAAGATATGAAATCAAGTTAAGTGCCCATCGGTGGATGAATGGATAAAGAAAATGTGGTAAACACACACAGTGGAATATTAGCCAGCTGTTAAAAAGTGAAATCCTGTCATTTGCAGCAACATGAATAAACCGGAGGCCATCATACTAACTGAAATAAGCCAGGCACTTAGAGACAAATATCACATGTTCTCACTCCTATGTAGGAGCTAAAAAAAGTAGATGACAAGAAGATAGAGAGTAGATAGGTGATTAGGGGAGTAGGGAGGAAGATGTTGATTGGAAGGATAAAAATCCAGTTAGATAGAAGGAATAAGCTCTAGTGTTTGGTAGTCCAGTAGGGTGATTATCATTAACAATAATCTATTGTATATTTCAAAATAGCTAGAAGACCCGGGCACAGTGGCTCACATCTATAATCCCAGCACTTTGGGAGGCCAAGGCAGGCAGATCACCTGAGGCCAGGAGTTTAAGACCAGCCTGGCCAACACGGCAAAACCTCATCTCTACTAAAAATACAAACAGAATTAGCCAGGTGTGGTGGCGGGTGCCTGTAATCCCAGCTAATCAGGAGGCTGAGGCAGGAGAATTGCTTGAACCTGAGAGGCGGAGGTAGCAGTGAGTCAAGATTGTGCCACTGCACTCCAGGCCGGGCAACAGAGCAAAACTGTCTCAAAAAAAAAAAAAAAAAAAGGAGCTAGAAGAGAAGAATTTCAGTGTCTCTGACAAAAAAGTAAAGATAAATGTTGGCGGTAATGAATATCCCAATTACTTTAAGTTAATCATTACACATTATATGAACCTATCAAAATATCACATGTACCCCAAAATATGTCAAACTATTATATATCCATTTTTAAAACCACCTAACACATCATAACTGCCATGCAGTCATTATTATTATTATTATCATTATTACTACCCTTGTATTTGCATCATGAGTTAGGGGTCTGATTCAATATAAATTGCATGTCTGCTTCTTTTCTAGGGTTGGTAACTTTTTAGGAATCTGCAACAAGAAGTGAGAAAAGTAGAATAAAGATTTTTGGGGCTGGGCAAAGTGGCTCAGGCCTGTAGTCCCAGCATTTTGGGAGGCCGAGGCGGGCGGATCACGAGGCCAGGAGTTCGAGAGCAGCCTGGCCAACATGGTGAAACCCTGTCTCTACTAAAATACAAAAATTAGCCAGGCGTGGTGGTGCACGCCTGTAATCCCAGCTACTCAGGAGGCTGAGGCACAAGAATTGCTTGAACCTAGGAGGCGGAGGTTGCAGTGAGCCGAGATCACGCCACTGCCCTCCAGCCTGGGTGACAGAGCAAGATGCTGTCTCAAAAAAAAAAAAAAAAAAAAAAAAAAAAGATTTTTGGGAATGCATGGTTGCATTTAGGGTTTTTCAACAAACCATGCAAAAGGAACGCAACTCGGAAAGGTGGCATCTTTGGAAAGGGGCAGGCCTGGGTTTGGATCTCAGTTCTGCTACTCCCCAGCTCTGTGAACTTCATGAGCAAGCAGCTTCACTTCTTTGAGCTTCAGTTTCCTCCTGGGGACAGCAAAAGTCTTATCCCACAAAGTTGGGAGAAATCAGTAAGACAGTAAGGTAACATTTACAAATCCCTCCATTATTCCTGCCACATAACAAGCCATCATAAGACCAGCGATTTCTAGTTGGGTGTCCTTAGTTTTAACTTTTTATCAGTTGTGTAATACCGTCTTCCTTCCTGGAAATTTTTTGTGTTTTTTTTTGGGGGGGGGGGGGGTGAGCATTTAATAACCTAACGTATGCAAAATACCTAAATGACACCTGACATACAGCAGGCACTCAATAAATGTCAGTACTCCTTCCTCTACCACATTCCGTCCTGCTCACACAGAAACAGCTATATTCATTCTACTGCCTTGGATTTACTCGCACCCTACACTGTACGGGAAAATGAATAACTGCAAGAAATTCCTTATTTTCAAACATACCAAGAATTTCCTTTTAAGAACAGCTCATTTTTGAACACTGATTAAGGAACAGGCCCACATGAGTTCACATATATTGCTACATTTCATCCTCATACAGCCCTATGAGGTAGCTCAGATTCACAGAGGACCGAAATTACAGTGACTTGCCCAAGATTAGGGGCATGAGAAAGGGCCGAGCCAGGAGGTGAACCCAGGTATGTCAGGCCTGAGGGTACTCAACAGAGGCCTCTTTCATTGGTGCCGGGGCCTCGCACATACTTGTTGGGACGTTTTCTCCTGTTCCCACACCCCTTCCTTAGAATGCAGGTTTTGTTAAGATCGAGTTTGTTTTTTAGTTATTTTTTATTTTCCCCAAGGCATTTTCTCTTTGTTTCTGGTAGATGGGGATCTGGGTCCGCAGAAATGGGGAAATGCAAAGGAAAAGGAAAGAGAGAGATCATAAGTGGCAGCTCTTAAGGTAGCACTGGTCAAAAGATAGAGACTCTCAACCTCACCTGTGCAGTCCAACAGGTGTGTGTGTTAAGTTCTTCTGCACTGAAACACTCATATAGATGGATTTATGACCTTATGGATCATAAACAGCTCTGGAGCGGGGTGTGGGGGGCAGACTCTTATGTCAGAGATATGCCTAAGGATATCTTTGCTTTCTGAGGATACACACACACATACACAATGACGCGATGATGTCAAATCTCTGCTTTAACTCAAGCCACCAAATTTCCTCTTCTATTAAAACCATGAATCAAACTTGAACAGTCACCAGTAAATAAGAACTTACGCCATGGCTGGCTTCCTAGGTGAAAAATAGCAAGCCTTTGACCACCCACCCTTCTGGAAGATTTTTAAAAAATGAATTGATAAACTGAAGAGAACGTCTAAAGTATGAAAAGACCGGAAGGAAAGTGAATACATAGATATATTAGAATTCATATTACAAACATATCTATACCTACGTATATTATTTCTACTTTTATTTATCTATTTTAACACTTTCCATGATAAACAGATGGCAACATTTGCAGTAAGATAAATATTATTCAATGATGCATATTTCTGTATACAAAGTGTAATGCGTCGCTCAAACAAAACAAAACTCCATTGAAAGTGTGAAAAAAAAAACGAACCATCAATAACATACCCTGTTTTCTGTGGTCTCAGAACATCTGGATAGGAAGAAAAGCTATACCTCCAAGGCTGTTAGAAGCAGAGGTGATCTAAAGCCAGTGAACCGATCTTTCAAAGTCACTGCTGATGTCTAAAAGAGTCCTGAGTTATCTGAGTAATGTGAAGCATGAGGAATTTCTGCCGAAAAATCAACATTTCAAAGGCGTCGGATAATACAGAAACCCCATTCTACTTTGTGTGCTTATGTAGGGCGGCAGGCGGGGGGTGGGAAGGGTAATAAAAAATTAGATTTCTTAAATGAAACTTACTGAGTAACAGTTTATCTAAGAACACGAGCAATAAATGTGGGGACTTCAAGAAGAGTCACTAAGGGAAAGAAAATAAACATTCATTACATTAACACACGCAGCTCTCTTTCATTTTCTCCAAAATCTATTCAGAACCTGTAGGCTGATCCTTGTGACAGTTCTCCCAATATTTTTCCTCCCTTTATAAGGGAGTCCATCTGTTTCTTAAATTCTGAGATGACAGTAAAATCCACAGCTTACTGGAGACCCAGTGAAGGAATCAGTGTCAGCCACAAAACAGCTGCAATCCACCCAATAATTCTAATATTTAAGAGCTTTAAAAGAGGCTGAGAGGAAAAGGAGAGCTTGCAAATCTTTTATGGACATGCCCTCTGACTCTGTCTACTTGAGAAACGGGGTGTTTCCTCTTGGCTTCTTAAGTGCACCAAAAATACAATCAGGGCCTTCCACCGAAGCGCAGCTCCCCAAACATAAAAAGGACAAATGCTCTGAGGCTGTGGGCATCAGGAAGGAGGAAGATCTGGCTTAGGAAATGCCCTATACACAATGCCTGCCTGACACTCTCTGCAACACACCCACCAGCAACCCAGGACACAGGTTCCCTCTACATGCAAGAGCCAAGGCTGTCCACCCACCCCATCCCCACCTGCAACAGAGCACTGAGCTAAAGCATCTTCTTCTAAGCATGTGTCTAACCACCTCTCTACAAGAGCCATCTGGAAAATCACGGGGATTTGTTTCTTTAAATGTCCCACTCCTGAATCTCCCTCCAAAGCATCATCCTGGCAGCCTCCGCAGGGTCTGGAAACAAACTGCACATTTCAACGGCCTCTATTGCTTGCGAAAAGGTCTGGTCCTCTCCTTGCCTGCAACCCAAGCTCCAGCTATACCAGACTTTGGGAACAGCCTGCCCCCTTCTGGTCTCCTGGAGCTCCATGGAAGGGCAGGAACTGGGTGGGCACAGTCAGAGTAGGACAGACCCCGGGCTCCAGCCAGCCTGTCTGTACTGTGATTTCAGGATTTAGCAGGTCATGGAGTAGGTGTGGGGGGAGAGGAAAGAAAGGAGACAAGCAAATGAAATAAAATACAAAGCCCCAAGAGACAACAGTCAACAGCATGGTAGACAGCCACCAAGAAGAGAAGAGAACCAAAAGAAAAAAAAAATACATAAATGTCCATCTTGGAAGGTAAAGAAATTGAGACATTAGGACATGCAGATTTGGGGAGAGTAACTGAACTTGCAGTTGGAAGCAGAGTTTCAGAAAAGCAAAGCACCTCCGCTGCTGGAACTGCAATTCCAAAAGGAAGTAAAAAGGAAAATAGTGTGTTCCCACCTACCTCCCCAACCGCAGATCTCTCAGAGGCTGAGCTGGGTGTGAGAGAGTAAAACACTGAGCCGAGCACACAGAGAGGGGCTGGGGGTGGATGCTCACAATGCCGGGGACCTATGAAGAAATCAGCTAGCCCTGCCTCCTTCCTTCTCTTCATTTGTTTCAACAGGTGCTACATGCATCCTAAAGGTACCTCCTGAACCCACTCTGACCCCCAGATGCAAATGATACAGTAAGCCCCAGGCTTCCCCCACCATGTCTCCCCTACACGTTCTTACACTGGACCAGCAGGACACGACCCACAACCCTCCCACCCCACCTCCTGGGCTCTGGATGCACAAAGAACTTCTAATTGCATTTCTGCGGGAACCCATCACTATCAACTCCAAGAGTTCAAAGGCAGCGTTTCAGAGTACCCCTCTCTGTAAAGAAGAGATCGCAGGACACTAGGAATGTTCTGGTTCTCCGTCAGGCAGCTCACGCCACTATTCTCCCCGCAAATGAGGGAAAGACTTCTCCCTGCTACCCACACAGCAACGTGAAATGCCATCACATCACGTCTTGGGACTGGCTCAGTTCTCAGGCATGAAGAGCTGCACTCCGGCAGAAAGGGTCGCACAGACTCCGAAGAAGTTTAGCAGCTCAGAAAGCATCACGCTGTGTACTAAGGCAGTCTTCAGTGAGGACTTCCAAAGTGACAAATGATAGAAATATGCATTCAGTCTTCAGGATCCTGAAACCATCCCCCTGGTGTCTAATATCCTTTAACGGCTAGGCAAATCCTTGCAGACAAGTAGTGTGATGAAGAAACAGACAGACACACAACACATTGGCTATGCCCTAAGGCAGAACTCACGCCCCTGGAGAACTGAGACCTTGGCTCTGAAATGGGGACTCCGGCCTCCTGCCCCATGTGCTCCTGCTCCTAGCTCAGTAGGCTGGGCAAGGCAGCCCAGAGAAGGTGGGAAAGGTATCCCTGGAGAAGTTAGGGACAGGGTAGGAAGACAAGTCAGTTCCCCACCCAGCCACCCAGATGGCCCCAGATCTGCGGAAAAAACAGTTTCAGAGCCCTGACTGTTCACACCCACGAAGGGCAAAGTAATCCCATAGGAGTGGAAGCCCTGACGGTGTGGTCGGACACACAGCTGGTGACCTGAACCGGCCGCAACAAGACAGAAAGACAGAGACAACCAGCTAGGAGAAGGAGCCATGCCCTGAAACTGGAGATGGGGAGGAGATAAAGTCACAGAGGGCATGGGAGACGGCAAGGTTAGAGACAGAGAAGGTGAAGACGGAAGGCTCAAACATCCAGAGAAGAGAAACAGAAGACCCAAAGTAAGACCAGACACCCCGGACTGAGTATTGATTCAGGGGCATGGTCGGGGACTTGGGACGCCCAGCTCAGCCCTCATCGCAGGCCAGGACGAACAGAGGGCTCAACTGTCTGCACCCAGCTCGGCAAAAACCAGAGAGATGCTGCTGCGACAACCGCCCAGGAACAGCGGCTGAGGATCCGGGGAGATCCACTCACTCAGGCAGGGAGCGAGTCACCAAGACCTACACGCACGGAGCAAGTCACCTGGGGTCCCCAGCAAGAGTGATGGGGAACAGGAACCCAGCCAGGCTCCGGTAACCCCCAAAGCGCCCCCGCTGGAGAAAACTTCCCCCAGACCCCAAGGGGTCCGTGCTCAGACTCTGAAAGGGGCAGCCCACGACCCCTGAGCCTTGGCAGGGACCCCACCCGGCTTCCCGGGGCAAGAGGCGATGTGGAGTCGGTAGGCTTGCAGAGTCCCAGTCTGATGACCGAGTTCAAGGGCTAGGGGGGCGTGGGGTCGGGCTGCCTTCCTCCCTCCCTCGCCGCGGGGCGCGAGCCGAAAGGGCATCTTACCAGAGCCCGGGCGGGCAGTGCCCCCCGGCTGGCCGGCTGCTGTCCCCGCGGTTCTCCGGGGCCGCCTCCCCGCGCCCGCGCCTGGGGCCCCCGTCCTCCTCCTCCTCCGCCGCCGCCTCCTCCTCCTCCTCGGGCTGCAGCCGGCTCGGCGGGCAGGTCCCGGCGCTCCCGGCGCGGGGCCGGGGCCGGGGGCGGCTGCTCCCCGCCGCCGACCGCTGCGCCCCCGCGGCGCTCCCCGGCCCCGGAGTCGAGGCTGCTGAAATTCCACACGACCAGCGTCTGCAGCAGCAGCACCGTGAGCGCCGCGAGCAGCGCCGAGTGCGAGCGCCGGGCCAGCCTCCGGGCGCACGGCGCCGCCACCATCTTCGGAGCGCGGCCGGCGAGCGAGGCGCGGGGACCCCGGCACGCTCCGGGCCGCCCCCGCGCTCCCCGCAGCTCCCGCGGCCGCCGGCTGCCGCTCGGGCTCCCGCTCGGGCCGCCGCCGCCGCCCCCCTCCCCACACCCCTGTCCCCGCTGGAGGGGAGGGTGATGGGGAAGGCGCCGGGGGGACGCGGGCCGAGGCGGAGAGGGCGGGGCCTGGGGGAGGAGCCGAGGGAGGAAAAGGAGGAGGGAAAGGAAGGGGGTGGGGGCGATCAGAGAAGACAGACACCCCTCAGGACGTAGTGGGAGTAGGATGGGGGGCGAGGGGGACAATTCCCAAGGCGGAAAAAGAGAGGCAGGGGCCGCGAAACAGGGGACCTTTGGTTGAGGGTGGGCCCGCTCAGAATCCAGGGGAGGTCAGGAAGAGAGGGGGTCCCGAGGTCCTGTTTTCCCTGTGGGCCGCTGGAAGGAGGCAGTGCGTGGAGGAAGCTCCTAGCCCCGGAGTTCGCGGTCCAGGGATCTTCTGTCGGTACCAGACCGGTTGGCAGGTGGACACGTGAGAAACATTTCAGGAGTGTCAGAGCCACAGTCTGATCCCTTCATCCTGGGCTTGAAGGGGTGGGGAGGAGGCTTTGGGTGAGTTTCTGGAGTTAATCAGCACAAGCTCTGTGAGTGACTCCTGAATCACACACAATCCCCGGTGCCAACGATGTACTAAGTGTTCACTGAGTCACTTCTCTGGTCCCTGAGGACTCACAAGCCAAGAGACTCCAAACCCAGTTGGCAAGTGGTATAGCGGCAAAAGGGAGACCCGTGGAGTTACTCAACCTTCGCAGGATGCAAGCCCCAAAGGCTGGCCCCGCAGCCTCCCAGCGTGTCCTTTTCCCCATCCATCCTGAAGTCCCCCTTCCTGTCTGCACAGGGCCCAGGTCCTGGGGAAACAGGTCTTGCTCTTGAAAGTGGAGTTCTTTCCCATCCTGACTGGTCTGTCCCGGTGACCTTGAGCCAGGAGGAGGAGGACTCCTCCCTGAGCCCAAGCTTTCTCCTCTGTCGTTTAGGCAGAATGATCCCAATGGACTCAAATTTCATCCCGAGCCTTCTCTGACTCAGTCTTTCTGGTTTTTCCCTCCCTTGTCCTCTTGCCCAGGGCTTTATACACAGCAGCGCAGAACAGTGAGCATATGGGATGGCGTTGGTGTCCCATACGGGACCTAGCACTCTGGGAATACAACAGCAGATCAAATCAGTTTGTGAATTGAGGACTTGGCGTGAATGCTTCGCATCTTGTCTGCTGTGCTTTTTCACCTCATCCTAATTTACAAAGAGAAGAAAGTGGAGTGTAATGAAGGCTCATCAGACAATGAGGCAGGGAGTGGGAAGAGATTGTTTCATCCACTCCACAAGCATCCGTGAATACAAAGCTTGTGTCAGACACTGGGCCAGGTGCACGCATCCAAAGGTGAATGAGGTTTAATCTCATCTTCAGCAAGCCTGAGGTCTAGAGAAGCCTGATGTGGATGTTAATCATTAAAATATAGTGAGATAGGCCTGGGCGCGGTGGCTCATGCCTGTAATCGCAGCACTTTGGGAGGCCAAGACAGGAGGATCACCTGAGGTCAGAAGTTCGAGATCAGCCTTGCCAACATGGTGAAACCCCGTCTCTACTAAAAATACAAAAATTAGCCGGGCATGGTGGCACACACCCCTGATCCCAGCTACTCAGGAGGCTGAGGCAGGAGAATCTCTTGAACCCAGGAGGCAGAGGCTGCAGTGAGCCGAGATCACACCACTGCACTCCAGCCTGGGTTACAGAGCAAGACTCCATCTAAAAAACGTATATATAAATATATATATATTGTATATATATATATTATATATAATGTATATAATAAATATATTATATATAATATATTTATATATATGTACATATAATATATATAATATATAATATATAACATATATATAATATATATATTTATATGTAAATATATATAATATTATATATATATATATGGTGAGATAAGCATTGCTGTAGAGATGTGCAAAAATGCTAAGGGTTCATGAGGGCAGGACGGGAGTAAGCGCCAAGAAAAAATGCTTTCTGAACCCATGTAATTAGCCAGTCCACTTGCCTGAACAAGAAAAGTATAAAATGTATGCTAGTGGGGGTTGTAAACTCCAAACCAATCAACCTTAGTTGTATCTAAAGCTTAGCCAGGCATGTAGCCTGGCATAGAGGCCTTCCCTTTGGGCCCAGCACCCCTAACCAGGAGTAAAAGACCAGAGGCAAGTTTCTAGGGCCACCAGTCATCTGTTTATCAGTTGGGGATATTTTGTTTACAAGCAATAACATCTATTACTAACAGTAATAAGACTTAAGTCTATCTTTTAAGTCTTTTTTTTTTTTTTTTTTTTGACACAGTCTCACTCCATCACCCAGCCTGGAGTGCAGTGGTGTGATCTCAGCTCACTCCAACCTCTGCCTCTTGGGTTCAAGTAATTCTCATGCCTCAGCCTCCCGAGTAGCTGGGATTACAGGCATGTGCCACCACGCCCAGCTAATTTTTTTTTTAGTACAGACGAGGTTTCACCATGTTGGCCAGGCTGATCTCAAACTCCTGACCTCAGGTGATCTGCCTGCCTCAGCCTCCCAAAGTGCTGGGATTACAGGCATCAGCCACTGTGCCCAGCCCGGTCTGTCTTAAAAATATACTTTACTGGATCATGTAGCTGAACATTGCAGAGGAAAGGCTTCAGGTGAGGTTTGATCTAGCAACTCACAATTATCACCTGGGATTCCTTTTCTTTCCATCTCTCCTCTCTGCTTTCCATGGAGTCTACCTTATTCCCTCTTGATGTCACACGATGCCTGGCCTCAGCTGCTGCGACTACTTTGTATCCTGTGTTCATTTCTAGCCCAGGGAAAGGAGGGTCAGTATTTCCCAGGATTTTCCTCAAAGGTTCGGAGATTTTTTTTCTGATTAGACCAGTCTTAAGTTCTGGGTCACTCCGAGACCAATCAGTGTGGCCAGGAAGTTAGAAAATGCCGATCAACTTGGCCAAGATCCCATATTTCACCTCCGCCATTGGGGTGAAGCCAGCCTCCCTGTAACAACTTGGATGCCCTATAGAGATCAGGGTCTGATGGGAAAGAAGTAGGTGCAGGGAACAGATTCCATCATTTATTCCACGCAGCCTCCCGAGGTTATATGACCTTGGCCAAGCCACCTCCCCTCCCAGGACTTAGATTTCTTTAGTGCCAAATGAGGGGTTGGAGGAGACAGCCCCCAAGATTTCACATGTTGCCAGAACGCTCTCTTAGTGTCTCAGCAGAGCTTCTCAACCCAGCAGAGGCTGCTCTGGAGCCTCTTGGCAACCCTGCCCTCTGGCTCATCTTTGCTTCAAGGTCTCTGGCCGCATTTTTCCCGTTAGCAGCAATGATGTTATCTGCTTCCTCCACATCTCACATTTAACCACAGTCCTTTGGGGCCCACCCTCTGGCTCCACTCCCTCAGGGGCCAGGGGCTTAAGGAGTGAGGTTAAGGATCTGGGCTCCAAGTCCCTGGAGAGAGAGTTGTTTGTTTATCTCAGACTTATAAAAAGCCATGCAAGAAAGAGGTTTAAAGGCTCCAGGCGGGTTATGGACGCCATAAACAGCTTATGTGATGGTTTTAGGATGAAAAATCACCCGAGATCGAAGAATAGGAAGGCAAGCTTCTGGGGTCACTGGAGCTGTCTTCCTGCACCTCAAGAATCTTTGGGTAAGGAGGTGAGACAAAGATGAGATCAGAACAGCGGGTGGCTTGGAGTGGGAGAAGGGCGTGAATTTTGACGAATCTGCAGTGCACATGTATCTCAGTACCAGGGGGCGCAGTTGGTTTGGGCAGTGCCAGAACCCCTGGGAGCAGGGGCCGGGCATCATGTCTTCTAAGCCAAACCAAGCAAAAGCAGCCACTTTGCATTCGAAGGGGCCCCGGCTTTGGCTTCCACTGTGGTGTAAAAGCGAGACAGGCAGAGCTTGATGTATAAGACAGAGCCGAAAGCACCGCCTGAGACTCCAGCGGCAGCCCTAGCAACAGCAGTGAGAGTCCTTAGAATTTTTAAAGCTCATTCAGTCATTCAACAAAGATGTATTGGACCCTATTATGTGCCGGACGTCATGCTGGGAAAGCAAACTATAGGCGTGTAGAAGATTTCCTAAGGAACTCTGCTCTTAAAATATCGTTCCTAATCTCACTTGACCAAGAGCCAGAGCTCTGAAGAAGCCCCAGACTGATCTGTGGGATTCCCTCCCCACCTCCACCCCAAATCTTGTTTCATCGCCATTTTCCAGTGAAGGGGGGAGTAAATCAGTTAATCAGTAGTTTTCAGCTCCTAGGTGTGCCCAGCACTGAGCTCGGGGCTGTGAGAGAAAGTGGAAGGCCAGGGGGAAAGGGTTCTTCTCTCTCAAGGAGCTGTCAGAAGAGGTCATGGGACAAGACAGGCGCGGGATGGGGTCAGAGGAGGGGGCAGCCACAGCGGAGTCAGTGTGCAAAATGGTTAAGAGTCAGATTTCCCAGGTTTACTCAGCTCTGCTACTTTTTGACTCGGATTTCTAAGTATCAGTTGTTTACCTCGAGGCCTCAGTTTTCTCATCTGTAAAATGAGGCTGATAAAAGGGCCATTCTCATAAGTTTCTTATAAGGATTCAATGAGATAATCCATAAGAAAGGCTTTTTCCTATAGTGACTGACACATAGTAAGTGCTCCGTAAATGTTAGATGATATGTGTCTTATTTATTTTTCTTCATTTATTTGAGACAGGTTCTCACTCTGTTGATCAGACTGGAGTGCAGGGGCACAATCATGGCTCACTGCAGCCTCAAACTCCCAGGCTCAAGCAATTGTTTGGCCTCAGCCTCTCAAGTAGCTGGGACTACAGGTGCACGTCACCACACCCACTAATTTTTTATTATTAATTTTTATTTTATTTATTAATTTTTATTTATTTTGTTATTAGTTTTTATTAGTAACAGTAGGGCACTGCCAATTATGAGTGTCCAAAGGTATCCAGGGCTGCCTGGAGAAAGTAGCACTAAAACCTCATCCTCGACTTTGATAGAAGATTGCACATACCCCCAAGGGTTAGGACCAAGTCTCATTCATCTCTACTTTTTCTGGTGCTTTGCACAGTGCAGGGCACTGAATACATTTTGGGGGTGGAATGAACACTGATCTATGGGGCAGGTAGGAATGAGCCTGGGATGCTGGCAGGTTGGAACCCCATGCTTAGAAGTTCAAGGAACCCAAGTTCAAACACCATCTCGGCAACTTGTTAGTTGTGTGATGTTAAGCAGGTTAGTTAATGTCACCAAACCTCGATACTCTCAACTGTAAGTAGTGAAGAAAAATAATACGTATGTTTTAAGGCTGGGGGGTTGGAGGCAGGGAAATGGGGCAGTGTATATAGCAGAGTGTCATACAGTTTATACAAAATGATAGCACCGGCCAATAGCAGTGTTGAAGGAATATTAGCCTGGTTGCATTGGCAGGGTGGTCTGTAAAGCAATGTTCTCCCCTTGCCTCAATGCTCCTGCCCCAGGTGCCAGAGAGCTAGGGCTGGATATGCCTTCTGCATTTAAATAAACTTCAGCCTAAGAGTTAAATTTAGCCAAATACATTCTTTTTTAAAATTTCGATCATGCATTTATTTCTTTTTGGTTTATTAGAGCCTGTTTTCACCCAGACTCTACAAATTTTGCTCTTGAAAAATTAAAAAATTCCCCCTACGTTTCACTTCTGCGTTGAGACAGAAATCATGAACAGGTGGGTCACCTGTTTCTGAGTGTCAGTGAGTGGTACGCTGAACACCCTCCCAGCCCACTAGGAATCCCAGAGTCTCTCCAATAAGCATTTGCAAGTGCAAGGATTCCACGTGGAGGTCAGAGGAGCCAGGACCTTGAACGTCCCTGGAGCCCCACCCACAGCATGCGAGGTCACAGACAGACAGGCATCACCTGTACCTCTTTCCCCAGTGCAAGAGAAAGAAACAGCCTCTGATCAGACCACAGGCATAGGCAGGTGACAAACCCCGCCAGGAGCCCAGCTGTGCTTCTGCTGAAATCCGCAGGCTTCCAGGCTAATCATCTACCCAATGCATCAGCAGAGGGAGCTCTAGGTAGTAAATAACATTCCTCTGACTGCAGAGTTTCCTGTAAAAAAAATCTGGAGACAGCAAAGGAAAGCGAGGTCCTATGTGGAGAGGGCACCTACCATGTGTGCAGAAGAAAATCACACCAATTTGCAAGAGTAGGGTGTTGGGGCAGGAGTGGGAGATGGGAAAGAGAGAAGAAAATCAGAAAGCACCACATTGCTTAAGAGATGATCTGAATTTGTTTTGTCTCAGCACTTTGACCTTCTAAGGACTCACAGCCTCTATGCTACCCTTGCAAGGCTCTGATGTTTGAAAAGGGGACGCAGTCCAAGTCTCAGACTACACTGGCAGACATTTTTTTTCTTTAAATGTTGATTGTGGGCTGGGCGTGGTGGCTCATGCCTTGTAATTTCAGCAGTTTGGGAGGCCGAGGCAGGTGGATCGCTTGAGGCCAGGAGTTTGAGACCAGCCTGGCCAACATGACGAAACCCCATCTCTACTAAAATGACAAAAATTAGCCGGGGATGATGGTGCATGCCTGTAGTCCCAGATACTTGGAAGGTGGTGGTCACAATGAGCCAAGATTGTGCCACTGCACTCCAGCCTGGGCGACAAAGCAAGACTCCATCTTAAAAAAAAAAAAAAAAAAAAAGTTGATTATATGTGTTATGGGTGCCTAATCTAACCCCTGGGGCCATAGGCTTATTTATGACTGTGGCAATGACAAGGATGACAATGATGACGATGACGGCAATAAGAGCGAACATTTATTGAGCACTTACTAGGTGCCAAGCCGTATATTGAGGACTTCAACAAATCATATTCACCAAATATTTGTTGAGAATTGATTCAATACTTAGGACAGTGTTCATGCCAGGGATTCATGGGAATTCATCCACGGATAAGACACAGAAAGTCCCTCCTGTCATCAAGCTTGCATTCTAAGGAGGCAGACAGGTCAAGACAAACAAATATATAAACAAGTAATATCAGAGAGTGATAAGTGCTATGAAAAAAATAAAAAGAGGCTGAGCATGGTGGCTCACGCCTATAATCCCAGCACTTTGGGAGGCTGAGGCGAGGCGGGAGGATTGCTTGAGTCCAGGACTTTGAGACCAGCTTGGGCAACATAGCCAGACCTCTTTTCTACAAAGAAAAATAATTTAAAAATTAGGGTTGGTAGTGCTCACCTGTAGTCCTAGCTACTTGATTCTTTGTGCCCAGAAGTTCAAGACTACAGTGAGCTAGATTGCACCACTGCACTCCAGCCTGGGTGTCAGATAAAGACCCTGTCTCAAAAAAAAAAAAAAAAAAAAAAAAAGAAAGAAAGAAAAAGAAAAGGAAGCTGACTTGCTAGAGTGACTAAAATAGGACAAGGGGAAACAGGCTGGTCAGGGCAGACCTTACCCAGACAATGACACTGGAGTGTTGATAACCTTCTCAAGAAATGTGACTGTTTAACAACTCTTACTCCATTTATGCATCAAGCATCATCTACTGACTGAACAAATAACTGTAGATCCATTTTTCAAATGTGTGATATATAAATGATGCTAAATTCATTGTCATTCTTTGGGCATTTTGGATTTTCTTAAAGTGATTAGTAATAACTATTTGCATGGTCATGATGGGAGCTATGGAATGGGTTAGGAAAAAGTTCACCAAAAAAGAAAAGAGTTAAAAATATCCATCTCACCAAAGAAGAATTGAGAGCAACTAATGTATTAGATCTCAAATATTTTTGGTCCAAATACTTTTTTAATTTCTTAACTTTACCCTCCTCACCCCTCTCAAAGGTTCTGTATGCCACAGATGTTTCTATTTAGCCCCTGTATCTTTAAGTCGGCAGGCTGAGCCCCGTAGTCCCCAAATCACCTCTCCCATCTTGTTTGTAGCTTCTTCTCTGCACCCCAATGTCAACCCATCCTGCACCTATTGCTATTTCTCTCTGTGTCTCTCAAATCTCTTTTACCTGAACCCCTAAGAATTCTATTCCACAAGGGCTAAGTGTACGGTGTTGGGGGCGGGAGTGGGAGATGGGGAGGAGGGAAGAAAATCAGAAAGCACCACATTGCTTAAGAGATGATCTGACTTTGTTTTGTCCCAGCACTTTGACCTTCTGAGGACTCACAGCCTCTGTGCTTCCCTTACAAGGCTCTCCTTGCACCTGCCCTCTAAGAACTCTATTCCACAAGGAAAACAGAAGTTCACTGGAAGCCTGTTTGATATGCCAGAGTCTGTTAGCTGCTTCTCAAATACCCATTCTTCCTTTCCTGTTTGGTCAAGAATTCTGATTTTAGTTGGGGTGACAATGAGCCCAAACCAAAAGCAACGGTTCTTAGCCTTCCTGTAAGTTAGGAGTGATCGGAAAGAAGACAGCAGATACAATTGGTAGAGCTCCCAAGAAATCCTTTGGGGTGGGAGGGAAGATCCTAAATAAGTTGGGATTGAGTTCCCTTTGTGCCTTGCCATTCCCATTGTTTTTTTTCTATTCTTAACTTCAGACAGGGTCTCACTCTGTCACCCCAGCTGGAGTGCAGTGGTGCAATCTCGGCTCACTGCAGCCTCGACCTCCCAAGCCCAAGCAATTCTCCTGCCTCAGCCCCCCAAGTAGCTGGGACACAGGCACCTGATACCACATCTAGTTTTTGTATTTTTAGTAGAGATGGGGGTCTCGCCCTGTTGCTCAGTCTGATCTCTAACTTCTGAGCTCAAGCAATCTGCCCACCTCAACTTCCCAAACTGTTAGGATTACAGGCATGAACCATGGTGCCCAGCCATCATTCCCATTCTTTTGGACTGGAATGTAGAAAGGATAGCTGGAGCTCCAGCAGCCATCTTGTGACCATGAGGACAGAGGCCAGTACTACAGGTGGTGAGCCAGAAAGAAAGAAACAGCTTGGGTTCCTGGTGCTCTGCTGTCTCCGGCCCATCCTTAGACTTTTCTTCACACCCAAGAATGAGCCCCATATTAGTTGGAGCCACTCAGGCTGGGTTTCTGTCTCTATAGCTGGTACGATGACGTGTCTGATAGAATGAAACAGTCTAACTGAAAGAAGCTCAGGGATAGAGGTGGGATTTGGGAAGAGCTGGAACCAGGGACCCAAACACAGAAGTCACCCGCTTTATCTCTTGCTCTGCTTCCTTCTGCCTGCTTGATTAATTCTCCCTCCTGGCAGAACAATGCTGTCCACATGGTAAGAAGCATAACTGCCACAGCTCCTGAGTGCCACACTGTACAGCCTCCATAAAGGGACAGGTTCTCCCTCTAAGGCCATGAGCCGCAAGCGGGTCCTCAATGCTGTCTCATTCGCTGCATTTTGCTGGTCTTGTCACTCTCCCAGGCATGAAGCCACCAGCTCTCTCTCCCCTCCTGCCTCTGACTTTCCTCCTTCCCCACTTGCCTGAGGACCTTGCTTCCCAGGTTGACAAGGGAGGGGGAAGGAAGCTTCCCACCAAGCTCCTGCCATTTAATTTCCCCACTTTTCTACATCGGTGTCGCGGACTGTTTTTGTGAATGAACTTTCTAGGCTCCAGGTCGAGACCCACTCCTCCATCTGCCAAAGAGACCCCACCTTGTCTTACCTATCTGCGGACATCACTCCAACACTTCCATTTTCTCCTTCCTTTATCATCAGTTCTTCCTCCCGAGAGCAGCATTTCCTCTAGCATTTGAATTCCCTGGTATTTCTCTGGTTAAAAACAAAAGTTCTGACCAGGCGTGGTGGCTCATGCCTGTAATCACGCACTTTGGGAGGCTGAGGCGGGCGGATCACCTGAGGTCAGGAATTTGACACCAGCCTGATCAACGTGGTGAAACCCTGTCTCTACTAAAAATACAAAATTAGCTGGGCATGGTGGCACATGCCTGTAATCCCAGCTACTTGGGAGGCTGAGGCAGGAGAACTGCTTGAACCTAGGAGGCGGAGGTTGCGGTGAGCTGAGATTCGGCTGAGCTGAGATTGCACCATTGCACTCCAGCCTGGGCAACAAAAGCGAAACTCCATCTCAAAAACCATAAAATAAAAAATGTTCTCTCCTGGCCCCACAGCCCTCTATAGCTTCGATCTCGTGTTTCTCTTTCTTTTGCAGGAAAACTCCTCAAAAGCATTGTCTAGCTCACCGTATCTCCAATTCTTCCCTTTCCATCTTCTCCTAAGCCCTTCTAACACACACACACACACACACACACACACACACACACACACACACGCTACTCTTAAGCTCATCAGTGACCTCATTACCAGATTCAATAGTTACTTAGCCTAATGCAACAAAGGTCACAGTTGTCCCTTCCTTCCTCCTTATTTATTTCTTTGGCTTCCAGGATGCTGCTCTCTGGGTTCGCTCCTATCTCACAGCTGTTCCTTCTCAGCCTCTTTGGTTAATCCCTTCTCTTCCAGCTGTCCTCTCCCCTTCCTTACCCCAATTTTCTGTGCTGGCTTTTCCCAGGCTTTAATTCCATAGCTTTTCTTCTCCACCATCCAGATGCATGGCTATAAAGAAATCCTCTAATTCACATGTTTATATTTCCAGCCTGTACTCCTCCCCAAACTCCAAGTTCATGCACTCAGTTGCTCACCCAGCATCGCCACTTGGATGTCTAATAGACATCTCTGTCAAGAACTGAAAAAGGGGCTGGGGATTTGACCCTACTTGCAAACTAACAAGGTATTCTGCCATAGCTTCATGAATTCCAGCAGAAGACATGAGACTCCTGGATCAGAGACAAAAGATCCTATTACCCACCTCATAGCAGGCAGCATGAGCTTCATGTTTGCATCAGTTCCCTCCCTGCATCCCCCACCAAGTCTCTGGGGTGGTACAGAGGGGGTCAAGGCAGATGCTCTACACATGACTGAGAAACCTGGAGTTTTGAAAAACTCTGTATTTTATAATGAGCTGCAAGCAAATCTGCTCAACCTTTGCCCCAGAGGGAGACATTATCTTTATTAGCCTGAATAGCAAACAAATCTGCCCTCTGCCCAGAAGGGAGACACTATCTCTGCCTACTAAGGCTGTTCACAATACAAATATGAAGTTTATATGCCTTTTGATGTCTTGAAAAGGTCATCCGGAGGCCAGGCATGGTGGCTCATGCCTGTAATGCCAGCACTTTAGGAGGCCAAGGCAGGCCGATCACTTGAGCCCAGGAGTTCAACATCAGCCTAAGCAACATGGAGAAACCCCATCTCTACAATAAATACAAAAATTAGCTGTGGCCAGACATGGTGGCTCACACCTGTAATCCCAGCACTTTGGGAGGCCGAGGTGGATGGATCACCTGAGGCCAAGAGTTCAAGACCAGCCTGGTCAACATGGCAAAACCCCGTCTCTAGAAAAAAATACAAAAAAAGTAGTCAGGCTTGGTGGCGGATGCCTGTAATCCCAGCTACCTGGGAAGCTGAGGCAGGAGAATCACCTGAACCCAGGAGTTGGAGGTTGTAGTGAGCCGAGATTGCCCCACTGCACTCCAGCCTGGGCAACAGAGAGAGACTCCATCTCAAAAAAAAAAAAAAAAAAAAATTAACTGGAAGTGGTGGCTGTGCCCGTAGTCCTAAATACTCAGGAGGCTGAGGTGAGAGGATGGCTTGAGCCCGGAAGGCGGAGGTTACAGTGAGCCAAGATTGCACCACTGCATTCCAGCCAAGGTGACAGAGTCAGACCCTGTCTCCAAAAAAAAAAAAAAAAAAAAAAGTCATCCAGAATAGAAAGCCACAATGTGCAGAAATATAAACAGCCCATGGAGAATTATTTCCTAACAGTATTAAACTTATCATATCCAAAATGGAATTCTTGAACTTCCTTCCCAGCTCATGCCACCAAAAGCTTTTCCATATCAAGAGCTTTCAGTCATCACAGCTCCTGTCTTTTGCTCGTAATACGCACCCAATTCATCAGCAAATCCTGTTGGCTTCATGTTCAAAATATTTCCCAAATCAGATTACATCTCACTGTCCCCATGGCCATCACTTAGGTCCAAGCCACATTGTCTCTCCCTTGATTCCGCAGTCACCTCCTAATTCACAGCCCTGCCTCCAACCTTGCTCTGTTCTCTCCACAGCAGCCAGAGAAAACCTGATTAAACTTAGCTGCAGTGTTGTCATTCATTAGTTAACAGCAACATCAAGGGGATCCTCATTTCTCTTAGAAATAAAGCCAGTGTTCCTATAAGAGCCTGCATGGCCCCCACCATCCAGCCCCCAGCATCTCTCTCACCTGCACAAGCTATTTTCCTGCCCTTTCCTCACACCCTTCCATCACCCTGGTTTCCTTTCAGTTTCTTAAATACGCCAGGCAGGTGCTCACCTGGCGGCATTGCCCTGGTTTTTCATTATGTCTGGAATGCTGTGCACCCAGATATCTGCCTGTCTCCCTCCCTTACCTTGTCTCCCTGCCTTTTTCAAGCTTCTGAAGAAGGTGTCATCTTCTAGTTACAGTAGTTAGCTAGTCAGACATGAACAGGGCAGGAGAGGGCTCCTCCCCCACCACTAGGAATGTCAGGCAACCATGGTCAGGCAGCTGTTAACTGTCTCTCTAAAATAATAATTGGTTGCAGTCAGCACCAGGGAAAGGCAGTTTCCCAATGAACAGAAATACCTGAAACTGGTGATCAGCAGCTTCCCGATAAGATCTCAAGAGTTGGGCAAGTAGGTTCAAGCATGCACACTAAGAGGCAAAATGGCAGAGTTTAACTGGTATATGACCTCCTGGGGACATCTGACTGGTAAGGGAAGAACGCTTTAACTGAGCATGCGTACAACTCCAGGAAGCACACTCAGCATGCTTCTCTCCAGGCCACTGCTCCAGGTAACATCCTGCCCCAAGGGAAGAATCAGGGGAGAAGGGACGCAAGACCCCAGAAGCATGCCAGTGTATGACCCCAAGTCAAAGGTCAAACAGCGCACTTTATCTCTCAAGTCGCCTGCTTGGTCCTCTTCCAAGTATACCATTTTTTGTTTCATTCCTGCTCTAACGCTTTTTTTTTTTTTTTTTTGAGTTGGAGTCTCGCTCTGTTGTCGCCCAGGCTGGAGTGCAGTGGCTTGATCTTGGCTCACTGCAACCTTCCCTTCCTGGGTTCTAAGTGATTCTCCTGCTTCAGCCTCCCAAGTAGCTAGAATTACAGGCATGCACCACCACACTCAGCTAATTTTGTATTTTTAGTAGAGACGGGGTTTCACCATGTTGGCCAGGCTGGTCTCAAACTCCTGACCTCAGGTGATCCACCTGCTTTGGCCTCCCAAAGTGCGGGGATTACAGGCGTGAGACACCACGCCCAGCCATTCCTGCTCTAACACCTTTTTTTTTTTTTTTTTTTTGGAGACTGAGTCTCTCTGTCACCAGGTTGGAGTGCAGTGGCATGATCTCAGCTCACTGCAACCTCTGCCTCCCAGGTTCAAGCGATTCTCCTGTCTCAGCCTCCCGAGTAGCTAAAATTACAGGCACCCGCCACTACGCCCAGCTAATATTTTGTATTTTTAGTAGAGATGGCGTTTCACCATGTTGGCCAGGCTGGTCTCAAACTCCTGACCTCATGATTTGCCCGCCTCAGCCTCCCAAAGTGCTATGATTACAGGCATGAGCCACCGTACCCGGCCTCTAACACTTTTTAATAAACTTTCACTGCTGCTCTGAAACTTGCCTCAGTCTCTCCTTCTGCCTTATGCCCCTCAGTTGAATCCTTTCTTCCGTGGAGGCAAGAATTGAGGTTGCTGCAGACCCGTATGAATTCATCGCCAGTAACATTCTCATTTAAGCCTTTCCCAACTATCGCAGTGGAATCACAGTGCCTCAGCCAGCACCCCCAATTGCCTTGACTTTGTTTTATTGGTCTCCGAGCACTGACCACCTTGTTCACTTATTCTATTTATTGTTGTCTGTCTGTCTGACCCCATTAGATTATAAAGCCCATGAGGGCAAGGTTTTGTCTGCTTTGCTTACTGCTTAGTGCTTGGCACATGGTAAGAGCTTGATTAATGTTTGTTGATGAATTGAAGTTGAAGTCAGAGTCCAAAGACATTGCAGAAAACAGCATTGATTATCCTGCCTCACCTGGGGCGCAATGACTGGAGTTACAGGAAAGGGGTCACATAAGAAGACAGAGAAGGATCCGGTGTGGTGGCTCACGCCTGTAATCCCAGCACAACAGGAGGCTGAGGTGGAAGTATGGCTTGAGCCCAGGGGTTCAAGACCAGCCTGGGCAACATAGAAAGACCCTGTCTCTACAAAAAATTTTTATTTTTTTATTTTTTTAAAAACTTTAAGTCCTGGGATACATGTGCTGAACATGCAGGTTTGTTACATAGGTATACATGTGCCATGGTGGTTTGATGTACCTATCAACGCAGCATCTAGGTTTCAAGCCCCGCATGCATTATGTATTTGTCCTAATGCTCTGCCTCCCCTTTCCCTCCACCCCCCGATAAGCCCGGGTGTGTGATGTTCCCCTCCCTGTGTCCATGTGTTCTCGTTGTTCAACTCCCACTTATGAGTGATAACATGTGGTGCTTGGTTTTCTGTTCCTACATTAGTTTGCTGAGGATGATGGTTTCCAACTTCATTCATGTCCCTGCAAAGAACGTGAACTCATTCTAGCTGGGTGTGGTGGCTGTGCACCTGCAATCCTGCTACTCCAGGAGGCTAAAGTGGGAGGACTGCTTGAGCCTGGGAGGTCGAGGCTGCAGTGAGACATGATCATGCCACTGAACTCCAGCCTGGGCAACAGAGGGTCTCTAAAACAAAAAACAAAAAACAAAACAAAACAAAAAAAGCAAAAAAGAGGAAGAAGAAGAAATGAGAACCTATGTTAACCATGTAATGAAAAAGCCACTGGCAAGAAGGGGAGACACCAACTGTGCTGTTGATGTCGGAGGCAGGGCAACAGTGGGGGAACAAGACCCTGGACCCAAACCACTTGGGTTTGAATCTCCCATGTACTTCTTACTAACTCTGGTGTGTTGGAGAGATTGTTTCATTTTCTCCTTTCTTTTTCATCTGCAAAACTGGGGGAACACGGTACTCTCCTCCTGCGATTGTCAGGGGGCTTAAATATATGAATTAATGTTAAAAAGCACTCGAAGTAGCACTCAGCACATAGTAACATCAAATACAAGATCTGAAAACTGTTAGAAAAACAATGAGAACTTGATAAAAGAAATACATATATATTTGAAGAAATCAATATGCTTCTTTTCCATAGCAGGTAGATAAATAGAAAGAAAAATCAGTAAGGACATAGAGAAATTGCACACTGCAACCTACAAACTCAATTTAATAGATACATAGAGAAACACTTACCTTAACAGAAAGTAAATATTATCTTCTAATATCCACGGAATCTGTCATATACCTAAACATAAAGTAAACCTCAACAAATAAAATAAAAAAGATTTTTCTCAAGCCAGATTCTCCCTAATCATAATCCAATATTATAAATATTTTATTTTATTTGTTTTAATAACTTAAAAAGTGAGAAACACCACCCTAGATAATGGAATTTAATCTTTTTTAGAAGAGCAATAAATAAGAGAATATCACAAAATCAACAGAATACAACAAAAGCTATAGTCAGAGGAAAATTAATAGACTGCAAAACCTTCATTATAAAGAATGACTAATAAGACAATGAAGAAATGTATGAGCCCAGAGGTTACAATAAGAAAATAAAAGAAATTCTCCATAAAAAATAATAATGACAGAAACTGAATGTAATGAAATGGAAAGCACAAACAACAGCAGAAAGTAAAAAATCAACTCAAAAACTCATTTTTTGAAACACCAGATTAAACCCCTGGCAAGTCTGATTTAGAAAAAAAATAAATAAATAAAAATAAAAGTATAGCTATGTAAAAAAGAAAACTTAGCCAAAATCACAGAAGTAAAGGAAAATTGAAGAGAATATCACGTGCAATTCTATGCCAATACATTTGATAACCTGGATTAAGTGGCTAATTTCTTGGGAAAAAAATAAACATTAAAAATGGCCCAAGACAAGGCAGAAAACTTGGAGAAACCGATGACCAGAAAGAGATGGAAAATTTACCAGATCAGAGAGGTTCAAAGCTGAGTTGTATATAACCTTATGTGTAATAAAAAGGATTGCTCCAATGTTACTTATTCCAAGTTGTACACAGTTGTTCTCAGACTTGACTGCATGGTGGAGTCACCCAGTGAGATTTTTAAAACTAATGATGTCCAAATCCCACCCCAAGAAATATCTATTCAACTGGTGTGGGCTGTGCCAGCTATCAGCATCTTGAAACAGTTCTCCAGGTGATACAAATGTGCAAGCCAAATGTTAAATCAAGTGTAGCCTAAAGCTGTCTTCTTATGTATTCAAGTTTGGCCTAAAGGTTTTTCTGTATCTGCTGAACTATAGCAAGTGGAGGTGTAAACAGACCATAGCCTCCGCTTGTGACAATCACTGAGTTTTGGCCAATCAAATGTAGCCAACTGTTTGAACCATGTTCAAATAAGGCAAACACGAGCTGTAACCAATCCAGCTGTTTCTGTACCTCACTTCCATCTTCTGTACATCACTTGTCTTTTTCTGTCCACAAACCTTCTTCCATCCCCTGGCTGTGCTGGAGTCTCTGAGCCTACCCTGGCTGGGAAGGCTGCCCAATTCACCAGTCGTTCATGGATCAATTAAACTCCTTTAAATTTAATTTGCCTGAAGTTTTTCCTTTATCACAAGGTTGCTAGCCCCTGCCATAGAAAGGAATGCAGAGCTTTTCAATTAAAAAACAAAAACAAAAAACAAAACAAAAAAACCCCTCAGTTCTGGTAAAGATAGCACCAGGAAAGAAAACTATAAGTTAACTTTACTTATGAAAAAAAATGAATCTTTTGAATAAACTACCAGCATCAAAGGAATAATGTGTTATGACCAAGCAGTTTATTCCAGGAATTTAAGTCTGGGTTGAATCAGGTAAGGTATCAACATAATCCACCAGTTCCATTACTCTGTTAAAGATGAAGCTGAGAAACCATTTGATTACACTTGGGAGTCATTCTTAAGAAATCACCAAGTAAACCATTAATAGAAGGAAATTAAGTATAATGCAGGCTAACGAACAAAAAATTACTCAAAATGGCAAAAATTAAATCTTAATGCATTTAAAAGTTCTTGTAAATGCATTAAGATAAGAAAACAAAATAATCTGTAAGTATTGCAAAAGAAAAACTAAAACTCTCTTTTTGCTGTTGGTTTGCTTGTATACTATATTAGAGTTCTACATAGATACCAAACCAATAGGATATAAATATAGATAGATATGGATACAGATATATGAGATGGGGCTTTATTAGCGGCATTAGCTCCGATGATAATGGAGGCTAAGTCTCAGGACAGGCTGTCTGTAGGCCGGAAAGCCTAGGATGCCAGTAGCCTGGCTCCATTCAAGTCCAAAGCCTCAGTGTCAGAAAAGCCAGTGGTGTAACTCAGTCCAAGGTCAAAGGCCTGAAATGAAAGGGGCATTGAGTAAGTCATGAAGTCCCAAGGCCAGACACCCTGGAGTTCTGATGTTGAAGGGCAGGAGGAAAGTGGCCCACCTCCATGAGAGAGAGAGAGGAGAGGAGGTATATTAGTCTGTTCTCATGCTGCTAATAATGACATACCTGAGACTGAGTAATTTATAAAGGAAAGAAAGGAAAGGGGTTTAATGGATTCACAGTTCCACATGGCCGGGGAGGCCTCACTATCATGGTGAAGGCAAGGAAGGGCAAATCACGTCTTACACAGCAGCAGGCAAGAAAGAGCTTGTGCAGGGGAACTCCAATTTATAAAAGCATCATATTTCATGGACTTATTCACTACCATGAGAACAGTATGGGGGACACCACCCCCATGATTCAATTATCTCCACCTGGCCCCACCCTTGACACATCTGGATTATTACAATTCTAGGTGAGATTTGGTTGGGGACACAGCCAAACCATATCAGAAGGAGAGGAGGAGAGTGTTACCTTCTCCAGGAGAGACTGTCCGTTTCTCCAATAAAAGGAGAGGAAATTCTTTCCTTTCTCATATTTTGTTCCACCTGTGCTCCCCACTGATTGGATGGTGCCTGCACACTTGGAGGGTAGATCCTCCCCAATGAATCTACTGACTCACATGCCAGCCTCCTCTGGAAGCACCTTCATAGACATTCCAAAAGCAATGCTTTATCAGTTCTCTAGGCCTTCCTTAATCCATTCAAGGGTAACCTAAAATTTATCATGACATATACTAAAGAAACCTAATAGACTCTAGTAAAAAACAAACGAACAAACAAAAACCCTACTACAATCAATAAGAATTTGTAAAGGAACTGGAAACAGTAGAATTATACAAATATTAATAACCTTTCTCTATACCAGCAGTAAGAACCTTGAAATAGATATGGCAGGAAATTAGATGGAAAAATATTCTAGTTACAATAGCATGAACTATAAAATAACTTGGGACCACTTAAGAAAAAAGACTTGGGAATTATAGGAAAACTATTTGTAAAGTAATGCCCAAAAATCTCATTGAATTTCATAAAACACGATCCACACAAACGAAAATAAATGCTAAGTCTTGCATGGGCAAGTTGATATAAAATATAAATCTTACAAAAATCAATAAAATTAACTTCAAGTTCCAATATCAATAAAATATCAACAGCTTGCTTTTAATGGTGGGTGGAGGGGAAAAGGGAGATTGGATTAAACGAATGGAGGAAGGAATACACTTGAATGACCAAATGGAAATAAATACAAACATACACTCATATATGTATACAAGGCAGACATATACTTGCCTTAACATATATCAGAATATACCATAAAGTCAACTATAAACAAATAAATATGCTGCTAGTTTAGAAATAAATAGATCAATATAACAGAACTCAAAGACAATATTTGAATCTGGTAGGGAAATATGGTTTATTTGAAGTATGTTGCTAGCCCAACTGATTTTCCACTGGAAGAAAATAATGTCGGACTCCTATAATATACCATATATTAAAAAAACAAATCCAGGCTGGGCATGGTGGCTCACGTCTGTAATCCCAGCACTTTGGGAGGCTGAGGTGGGTGGATCGCCTGAGGTCAGGAGTTCCAGACCATCCTGGACACCATGATGAAACCCCGTCTCTACTAAAAACACGACAAAATTAGCTGGGCATGGTGGTACATGCCTGTAATCCCAGCTACTTGGGAAGCTGAGGCAAGAGAATTGCTTGAACCCAGGAGGTGGAGGTTGCGGTGAGCTGAGATTGCACCACTGCACTCCAGCATGGGCAATAGAGTGAGACTCGGTCTCAAAAAAAAAAAAAAATTTAAAAACATTAAAAAAAATTTGTGTTAATCTAGATGGAGTAAAATCTTAATGTAAATAAAACAACAATGGGGTTTTTTATTTTAAAAAATAAAAATATTTGGTTTAATCAACAAATGAATAAAGAAAATGTGGCATAGACATAGACACACACACACACACACACACACACACACACACACACACACACACTCCCCAGGGAATACTACTCTGTGATAAAAAGGAACAAAATAAAGGCATTTGCAGCAATCTGGATGGAATTGGAGACCATTATTCTAAGTGAAGTAACTCAAGAATAGAAAACCGAACGTTATATGCTCTCACTCTTAAGTGGGAGCTAAGCTCTGAGGACGCAAAGGCATAAGAATGATACATTGGATTTTGGGGACTCCAGGGAAATGGTGGGGGCAGAGTGAGGGATAAAAGACTACACTTTGGGGCCAGGCACATTGGCTCATGCCTGTAATCCCAGCACTTTGGAAGGCTGACACGGGCGGATCACCTGAGGTCAGGAGTTCAAGACAAGCCTGGCCAACATGGTGAAACCCTGTCTCTACTAAAAATACAAAAATTAGCTGGGCATGGTGGCATGTGCTTGTAATCCCAGCTACTCGGGAGGCTGAGGCAGGACAATTTCTTGAACCCAGAAGGCAGAGGTTGCAGTGAGCTGAGATCACACCATTGCACTCCAGCCTGCATGACAAGAGCGAGACTTTGTCTCAAAAAAAAAAAAAAAAAAAAAAAAAGAAAAAGAAAAAGACTACACATTGGGTACAGGGTACTCTGCTCAGGTGATGGGTGCAACAAAATCTCAGAAATCACCACTAGAGAACTTATTCATGTAATTGAAAAAAAACAATGAAGAATTCAGAGGTGATAGAAAACAAAAAGCAGCACTTTTGGAATATACTATGAAAGGAGGTAGTGGAGGTTATGAGAGGCGTCAGAAAGAAGACAATTTTGAACAACGTGAGCCCTATCAACTGAGGAAGCATGAGAAAGATGTGTAGCATAGTGGACCTGTGCTAAGATGTATAGCATAGTGTAGTGTAGCACAGTGGAGACTGGACTACCATTCAGCAAAGTAAAGGAATGAAGTACTGATTCACACCACTATGTGGCAAGTCTTTAAAACATCATTATGCTCAGGAGAGAAGCCAGACACAAAAGGACCACATGCTGTATGATTTTATTTATATGAAATGTCCGGAAAAGGCAAACCTATTGAGGCAGAAAGTAGATTAATGGTTGCCATGGGTACGTTGTTTGTTTTGGGGGTGATGGAAATGACCTAAATAAAATTAGGTTGTGGTAATGGTTGCATAACTCTATAAATACACTAAAGCAGGTGAGTTTTATGGTATGTAAATTATATCTCAATAAAGCCATGAAAATATTAATGCCACTACAGTTACATTTATTAACTATGCAAAGCATAGGATGTCCTATTCCACCAAGAGTATCAAGTACAGATTTTGTGTGTTTGTGTGTGAATGGGTACATACCATTTCAAATAGGTCAATTGTCAAAAATTGAAATGCGAGATCAGTAAACTGCCATCACCTAAAACTTCAAAGGGGCATGTGACTAGCTTAGCAAAGGTACACATGGCGATGAAACATGCCAGCTCTGGGGGCAGACCACGCTGGGTTCAAATCTCAGTTCCAAAACTTACTCCTTGTGTGGCACATGGCCTCAGTTTCCCTATCTGTAAAATGGAGAGAGGGTTGTTGTGAGAATGAAGTGAAGTGATGTGTGTCAATAACAGATAATCCTTAGAACAGAGTAGGACCTCAACAAAACTGATGGTGGTAGTGGTGGTGGTAGTGATTAGGATTAGAGTAGAGAAAGGATCAGAGGAGTCTTATGAGATGTATTTATTTGTATTCATTATTACCTTTTATTTATATGGATATATTTGCATATATGGACATTTTACTTTAAAATTCACAGTATTATCCATGGTAAGTTGTCATGTAAAAGTTCCAAAATTGTTAGAGAGACAGAAAATTGCTGGCTATTGCCAAAGTCATTTATATACTGGGAGGAAAATAGGTGCTATCTTTAAACTTTCTCATCAGTATACCTAGGATGCGGCGGGGGAAGAGGACTCCATTCCATTTGTGGTGTTGGAATCGCACCGCCCCCCACCCACAACGGTTCCTTTTACAGGCAGTGGAAACAGCTCTGAAAAGCTTGCTTTGGGAGGGACACCCAGCATGCTGAGATGTCACAGTGGTGCTCAAGGAAGCTATCATTCATACTGCTATAATCTAACACAGTGATGGGGTTCTGGGTCAGATAAGACACTGCTAATTTTTTAGGCCAAAGAAAGAGATGTATTTTTCTGTAGGCTGTTATGTGTTTGTTTAAAAATCATGTCATTCCAGCCTGGGCAACCTAACAAGACCCAGTCTCTCCAAAAAAAAAAAAAAAAATAGCTGAGCTAACAAGTACATCTGTTGCCCCATCTGTTCAGGAGGCTGAGGCAGGAGGATTGCTAGAGCCTAGGAGGTTGAGGCTGTAGTGAGCCATGATTGCACCACTGTACTCCAGCCTGGGCAACAGAAAGAAACCCTGTCTCAATCAATCAATCAATAAAACATAGAAAGAACTGTTTGGGGGTACTGGAAATGATATATAACCTTGGTTTGGGTGGTGGTACACTGGTGTATACATGTGTAAAAATCAGCTGAGCTCTATACTTAAGTTGCATATACTTTATATATTTTATATTTCAGAAACAGAGAAAGATCAGAATCTAATTCAAGGAAACATTCCTGTACACACAAAAATAGTCATCATATCTTATATGCAAAGATAGTCATCATAGCATCTTTGCAATAGCAAAACATCTGAAACAATCTAACTTTCAACAATATTGTCTAATGGTTAAGTAAATTATGGCATATCCACTAATTAGAATATTTATATAACTAAAATGTTCATGAAGAGTTTGCAAAAACATGGAGAAATGCCATGTCATCAAGTTAAACAAAAAAAATCAGGAGCTAAACTCCTTATATGTGATATGTAAACATAATTATATTAAAATATGCATAAAAATGATGACAGAAATGCCCCAGGCTTTAATACTGACCATTTTTCAGTGGTGAAACTATGGAGGATTTTCCTTTCTTCTTTCAAATTTTCTGCACTTATAATAAATAAATTTGGTTTTCATAATTGCATAAACATAACTAATACTTTTAAGTTTACAATAGCAAAAAGCAAACATTGGACCAGGAATCAATCTTGCAGTGATTAACAGCATGGGATGCTTGCAGCTGCAGACTTGGTGTCAGATGCTGGTCTTTTTGCTTTAAAAGGGCAGTCATTACTATGGCTAAAACCAATTTCGTAAGGAGATCACCATCAGGCTTGGCATTACAGCTCTGTTGAAGCCTCCTGACATACAGTTTTGAGATGCGCCTCCTGGTCAGAAAATAGTCGGCTATGTCCTACCAATTAAGGATTTCTCCTTCATCACCAGAATAAGCTCTTCGGATAACTTATACTTCCAAGCAGTTTCTGTGCAGCCAGCACTGGATAAAAATGCTATCACCAATGGAGTTTGAATCTCCCAAGATGACAATATATCCATATATAGTCATCCTCGGTGTCTGTGGGGGATTGGTTCCAGCCCCCTCCCTCCAATACTAAAATCTACAGGTGCTCACACCCCTTATATAAAATGCCATAGTATCTGCATGTAACTTAGGTACATCTGCCAGTATACTTTAAATCATCTCTAGATTACTTATGATACTTAATACAATATTAATGCTATGTAAATAGTTGTTATACTGTATTTTTTCACTTGCATTATTTTTTGTTATATTGTTATATATTTTTCCTGAATATTTTTGATTTGTGGTTGGTTGAATCTACGGATGTAGAACCCAAGGATAGTTCTAGAGAAGGCTCCTTTGTACCTAAATTTGGAGCATTCCAAGTATCCTCCAAAGCCTTCTACTACTAAAGGAAGATACACATTTTTGGGAGGAGGAACTTGGAGGAATTTGGGCTTGATCTTTGAACAAGATTGTCTGATGAAGACACAGATGATAGCAGCATTAAATATCCTCACTGCATTTATCCTTTAGTCAGCCATTTATTAAATATTTATTGAGAAGCAGAGCTTGCACTAAACTCCATTATTTTTAAGCTTACACTAGGGGTTGGCAAATAACTTTCATCCTGTATGCCTAATTTGATGGGTTGATAGTGGTGCTCTCAAATGCTCTCCTGGAAAAGATTCTGGGACAGGGTCCAAACTCAAGTGAAAAGAGCAATGATCGATTAGTAATGTCTCCCATTCTTGCAGAAAGGGAAATGGTGGTATATATGCTATGCTGGCCGGATATTTTTCTGCCAGGTTAATGACTGTCACTTAAGCCTTGACACACACTCTCTTTCCTTACAAGTTAAAGGAACCAAACTTCTATCCAAGTTAACATCACTGGAGAAGCACTAACAGAGGGGGAAATAGAGACATGTTTGTTAGCAATCTACTACATTCTAGACCTTGCAGAGTTCTCTTTACATATACTGAGTCATGTCATTTTTAGGATATCCCTTCAAGGTAAGCATCCTTATCTCCTTTTTACAGATAAGGACCTAGGCGAAGAGAAGCAAAATAACTTTTTGAAGTCTCACAATCAGACACAGCAGAATCACTCTTCCATCCAATGAGAAACCCAGGCTTGATATGGAACCAAGTAAGATAAGACAGTGTCCCCTTCTTTTCAGAAGGTTATAAAATTAATTCTACAAATTTTTGATAATTACCTGAGTTAAATAGGTCCCTTTGGAGAAGTATTCAATCCAGTTTGTTCATCAAGACAAAAGGAGGCACAGTCATTTCCACTTTCTCTTATTTTTTCTTTTTTTCTGAGACAGAGTCTTGCTCTGTCGCCCAGGCTGGAGTGCAGTGGCATGATCTCGGCTCACTGCAACCTCCGCCTCCCGGGTTTAAGCAATTCTCCTGCCTCAGCCTCTGGAGTAGCTGGGATTACAGGTGTGTGCCACCATGCCTGGCTACTTTTTTATTTTTTATTTTTAGTAGAGACGGGATCTCACCATGTTGGCCAGGTTGGTCTCGAACTCCTGACCTCGTGATCTGCCCGCCTCAGCTTCCCAAAGTGCTGGGATTACAGGCGTGAGCCACTGCGCCCAACCCATTTTCACTTTCTGCCCACTCCCATACAGGCAAGCACTAGTGTCCTTCAAAGAGGGTGGTACTCATATCATCCAAGCAGCAACATCAGAGCATTTTGATCCTGGATACAACTGCACACTCTATGGATGAGCTCCAGCAAATTCAACTGACCCTGTTTTTCAGTGTGGTTCAAATGTCTGTGATTATTTGGTGGAGCAGTCATGATCTCATAAAATTACATATAATTACAAATTTACTAAGTGCCAATTCCTCTGCTAAGGGCTCCAGCTGCACTATGGTGTTGCATCCTCACACTATCTCTGTGACAGAGGTAACATCATTATCCTGATTAGACACATGAAAAATATGAAACTTTACAGCCAAGAAACTTAGTCAAAGTCACAGAGCTAGTAAGGTAGGGCTGAAACTTCAGCCCAGGCCATCAGACCTCAAAGTCTATGGCTTAACTTCAATTTAAACTGTTTAATCAACTTCCAGTTCTGGCTAGTTTCCAGTAGGTCTTCCCTAGAGGAAAGGACACATATTTCAGGACAATAATTTCAGTGGAAGTTATATATTTGAGTAGAGATCTCAGGAAGCACCAGAAGAGGACTGGAGAGTGAGACAGGGAAGAGAAGGGAATTTATCTCATCAAGCAACTTACTCTATGGGAAACTGGAGTCCAATATTTCTTGGAGAACTCTGGGTAACAATGTACTAAATGTAACCCCAAAACAAGGGAGCTGAAGTATTTATACACCCTTTCTTAGTAGTTATTGGTTGAGATCTGCTCTCACAGAACATGAATTCCTTGGCACTTCAAGTCCGCCACACATGTGGAGAGAGTGGATGCTGGTGGCCAGAAAGTACCCTTAGGCAAAGAACCCTAGGACTGGAGGCCAAAGCCAGTGAGCCTATGTAGAAACATGAGGGCCTAGGAAATGTGGGCAGCAACAACTGCCAAAGTCTACCTTCACTTTCTTTTTAATTTCAATTTTCAATTTTTGTTTATTTTTTGTAAACAGGATCTTGCTCAGTTGCCCAGGCAGAGGTGTGGTAGTGCAATCTCAGCTCACAGTAACCTCGACCTCTTGGGATCAAGCGATCCTCCCAGCTCAGCCTCCCAAGAAGCTGGGACTGCAGGTGCATGCTGCCAAGCCCAGCTAATTTTTAAAATTTTTTTTATAGAGATGGGATCGCACTATGTTGCCCAGCCGGGTATCACCTCCTGGGTTCAAGTGATCTTCCCACTCAGCCTCCCAAAGTGCTGGGATTACAGGCATGAGCCACCACACCTGGCGCTTCTCTCTTTTAAATAAACAACTTGATGAGTTGATGGGTGCAGCAAACCAACATGGCACATGTATACCTATGTATCAAAACTGCATGTTGTGTACATGTATCCTAGAACTTAAAGTATAATTAAAAAAATTGAATTACTTACTTTAAATTGGTGAATGGTATGGAATGTGAATTATATCTCAATAAATGTGTCAAAAAAAAAAACAACTTGACTGAGGTGCAAATTATAGATCATAACATTTACCAATTTTAAGTGTATAATTTAACAACTCTTGGCAAATTTACAGAGTTGTGTAACCATCCAACATCATCTATTTTTAGGACATTTTCATCACCCAGTAGGATCCCACATACCCATTTACAGTTACTTCACATTTTCACTCCCAGCCCCAGGAAACCACTAATCTACTTTGTCTCTATGGTTTTGCCTTTTCTGGACATTTTATATAAATGGAATCATACAATATGTGGTCTTCTGTGTAAATAAGAAAGTCCCTCTCCAAATGGATAACACTGTAGAAATGAAAAAAAAAAAAAAAGGAGGGGGATAGGCAAGTAACTTCTAGCAAGAGACTTCTCCATATGGGAGGTGGGAATGTTCTAGATGAAACAAACAATGACTATAACGCAACTGGCAATGAAGAGACACCCCCTGATCACTGTGGAATCTCATCTTCCCCAGGATGCATTTGCATATACAAGCTTTTGAGTGAATGTATTTTGAAGGAATCTTTTGCATACAAAGGACTAGCAGGCAGCAAGCTGTGGGTTAAGAGGCTTTGAAGCCCATTAAACCATCAACCTCAACATGGAAATGAATGGGATCAAATAGTTTCTGATGGTTTCAGGAGCTGAAAAGGGTCAGTCTTTGGGAGTGACTGATGTACAAAGGGATCTCGGTTTCTTCTCAGGCTTGCCAATCCCTTTATACTTTCCCCAAACCTTGTACATGTTAATGAAATTGACACAACATTAATGGAAGGCAACTAGAGCAGAAGAGCTGGTCAACGGTCAACCACCTTGTGTCTCCAGGACAGCCATCTTCCAGGAAACTGAAGCCTCCTGTCACACAGACTTTGTGTCTGTTGGATAAAGTGGTTAAAATTCCCCATGCACAAGGCATAATTGGCTCATGACTAACCGTCTGCAGAAACAACCACTGATAAATGCAAATAAGATGTGGGATGTGGGATGTGGTCCACATCATCTCACACAAAACAGACTTCAGCCTCCTGCTGAAGGTCAATTTCTCCAAGCTGTTTCTGCTCCTTGATTCTGGACCAACCCATAGAGTAGAATTTTGACTATTGTCCCTCTGGGGATCCCTGTCACGTGCTACTCAGGAGCACCCATTTTTTTTTTCTTTTGCATTGTGAACAAATCGAGGAATAAGCATAACAACAAATGACTGGCCAAAATACCAGCTTTATTGTTGGTAATGCCAGGCCAGAAGGTAAGGCTTATACCCACAACCACAGTGTGTTTCCCTGATACATACCCCTGAGCCTGGATCCTCAAATCCGTTAAAGGGAAACAGCAGAAGAGCAGCTGCAAAGGAGCTAGTCTGGGCCCCAGGAGTAGAGACAGAAAGAAGTGCACGTCTGCTCCTCTCTCTACAAGGCCAGCACCAAGCCCTGACCCAGGCATGCTGATGCCACGTATGACACCCTCATCCAGGGACAAGCCCAGAGCTCCAAAAGAAAGTCCAAGGGACTGATGCCCTCCACCCTGAGATTTCATCTTTCCAATCTTTTCTTATCAGATACGTGATTTCTCCACTCTTGTAGAAAAGACAGGGACAAGGTGAAGGGAAGGATAGAAGCTTCCTTTTGAATAATTCCAGGAGGTAGAGGGTGTGGTGATGAAAAATTTATATTCTTTGGACTAATAAAAATATTAGATTAGAAAACAAGGGCCAGGAGTAGTGGCTCATGACTGTAATCCCAGCACTTTGGGAGGCAGAGGCGGGTAGATCCCTTGAGCCCAGGAGTCCAAGACCAGCCTGGGCAATATGGCGTGACCCCCATCTCTATAAAAAATAAAAAAATTAGCCAGGTGTGGTGGCATGCACCTGTGGTCCCAGCTGCTCAGCAGGCTGAGGCAGGAGAACTGATTGAGCCTGGGCAGTCAAGGCCATGATCACACCACTGCACTCCAGCCTGGGTGACAGAACAAGACTCTGTCTCAAAAAAAGAAAAAAATAGGCTGAGGTGGGCAGAGCACTTGAGCTCAGTAGTTCGAGACCAGCCGGGGCAACATGGTAAAACCCTATCTCTACACAAAATACAAAAATTAGCTGGGTGGGATGGCATGTGCCTATAATCCCAACTACTCAGGAGCCTGAGGTAGGAGGATGGCTTGACCCCAGGATGTTGAGGCTGCAGTGAACCTTGATTGTGTCACTGCACTCCAGCCTAGGGGACAGACCAAGACCCTGCCTCCAAAAAAAAGAAAAGAAAGAAAAAAAAGAAAAATTTGCCTGTAAGAGAAAAAATAACTTTCTCTCTTATCTCTGTCTCCCTGCCGATACACACATGTGCACATGCATGCACATATGCACAAACACACACACGAGGAGTTGAAGAACTTGGATTCTTGCCCTGCAAAGTATTCTTTCAGCCCTACTTTCCCATGATTTCAGAATCTATAAGAGCCTTATCTTAGAATCTACCAGCTGCAGAGTATGCTGTTTGTAGATGCCCTGTCTATCTCTGCTGGTGCTTCCAGTAAATGTGTAGCCAGGACTTGCCCACTCAAGCCTCCAGGGTTCCAGCAGGTAACCAAAGCTAATGGAAGGGGCCAGCTATAGGAGAAAAGGCAGCACTGGGGACTTTGGTGACCTGGAGAGCACAGGCTGCCCCACTCCAGCTTATTACTGTCCTGCGGGAATGCAGGCTCACTGTTGCCCAATCTCTCTGAGTCTCAAGAGAAGGAAGCCATTAGCATTTATTTTTGTGTGCAAAATCCTTAGCTGTTTAACAGCTGGCTCTGTTTTTAAAAACATTGCTTGTTTGGGCCAAATGAAATGCATCTGCCAACTCCATTTAACCCATGGTCAGCTGCTTGTGATTCTGGTGTAGAATGGCCACATGGGCAATGACATCCATCCTTCTGACATCCTGGGCCAGCCATGGAAGGAAAAGTAGAAATTTGCTGTGAGGGCATTGGTTAGGATTAGTAGTCCCCAGGGATGCTCACTATTGCCTGTGGTAGTGTCTCAAACTCCACCATTAGAAGTGTATTCCCTCAAGGCCGGGCTCAATGGCTCCTGCCTGTAATACCCAGCACCTTGGGAGGCTGAGGCAGGCGGATCACCTGAGGTCAGGAGTTTGAGACCAGCCTGGCCAACATGGCGAAACCCTGTCTCTCCTAAAAAATACAAAAAATTAGCCAGGCATGGTGGCGGGCACCTGCAGTCCCAGCTACTTGGGAGACTGAGGCAGAGGAATAGCTTGAACCCAGGAGATGGAAGTTACAGTGAGCTGAGATTGTGCCATTGCACTCTAGCCTGGGCAACAGAGCGAGACTGCCCCCCCAAAAAAAAAAGTTTATTCCCTCGAATCCTCAGGGATTATCTATGTCCAAAGTCCCCAGAGGACTGCAAGTGTCCCTGAGTCATGTCCCACACTTTGGGAGGCAGAGGCAGGTGAATCCCTTGAGCCCAGAGGTCCAGTCCACTTCCAGAGGACTGCACACATAAAACTGTGACATCAGCTTCTGGGGGCTGTTCTTGTGGTCATCCCGTGCCCACCTTGGAGACTGTAACAGCATCCCCCTACCCTCAACACTCAGACTCACCCTTAAAAGCATTGATAAATGGCAGATTTTAGTACAGTTTTCTTGAGAGATGGAGCAGAGGCTGACAGGGTCCTGTGGACATAAAACTTCCTCCTAATCCCCTCTGAATATTCCCCATTTAGAATGCCACATGCAGGATTTAAAAAAAAGTCTCCCTTCTTTTTCCTTCTTAGGGAAAATGCTCCCTCTGACCAATACCTTCCAAGAAATAAAAACACAAGTAAAATCCCCCCAGCCAGTGGCTTCTCCAGCCAAATTGGTCCCGTCAACCTTCATATACCTTCAGGAAAGCAAACATCTGCTAATTTCATACTGACAGCCAATATCTATGGAGCACTTAATGAGACGGGCACTGTTAGTAGCACTTCTCAGGTACCTACCTATATATGTATGTATAATTATTATTTCCAATATACAGATGAGAAAATGAAGGCACGGAGAAGTTAAGTACCTTGTTCAGATCACAGCCAGGAAACAGAGAAATGGGGATTGGAAGTCAGGCAGTCTTACTCCAGAGTCTGTGCTCTTGAGACAAGGTTGGCAAATGTGTTCTGTAAAGGCCCCCATAGTAAATATGTGTAGGCCATACCATCTCTGCTGCAACTACTCATCTCTGCTGTTGTGGAATAAAAGCAGCCATAGACAATATGTAAGTGAAAAGCCGTGTTTCAGTGAAACGTATTCACAAACATAGGCAGCCAATCCCTGTTCTTGAGACAGCATGCTGTACAGGGGGACAAACCTCAGACTGGCTGGGCCCTGACCCCCTATTCTTCCTTCTACCACTCACCTTCCTCTACCACCAATAGTAATAGCAACAGCCACAGCATTTGTAGAATGCCGGCTTGAGATGGTCATACATGATAATCATATGTCAGGGTAGGATTAAGGGACCATGATTTATCTCACCACCCATTAGCAGGTATGATGGTTAATTTCAGGCATCAACTGGAAGAACGCTTCTGGATGAGATGAACGTTTACATTGAGGAAAGAGGATTGTTCGTCATATTGTGGCTGGGCCTCATCTAATCAGTTGAAGGCCTGAATAGAGCAAAAGTCTGGGCCTCTACAAGCAAGAAAGAATTCTCCAGCAGGCCGCCTGCAACTTCACCTGTACCATCCTCTCCTGAATCCCCCACCTGCCAGCCCACAGATTTGGACTCAGCCGCCTCCATCATCATGCGAGTCAATGGCTCATCATAAATTTCCTTCCGTATGTATGCGTATCCTATTGGTCTGGTTCTCTGGAGAGCCCTAATACAGCAGGTAAGGTCGTAGCTAGATGGTTGAGGATACAAAACTGCTTGGGAGTGGGGAAAAGGGTGACAAGTGCTAGAAACACATAGCTGAGCACCAGCAAAGAAGTTGGATGACTCCAGATGTCCTCTCCCTGGTTTCCCTAAGGTTTGGCTCAGGTCACTGCAGTCATCTCTCCATGGAGCAGTCTATCACCCCAGACCACTGCTGGGCTGAAGCAAGCCCAGGACAGCATTTGCTGTCTGACTGGCCCTGGGTCCCTGGTTTGTTCCATCCAAAGGGGTATGGATGATAGGGTAGTATAAATGCCTCCTGTTGCCATAATCTCTTCCTTCATACGCATTTTTAAAAACTATTTAAAAAAGAAAAAGAAAAGTAAAGAGAATCCACTCCCTGGCCTTTTTCAGTTTTACCTTTTTTTTTCCTTTTTTTTTTCTTTTTGAGACAGTGTCTCACTCTATTATGCAGGCTGGAGTTTTTTTTTTTTCTTTTTCTTTTTCTTTTTGAGACAAAACCTCACTCTATTACGCAGGCTGGAGTGCAGTGGCATGATCTTGGCTCACTGCAACGTCCACCTCGGGCTTAAGCAATACTCCTGTCTCCACCTCCCGAGTAGCTGGGACCATAGGTGTGTGTACCACCACGTCCAGCTAATTTTTTTTAGAGACAGGGTTTTCCTATGTGGCCCAGGCTGGTCTCAATTTCCTATGCTCAAGTGATCCACCCATCTCAGCCTCCCCAAGTGCTGAGATTACAGGCATGAGCCACCGTGCCCGGCCCCTCCACACACCTTTTAAAGTAGTATTTCTAAAGCCAGCTTGTCTGTAGTTGCTGCATTCCATTACTCCACACTTACAGGCAAAATACCCCAAAATGGCCTGTAATCCCAACAGTTTGGGAGGCTGAGGCAGGCGGATCACTTGAGGTCAGGAGTTGGAGACCAGCCTGGCCAACATGGTTAAACCCTGTCTCTACCAAACATACAAAAATTAGCGGGATATGGTGGCACATGCCTGTAATCCCAGCTACTTGGGAGGCTGAGGCAGGAGAATCGCTTGAACACGGGAGGTGGAGGTTTCAGTGACCTGAGATCATGCCATTGCACTCCAGCCTGGGCGACAGAGTGGAACTCCGTCTCAAAAACAAGCAAACAAACAAAAAACAAAAATAGAGAAAGAAGAAAGATGCCAGGGAGAGAGATAAGAAAGAGAGAGACCAGGGGAAAGTTGAAGACAGACCTGAGATGGGGAGATAAAAAAAAAAAAAAGAAAAGAAAAGGGAAGAGAACCAGAGCTAAGGAAAGGAGAAAGGGAATAAAAAACAGAAAGCAGGAACACCAGAGAGATTCATAAAGAGAGACAGAGAGAGAAAGGGAGAGGAAAGGAGGCAAGGGAACAAGAGACACAGAGAGGACATGAAAGGTAGGGAGAGAAGCCTGCAGAGAATCACAAAAAAAAGAAAAGAAAAGAAAGAAGAATCAGAGGATAGAGACAAAGATGAGAGAATGAACAACCTACTCAAACAACAAAGGCTTTTGAGTACCTCTAGGATTTCTCAACTTCAGCCTATTGATATTTAGAGCTGGATACTTTTGTTGTTTTTTTTTTTAGACAGAATTTTGCCCTGTTGCTCAGGCTGGAGTGCAGTGGTGCGATCTCAGCTCACTGCAACCTCTGCTGCCTCCTGGATTCAAGCAATTCTCATGCCTCAGCTTCCTGGGTAGCTGGGATTACAGGTGCATACCATCACACTCGGCTAATTTTTGTGTTTTTAGTAGAGACAAGGTTTTGCCATGTTGGTCAGGCTGGTCTCCAAATCCTCACCTCAAGTGATCTGCCCGTCTTGACCTCCCAAAGTGCTAAGATTAGGATCATGAGCCACTGCGCCCAGCCTGGATACTTTTTTTGCGCTGGGGACTGTCCAATGTCTTGAAGGGTGTTTAGCAACATCTCTGGCCTCTACCCACTAGATGCCTGTAGCACCACCTCCCACAGTTGTGACAACCAAAAATGTCTTCAGATATTTTGTAAATGTCCCCTGTGGCAAAATCACCCTTTGTTGAGAGCCACTGAGTTAAAGGGATGCAATTTTTCATGCTTTTCAGAGCTTAAATTATATATAACCAAGGGAATGATGGGCCCATGGCAGACAGAGAATACTTAAAGCCCATTTTCCTGGAGCACTAATTGTCCTTGATGGTATTTTAAAGCATTATTTTTACATGAAAACAAATGTGGGTATATTACAGAGTAGAATCTCAAATTTAAGGCTTGGAAGAAATTTTATGTCTGAGGTGGGGTGATTTTGGCTATACTCCCAGAATCCTTGGCAGGTACACATTTACATTTCTCTGCCTTGGAGGAAGCTAATAATAGCTACCATTTATTGAGTGCTTACAGGGGCCAGGAGCTTTAGAAATTATTTCCCATTTGATCCTCACTGGGTGTTTATTATTAATCCCATTTTACAGATGAGGAGACTGAGGCCCAGGGAGGTCGTGAAACCCCATTCAAGTACTGACAGTGACTAAATGATGGAGCTCGCATTGGAATCAAACAAAGTCTGTCTCACTAAGTATCTGCCAAAAAGCTTATGGGAAGGAAAAGGTGAACAGTGATAAACCACCAAAGTCAATATCCTAGTGCTAATCAACAGGATGGCTTAAGAAAAAGAAAGGCTCTGTTGAAACTGGCAAACTCTTAACTTGTCTTGGGTGGAGAGGGAGAAAAGGGGATAGGGGTTGAAAATGAAGGGATTCCCGAGGTAGGCACCACCCCTCAAGTAGGAAATAGTTAATCAACTTGACAGCATCAACTTGAAACTCCAGGCTGGGCATGCTGGCTCATAACCTCTAATCCCAACTTTTTGGGAGGCATAGGTGGGAGGATCGCTTGAGGCCAGGAGTTTGAGACCAGCCTTGACACAAAGTAAGACCCTGCCTCGACAAAAAGTTAAAAAATTAGCCGGGTGTGGTGGCTCCCACCTGTAGTCCCAGCTACTTGGGGAGCTAACGCAGGAAGATCACTTGTGGCCAGGAGTTCGCGGATACAGTGAGCTATGGTTGGACCACTGCTCTCCAGCCTGAGCAGCAGAGCAAGACCATGTCTCAAAAAACAAACAAACAAAGAAAACAAAACAAAACAAAACACCTAAATCTTAGCCTGAGATCCCTCATGCAATCCCCAGCTGGGACATCCCTCAGGAAGTTTCTTTTCTTATTTTATTTTATTTATATTTTTTATTTATTTATTTATTTATTTTATTTTATTTTATTTTTTTTATTGATCATTCTTGGGTGTTTCTCACAGAGGGGGATTTGGCAGGGTCATAGGACAATAGTGGAGGGAAGGTCAGCAGATAAACAAGTGAACAAAGGTCTCTGGTTTTCCTAGGCAGAGGAACCTACGGCCTTCCGCAGTGTTTGTGTCCCTGGGTACTTGAGATTAGGGAGTGGTGATGACTCTTAAGGAGCATGCTGCCTTCAAGCATCTGTTTAACAAAGCACATCTTGCACCGCCCTTAATCCATTTAACCCTGAGTGGACACAGCACATGATTCAGAGAGCACAGGGTTGGGGGTAAGGTCACAGATCAACAGGATCCCAAGGCCGAAGAATTTTTCTTAGTACAGAACAAAATGTAAAGTTTCCCATGTCTACTTCTTTCTACACAGACACGGCAACCATCCGATTTCTCAATCTTTTCCTCACCTTTCCCCCCTTTCTATTCCACAAAACCGCCATTGTCATCGTGGCCCGTTCTCAATGAGCTGTTGGGTACACCTCCCAGACGGGGTGGCGGCTGGGCAGAGGGGCTCCTCACTTCCCAGTAGGGGCGGCCGGGCAGAGGCGCCCCTCACCTCCCGGATGGGGCGGCTGGCCGGGTGGGGGGCTGACCCCCCCACCTGCCTCCCGGTCGGGGCGGCTGGCCGGGTGGGGGGGCTCCTCACTTCCCAGTAGGGGCGGCTGGGCAGAGGCGCCCCTCACCTCCCGGACGGGGCGGCTGGCCGGGCGGGGGGCTGACCCCCCCACCTCCCTCCCGGACTGGGCGGCTGGCCGGGCGGGGGGTTGACCCCCCCCACCTCCTTCCCTGACGGGGTGGCTGGCCGGGCAGAGGGGCTCCTCACTTCCCAGTAGGGGCGGCTGGGCAGAGGCGCCCCTCACCTCCCGGACGGGGCGGCTGGCCGGGCAGGGGACTGACCCCCACCTCCCTCCCAGACGGGGTGGCTTCCGGGCGGAGACGCTCCTCACTTCCCAGACGGGGCGGCTGCCAGGCGGAGGGGCTCCTCACTTCTCAGATGGGGCGGTTGCCAGGCGGAGGGTCTCCTCACCTCCCAGACGGGGTCTTGGCTGGGCAGAGGCACTCCTCACATCCCAGACGGGGCGGCGGGGCAGAGGCGCTCCCCACATCTCAGACGATGGGCGGCCAGGCAGAGACGCTCCTCACTTCCTAGATGGGATGGCGGCTGGGCAGAGACGCTCCTCACTTCCTAGATGGGATGGCGGCCGGGCAGAGACGCTCCTCACTTCCTAGATGGGATGGCGGCTGGGCAGAGACGCTCCTCACTTTCCAGACTGGGCAGCCAGGCAGAGGGGCTCCTCACGTCCCAGACGATGGGTGGCCAGGCAGAGACGCTCCTCACTTCCCAGACGGGGTGGCGGCCGGGCAGAGGCTGCACTCTCGGCACTTTGGGAGGCCAAGGCAGGTGGCTGGGAGGTGGAGGTTGTAGCAAGCCGAGATCACGCCACTGCACTCCAGCCTGGGCACCATTGAGCACTGAGTGAACCAGACTCCGTCTGCAATCCCGGCACCTCGGGAGGCCGAGGCTGGCGGATCACTCGCGGTTAGGAGCTGGAGACCAGCCCAGCCAACACAGCGAAGCCCCGTCTCCACCAAAAAAATACGAAAACCAGTCAGGCGTGGCGGCGCGCGCCTGCAATCGCAGGCACTCGGCAGGCTGAGGCAGGAGAATCAGGCAGGGAGGTTGCAGTGAGCCGAGATGGCAGCAGTACAGTCCAGCTTTGGCTCGGCATCAGAGGGAGACCGTGGAAAGAGAGGGAGAGGGAGACCGTGGGGAGAGGGAGAGGAGGGAGGGGGAGAGGGAGAGGGAGAGGTAGAGGGAGAGCTATATTTTTTATTATACTTTAAGTTTTACGGTACATGTGCACAATGTGCAGGTTTGTTACATATGTATACATGTGCCATGTTGGTGTGCTGTACCCATTAACTCGTCATTTACTTTAGGTATATCTCCTAATGCTATCCCTCCCCCCTCCCCCCACCCCACAACAGGCCCCGGTGTGTGATGTCCCCTTTCCTGTGTCCAAGTGTTCTCATTGTTTAGTTCCCACCTATGAGTGAGAACATGCGGTGTTTGGTTTTTTGTCCTTGCAAGGAATTTTCTCTTCAGCCTCTGACCTATGGATTCCTCGTTTCAGCAGTGCCTATGGCTGCAGTATCTCCCCACCTCCCATCATCGTAGGACCATCGACCCAGGCTGTCACATCCATGGACTGCTCTCTCTGATTTGCTCACTACTTTTGCTGCTTTAATGAACTCAGTCTTTTACAAAACATATTTATTTAAACGAAAAGGTTGCTTTTCCTTACCCTGACCAGATCACTAGAAAAATAAATGCAGCCATGCACAGTGGCTCACGCCTGTAATCCCAGCACTTTGGGAGGCCGAGGGGGGGTGGATCATTTGAGGTCAGAAATTCAAGACCAGACTGGCCAACATGGTGAAACCCCATCTCTACTAAAAATACAAAAATTACCCGGGCATGGTGGCGCATGCCTGTAATCCCAGCTACTTGGGAGGCTAAGGCAAGAGAGTCGCTTGAACCCTGGAAGCAGAGGTTGCAGTGAGCTGACATCATGTCACTTCACTCCAGCCTAGCAAGAGAGGAGACTCCGTCTCAATAAATAAATAAAAGGGAAACTTTATATCAGTATCTGAAATGAAAAGTCTGCTTTTCCATACCCTGACTAGATCACTAGAAAAATAAATGCAGCTGGGCACAGTGACTCACACCTGCAATCCCAGCACTTTGGAAGGCCGAGGCGGGTGGATCACTTGAGGTCAGGAGTTCGAGAGCAGCCTGACAACATGGCAAAACTCTGTCTCTACTAAAAACACGAAAATTAGCTGGGCATGGTGGTGGGCACCTGTAGTCAGCTACTCAGGAGGCTGAGGCAGGAGAATCACTAGAACCCGGGAGCCCAAGGCTGCAGTGAGCAGAGATCGTGCCATTGCACTCCAGCCTGGGCAACAAAGGCAGACTCTATCTCCAAAAAAAAAAAAAAAAAAAAAAAAAGAAAGAAAGAAAGAAAAAAATGCAATAAAAATAAACAAGGCTAAAACAACAACAACAAAAACAAACAACCAAGGCTATTAAATTTAGTTAGTTAGCTAGACAGCTGTCTTTGTTCAAAGGGGAGACTTGTTAGCTTTGGAGAAGTGTTAAAAGTCCTTAGCACCGAGCCAAGATGTTCTTGGTGCAGTCAGAGTAACTGAAAGAGGTTTGAAAAGGGAATCACTTTATCTGGATATAAGTCATCGCTGTTAGTGTCAGGTTATACCTGGCGCCATCATGCTTCAACGATGGTATGTGTCTCATACCTGAGGAAATACCGGTATGGGGCTCGTTATGGGTTGAATTGTGTTTCCCAGAAAGTCATACCTTCAAGTCCTTGCCTAATTGAGGGTTCTCAGTATCTCAGATCATGACTGTATTTGGAGAGATGACGTTCAAAGAGGTAATTAGGTTAAAATGCGGCCATTAGGGTGGGTCTTCAGTCTTCATTCAGTCCAACTGGTGTCCTTCTAAGCAGAAATGTGGACATGCGCCAGCAGGGACACACACAGAGGAAAAGCATGTGAGAACATGGTGAGAAGGGGGCCAACTGCAAGCTAGGAAGAGAGGCCTCGGGTGAAACCAACCCTGCTCTCACCACCATCTTGGACTTTTAGCCTCCAAAACTGTGAGAAAGTCAATTTCCATTGTTTAAGTCTGTGGAAGTTATGGAAGCCCTAGTCAACTAATACAGGGGTTCCCTGAGCCCCCACATGCATTCCAACAGAGGCAGGAGAATAGGGTTTGGAGACCAGGAACATAAGGACTTCCTAGAACTAAATCAAATGGAAACACTTCAGCTGTGATGGGAAATATCTTCTCCATTTACACAGGGCGTAAGCCAAATAAATGACTTTGTAAGTTTCCTCCATCCTCTTCATTTACATAAGGCATACACCAAGTAACCAATGGAAATTTTGGGGGGTATTTAAGCCTCCAAAAATTCTGTAATGGGGCTCTTGAGTTCCTGTGCTCTGGCCCACCCCCACTCTGTGGAGTGTACTTTAGTCTTCGATAAATTCTGCTTTTGTTGCTTCATTCTTTCCTTGCTTTGTTTGTGCATTTCATCCAATTATTTGATCAAGACACCAAGAACCTGGACACTCTCCACTGGTAACACAACCATCTGGATTTGAGTCCTGCCTCTGCTACTTCCGAGTTGTGAGACGCTGAGCAAGTTACTCTACCTGTCTAAGCCTAGGTTTCCTTATCTCTAAGTTAACATTCCAGTCTGCATTCTGTGTGAAAGTTGGTCTTAGAATTGGGTCGTTCTTGTTACAGCCAACTAAAACAGAGTCAAGAGGCCAGGAGGAGGAAAAAGCAGTCAGACCACATTACATGGCTTCCAGAAAGTAATTCTTGGAAAGCCTGGCTGCTGGAACTGCCTGCTGGAACCTGAAGCCAGTTTTATCTAACAGCTACTGGAAAAACCTGCTGTGACCTTAAGACAAGTTTTGCCCACTGCCATCACTCACCAAACAGAGTTTGCCAGCTCCCACAGCCTTACCCTTGCCGATGAACTTTCTCAAAAAACAATATGTAACATTTCTCCTTTTCTAAAATGCCTCTAAACTTCTCTTTGTTCTTTGGATGTACTAAAGACCACCTGGTCTGCATATATGCTCTGAATTGCAATCCTTTCCTCCCAAATAAAACATTTTAATTTTAGAGATTCATCTAATATTTGACTTCCACATATGAAATTGTTAACAATATACACAACATATCCAAGGTGGTTAACAAAGTTTCTGGCACAGAGTAGGGCTCAAAACAACAACAAGACCGGGCATGGTGGCTCACACCTGTAATCCTAGCACTTTGGGAGGCCAAGGTGGGTGGATCACTCGAGACCAGCCTGGCCAACATAGCAAAACCCCGTCTCTACTAAAAGTACAAAAATTAGTGGGCTGTGGTGGTGGGCGCCTGTAATCCCAGTTACTTGGAAGGCTGAGGCAGGAGAACTGCTTGAACCCAGGAGGTGGAGGATGAGTGAGCAGAGATTGCAGTACTGCACTCCAGCCTGAGTGACAGAGCGAGACCCTGTCTCAAAAACAAACAACAAACAACAACAACAAACTACTATGATAACAAATGTTGGCATACTTCCTGGCCCCTGTAGGTTTGAAGATGGTTTTATCTCCAACAAGGTAAGAGGTAAGGATCTTGGTACAGTATCTTGGATGCTGTACTTGGTACTAGGGACTAAGGGCTCCATCTTCAACACTAACCAACTATGGAGGCACATAGCAAACAAAATAATCAAAGCTCTAGCTTCTTCACCAAAGTAACCCAGATATTTTAAAACCACCCAGCTTGTGTCTCCTGTACTCTTTCCCCATTTATTCCTCTCTCATCAGGACTGGCCTGTTTCACTGTCCCCTTGGAAAGCTTTTCAGCAACTTTTTGACCCTCCGTTTAACACCTCTACCTCTCAGACTCCTAAAGCATCTTACCCAGGTCTCACTGCCTGTAAATCCGCAAAGCCAGGCTTTGAACCCAGGCTTCTGTGATTCATCACACATCCCACAAGTGACAGAGAGATGCAGAGAGCTTTCATTTGCCAATAATAATAATTAGTCACCCATTACATATAATTTATAATCATTAATTATAGTGATTCATATAATGATTAAGTATAATGTGAAGTTCTTGCCTTCCACACTAAGGGTGGTTATGGCTTCAGTTAGTGGAACACTTGCTCTGCGCCTGCCGTTCCCATGTGTCATCCCATGGATTCCTCTCACCACTTCTTTACAGAAATTATTTTATAACTCCCATTTGATACACAAGGACACTGAAATGTAGGGAGCCCCATGTCACCACCAGCACATCCACTGCTTAAGAGACTCTGGGAGAGATCAGAGGGTAGACAGGGAAAAGATGAAGATGATGTTAGAAGGCAGCAGGGGACCAGACACGGTGGCTCATGCCTAGAATTCCAGCACTTTGGGAGGCCGAGGCAGGCAGATCACTTGAGCCCAGGAGTTTGAGACCAGCCTGGCCAATATGGTGAAACCCTGGTTGTCTCTACTAAAAACACAAAAATTAGGTGGGTGTGGTGGCGTGTACCTGTAGTCCCAGCTACCAGGGAGACTGAGGCAGGAGAATACTTGAACTTGGGAGGTAGATGTTGCAGTGAACTGAGATTGTACCACTGCACTCCAGCCTGGGCAACAGAGCGAGACTCTGTCTCAAAAAAAAAGAAAACAAACAAAAAAAAAGAAAACAAAACAAGAAAGAAGGCAGGAGAGGGAATGTTTTCCTCACCTCCTCTTGAGTCTCCTCAGCAGGGCTATGGCCTCCAGATTTCTCTGCTTTAGGAGAGTCAGCTAATCCTCCACCCTGGAGGGAGGACAGTTCATAAGGATCACTTAGTCTTCTCCTGATCTAATCCAGCTGGGTTAGTTTGCTACAACTGCTGTAACAAAGTCCCACAAGCTGGGTGGCTTATGCAACAGAAATTCATTATCTCACAGTTCTGGAGACCAGATGTCCAAATCAAGGCATCAGCAGGATTGGTCTCCTCTGAGGGCTATAAGGGAAGAATCTATTTCCAGGCTTCTCTCCTCATCATGTAGATTGCTGTTTTAGTCTGTTTGGGCTGCTATAACCAAATACTGTAGCCTGGATAGCTTATAAACAAAGCAATTATTTCTTGTGGTTCTGGAGGCGGAGAAGTCCAAGATTGAGCCATGGGCAGATTCATTGTCTAATGAGGGCTTGCTTCCTGGCTTGAAGACAGCCACCTTCTTGCTGTGTCTTTGGACATGGCCTTTCCTTCATGGGTGCTTGTGGAGGGAAAGAAATACCTCTCTCCCTTGTCCTCTTCGTATAACGGCACGAATCCCATCATGAGGGATTCACTTTCATGACCTCATCTAAACCTAATTATCTCAAAGACCTCACCTTCTAATACCATCAAACTGGGGATGCAGGCATCCAACTGTGTCCACATCTGAATTTGTGGGAGGAGGCACAAACATTCAGCTCATAACAATGGCCATATTCTCCTTGTCTCTTCACACTGTCTTCCCTCTCTGCAAGTCTGTTTCTGTTCAGATTTCCCCTTTTTATAAGGACACCAGTCTTATTGGTTTAGGTTCCACCCTGATGACCTTGCTTTAACTTGATTACCTCTTTAAAGACCTGTCTGCAAATAAGGACACATTCTGAGGTGCCAGGGGTTAGAACTTTATATAAATTTGAACACAGTTCAACCTGTAACACCAGTCACATGGGCATGCATCTCAAGTTTAATGATTTTTCCTAATAGTCCAGCTCCACCTGCATCTGACATCTTTCTCCAACAGGAAAATATTCCTCAATCAAACACAACCCTTCTCCTGTTACAGTTTAAGCTAATCTTCCATTCTCCTGAAATAATAATATCCCCTGCCTTTATTTATTTATTTTGAACCTTAAGTTTTTGACTCTCCTCATAGCAGAACAACCACTCCTCCTCCTCCAATTAAAGTATACAAAGTAAGGAAATTGAGAAGATAAATGGGGAGGGGAGGATATCCACATCATTCTTTTTAGTTCAGAATGAGAGCCAGTTGCTGTCAAGGACTGGAAAAGGAAGGTATGCTCATGGTTGTGGTTCAGAAGCCTGAGAGCTTTGGTTTAAAAATAGGTGAACTGAAATAAACACAGAGCTACTCAGATGGCACTGAAATAGAGTGGTAATTGATCTAATGCAACTTTTGCCTCGGATAACATCATTATTTGTGAAATTATGTCAGTGTTGCTACTGCCAAGTCAGCAAGCACTTACAGGACGTGACTTCTAATTTAGGAATTGGACTATTTGTGGCACATCTTAGAAGACAGCAGGAACTCAGTGGACACCCGGTAGCCAGCCTTCTGAGAGCCTTGGTTTGAGCTTGAAATTCACAACGTTGAAGTGCCCAGGAGTGCCCTGTCTTGATGACCCTTCAAGGAAAAGACTTGCTGCCCAGCTCTAGAAAATGTGGTTTGCAGGTGGCTGTCGGCTGTCAGTTCCTTCATGGTCTTTCTCAGCTGCAAAGATTTGCTGCCCCAGGTCACGCCTTTCTTGGGGCAACCTCAGCCTGTGACTTAGTGAAACAGGGGTATAAACTAAGGCCTGGGTACTTTGGCCCCACTTGGGTCATTCTGATATAATCCAGTACTTGCTCCAGAGCTCCCTGCCAGGTTTCACGAGGTTTTTCCTGTTATAAAATACAGTTACAGTCTCTCTTTCCCCAGATTTTCTGTCTTTTTCTAGAAAGGAGGCAACAACACCTTACATGACTTACTTATTCCCAAACTGCTTTATCCTTTTTTCCTAGGTATTATTCCCAAATAAACACTTGTACCCAGATTCTAATTCAATGTCTTCCAGAGGACCCAATCTGGGACAGATGTCTAGGTAGTTTACAAAGTCACTGCACACTTCCTTTCTACCTGTCATGCTCCTGAAAGACAGGGGGTGACATTGTCTCTTCATGCCCTCATTGAGCTGGCTGTAGAATTCTTTTGTGGAATTTCAAGTGGAAGAATATTTTACATTATTTAAGAATATAATACCAGATTTTCATTTATTTCACCTTCATGAAATGAGGTACATGTGTAAAAATTATGGTTAGAAAGAACAGCTCTTTTATTTATTTATTTATTTATTTTATTTATTTATTTATTTATTTATTTATTTGAGATGGAGTCTCGCTCTGTTGCCAGGCTGCAGTGCAGTGGTGCGATCTTGGCTCACTGCAACCTCTGCCTCCTGGGTTCAAGTGATTCTCCTGCCTCAGCCTCCCAAGTAGCTGGGACTACAGGCACCTGCCACCACACCCGGCTAATTTTTGTATTTTTAGTAGAGATGGGGTTTCACCATGTTGGCCAGGATGGTCTCAATCTCTTGACCTCGTGATCCACCTCCTCGGCCTCCCAAAGTGCTAGGATTACGGGTGTGAGCTACCACGCCTGGCCTCAGCCATTTCTTTATTCACTTTTTTTTTGCCCAATTGCAGTGTCCCAGACACTGTTCAAGGTATTGTGAATATTATGATGAAGGAGACAAAGATTCTCAGAGCTTACATTTTATGGGAGCAGACTGACAATACACAAGTAAATAAATACATTGGTGAGGAAGTACAGATGTAACTGTAGTAGGTTCATTGGCTGATGCATGCAACAAGTCAATATGCTGAGACACTGGGTTGCCGCAGAGAAAGAGGTTTAATCATAGGGTCACTGAATGAGGAGATGGGAGGAAACCTTAAATCCATTTCCCTGAGAAGTTTGGGCTTAGGGTTTTTAAGGGTTTTGGAGTGGGCTGATGTGTGGAGATCACTGATTAGTGGAAAAGTGCAGGATGAAGTCATGGTACAAGGAGATGAAGAAGCTGTATTCTGGCCGAGCATGGTGGCTCATGGCTGTAATCCCAGCACTGTGAGGGGTGGAGGCAGGTGGATCCTTTGAGCCCAGGAGGTCCAGGCTGCAGTGAGCTGTGATGGCACCACTGCACCCCAGCCTGGGCAACAGAGGGAGACCCTGTTTCAAAAAAGCAAAACAGAAAAGGAGCCATATTCCCTTGCTGATCCCTTTCCTCTGTGGGGGGTCTTCTAACAAGTTGCTGGAATTCAGGGTCTGAAAAACATCTTTAACCAAAGCCTTATGATTCTAATGTCAGAGATCTTATCTATATGAATGAAGGGGATGCAAATCTATTCTTTTTTTTTTTTTTTTTTTTTTTTTTTTTGAGACGGAGTCTCGCTCTGTCGCCCAGGCTGGAGTGCAGTGGCGGGATCTTGGCTCACTGCAAGCTCCGCCTCCCGGGTTCACGCCATTCTCCTGCCTCAGCCTCCCAAGTAGCTGGGACTACAGGCGCCCGCCACTACGCCCGGCTAATTTTTTGTATTTTTAGTAGAGACGGGGTTTCACCGTTTTAGCCAGGATGGTCTCGATCTCCTGACCTCGTGATCCGCCCGCCTCGGCCTCCCAAAGTGCTGGGATTACAGGCGTGAGCCACCGCGCCCGGCCGCAAATCTATTCTTAAACAATCTCATGACGCTAATGTCAGAAATCCCTCTGTAGGAACAATGGGAATGCAAATGGTTAGTATCCAGTGCTACATGACTTTTAACAAAAACAAATTGAGTCAAAGTCCAGCCTGATTAATGCTTAATTATAGCTACATTTATGTACAGAACCTGGCATGCAATGCTTGTCAACCCTGGGGGGACAGTTTCAGATACTAAAACCCGTGAAGAAAATAAAGTAGAGAGGATAGTAGCTGTTGACTGGGGTATGCGAAGATTCGTTTGATCAAATGGTTAGGAGAGACGTTTGGAGAAGGTGACAGTAGTGTTGAAACCTGACAAAGAAGATCCAGCCTTCTGCAGATACAATGTTACCTGTTGGAATCGAAAAGACCCGCAAGTTCTAGTCAAAGTTGAATTGAACCAATGGCATCATCTAATGGATGGAGATAACAACTTGTTCAGGCATGTTTGGAGTACCTGCTGTCACGCCAAGCTCTGTGCAGGGCCATGGAAACCTAGCTAAGCCAGGAACATCCAAGAGTCTGAGCCATTCACAGGCTAAAGACAGAGCAGAGTGGAGCACCTCACCCCGGCACCTTGACTTAAACCGTGTGGTTCATGCATCTGTTCAGAGCTGTCGATCAAAAAATGTTCAGAGTTCTCTGTCCAGATGAGACCATTTATGTCTGTGTACCCCTAGAGGGGAGAGGCAAAAGCATTAGTTATTGTCTCTATTTTCCCAGACTTCCTGTCTTTTTCCAGGTAGGAGGCAACAACCTCTTAAATGACTTGCCCGTTGGAAATGAGTGGTGTTGCTGAAGGCCCAGCTCAAATTCTCAGACTATGTATGTGTGCAAGGAATGCTCATTACGCCCCATGAGCTGGTATTTCCGAGTCAAGATACAATGCATCTGGATAGCTTTTTTTTTTTTTTTTTTTTTTTGAGACAGGGTCTTGTTCAGTTGCCCAGGCTGGAGCACAGTGACTCAATCATAGCTCACTGCAGCCTAGAATGCCAGACTCCCGAGTAGCTGGGACTACAGGCACACAACCACCATGCTTGGCTAATTTAAAAAAATTTTTTTTTTTACAGACAGGGTCTTGCTATGTTGCACAGGCTGGTCTCAAATTCCTGGGCTCAAATTATCCTCTCATTTTGGCCTTCCAAAGTGCTGGGATTAAGGTGTGAGCCACTGCACCCAGCTGGTGTGACATTTCCTATCCAGCCACATATCTCATCCTATTTATTCACTCCTCATACCTTCATCCTTTGCACCTGCTGTTCCCTCTCTGTGGTGCCTCTGTTTACCTGATGTACTCTTCATCATTCATAATCTGGATTAAGTGCCCCTTCTTCTGTATATGCCCCCACCCCCAAAACACAAAGAGCATTGATCACTCTCACCTCTAACCTGTGCTACAGATGGTACCTCATGCGCCTCCTTTTCTCTCAAATGGAGATATTGATAATACTTACCTCCTATGGTTGATCTAAGAGTTAAATGATATATATCAAGATTTTGGACCCACACCTGGTCAACTGTAAGCACTTAAGAAATGTATGCCAATAGAATTACATCTCTCAGTCTTGGTGCTTGAAATACTTACTAATAATATCTAACACTTACTGATCAGTTATTATGTGTAGCCACTGTGCTTCATTTTAACATGGATTTGTAAAAAGGCAACCCTTAGCAAACCTGATGAAGTAGGTACTATTACTATCACTATATTAAAATTGAGAAGCCAGGTGCAGTGGCTCACATCCGTAATCCCAGCACTTCGGAAGGCTGAGGCAGGTGGTTTGCTTGAGGCCAAGAGTTTGAGACAAGCCTCGCCAACATGGCAAAACCCCGTCTCTACTAAAAATATGAAAATTAGCCAGGCATGGTGGTGGGCGCCTGTAATCCCAGCTACTCGGGAGGCTGAGGCAGGAGAATCACTTGAACCTGGGAGGCAGAGGTTGCAGTGAGCCGAGATCGCACCATTGCTCTCCTGTCTGCGCGACACAGCAAGACTCCGTCTCAAAAAAAAAAAAAAAAAAAAAAAAAAAAATTGAGAAAACTGCAGTATGCAGTGTTTACAGATGTTTCCATCTTTTTCTTCTCTGTTAGGCTGTCACCGTTTCGAGGGAAAAACTCACAATTCATTTAACTCTCTACCTCCAGTTGTTAGCATAGCGTTTTTGGGTCAATAAATATTTGGTAAGTGAGTGAAGGAATAAATAAAGTAATGAAGCAGAGAAAGTATCATTGTTTAGGAGGTGAAGAAATGAGGACGACCCAGGGAAGAAATAGACTGAGGATAAAGGTGCAGCTTTTTCCAATCCAGAGTCCACATGGTTCTCTATTAAACCAGGGCTTCCCATACCTGGACATGCATAGGAATCACCTGGGAACCATGTGAAAATGCTGATTCTGAGCCAGGCACGGTGGCTCATGCCTATAGTCCCAGCACTGTGGGAGGCTGAGATGGGCAGATCACTTGAGGTCACGAGGTTGAGACCAGCCTGGCCAACATGGTGAAACCTCGTCTCTACTAAAAATACAAAAAGTAGCTGGGCATGGTGGTGCATGCCGATAGTCCCAGCTACTTGGGAGGCTGAGGCATGAGAATTGCTTGAACCCAGGAGCCGGAAGTTGCAGTGAGCTGAGATGGACTCCAGCCTGAGTGACAGAGTAAGACTCTGCCTCCAAAAAAAAAAAAAAAAAAAAAAAAGCAGATTCTGATCTAGTAGATCTAGGGTGAAACCCAAGATACTGCATTTGTCATAATCTCTCATGTGACACAATTAGTCTGTGATCACACCTTGAGTAGCAAAGCACTAAGCTACTTGTGTCAGTTGGTTCTATGCTTGCCAACATCAGAGGCCAACTCAGGCTCACTTAAGTAAAAAAAAAAAATTGAACTTACTAGGGTATGCATGGGGAAGCACCCAGAATCCAAGGAGAAGTACAGAACCCAGCCCCAGCAAGGACAGGAACTAAAGCACTTTGGGTTTTGGGTTTTTTTTTTTTTTTTTGACTTTATGAACATTTATTATAATTATTTTTTATTTACATAGGTTATTGGGGAACAGGTGGTATTTGGTTACATGAGTAAGTTTAGTGGTGGTTTGTGAGATTTTTGTGCACCCATCACCCAAGCAGTATACACTGCACCCAATTTGTAGTCTTTTATCCCTCACCCTCTTCCCACCCTTTCCCCAAGTCCCCGAAGTCCACTGTGTCATTCTTATACCGTTGCATCCTCATAGCTTAGCTCCTACTTATGAGGGAGAACATACGATGTTTGGTTTTCCATTCCTGAGTTACTTCACTTAGAATAATAGTCTCCAATCTCATCTAGGTTGCTGCAAATGCCATTAATTCATTTATTTTTACGGCTGAGCAGTAAGGAATTAAAGCACTTTGAACCCAAACAGGGAGGAGGGGGTCCCTTGCTGCGAATCCCACTGTCAGGAGAAATCAGCTCCAACTATGTACTGCCCTTAAATCACTCCATCCAAAGTTTACATTTCTGTGCGATGGTATCTAATTGACTCAGTATGAATCACTTACCATCCAAGGCAAAGGAAGGGCAGAATGTTTTGATTGACATTCTCATTAAGACCATGTGCAATGAAGAATGGGCATTTTCTTGGAGAAAAATGTTGGGGTTTTTATACTAAAAGAAAGGAGACATTAAGTTACCCTGCCCAAAGTCAGAGCCACCAGCTCTGGGGCAGATTTAAAGATGAATGTGAGACTTTTGGACACCCCTCCACCACCGACCCCAGCCTTCCTGAGATGGTCAGCTGGACCACTGAGCATCCCCAGTGACTTTGGCAGAGACTGATTCTAAGGTTGGATGGGCCACAGAGATTGGGCTCAGAATGGAAACTGATCATCAAAGTGATCCTTAATTCTCGCATTAGATTTTTATCCAGACGTGGTGAGCAAAGTGGCTGGCCTACTCCTCTGGTTTATGTGGTAGGTCATAGGTGGCACAGTGCCTGCTTAGCAGGGATTTAAACAATCCCTTATCATCTTCTGGGCTTTCTTGTTTGATTTTTTTTTTTTTAACTTTGTTCAATTCTCAGCAACTCGATTTTAAAGGTCATTATATTAACTGCAAAGATGAATCAAGGGATGAGGTCATTTCTCATCCAGGGAAACGCTTTAGTCTTGGATGCTGTCATCTTCATGCTCCATAGATGCTGATCTGGGCTTTAAAAAGACAATTCTATTTCAACATAGTATTCTTTGGGGGGAAAAAGACTGCCTTCCTTTCCAAAACTCAGCTTTGCCAACTCATCAAAGGAAGCCTTTGTATCCACATTTGTGTCCCTCATATCTGGGACAGCAGCTGCACACTCAAAAGTCCTACTCCAGCTGAAGGGAGTCGTGGACTTTATCGTAATCACCTTGTTGAAATATGTGGAATTGTATAGCAACAGCCAGGTTCTATGTTGCCATAATTTATGACAAAGGCTCAAATAAATCCCCAGACATGGATTTTCTATAAAATCCTTCATTGTGAAAGTTTGTTGCACTGCAAAAATGAAAAGAAGACGGAAAGAAGAGAAAGGAGGAAATGAAAAAGTCCGCAAGACGTATATAAACCTCTGAGGATGCCGTTTCCATTCATCACCTTTACTGTAAAGACAGGGATTTTATTTGGATGGAAAAGGAATGAATCATAGGGTTTTAGAATCTAATGCGAAGTTTGCTGGAAGCATTTTCCTCTGATCTTTCTGCTTCCTCAAGATCATCTGAATATGGAGAGAGAATGAGTGCAAAGAATTCTATCAGCCATAGAAGGTTCTGTGCTGGGATGGGTATCAGAGGATGGAGAGAGATCTCTTTTTTTGTGACTTTTACCTGGGACGTTCATTGGCCTGTGAAGGTTTAGGGATACAATATAGTGACATCAGAAGCATGTGTTAGTGATTTAAATTATACAATATGAGGTGAGCAGATGCAAGAACAAGAGAAAGAGAGAGTGGGGAGAGAGGGAGGGGATGAAGATGGAGAAGGAGGCAGGGGAAGGTGAGGACGAAAGTTTCCAATCATATAGTTTATTTCATCCACCCTCCCACTCATAGCCTGAGAAAATCTGATTCTAGAGATCCCTTCCTTTGCTCTTTTGTCCCTCATACTATGAGCATCTACTCTTGCTAGGTGCCAGACAGCTGTTTTTATTCAGTATGATCCCTTAAACACAAATCAACCTCTTCATCAGATGCTCTTCCCAAAACACAGTGGTTTGTTCAAGATAGACGGAAAATGGACTGTGTTGGACACATTGAGAGACTATCTGCTTCTTCAAAGCATGGGTGACTTAAGAGGACTTTTAAGGAAAATTCTGACTATGCGATTGTTTCTTTATGTGATACCTCTAGAATCTAATTGCCTCTTAAAGTTACTCTCTACTGGGGTCCCTTCTGAGCAGTTAGGGGATGAAGGTTATGGTTAGGTCTAAATTTATTCATTCATTATTCACCAGATACACACGGAGAACCTCCTTTGTGCCAGGCATAGTGCTGAGCTAGGGCGAGATTACATGGTGCTTCAAAGAGAAGTTTCTCACTGATCTTTGCATGCAATCACAAAGTTTAAAGCTGGAAGAACCCTCAGAGGATATCATTTATCAAGAACAATGTTGAGCAACCTTTTATATGCAAGCACTGCTTTGGGGAAAATAAACATGTTTTACTCGCCACATTCTTTTGGCTCATTCATAGTGAAAACAGTTTTATTGAGTTCCTTGGCTGGGAGGGAGGACATTCTCAAAACCCAGCTCCCCTATTTGATGGAATAGAAGGCCATTGATTAAAAACTTAGCATTGCTTGTGGGCCACTAAAATGCAAATATTGGGGTATCTTTGGGAAGTAGTTCCATGGAGGTAGTTTTCAGATTGTTCAATCTAAAATTAGGTGGTGGTCTGTGTCCCAAAGTTTAGGCAGAACACACGTGGCTCCCAGGCTGCTGGTGTTCATGGTGGAGGTAGTGAGTGGGAAGCTGTGCTTGGTTTCATTCTAGATCCTCTACAGCACAGTACAAAATAATCCTTTTCTGGCTTAGGTATCTGTTTTATTTAGAGCCCTTGTGGTTGCAAACTCTGAAAGAAAAATAAAATTGAAGGTACAAAGTCTCACAAGAATTCAAAAGCTGAGGTGTTAGCATTAGGCATGGCAGAATTCAGATGTTTAAGCCATGTCATTGGTACCCTACTTTTCCATTTACTCCATTCTGCTTTCCTCTCTGGTGGCTTCACTCCCAAGCCAGGTGTGCTCTGTGTGTGTGCATCCACCACCCAGCCAGCAGAGCCAGGCTTACACCCTCCCAAATTTAAGTCCAGTAGGAAAGAGTTGCTTCCCTCTAGGCCATGCTTGCTCCAGATTTGGAATTAGAGCTGATGGGCTCTGCCTAACCATGAATCCATCTCAATGGTCTGATTGGCCACGATGGGTCCACTGGTCAAGGATAGGGCCAGACTAATGTAAGACATATGGATAGAGAGTGAGGCTTACTGAATGAAGCCAGGTGATCCTGAAAATGCAAAGACTCTTCATCATCTTTTCTATCTGGCCATTCATCCATCTGTGTGTTCGTCCATCCATCTGTGTGTTTGTCCATCCATCCATCCCCTGACCTATCTACCTATCTATCCATTCATCCAATCATCCATCCATACATTCACCTATCTAGATATCTATCCATCCACCCAACCACCTAGCCACTCAGATAACTAGCTAGCTAGTGACTGCCCCTTTGTTGTAGAAAGCAATTATATGTTCAGAGCATGGCATATCTTAGGAGTTCTAAAACTCCTTTGTTAAAAGTAAATGAATAAATGAATTTAGCCTTATTCTCAATTTATACACATTGTGAAAAGGTGAATCACAACAGCTAATGCCAGAGCTGGACTCTGCACCCAGTCCCCACAACTAAAGGTTTCTCAGGAAGATGTTGCTTCAACAGGTGGGGAATAGGAGATTGCTGGCAAGGCAGATGTATGTGAATTATTGCCTAAATGCAATGGCATTTTATGCAAGGGTATACTTATCTGTGGTTTCATTAACCAGTATTCATTTTCATCTCAGTATCATATCTATCTTTTCAGGAAATAAGTTTACTTTCACTATAAAGCTACATCTCAGAAATGAATGCAAATAACAATTTTAATGTCAAAGCCAGGTCCATTTTTTATGGCTCTGTGCCCTAATCCATAAAGTTATTACCCAAACTATTGAAATATGCCCCAAGGATCGGCGTCTTAATAAGGCTTTAGAAATTACCACAATATTTGTGGAGAGAATGGGGATGCAGGGCGTCTGAAACAGTTGCCATGAAAAATGCTTAAGTAGAGGTCAACAAAGTTTGAAGGTGTGGGAATGGGCGGGGGAGTGGTCAAACGTGTCTTCACCTCCATCTTTAGTAATTTCTACATATATGTGATTTTTTTGGGTCACGTATAGCTGTTTTTTGTTTGTTTTTTGTTTTGTTTGTTTTTTGTTTTGTTTTTGTTTTTGTTTTTGAGAGGGAGTCTCGCTCTGTTGCCCAGGCTGGAGTGCAGTGGCGCAATCTCAGCTCACTGAAAGCTCTGCCTCCCGGGTTCACGCCATTCTCCTGCCTCAGCCTCCCGATTAGCTGAGACTATAGGCGCCAAGTTTAGATGTCTTATAAGCCCAAGACTATATGATAAATGCCTTATTTGAATTATAGCTGTGTTATTGTAGTGTTTTGTGCCCACCAGTTCTAAGATGTAGGTTCAGCCTAAAATTTCTGATTGACTATTTCCTTACATTGTAAAATAATGGGAGTTGGGACTCTTGGGTTCATTCATTTGCTCAACAAATATTAATTAAGCATATACTATGTGCCAGGCACTGCTCTGAGATACAACAGTGAGCAAACCAGATACCAATCTTCTCCCTTATGAAGCTTAGACAGTGCAGTGCCAGGTTCTGCCATGAAGGAACGGTTAGTGCTTTGCATGCCATTTGCCTTCTGTGGGCATCTGTTTTCCTGTTTGTAATATAAGAGGCAAGGGGACTCAACACCAACCAAACGAAAGGAACAACTTAAAAAACTAAGCTTGGCAAAAGGAAAAGTTACACAGGACAGGTAACCTATGTGCAAACACTGAGAAAGGTGTTTGGTTTAAGAGCAAGGATACTACTTGACACTAGTTGATCTGTGTGGCTCCCAAAGACAGGATGAGGACTGCTAGACACTGAGATCAACCATGTATAAGATGCTGAGGAGGGCCGGGCACGGTGGCTCACGCCTGTAATCCCAGCACTTTGCGAGGCAGAGGCAGGCGGATCACTTGAGGTCAGGAGTTTGAAACCAGCCTGGCCAACATGGTGAACCCCCGTCTCTCCTAAAAAATACAAAAATTAGCCAGGTTTGGTGGCACACACCTGTAATCCTAGCTACTGGGGAGGCTGAGGCATGAGAATTGCTTGAACCCGGGAGGCGGACGTTGCAGTGAGCCGAGATCGTGCCACTGCACTCCAGCCAGGGAAACAAAGCGAGACCCTGTCTCAAAAAAATAAATTTAAACAAAAATAAATAAATAAAAATTAAAAATTTAAAAATAAGACGCTGAGGAGGTGGCAAGTTTCTTATCACTAAGAGTGTGCAAGAAGAGGCTGGAAGAGAACTTGGCAGGATATTGGAGAAGATGCAAGTATCAGCCTTCTAAAAACTCTTTAACATATGAGTGCAATTAACATTACTATCTTCCATCTCAGTACTGCACCATGACGACCTTGTGGCCTGCATGTTTGTGGCAATAGGATAAGAGAAAGAAGGGGGAGACCTCTTAACTACCTTGGCCAGAAAGTGACACCTATCATTTCTGCTTACAGTCCATTCACCAGAATGAGTCTCATGGCCCCAGACTAATATCCAGGAAGGCCAGGAAACATAAGTGAGAACATGAATATAAGGTAAGCACCATCTCTAAGATTTTGAAAATATGGAGAGACATAATAACACCTATTTCAGAGAGTTACTTTTAGAATTAAATAAGCTAATCCATTGTGTCATCTAGTAACTTTTCTTTTTTTTAAACGAGCCTTTCTTTCATCCTCTTCCTCTTTTATTTGACTTCAAAGATCACCATATTATCTGGCTGGACCCATTGAAAAGATGCTCTATGGAGCCCCTAGGAGAAGTCACTGATGAAAGGGATTGATCTTATATGGACATATCCCCACACACTGATGCCTAAAATTCCACCATTAGAGGCACCTTCCTGCCACGTTTCACGTCTCTAGGCTTGGGGTAGGCAAGGGATGTGGAGGGTGGACATGGAAATTCCAGGTGGGAAGCTGTCAGTGACAATTTCAGCCAGGCTGGCCCTAAGGAGGATGGAGGTTGCATAGCTCAGAAACCCACCACCCACGGGTTGCTGTTATATATGCAGTTAGAAAGGCTGTTTCCCCCCAGTGGAGCAACCTAGGGGCAGGCTGTCCATCTGAATCTGAAATGAATTCAATTTAGCTTCATGTAATTGCTTATTTGATTCCTGACGATGACATGCAGTTAGGAGGTAAATTGACATTCTGTCATTTCTGTTCCAATGAACTGAACTCCAACAAGTTCCCTCCTAGGTACTTTGTGGCAGCCAGGCCACCTGCTCTTCTTCTGAAGAGAAATTAGCGAGCACAGGGAGCTTGGAAATACAGCATCCCGAGCCTGGTGCCTTTTTTTGTTGTTGTTACGGTTGTGAGATGAATCACATAGTCAGACAGGGGTACGCCTGAACTTCCTTTTCCCCTGGTGAACACAATAGACGTCCTTTCAGAAAGCTCTCAGGATGACTTTCTGCTTTAGAAACATGAATTTTCTCGCTTGTCATCCAAAGTTTATTTCTGTTCAAGGTCAATTTTGCAAAAAAAAATCAAACAATATAGGAGTCCGTTTTGAAAAAAGATTTCAAACAATTTAGGAGACATCTCCAGCAAGTCATAAAAGACCTCACCCGTTCCAAGCACAGGAATAGGTGTTTGTTTTGTCGTGGCTACCCAGTGCCCTCTTTGGCCAAGCCTTTATATAACCACAGCATTCTGAATGGTGCCCACAAGGCTATGGGAAAAGGCAGTCCCTTCAAACAAAGGGGAGGCCAGCCAGGCAGACAGGACAGGGCTCGACAGGATGCTCAGAATGTGATTGAAGGGTGAGCAAGAACCTTGAATTTTATTGATTAAAGACACAAATTCTCAAGGGCATAAATAGAGGGCCCAGATGTCAATATCCACAGACACCAAGCCTTCTGTGTATACTGGACAGATGTCATTTACATGATCATGGTAAGAAGAATATGGTATTGTAAGTGATATGGTAAGAAACAATATGAATATTAAACCATGCAGCAGTGCTTCTCAACAGGGGCAATTTGGCAATACAAAGACATTTCTGAGGCTGGGAGCAGTGGCTCACGCCTATAATCCCAGCAATTTGGGAGGCCGAGGCAGGCGGATCACAAGGTCAAGAGATTGAGACCATCCTGGCCAACATGGTGAAACCCCGTCTCTACTAAAAATACCAAAAAAATTAGGTGGGCGTGGTGGCGTGCGCCTGTAGTCTCAGTTACTTGGGAGGCTGACGCAGGAGAATTGCTTGAACCCGGGAGGTGGAGGTTGCAGTGAGCTGAGATCGTGCCACTGCACTCCACCCTGGAGACAGAGTGAGACTTTGCCTCACAAAGAAAAAAACAACAACATTTTTGGTTGTCACAGTGAGAGGGATACTACTGGCATTTAATGCGCGCAGGCCAGGGACGCCGCTAAGCCTCCTGCAGCGCACAGGATGGCTTGCCACATGATGGAATGAACAGGTCCAGACTGTCAATAGTGCTGAGCTTGAAAAACCTGGTAGAGAGCAAGGGGCCAAGCACGTGACAGTGTCCACTTAGGAGAAGTGATGTCGGCTGTGTTAGGAAAGACAGTTTCCGCTGGACTTGGGGGAAAGTTCATGCTGAGTTGAGAAAGGTGAAATATTCTCATTTAGAATCACAAATGTGATCACATTTCTTCTCTGTTTAAAATAATTCCACACTGTATGAAAAAATCAGGCCAAGCACAGTGGCTCACATCTGTGATCCCAGCAATTTTGGAGGCCGAGATGGGAGGATTGCTTGAGGCCAGGAGTTCAAGGTCAGCCTGGGCAACACAGTGAGACCCTATCTCTACAAAAAAAAAAAAAAAAAAAAAAAATTAGCCAGGCATGGTGTTGCATGCCTGTAGTGCCAGCTCCTTGGGAGGCTGAGGCAGAAGGATGGGTTGAGCGCAGGAGTTTGAGGCTGCAGTGAGCTATGAATGTGCCACTGCACTCCAGCCTTGGGGGCAGACCGAGACACTGTCTCTAAACAAAACAAAACAAAAAAAAAACCATAAAAACCCACAACACCACCTTGTACCCTATAAATATATGCACCTATAATTTCTCAATATATAATAAAAATGTATAAAAAAAGAAACATGTTTTTATTTAACATTTAAAAACCCTGGGTCAGGCGCAGTGGCTCACACCTGTAATCCCAGCACTTGGGGAGGCCGAGGCGGGGGGACCACTTGAGATCAGGAGTTTGAGACCAGTCTGGCCAACATGGCGAAACCCTGTCTCTACTAAAAATACAAAAATTGGCCGGGCATGGTGGTGTGTGCCTGTGATCCCTGCTACTTGGGAGGCTGAGGCAGGAGAATTGCTTGAACCCAGGAGGCGGAGGTTGCAGTGAGCCGAGATCACGCCCCTGCACTCCAGCCAGGGCAACAAGAGCGAAACTTCTTCTCGAAATAAAATAAAATAAAAATACAAACCTGTATTGGTTTTCTATTGTTTTTAAGAAAAAGTCCAATCTGTATAACACAGTCGCCAAGGCCCTGTGTATATAGTTCCCTCATCTTCTGCAGGAAGGAGAGGAAAACCAGAACTTAGGGAAGGGACATTGGTCTGAGCACCCTGCCTTCAATGTCAAGTTAATGAGAAAGGTTAGAAAAGAACACTTAAAAATAATCTGTCACTGCTATAGTTGCAAACAATGGGGAAAAGAGGAAGTGGTGAGAAATGAATCTGTCATGCAGACTCCATGAGGGTTATTAGCAGATTGATCCTGAAAGAGCAAGAAAGGTCTGATTTGTTGGTAAAATACTCAGCTATAATGAAAACAAAAAAGAGGAGAATCATGCAGACATCCTTCCTCCTCCATCCTCCATTTACAGTCAAAGCCTTGTTTCCTCCACAGCAGCTCTTAGGACTCTGGGAAAGAAATGGCTGATGAAGAAATTTTGGAGATTTGACTGCTGAGTCCCTAGTCTGGTATTGTTAAGAGTCATCCAGGAAAGACACATGTCACCCCTCCTAGCTCTGCTCTGGGTTTTGTTTCTCTCTGGCACAATGTCCTATGAAGACTGGACTATAGGTGGCCTGGTCTTATTCGGGTTACACACCGCTCCACTCTGCTCACTGGGCCCCCACTGCACTAGACTTCTCTCAGGACCTTCAGTATCACACTGCAGCTTCCCACAAGTTCTTCCCACAGCTTGGATTCCAGCCTCTGCCCATGTGTCTCCCCTTCTACATCCACACAACCCACATTATTTACTCCTGTTCATCTTTCTGATTGTTGCGCAAACATTATTTCTAGAGAGATTTTCCTGATGCTGCCCAACCTGGCTCAGTTTCCTTTATCTATACAGTCCCATGCCCTCCTTATCATACTTATAAAATGACATATTCAGTAGGCTTGTGTATTTTTCCACCTTTTGATGGAGCTCCATGAGAATAGGGACCAAGGCTGCCCTTATATGCACTGTGTGAAGGGATCTAGCAAAGGGGCAGTTGGGGCTTAAAACTAGCCTTCGATTTGCTGACCTGGCAAGGCTTGGCTGTCATACAACCTGGGGTATCCCCAGCACCTAGCACAGTGCCTGACTCAGAGCAGGTCCCCAGGAATTGTGGATTGATTGACACTGTCTGGCTAGGTCCCAGCACCATCCATCATGAGACAGAAAAAAAAAAATCCGCTTCCCAGGCAGAGCAGCCTCCAAGGCCCACATGGCCCACGGCACCTCCTCATCAGCACGCACTTCATGCTGGCCAGCCATCAGCCAAGCTGCAATCTCAATAAATCAAGAGGCTGGGGCACCATTTCCCAGGGACCTGCCAGAGTGCCCCTGGGCGCCCAATGAGGCTGAGAGTTCTGCTGCCGGTCGTGGATCTTGAACTCTCAAAAGCAATTGGTGAAAAACACCAATGGATTGTGAAAGAAGTGATCACTCCTCCTTTCCTCTGTAGGTAGAGGTTGACAGTCAAATCTAGTTTCAAGGTCTCTGTCTCTTTGCGGTCCTAGGTAAATACGATCATCTCTCGAAACTTTCATTCCTCCATCTGTAAAATAGGTATGATACTCATCCCTACCATCCAATGTGTGGAGATCCACATAATGCTCTAATATACTAGGTTGGTGTGAAAGTAATTGCATTTTTTTCTCATAAAAGTGGCAAAACTGCAATTACTTTTGTGCCAACCTAATAGTACACGGCACAGTATATACAATGTGTAATATAGTACATAGTACATAGCAGATTATATATATAAATTATATATATACATATAAAAATAAACATACACACACACAGACACACACACGCACATATATATAATGAAGCCTCTTCCTTTAATGGCCCAAGATTGAGCCAAAAGGAAATACAGGGAATTAAACCATGAGGACAGAAATCTCCATCTAGGCTGTCTTGGTTGTTCTGCTCACATTCCCCTACCCAGGCTTGCAACCTCCCGTGAGGCTGTCTGAGCCTGGACACACCCCTAGAATCTTCATTGCCAACAAAAGAAGAGAAAGGGAATAAGGGGTATTTGTGTGGAATCTGAAAGAGACAAACACACTCCTTGTTCTTCTCAATACAGGTGTTTCCAAAGCTGCCAGAGAGACCCAGAGCTTAGAGTTGTGATGACACAAGGGTAGGTGATGTGGACAATGACCGGGGCCCCCAGCCAAAACCATCCCTGTTTATCTGTTCCACAGAATGGTGTTCAACATCAGTTCTTGTCTGGTGGAGGGGGAAGAGATTGTGCTAATGAATAAACATACAAAGTAGACAAATGTTTATCACTCCTTACTAGCATAAGATTCCATGCGTACAAAACCATATAAGCTGTCTATATGTGTGAGTACAGCTCTAGAAAGACAGAAATGATTGTATTGGATGCCAGCTTAAAGTTGGGAAATACCATTAGAAGAAATCGCAACTTGAGAATCTTGCATTTTATTGCCAAGTGTTTGGTTTTAACGAGAGTCTAAATGTGCTCACCCATTCACTCATCCCTCCCATAAATATTCCCTGTGGCCCATTATGAGTTTGACACTCTGCTAGGCTCTGGAAGACAGGCAGAATGATGGAAAGAATCATTTTCTAGAAATGACTAAATCCTAGTTAAAAAGGGGAAATATTTAAACTATTAGTGACAATATAATTTATGCATTCCGCTAGTACATGCGGAACAACTCCTGCATTTCAAGAATTATTCTAGACACGAGGGATACAGTAGCAAGCAAAATATAAAGATTTCTCTTTTCATGGAACTTGTGTTCTAGCGGGGGGAAAGTGCCCAATAAAAAAATAAGCGAATAAATGCATAATTCATACTAGCTAGTGATAAATGCTTTTATAGTAAAGCAGGTAAAAGATGAAGAGTGATGAGAAGGGGCTACTGTTTTAGATCAAGCAGCTGGGAAAAGTCATTTGGAAGAGGTGACATTTGGGCAAAGAGCTGAATCAAATGAGGCAGTAAGTCATAGCAGGTGGAAGGGAGGTGTATTCCAGGCAGAAGGGAGCAAGTGAGCGACAGCCCTGATGAGCAGGGTACCTGGAATATTCCAGAAGCAGTGGGAGAAATGAGTGCGGCTGAAGCCCAGGGAGCAGTGGAGAGATACTGGGGAGAGTGGTGAGGCCACATCATGTAACACAGCCTGCGTTGCTGAGCAGCCTTCAACAGGATGCAAGCCCTGACAACGAAAGAATAGTTAACTCAGAAAAAAACAAAACCAAAACTAAAACCCAGCTGCTACGGTAATGGAATTGGGCAAGCAAAACCGATAGTTCATGAAACACAGGAGCAAGACACCTGAGACCTGGCTCACCCAGCAAGGTGGCTGCAGAGCTGCTTAGACTTGGAGAAGCAGGGGATTCCCTGTTATTTCCAACTAATAGGAGGAGTCAGAGTGCAGAATGAAGATGTGCTCTGCTAGCCACCTCTAGAGAACATCTCTCCTCATTTTTGACTGCCCAGAACCTACCTATGCTGAGGGAATCCTCCTGGTCTCTGTTCCCACCTTTCTCTGCAGAAGCTGATACCAGTTTTCCCAGCTTCCCTTGCAGCTAGGGTAAAAGCACGTGACCTCATTTCCACCAATCAGCTTGCTTGCTCCAGCCTTCACCATGGAAGCTGGCATTTCCCTCAATGGTGGCTTTCCCTCTGGAGGCTCTAGGGGAGAATTCCTTCTTTGCTTCTTCATCTGCTGGTGGCTGCTGGCATTCCTTGAATTCTGGCTGCATCACTCTCATTGCTACCTGCATGGTCAGGCTTCCTTCTCTTCTCTATGTCTTCTCTTCTGATGGTATTAAGACTCTTTCTGTTTCACTTTTTAAAAAATCTCATTTTTATTTATTTTTTAAAATATTTACTTTTATTTCAATAGTTTTGGGGAAACGTGTAGTGTTTGGTTGCATGGAAAAGTTCTTTAGTGGTGGGCTGGGTGTGGTGGCTCACGCCTGTAATCTCAGCACTTCGGGAGGCTGAGGTGGGCAGATCACTTGAGGGGAAGAGTTCAAGACCAGCCTGGCCAACATGGTGAAACCCTATCTCTACTAAAAATACAAAAAAAAAAAAAAAATATCCAGGCGTGGTTGCATGCACCTGTAATCGCAGCTACTCAGGAGGCTGAGGCACTAGAATCACTTGAAACCCAGGAGGCAGAGGTTGCAGTAAGCTGAAATTGGGCCAGTGCACCCTAGCCTGGGTGACAGAGCAAGACTCTGTCTCCAAAAAAAAAAAAAAGAGAGAGAGAAAGAGAAAGAAAAGTTCTTAAGTAGTGATTTCTGAGATTTTTGTGCACCTGAGTAGTGTAACTGTAACCAGTGTGTAGTCTTTTATCCCTCACCCCCCTCCCCATGTACCCCCAAGTCCCCAAAGTCTACTGTATCATTTCTATGCTTTTGCATCCTCATAGCTTAGCTCCCACTTATGAGTAAGAACATACAATATTTGGTTTTCCATTCGCGAGTTACTTCATTTAAAATAATGGTCTCTAACTCCATCCAGATTGTCGTGAGTGCCATTATTTTGTCCCTCTTTATGGCTGAGTAGTATTCCACAGTATCTATATATACCACATTTTCTTTATCCACTTGTTGGTTGATGGGCATTTAGGCTGGTTTTATATTTTTGCAATTGTGAACTGTGCTGCTATAAACATGCATGTGCAAGTGTCTATTTCATATAATGACTTCTGCTTCGCTCTTAGGACACTTGTCATTGGATTCAGGGTTCACGTGGATAATCCAGAATGATTTCCTCATCTCAGGGCCTTTAAATTATTTCCATCTGTAAAGACCCCATTTGCCAAATAAAGCCACATTTACAGATTTCAGGGATTAGGACATGGTCATATCTTTTTGGAGGCCACCGTCCCATCCCCTATGCCACCTCCTAGAGATCTTATGAACTAACTAATACCTTTTTTTTTTTTTTTGAGCTGGAGTCTTGCTCTGTCACCCAGGCTGGAGTGCAGTGGTGTGATCTTGGCTCACTGCAACCTCGGCCTCCCAGGTTCAAGTGATTCTCCTGCCTCTGCCTCCCAAGTATCTAGGACTACAGGCACCTGCCACCATGCCCGGCTAAGTTTTTGTATTTTTAGTAGAGATGGGGTTTCACTGTGTTAGCCAGGATGGTCTTGATCTCCTGACTTCATGATCCACCCGTCTCGGCCTCCCAAAGTGCTGGGATTATAGGCATAAGCCACCGCTCCTGGCCACTAATAACTTCTAATACTTTTTTTTTCCTTTTCGTTGATACCAGCCTGAATTGGTTTGTTTTTTGTCAAACAGAAGCTTGACATGGACCCCACCCTATCTCTCTATTCCTGGCCACCAAAGAGGACAAGATGTCTGGAATGCAGCCCTGCTTGGGGGCATAAGTGTGAGACTTTGGTTCCAGCTGATATGCACAACTCTCTGCCTTCCCGTCTGCTCACTTTGACTCCTGCCTCGTAGTAAAGGAACGGACCTCCCATGTCAGAAGCTCTGTGGTTGAGACATTTTCTTTCAGGTTAAAACATGTCTTCTGGCCCTAAGAGATTGGGATGTGAAACCCACCACAAAGAGTGGAGGGAAGCTGGCTGGGTGGTCAGCCTCACCACATCAACTATTTATGGCTTTGTTAAAAAATAAAAACCAGAGCAAACTCACCCATAGAAACCTACAGAACATGCATGAGCCTTTAGGAGACTTCAGGAGGGACAGTGTTGTCTCCTAAGCTGTCTTGCACCAGTGGTGTCGGTGCGTGGGGGTGAGAAAGGAAATCTCACGGGAAACTTTCCATGAATACTTGGAGCCTATTATGAGCAAGAAAACGACAATATGACAAACACAAGAAGCAATATCTCACGGTGGTTACACCCATGTGCTTCAGAGCCAGAGAGATATGGGTAGAAGCCTGAAAACTGATACCACTGCTTACCATCTGTGTGATTTTGAGGATTTTTTAAAAACCTGAGCCTCAGTTTCCTCATCTTTGAAGGGTATTAATGCCTGCCTTGTTTTTTTGTCTGTTTTGTGAGGATTAAATAGATTCAGTAAAGCTCTTAGCTTAGTATTGGTGTATGTGAATATGTGAAGACATCTTATATTCCTTTGCCACTATTGTCATCCCTCTTATCTAAATAGCATCATCTTGAATTCAGTTAAATCTGTGGACGTATTGTCTCTTAGTGCATGTGCTGTACTCCACAGTGTCTGGCACGTGATAGGTGCTACATGAATTTTTGGTTTATAAAGCTGTATTGTTTTGATGGGTGTGTAATCAGAGTTTAACGGACCAGAAGGTGACAAAATTCAACTGATCCTCCTAGACATGGTGCCATATTTCTCTGGCTCCATTCTAACTATAATGCCAGTAATTTCAATCTCCACCTAAATAAAGCTCATCACTATCACTCCCCCACCATGTCTGGGAGTCCCTAGGACAATGTCTCACCTGTTCTTGCATTTCTGGTTTGTTTGGGCATCAGTGACACCTGCCATTCTCTTTCTGCTCTGCACTGCCCACTATGGATGAGGATACCATAGGTGAAGGGTTATGAGATGAGGTTGAATGACTGTGATATTCCAAAAATTTCCAGTTGAATCAAATATCACTGAGCTCTGCGACCCTGGCTGGCTAAGTCACAGAATCTTTTTTTACTTTTTGTGTGTGTGTGATGGAGTCTCACTCCATTGCCCAGGCTGGAGTGCAGTGGTGCAATCTCGGCTCACTGCAACCTCCGCCTCTGGGGTTCAAGTGGTTCTTCTGCCTCAGCCTCCTGAGTAGCTGGGATTACAGGTGCGTGCCACCACGCCTGGCTAATTTTTATATTTTTAGTAGAGATGGGGTTTCACCATGTTGGTCAGGCTGGTCTCAAACTTCTGACCTCGTGAGCTGCTGCCCTTGGCCTCCCAAACTGCTGAGATTACAGGCATGAGCCACCATGCCCAGCCATCACACAATCTTTTTAAGTCTGAGTTTTATCATCTGCAAAATGGGGGAGATCTATCTTCCTCATAGGGATGATGATTAAATGAAATAATGAACACAAAAGGAATAGCCTGGTATGCATTAGGTACTAAATAAATGCCAACTATCATTTTTATCTCCTTGATGAATTATTTTCCTAGTGGCTATACCACCCCACATGCCAATAATGACTTTTGGTAGATATGCCATATCTAGTCAGATATTTGGGGGTGGTGGGAGAGTGAGCTGGTGGCAGAGAAGGTGGGGACAGAGACTTTCTATTATGGCATCTCGGAGGAATAAAATAGTAACTGTCAGAAACGTGATGCTATAGAAATCAGCTACAGAACCAGCTATATGGATTGTGAATTTTTTTTTTTTTTTTTTTTGAGACAGAATCTCGCTCTGTCTCGCAGGCTGAAGTGCAGTGGGGCAATCTCGGCTCACTGCAAGCTCCACCTCCTGGGTTCACGCCATTCTCCTGCCTCAGCCTCCCGAGTAGCTGGGACTACAGGCACCTGCCACCACACCAGGCTAATTTTTTGTGTTTTTAGTAGAGGTGGGGTTTCACCATGTTAGCCAGGATGGTCTCGATCCCCTGACTTCGTGATCCGCCCGCCTCGGCCTCCCAAAGTGCTGGGATTACAGGCATGAGCCACCACGCACAGCCTGGATTGTGAAGTTTTAACTCCAGTGCTGTCATTTGCTAGCAAATGCCCTTGGGTAAGTTCTTTAATCTTGCAATGTCTCAGTTTTTAAATCTGCAAATAGGGATAATAATACCTATTTCACAGGACTGTAAGGATAATTGAATAAGTTCATTCATGTCAAGCACTCAACATGACTTCTAACATGTAATAATTAATCAATAAATATTGACTATTATTAGTTTCCCAGTGAATCAATCAAGAACGTACGTTTTTAAAAAAATCCTTAAGTGCCACTTTGTGGATAGATCTGCCCTTACCGTGTCCAAGGGATCTATGTGCCTTCAAATGTTCGAGTCACATTTCACCTAGATGCTCAGATATGCAGAAATTCTAAGGATAAACCACCTAAACTACTGCTATGTGTACAGACCTGTGTACAAAGGGCTAACATATTGAGCTGGGCTTTCTTCTTTATTGGAATGCACCCATGTTTGCTGATGAGAATTTTCTACCTGAAAGGGTTCATGAAAGTGGAAGATTGTACAGACCATTTGTGAAATTTTGTGTCCACCACCCAGACCTGGGAAGTTCAACAATGTAATGGCTCCTGTCTTGACATGTCATGGAATGGTCAAGGAAATGAACGGGTTTCTCAGGGGTGTTTGGTTGTAAGCCCAAGAAACTGACTCAAATCAGTCCAAGCTTTATTGGAAGTATTCAAGCGTACTTCCTGGAGCACACAGACAGATAGTATAGTTGGGCTCACAGGGTCTAGAATCAGAAACTGGACCTATTAGGGTCCAAGGCAACTCTTCCCTCTCTCTGCTCTGGTGCTTTCAGCTAGTTCGCTTCGTTTCTTCCTTTGCAGAGTGACCTTTTCTGCCTCTCTTGCCCACAACCCAAAGACCCAAAGGTGGCCACCCCATTTTTATGTCCTCTCAGTACTAGTGCCCCCAAAAAACTGGCAAGAACAACCAAGTCCAACTCCAAATTCCCAGGGGAAATGATTGGCCAGGAAAAGAGGCCAAAAACATGTGGTGACTCACGAAGACTCAATCTATGGAAGGACCACTTGACAAAGATCCAAGTCAGAATCCTCTGGGGCATTCAGCTGGCCATTGGCTATTTCAGGTCGGTACACTGTCTTCTGCTTCTTGATGTCTAGGTCTCGGGGAAGGACCACGTGGCCTGCTGGCTCATGGGGCTCCATGTACCCTTCTGCACTTCTCCAAAGGGCCAGCCTTTTTTGCTGCACCAGAGGCTCTGCTCATACCCTTCCCTCTACTTTGAACACTTTTCCCTGCACCCTCTCGTCCTACACTTTTGCATACCTAGCTCCTCCTCCTCCCTCAGGTCTCATGTTAATTTCACCTCCATGGAGAGACTGCTCTCCACGCCCTACATTTGTAACTTTCTCTGGCGCTCTACATCCCCTATATGTTCCCTTTATGGAACTAACACAGTCTGAATTAAATGCTTATAATAGTAGCTAACACCCACATGATATTTCCTACGTGCTGGATATTTTCATAAGAGCTTTGTACATGTGAATTTTTTTAATCCATCAACAAATGGGGCAGGCATAGTGACTCACACCTGTAATCCCAGCACTTAAGTGATCAAGAGGATCACTTGAGCTCAGGAGATCGAGACCAGCCTGGCCAACATAGTGAAACCCCTTCTCTACCAAAAAATACGAAAAATTAGCTGGGTGTAATGGTGCATGCCTATGGTCCCAGCTACTGGGGAGGCTGAGGTGGAAGAATCACTTGAACCCGGAGGTGGAGATGGCAGTGAGCTGAGATCGTGCCACTGCCTTCCAGCCTGGGTGACAGAGTGAGACCCTGTCTCAAAAAAACAAAACAAAACAAAGCTATGGAATAGGCATTCTTAGTCTCTCTTGTTCCACAAATGAGAAAACTGGGGCACAGAGAGGCTAGCTAACTTGCCCAAGATCACTCTGCAAAGGGTCTAGTTCCGTAGTCTGCACTGTAAGCCTCTGCTGCCTCTTGACCCCAACAACATTCTACAGCTTATGGGATTGATTAGTTATTTTATGTCTGCCTCTTCTACTGGAGTTTAGGCTCTGTGTAGTCAGGGACTGCACTGATCAGGCCCACTGTGTATCTTCATTGCTTATCGGAATACCTGGCCCTTAGAAAATATTTGCCAGATGAATGAACACATGAAAATAAGAATATATTAACTGGCTTAAAAAAGAACAACCCAGATTCCTGCCTGAATGAGAAGAGGGAGCCAGGTAAGTCTCCCAGGACTTTAAGGGGGTGTATGTGGGATTCAAGAGAGGAAGCTTTTCCAAAAATAGCAGCAGGAGAGGACTGGGAGAAGAGATCCTTCTCATGGAATAGCTTGCTTTCTGCTGTTGCTGCTGCTGCTGTCATTTCTGTCCTGTGGTCCCCTTCCACCCAGTCTCAGGTTGCCAATCTGAGCTTAATGGACCTGCTTTCATGCCCTGAGAGGTGGGAGCAGCTGGCATTAATAAATGGAGAGCACTTCAAGAAACAACTGAGTAGAGGCTCCTGAGATGTCCTGAGCTTAGGCATGAGACACTGATGGTGGCTCCCTCTTGACCTGGATTGTTTGTGGCAGGAAGAACAAAGAGGTTGGGGGTGGAGGAAATGTGGAGGGGTCTCGGGAGGGGGTTCCACCTCCAAATGTATCCAGAATCCTATTCTTTCTCATTTTCTCCACCTCTATCACCTGGGCCCCAGCCATGTGGGACTACAACGGCCTCCTAACTGCTCCCCCAGGTTTCAAGCACCCCCCCACCACTCTGCTATCTTCTCAACTCAGCCACCAGAGCCACCCTGTTAGAACCCAGAGACCCCCAGTTCATGTTGCTTCTCTGCTCAGAGCCCTCCAGGGCACCACGGAATTCAAGGCAAAAGCCAAAGTCCTGGCTGGATGCAGTGGCTCACGCCTGTAATCCCAGCACTTTAGGAGGCTGAGGTGGGCGGATCACAAGGTCAGGAGATTGAGACCATCCTGGCCAACATGGTGAAACCCCGTCTCTACTAAAAATACAAAAATTATCTGGGCATGGTGGCGCACCTGTAGTCACAGCTACTCAGGAGGCTGAGGCAGGAGAATCGCTTGAACCCAGGAGGCAGAGGTTGCCATGAGCCAAGATCGCACCACCGCACTCCAGCCTGGCGATAGAGCGAGACTCCATCTAAAAAAAAAAAAAAGAAAGAAAGAAAAGCCAAAGTCCCTGCAATGGAGCAAAGTCCCTACATGATCCTAGGTGATCTGGTTCCCACCCCTCCTCCCACCTCATTCTCTCCCTTACCCAGCTCTCACCTCCCACCTGCCTTGATGTTCCTTGAATGTTCACTAAATGCACCAGTCATGGCCCTACCACCAGGCCCTCACTCCAGCTATTCCCTCTCCATGCAATACTCTTCTCCAGAAAGCTGCTTCTCCAAATTCCTCACCTTCTTCAAGCCTTTGTTCTGAATGAAGCCTAATCGTCCCATGAACGGGACTTACTGTCACTGCTTGCACCTGCATGAAAACAACCTTATGCATGGAGAGTGATGGAGATGAGCGTATTCTAGCTGGGCAAAGGCAGGGTGGCAGAAAAGCCACTCTATACCACTGTGGTCAGAGCCAGAGGACCCCTGCCGCTGCTGGGGTGAGAACATGAGTAATGAGGTCAAAGGGAAATTAAGTGACTTTTTTTTCCCCATTTTCCAAGAATCACTAACTTTTTCTTTTTCTTTGAGATAGAGTCTCCCTCTGTCACCCAGGCTGGAGTGCAGTGGCACTATCTTGGCTCACTGCAACCTCCACCTCCCGGCTTCAGGCGATTCTCTTGCCTCAGCCTCCCTAGTAGCTGAGACTACAGGCACACACCACCAGACCTGGCTAATTGTTGTATTTTTAGTAGAGACGGGGTTTCACCATGTTGGCCAGGCTGGTCTCGAACTCCTGACTTCAAGTGATCTGCCCACCTCGGCCTCCCAAAGTGCTGGGATTAAAGACAGAACCGCTGTGCCTGGCCCCAAATCACTAACTTTCATTGTTAGTGATGCAATTTATATATATTTTTATTTTCATGGAAAAAGGCTCTAACAGGAAATATATAAAGAATATAAATACATAAAGAAAATGTGGGAATCTTGATCCCATTCACACTAGTTCCTCCCAGGAGGTAATCACTGGTCTTGCTTGGCATAGATCCTTTATCAGCGCATTTGCAGGCACAGGTATTTTTTCTACCATAAATAAATGGAATCAGACTCTATGCATTGTTCTGCAATTTGCTTTTTTTATTTTAACTTGAGCATTTCTGGGAGATTTCTGTGGCACTCCATAGAGGTCTATCTCATTTTTATAATAGCTTCCCATTATTCCACGATGTGGATGAAGTGTAATTTATTTAACTTTTCCACTATTAATGGACATTTATATCCATTTGAATTTTTACCTCCTTCTGTGATTCATAGGCTCCAATAGCTCCACTAATGTCAAGCTTTACAACGCTGCGGTATAAATGACCACATTTTTCTCTCACTGAATTTGTAAACGTCTTATCAACAACAGCACGGGGGTAGACGTGTGAGTTGGTTGCAGATGCCACGTGTGTGGGCCACGGCCGTTCCTTCTGGAGGCGGATGCTGGCTGCAGTTTGTCTGCAGTGTTTCAGTGGGGAAGAGAAAGCTCCCAGAAGAGGGCCCCTTCTCCATCTCAAACTCCCCCCGTTCCCCGGCCATTCCTCTCCTTCTCAGGCATAGTAAGGAGGCCAGCACAGTTCCTAGGATTCCAGGTCAAAGTGCATCTTGCCTTTTGACCCAAGAACCCTATCCCATTACAAATGGAATCTCAATTAATTTTACACTTGTGGGCCGGGTACGGTGGCTCACGCCTGTAATCCCAGCACTTTGGGAGGCCGAGGTGGGCGGATCACAAAGTCAGGAGGTCGACACCATTCTGGCTAGCACGGTGAAACCCCGTCTCTACTAAAAATACAAAAAAAAGTTAGCCAGGCGTGGTGGCGGGCGCCTGTAGTCCCAGCTACTCGGGAGGCTGAGGCAGGAGAATGGCGTGAACCCGGGTGGCGGAGCTTGCAGTGAGCGGAGATCCTGCCAATGCACTCCAGCCTGGGCGACAGAGCGAGACCCCGTCTCAAAAAAAAAATAATAATAATAATTTGCACTTGTGTTTGAGTATTTCCCTTAACTATTTTGTAAGCCTACTCTGTATGAATTTGTGGTTTCCTGCCCTCTCTAGTTACATGTCTCTGTCAATCCCTGTTTCTATCTGTCTGTTTCCCTTTTCTCTCCTCCACCGCAAGATACAGAATCCCATCCTCTGTAGGCAATCAATATATCCTTATTAATGATTATTAGAAACAATGCTGGGACTGAGGAAGTGGTAGATAGCAACTCTGGGAAAATCAGATGAGAATTCATTACTCAACATTTCCCAGGTGCCTCATCCAAGACCTCATGCCCGAGAGAGCACTCAGTACCATCTTATTGATTCTAAGATGCTGCCCTTATCATGGGACATTTCTAAAACCAGCGTGGGTTCTATGATAAAAGTTTACATTTAATACAATATTTTTTAAATAACCAAGGGCATTTTATAGTGCTTCTTTATAATGCCTCTTAAATTCCTCTAAGAATGACTCAGTAGACCCTGACCATAGGAACGGAGTAAAGAATGGCTACAAAGGAAATGTTGAAGGGTACCAAGAAGCCAGCTGTAGGGCTCCCCTCTCTCCAATTCCCTCATGCCCATGATGTCTGAAAAGTCCACCATTCAGACTCTTTCTGAGGAGCCTAAGATGCCTTGGGCTCCAGAGGTGGTCCCCTGGTCTGGTGAAACTTAGCATTAGCTCCTGCTGGCTGGAATGATTGATCCAGGGATAGGCACAGCCAGTGGGAATCCTTCTTAGAAAGACCTTAGAACAATTAGAAAAGACCCTCCTCCCTTTAGTTGGTAATAAGCCAATAAAAGATCAGAGACGGTGGGGGTCATCTTTGCCTTCATATGAAAAGACCTCATCGTGCCTGTAATCCCAGCACTATGGGAGGCTGAGGCTGGAGGACAACTTGAGCCCAGGAGTTTGACACCAGCCTAGAAAACATAGCAAGACTCCCATCTCTACAAAAATTTAAAAAATCAGCTGTTCATAGGACACATTTCTGTAGTCCTGGCTACTCTGAAGGCTGAGACAGGAGGATTGCTTGAGCCCAGGAGGTTGAGGCTGCAGTGAGCTATGATTGTGCCACTGTATTCTAGCCCTGGCAACACAGCGAAAGACCCTGCCTTAAAACAAAAAAAAAAGAACAGAAGTCACTGGAGATGAGCCAACCTGGGAAGGTAGAGTCCGAAGACGGAGAGAGGGAATTCTCAAGGCCCCTGTGGATCACCTGAATCCAGCCCCTCACACCCTGGACCCCTCCTTTCAGATGCCCCAAACATCCTATTGACCCCCTCCCTTAGGGTATTTTCAAATGTTTTCCTTCATTTCTGGAATGTTCCAGCAATACTAGCTAACATGCTCCACTGTTAGCTAATAATGCCATGAGCCCTGAGCTCAAAGTCCTGAGCTCGAAGATCTAGGGAGGCCTTCCCAACACCATCCCAGGCAGATCCTCCTGCCTGCTGGCCATTCTTAGCACTCTCTGTATCCCTTTCCTATAGCATTGTCCCCATTTGTAAGGACACTTGTATGTGTGTATGTGATGGTCTGGTTAATGTCCTTCTTCCCTACTAGACTATAAGCTCCCCAAGGGTAAAGTCTCTGTCTCTGTTCATCATTCTCTCCCCAGTGCCTCTCAAAGGCCTGGCATTTTGTAGGTAAATATTTGCAAATAAAGGAATCAGGGTCTCATTTTGGTTGAGGTCAACTGATCAAAGCTCAGACTCTAACTCAGACTCCTGGTTTCTAAGACTGACTAGCTGAGATCTTGGGAAAGTCACCCACACTTGTGAGCCTCAGTTTCCTCATCTGTGAAATGGGACTAATAATGGTACATCCCAGGGATGCTGTAAGGATTGAATGAGCTGCTATGTGTAAAGTACTGAGAATGAGACACAGCATAAAGTCAACATGGAGCAACAGTGAGCTGTGCTTCTTATAAGGGCCCCTTTAGCTGTGGCTGCTACTGTTGACAGTGAAAGATCCAACCAACGACTGATGTTTTACTCTGGGCTTTAGATTTGTCAGGATGGTGTGTTGTCTCTTGTCCCCAAGCCAGGTATTGAAATGTGGGGTGGGGGGAACAAAACAACTGCCAAAACTCTGGAGGGATGCTGGGTGGTTTTGTCTAGGTTTGGAGCCCATCACAGCCCAAGAACCCCTGGACCAGCTATGTTCACTGAAACATCACATGGTATCTAGAGGGTCCTTGAATGGCACACTTGTCACAACTTTTTGTGCTCAAAAACAGTCACTGGAGGATCTTTTAAAAGTGCAAATTATAGATCTAGAGTGGGGCTAATATTTTGCATTGCTAACGGGTCCCCAGGAGATGCCTGTGCTGGTCCATGGACCACACTTTGAGTAACCAGGCAGATGTACACTGAAAAGCAACTCCCATCGTGCCGAGAAAGCTGGCTGGCTCCAGTGACCTGAACTATTTGAAAGAGTGGGTAACTGAAGAGGAAAGAAAACAGCCTGAAATGGAAATAAATACTGTGTACCACAATCTCATTAATGTCTAAAATTAGATTAACATAATTAAAAATTTAAAAGCTAGATTAAAGCATGTCAGCCTGAAATCCAGTGGTGAATTATGCCACAGCTATCTTTGCTTTTTCCTTAACGGTTTGTGCTAATGGGTATTTCAAAGACTACTGGGTTACACGTTGTTCTTTGTGATTTTTGATTATCACCAAACACATGCAATTGACCCGATTTCCAAGGAGATGGCTCTCCCAGGACATGGCTACCATGACACTCCAAAAATGTAAAATCATGCTCAACCTTGGGCCCTCTCCTCTGACTGCCAAGTAGGCTTCTTTGGGGAAAGAAAAGAGGCTTAGTTACTCTCCAGATGGTAGGCATGCACCTTACATGTGTCATGCCAGTCATGGTGAGTGGCACAAATATTATTGAGGTTCCCATTTTTAATGTATTATTATTATTATTATTCGAGATGGATTTTCGCTCTGTCGCCCAGGCTGGAGTGCAGTGGTGTGATCTCAGCTTACTGTAACTTCTCGGGTTTAAGCGATTCTCCTACCTCAGCCTCCCGAGTAGCTGGGATTACATGTGTGTCCACCATGCCCGGCTAATTTTTGTATTTTCAGTAGACACGGGAATTTCACCATGTTGGCCAGGCTGGTCTCAAACTCCTGACCTTAAATGATCCTCCCACCTCAGCCTCCCAAAGTGCTGAGATTACAGGTATGAGCCACCATGCCTGGCCTGAGGTTCCCATTTTATAAGTAAAGAAACTGAGGTTCCTAGAGGTACAGTAAGCTGCTTGAGGTCACATAGCTAATTAGTGGAAGAGAGCTGGGATCCTAACGCAGTTCCGTTTGATTTCAAAGCATCCATATTCTTTTCATGGCCTCTCTGAAGAATAAACCATCACATGGTTCCATTTAAGGAGTGAATGCATATGCACATGTGTGCAGGCAGAAGAGTGGTGCTGCCAAGAGAAATGGAGACAGAGTAAACATCTAATCATAAAATGTCTATCTCTTTGTTTCTGCTCAAGTTGTCATACTGAACCCATTACCACTGATATAACTTACTACATATTTGAACATAATTGGACTAAGTGATCTGTTCCCTCGCCAGATTCACAAAGCACTTATTAGCTCAGGCTTCTGGTCCTGGAGTTATTAAGTCTGTTCTCATCCACCAGGAGATTAGGTTCCTGAGGGTGAATATCACCTTGGAGACATTTCAGATTGCCATGACTTTAACCCTAAAATGGGTACGGTCGTCTTTTCCTGGAATAGGTGGACAAAAGAAGGCAAAGTGGGGCGGGGACTCCGTGGAGCTAGGCACGGGTCATCATGGCCATGCGTTCATGGGATATGTCCACACCCCCGCCAAGCTTCTCTCTTGAGTCCCCAGACTTGCAGTTTGGCCAAAACATCTCCCTATAAATCTGATTTCCTTCCAGGAAGTGAGATATTTTGAAAGAGTCTTGGGAGTGAACTTTGCCTAACCTAAGTTACACTGGGAGGATATTGTTGCAGGTAAAGGCTGCTTGCTAAAGGGCTGTTGCTTTGAACTGCAGACTGCTATTCTCGTTTAGTTATATAAGCCGGAGAGTTATGTCTACTTTGGTTGTTGTTGTTGAGACGGAGTTTCGCTCTTGGTGCCCAGGCTGGAGTGCAGTGGCGTGATATCGGCTCACCACAACCTCCACCTCCCAGGTTCAAGCGATTCTCCTGCCTCAGCCTCCCTAGTAGCTGGGATTACAGGCATGCGCCACCACGCCCGGCTAATTTTGTATTTTTTTAGTAAAGACTGGGTTTCTTCATGTTGGTCAGGCTGGTTTCGAACTCTCGAACTCAGGTGATCCGCCTGCCTCGGCCTCCTGAAGTGCTGGGATTACAGGCATGAGCCACTGCGCCTGGCCCTATGTCTACTACTATTTTTGTTTTAGAAGTATTTACTGAGGACCAAATGGGTGCTGGCTAGTCTTCTGGATGCTGAGACTAGAGCAGTAAACAAAATTTGGATGCTAGAGGGGAATATATTAAAAATACAGCCAAAATGTAAAATGGTTCAGCCTCTGTGGAAAACATATCTGTGGTTTCTTAAAAAGTTAAACCAAATTACTATATGACCCAGCAACTCCATTCTTCAAAGTACTGAAAACAGATACTCAAACAAATGGTATACACATGTTCACAGTGGCATTATTCACAATAGCCCACAAGGTGGAAAGAATTCAAATGTCCATCAGTAGATGAACAGATGAGCAAAATGCTGTATATCCCTACAATGGAATATTATTTGGCCATGAACAGGAACGGCATTCTGACACATGCTACAAGATGCATGAACCTTGAAAACATCATGCTAAGTGAAAGAAGTTGGATGTAAAAGGTCATGTACTATATAATTCCATTTGTATGAAAATATTCAGAATAGGTAAATCCGTAGAGTCAGAAAGCAGATTGGTGGTTGCTGGGAGCTGATGGAGGGGGGATGAGGAGAGACCGTGTCATGGGTATGGGGTTTTCTTCTGTAATGATGAAAGTGTCTTGTAACTAGATAGCAGTGGTGCGTGTGCAAAATTGTGAATGGACTCAATGCCACTGAATTGTACACTGAAAATAGTTATTTTTGGTAATATGAATATCACTTCAATTTACAAAAATGGAGATTAATAAGATTATTTCTGATAATAAGAGTTAATAGGAAAATTATAAAGAGTAATGAGGTGAAGGGTCAACAGGCATTGTTGGTGAAATGGTCAAAGAGGAACTCCACCAGGGGGCGACACTGAGGAGATATTGATGACCCATGAGAGAAAACCTTGCAAGGACTGGGGCAGAGCTTTGCGGGCAGGAGGAAGAACAAGAACAAAGGTTGGGAGGCAGGCATGTGGTGGGCCAGTTGGATGCCAGCATGGTGATTAAAGGTGGATGCGACAAGAGCCCATAATGTGAGGTAGACAGGAGCTGGATCCTGGAAACTTCCCTGACAGGTCAGAAACTCGTACAAATATTTGAACTCAGATATCAGGGGAAGCCACTGGAGAGTTACAACCAGGGAACATATACTGATTTGCATTTTTAAAAATCGATGTAGGGCTGGGTATGGTGGCTCACGCCTATAATACCAGCACTTTTGGAGGCTGAGGCAGGGGAATCACTTGCGGTCAGAAGTTCTAGACCAGCCTGGCCAATACGGCAAAACCCCATCTCTACTAAAAATACAAAAAAATTAGCTGAGCATGGTTGTGGGCGCCTGTAATTCCAGCTACTCAGGAGGCTGATGCAGGATAATCACTTGAATCTGGGAGGTGGAAGTTGCAATGAGCTGAAATTGTGCCATTGCACTCCAGCCTGGGCAACAGAGTGAGACTCTATCTAAAAAAAACAAAAAACAAAAAAACCCAACAAAAACAAATTGATGTAAAATTCACATAACATAAAATTAACCGTGCTGAAGTAGACAATTCAGTGGGCTTTAGCTCATTCCCAGTGTTGTGCAGCTACCCCCTCTCTTGTTCCAGGATATTTTCATCAGCCCAAAAGGAGACACTGTATTCATAGTCAGTCACCTCCCATTCCCTGTGCCCCAACCGACAACTAATCTGCTTTCCTTCTCTATGGATTTCCATATTTGGGGTGCTTTTAAAGTTAATTATTTATTTTTGAGACAGGGTCTCATTCCGTTGCCCAGGCTGGAGTGCAGTGGCATGATGTTGGCTTACTGCAACCTCTGCCTCCCAGCATGCACCACCATGTCTGGTTAATTTTTTTGTAGAGATGGGTTTTGCCATGTTGCCCAGGCTAGTCTTGAACTCCTGAGCTCAAGTGACCCACCCACCTCGACCTCCCAAAGTGCTGGGATTACAGGCGTGCACCACCAGGCCCAGCTAATTTTGTATGATAATGGAAATTTTATTACTCTATAAAACATACCAACAATTGAGCAAAGACTGTCCAAAAAATTGTTCCCATCCCCAGGACTCAAATCTCCCCACTATCTTTCACTTCAAAATCAGACCACAGCTGTCTTTGTACAATTTTTTTCCAACATTTAGAATTTTACCACATCTAGAAGTTCTCAGGTCAGGTGATTCTTTAAACAATCGTGCATCTATCTGCTTGCATTGACATTCCCCCGTCTACTTCTGCAGATGAAGTCTCAACCATTGTCACCTCCTCCCCAGGCAATGGCAGTATGTAGGAATGTAAAACGGAGCAGCCAGTGTGGAAAATAGTTCAGCGGTTTCCCAAAAAGTTAAAGAATGATCACAGAGCCTAGCAATTCTGCTCCCAAGTAGATGCCCAAAGGAATTGAAAACAAGTGTTCAAACAAATACTCTTACAAAAATGTTCACGACAGCACTAGTTATAAAGGCCAAAAGGTGGAAACAACCCAAATGTCCATCAACAGACGAATGGATAAAGAAAATATGGTATATCGATACAATGGAATATTATTCCACCATAAAAAGGAACAATAAACTGATACATGCTTCAATGTGGGTGAACCTTGACAACAGTCTGCTAATGGAAAGATCTCAGACACAAAGTCATATATGGTATGATGCCATTTATATAAAACATCCAGGCCAGGCAGACCACTCCATCTCAAAAAAAAAAAAAGAAAGAATAAAAAAGAAAATTTCCTTGCCAGCTAGCTTGAAAATCTCTCTTGGGGCCCAAATTGGCCTTGTTTAGGAAGACACTTTGATGAGTATCTGGGAGGAAAATGAAACCCTGAAGTCATCTGTCAATTAAAACCAAAGTCCAGGAAAATCAAGTTTTAAAGGTATTCCAGAATTTCCCGTAGTATGGAGGAAAGAAAGAGACAGGAGGTGAGAGAGGCATCCAGTGACAAAATGTGGCTGCCTGAGGGTCATTAGCTAGTGAAGAATTTCTGGTGAACTTTGTTGAATCCTCTGGCTTCAATCCTTTCCCTGTGAGAAGGTGGGGAAACTCAGTCCCAGAGCAGCAAAATGCTTGCAAAAAGAGGATAATGGCAAGCAGGGTGCAGTGGCTCACGCCTGTAATCCCAGCACTTTGGGAGGCCGTGGCAGGCGGATCATGAGGTCAAGAGATAGAGACCATCCTGGCCAACATGGTGAAACCCCATCTCTACTAAAAATACAAAAATTAGCTGGATGTGGTGGCACGTGCCTGTAGTCCCAGCTACTCAGGAAACTGGGGCAGGAGAATCGCTTGAACCCAGGAGGCAGAGGTTGCAGTGAGCCGAAATCGTGCCACTGCACCCTAGCCTGACGACAAAGTGAGACTGTCTCAAAAAAAAAAAAAAAAGAGGTAATGGCAAAAACAAAAATCAAATGTGCTTTCTACTTTTCTCCTGCTATAGAATGTTTCTGAAGCACTTCTCTAAGGAGAGACAAATGAATGCCCAAGCTATACTCTCTATAAATTTACACTTACATGAAAGGAAGAAGTCATCCCTTCATTCATCCATCTATCCACCCATCCACCCATCAATCCATTGATATATCAGTTTGTCTGTCCATCCATTCATCTTCCTATCCATCTTTCCTTCTATCCATCCATCCATCCGTCCGTCCGTCCGACCGTCCGTCCGTCCGTCCGTCCATCCATCCATCCATCCATCCATCCATCTGTCCATCCATCCAACCATCCATCCATTTCATCAATTAACAAATATTTTAGCACTTAATGAGCTGAAGTCAGGGATTTTCATTGCAGGCCTATAGGCCATGACCAAACATTTGAATTTTATTCTAACAGTAATGAGGTTTTATGTAAGGGTTTTAACCTGGGGCTAGCTTCATCTTATTTAAGTTATAATGATTACTTTGGAATATGGAAGATGGACTGGAGGGAGCAAAAGCAGAAATTGAAAGATGTATCATCTAAATAACACAGTCCAACAATCCTATTGCCTTCAATCACATGGGCTTCTGTGCAATTCAACAGGCACCTTTTACAATTTTTTCAATAGATTTTTGGCGAACAGGTAGCGTTTGGTTACACGAATAAATACTTTAGTGGTGATTTCTGAGATTTTGGTATACCCATTACCCAAGCAGTGTGCACTGTACCCAATGTGTAGCCTTTTATCCGTCACCCCCAACACCCTTTCCCTGAGTCCCCAAAATTCATTGTATCATTATTATGCCTTTGCATCCTCATAGCTTAGCTCCCACTTATGAGTGAGAACATACAATGTTTGGTTTTCCATTCCTGAGTTACTTCACTTAGAATAATGGTCTCCAATCCCATCCAGGTTGCTGTGAATACCATCATTTCATTCATTTTTACTGCTGAGTAGTATTCCATGGCTTGTATATATATCACAATTTCTTTCTATATCACAATTTATTTATCCACTTGTTGATTGATGGGCATTTGGACTGGTTCCATATTTTTGCAATGGCGAATTGAAACAGACACTTATTGAGCTGCTACTGAATACCAGGCCCAGTCAATCTGGGTGCAGGGATGACCACTGAATGTTTCCTTCCCTCATTGGAGCTGATACTACAGTGGTGGATGGAGAGAAGAAAGCTGACAATTGTGACCAGGATGGGACAGCAGATACACAGATGCCAAGACAGTAAGGGTGGAGGCCTTGACAAAGTCTAATAAAGGCAGAGGTAAGCCCTCCAAGGGGGGCTTCTTGGAGGAATTGGTATTTAAGCTGAGGATATAAGGATGCCTGGGACTTGGCTGGGAAGTGTACTCTTAGCAAAGAAAACAGGGTGAGTGAAGGCACAAAGCATGACACTGCAGAGTTTCACGTGGGAAGCCACAAGAGCCCTTCAGGAATGAGGCAGAATACTACATGGGTATGTGCGTGGAGGGGTTGTGGGCAGGCGTGGTGACAGCTGACAACTGGGGTCACTATGAGTAGAAAATGAGACTCGAGATACCAGTGGAGGCTAAGTCATGACAGATCATATGTAGATTACATCCTGATGGTACTGGGGAGGTACTGATTATAAAAAGGAGAGGGTATAAATCCCCCTTCCTTTGCTTCTTTCTGAGTACAGAGCCATGGTCTGAGCACATCTGGATGAGAAAGAACGTTTGAAGGCTGAGCCCTTAGGAAGCAAATTCCATATGCCATTTGTTGGTATAAGATGTTTATGTGGGGAACATATTTTCAGGTGCAATTATTTCTCTTGCAAAAACATGACCTGTTTCTCCTATTATACTTATCATCTATTTATTTTGAAGAGTGAGAAAACAGACTTTAAAAATGAACAAAAATTTAAACCTGCAATTTTTTCATCTAGTGATAACTGTTACTATTTTATTGTATGATCTGTCATTTAAAATTACATAATCACGACTTTTCTATAAATGGGATCATAGCCTGCACACTGCTTTATTAGTTGCTTTTTTAGTTGGAAATACAGCATCAACAGCCTCTGTGTTTTCTTCCAAGGGCTGCCAAAACAAAGTGAATGGCTTAAAACAATAGACATGTATTATAGGTTTAGAGGCTAGAAGTCCAAAATCAAGGTGCTTGCAGGGCCACCTTCCTTCTAAATCCCATAGGAGAATCCTTCCTGGCCTCTTTCTGGCTTATGGTGGTCACTGGTAATCTTTGGCGCCCCTTGGCTTACAGTTGCATAACCCCAGTTTCAGCCTTTGTCACTTGACATTCTCCCTGTGGCTCTCTGTCCTCACATGGTTGTCTTCCCATGGGACACCTTTTGTGATGGTTCATGCTGCATATCAACTTGATTAGATTGAGGGATACAAAGTATTAACCCTGGGTGTGTCTGTGTGGGTGCTGCCAAAAAAGATTAACATTTGAGTCAAGGGGCTGGGGAAGGCAGACCCACCCTTAATCTGGTGGGCACCATCTATCAGCTTCCAGGGAATACAAAGTAGGCAGAAAAACTTGAAAAGGAGAGACTGGTCCAGCCTCCCAGCCTACATCTTTCTCCCGTGCTGGATGCTTCCTGCCATCGAGCATCAGACTCCAAGTTCTTCCGTTTTGGGACTCAAACTAGCTCTCCTTGCTCCTCAGCCTGCAGGCAGCCTATTGTGGGACCTTGTGATTGTGCAAGTTAATATTTAATAAACTCCCCTTTATATATATTTATATGTGTATATATATGTGTGTGTATATATGTGTGTGTGTATGTATATATATATCTCAAAAAGTTAAAGAATGATCACAGAGCCTAGCAATTCTGCTCCCAAGTAGATGCCCAAAGGAATTGAAAACAAGTGTTCAAACGAATACTCTTACAAAAATGTTCATGACAGCACTAGTTATAAAGGCCAAAAGGTGGAAACAACCCAAACGTCCATCAATTATATATATATATATATATACACACACATATCCTATTAGTTCTGTCCCTCTAAGAGAACCCTAATACACCTTTCATATTGGACTAGGGGCCCACCTTACTCCAGAAATATCTCGTCTTCACTAAACATCTGCAGCCACCCTATTTCCAAGGAAGGTCACATTTTGAAGTACTAGGGGTTAGGACTTTGTGAAAGGAAAGTACCTTGGGCCCCCAAAATCGCTAAGCTAAAAGGAAAATTCAAGCTGGAAACTGCTGAGGGCAAACCTGCCTCCCATTTTATTCAAAGTCATCTCTGTGCTCACTGAGATAGATACATATTCTGATTGCCTCCTTTGGAAAGGCTTATCAGAAACTCGAAAGGATGCAACCATTTGTCTCTCACCTACCTGTGACCTGGAAGCCCCCTCCCTGATTTGAGTTGTCCCTTTGTCCCCGCCTTTCTGGACAGAACCAACGTACTTCTTACATATATTGACTGATGTCTCACGTCTCCCTAAAATGTATAAAACCAAGCTGTGCCCCGACCAGCCTGGGCACATGTCGTCAGGACTGCCTGAGGCTGTGTCACGGGCACGTCCTCAACCTTGGTAAAATACACTTTCAAAATTAACTGAGGCCTGTCTCAAATTTTTGGGGTTCACAACTTCGACTTTTTTTTTTTTTGAGATGGAGTCTCGCCTTGTCATCCAGGCTGGAGTGCAGTGGCACGATCTCAGCTCACTGCAACCTCCACCTGCTGGGTTCAGGCAATTCTGCCTCAGCCCCCTGAGTAGCTGGGGCTACAGACACACACCACAAGGCCTGGCAAATTTTTTTTTTTTTTTTTTTTTTTTTTAGTAGAGAAGGGATTTCACCATGTTGGTCAGGCTGGTCTTGAACTGCTGACTTTGTGATCCGCCCACCTCAGCCTCTCAAAGTGCTGGGATTACAGGTGTGAGGCACCACACCCAGAGGACATATCTTTTTTTTTTGATGGGGGAGACTCGGTGTAACTCATAACAGCCTCACTTGCCATCTAACACTATTTTTACTGGCTACACACTATTACATTTTGTAAATGTACAAATGTCCCTGGGTCCATCTTTGTCACACTGAACAAGCAATCTGCTGCGTGTCCTTGTCCTGCCGTGTGTGGTGACAGCAGCCATCAGCCTGAGCACTGTGATGCTGGGTACCTTCCAAACTCACCCAATCTTCCGCTCCCTGCTAGTTGCTACTGACAGAAAAAGACGGTGGACTCAAGTTCTCTGAAAATCCTTTCAAACACAAGGGCAAGAGCAAAAAGGAAAACTTCACATAACCAGAAGAGTCAATGGATCAGAATTTCCCCCAGGCATTCTGGTTCATGCAGATTTGACCACATTTTGGAACAAAACCAGTTCTAAGTGGTCTACTCATCAGTTGCTCACCTGAATGCAACAATTACTATTATTATTTTTTGAGACAGAGTCTCGCTCTGTCACCAGGCTGGAGTGCAGTGGCACAATCTCAGCTCACTGCAACTTCACCTCCTGGGTTCAAGCGATTCTCCTGCCTCAGCCTCCCGAGCAGCTGGGATTATAGGCACACGTCATTAGGCCCAGCTAATTTTTGTATGTTTAGTAGAGACGGGGTTTCACTATGTTGGCCAGGATGGTCTTGATCTCCTGGCCTTGTAATCTGCCCGCCTTGGCCTCCCAAAGCGCTGGGATTATAGGCATGAGCCACCACACCCGGCCATAACAATTATTTTATTCAACCTGCCTTATGAATGTAGGCAAAAAGCATCCAACTCCAGTTTCCCAGGATATCACTCATTATCCCAAAAGATGTGGCAGCAGCCTAGAAAGCAAGTCTGTTTTAAACCATAAAACCTCCCCTTTGTGAGCAGGAGACCTTCCGCACCACGTCTTCACACACACATGGAGCAACAGTACTTTGTGTTGCCTGTTGCGGCTGTAAAGAGGTTTTCATGCACACTGGCCCATTTGATTATCTAAGCAGTCCAGCTGGAAGGTCAGGACCATTCATACCTGAGGCTTTGGAACATCCTGACTTGCCCAAACCTGCTCAGCTTATAACCGCCACCACCACAAATCAGGAATTCAGCCATGTGTGGATAGACAGTCTTATTCAATCTTCCCCAAAACATAAGAAAGTGCTGTGTTCTTTTCCCTTCTAGAGAAAAATAAACTAACCCTTAGGAAACACGCTACCTGACCCATGCTCAGACAGTTAGACAGTACTGGAACTGGGTCTTGAACCCACACTGCCTCCCTCCCCAGGCCATGTTTGTAACCACAAAGCTAACTTGTGCTGGGCTAAGACAGACTTTTAACTCCTTGAATCTTGACTCTTTTTGCCGCATGACCTGGTTTGGTTCAACAATGGCAATTTATCTCTATTTAAAAGCAGATGTTGGGACGGGCATGGTGGCTCACGTCTGTAATCCCAGCACTTTGGGAGGCTGAGGAAGGTGGGTCACCTGAGGTTAGGGGTTTGAGACCAGCCTGACCAACATGGGGAAACCCCGTCTCCACTAAAAATACAAGAATTAGATGGGCGTGGTGGCGGGCACCTGTAATCCCAGCTACTCGGGAGGCTGAGGCAGGAGAATAGCTTGAACTCAGTGGGAGGAGGTTGCAGTGAGCCAAGATCATGCCGGTACACTCCAGCCTGGTTGACAGAACAAAACTCCTTCTCAAAAAAAAAAAGGAATGGATGCTGGCTGGGTACACTGGCTCACACCTGTAATCCCAGCACTTTGGGAGGCCAAGGCGGGCGGATCACTTGAGGTCAGGAGATTGAGACCATCCTGGCTAACAAAGCGAAACCCTGTCTCCACTAAAAATACAAAAAATTACCCAGGCGTGGTGGCACACGCCTGCAGTCCTAGCTACTCAGGAGCTACTGAAGCAGGAGAATCACTCGAACCTGGGAGGCGGAGGTTGCAGTGAGCCAGATGGCCCCACTGCACTCCAGTCTGGGTGACAGACGTAGACTCTGTCAAAAACAGAACAAAACAACAAAAATGATCTTTTAAAGTTACTTACTATCTAGGATACCTGCTAGGCTGTAGGCTCCGTCTGGAAGTGTGTGACAACTTAGGTCCTTGATAAGTATTTGCCAAGAAGGAGAAGGGATGGGTAGATGGGCTGGGCTGTCTGCAAAGTTGAAGCTCACCAGACCCCAGCTTCCTTCCTTCTGGGATGCATGAAACAGAGAAGTGTCAAAATGTCCAGCAAGGTAAATGACTTCCTGCTCCAAAGCATGGAAGGCTCATTTTCACCCCACTTAGCAGTGAATTATGTTACCTGCTGGTGAGGACAACTCCAGGAGGCCCGTAATTAGTTCCCTGATTATTCACAATTGAAGCGATCACGGCTAACTGATGGTGTTCCCACAAAAACCTGTAGGAGAGCCAGGCCATTTGGCAGCAACTGCGTTCCCAACAAGGCAGATCAATTTCCGTTTGATTTGTTTAAAAATAACAGATAAACAATGCGGAGCAGCTCGCAAGGTTTGGGTTCCTCCTTTCCTAAAATTTGAGGAAAGGAGGCCGTTTGAAATTACCAGTTAGGAATAAAACAGGCAGATCACATTCGTGGCTCAATCGGATTCCCCTATAATCAGAGCTAATAACTGTATTTTTCTGCTACTAAACAATTCTGTTATTTTAAAGCTAACTATACCGAGCTGGCTAAATAATACTCAGGGGCTGGCCACAGAGAAGACTCCCTCTGAAATGCAGCGATGATGCCCACTTTTTCCTACTTTGTTCTAATTTTGTCCCCAGCTGATGGGTGACCTGCTGACTCTTGCTGGGAGAGAGGCTGGAGGGATGTCCAGGGAGATTTTTTAAGAAACCTAGAATCTCACACCTTTCCCTGGAATACAAAGGGAACCAACCCATGTTTCCTTGAGGATAATGAATTTTAAAGGCTTCTCGACCTGGATTCACTCATAATCTGAGCTCTTCCTTGACCTCTGCTATTTTCCAAATATCTAAATTCCGTCCCTTTCTCAGCTAAGTCCTTCAATGACTTCCCACTGCCATTAAGATATGCCTAAGCCACTTAGGTGGCTGGCATGGCCCTGTCTGCCGGTCCCTCACCTACTTCTCTGGCCCCAAATTCCTCCATCCACCCGCAACTCCCTTTCCTTCATGTTCCCACTACACTGAATTATGATCTGCATGGAGCAGCATGATAGAGGCTATGGACTCTAGCAGCCAGGGTGCCTGCTTCTAACTCTAGCTCCACCATTCATCAGCTGTGTGACCTGGGGCAAGTCATGTGACCTCTTTGGGCCTCAGTGGCCACATCGATAACATGGGAATCATAGAAGTACTTGCCCTGTAATGTAGCTGTGACCATAGATGCATTAATGACTGCATGGTGCTGAGATGGTGGTTGGTGCAAGCCCGTGTGCCTGGCAGAGATTGGTCGTTTGTACTACTTTTTGTTTGTTTGTTTTGTTTTTTGGAGACGGAGTTTCACTCTTGTCACCCAGGATGGAGTGCAATGGTATGATCTCGGCTCACTGCAACCTCCACCTCCTGAGTTCAAGTGATTCTCCTGCCTCAGCCTCCCAAGTAGCTGGGATTACAGGCACCCACCACCATGGTTGGCTAATTTTTGTTTTTTAGTAGAGACAGGGTTTTGCCATGTTGGCCAGGCTGGTCTCGAACTCCTGACCTCAGGTGATCTGTCCGCCCCAGCCTCCCAAAATGCTGGGATTACAGGCCTGAGCCACTGCCCCCAGCCAGCACTACTCTTCAAAGGTGCTTTTTTTTTTCCTCTTTGCATATGTGGTTTCCGTTGTCAGGATTACTCTTTCTGTCTCTAATTCTTTGCTTTCTTATTTGACTCATCTTTTGGTATTTAGCTTAGACGTGACCTCTGCCTGGAATCCTTCCAGATGCCATAGCCTTCCTCTGGAGCCAAGAGCATCCTCAACTTCCTCCATCATAGACATCTCCCCCTGTGGATTGTAATTACATATTTGTGTGTGTCTTATCGCCACCACCAGGGTTTCTCAGCCTCAGCACTACTGATCTATCGACATTTGGGGCCAGATTATTCTTGGTTGTGGGGGGCCATCCTGTGCACTCTGTGATGTTCAGCACCACCCCTGGCCTCTACGCACTAGATGATGGCAGCAGCCCTCCTCAACCCCTAGTTGTGACTATCAAAAATGTCTCCAGACATGGCCTAGTGTCCCTGGGTATGGGCAGATATGAAATTGCTCCTGGTTGAGACCACTACACTAAACCATAAGCTGAGGGGACAGGAAATGTGTCTGTCTTTCTCATCCCAATTCTCTAAGCACCTAGAATAGCCCCAAGTGATTATTTGGTCTTTAATTAATGTCTGCGGAACAGAAGAATGTGGATTCTGGGGCCAGGAGCGGTGGCTGATGCCTGTAATCCTGCACTTTGGGAGGCTGAGGTGGAAGGATCACCGAAGGTCAGGAGTTCGAGACCAGTCCAGCCAACATGGTGAAACCCCGTCTCTGCTAAAAAAAAATACAAAAAATTAGCCAGGCATGGTGGCACATGCCTGTAATCCCAGTTACTTGGGAGGCTGAGGCAGGAGAATCGCTTGAACCCGGGAGGCGGAGGTTGCGGTGAGCTGAGATAGATAGTGCAATAGCACTCCAGCCTGGACAATGAAGAGCGAAACTCCATCTCAAAAAAAAAAAAAAAAAAAAAAAAAAAAAAAAAAGGAGATTCTACACTGAGCAGCAAAGCAAATCAGGTCAAAGTGAAAAGACCTGAGTTCCCCTCCTGGATGTGCCAGTCCCTGGCTGCATGACTTGGAGAGGCCCAAGTTTGGTTCTTTGAAGTGACTTGAATGAGCATCCTTGTGTGGTCACAGACAGCAGCATCAGCATCACCTGGGAATTTGCTAGAAATGCTCATTCTCTGGATCCCCCAGACCAGTGAATCAGAATTGCAGGGAGGAGCTCTGAAATTTGTGTTTTCACAAGCTCTCTAGGAGTTTCTGATTCATCCTTCCTCAGTTCTCAGATCACCCCTGGCCAATCTTAGAATTCACCTGGAATGCTTTTTAATAAAGGATGCTTAGGAGGCTAGATTTTCCCGGTCCAAGTGCATAAGAAGCTCTGGCATTCAGGCTGGCCATCGGTGTTTTTCACCTGCTTCAGGTGATTCCAATGCACACACAGCCAGGACTGAGATGTTCTCGACGCGCAGAGGCTGTTCTAAATCTCTGTGCTTCCCACGTTAAAGCTTTTGGGAACTGCATTAACTCTTTCAGTCCACCAGAGGGCCATTTACAGTGCTAGGAAAGGGACAGGGTTATCATTTCATGTCCTGGGGCACATGGAGCCATAGACCATAAGTACACAGGTAGAAGTAAGTGTCCAAGACCTTCCTCTCTAGCTGTACCTGGAAAAATACCAGACCGGAATGTGAAGCATCAGAAATGACTCTAAGGCTTGACTCATGCTCTTGCAATAACCCTGGGACAGCCAAGAGGAACAGGCCAACCTCAACCAGGATTCTCTATTTAACCCACTAGTTTTAAAAGCCATGTCCAAGAATCCTCTCTATAAATTCATTTTTGAAGCCCTCCGTGTCCCTGGGTTCATGAAAGCTTTTTTGTTCAGAAGGTGGCTGCAGTTTATTATACAGAGTAGATGCGAAGCCAGACATACCTGTGTTTCTGAGAACCTGTTTCCCTCCTCTGGATCTCAGATTTTATTATTTTAGTTTTTTGAGACAGAGTCTCACTCTGTTGCCCAGGTTGGAGTGCAATGGCATGATCTCGGCTCACTGCAACCTCCACCTCCGGGTTCAAGTGATTCTCGTGCCTCAGCCTCCCGGAGTAGCTGAGATTACATGTGCCTGACACTACACTTGGCTAATTTTTGTATTTTTAGTAGAGATGGGGTTTCACCATGTTGGCCAGACTGGTCTCAAACTCCTGACCTTAGTTGATCCACCCACCTCGGCCTCCCAAAGTGCTGGGATTACAGGCGTGAACCACCGCGCCCAGCCTGGACCTCAGATTTTAAATGAGGGTAATGAAGCTTAGCTGGCTAGGCTGCGATGAGGTTCAACATAGGTGAACAGGTGAAACACCAGCCTCAAACAGTCGCTTAGTAACTCTGTGGTTCTCAAAAGCACCCTGGGATGTGGTTCTCAAAAGCACCCTGAGATGCGGTTCTCAAAAGCACCCCGACACCAGCAGCTTCGTCAGGAAGCTTGCTAGAACTGCACATTTTCAGATGTCTCCTGCCCTACCCCCGCCGCAAGAAAAATACTGAATTGGAAACTTTGGGGGTGGAATAACTTAGCCTCTCTGAGTCTCAATTTTCTCATTTTTGAAACCAGAATAACAGTACCTGCATCTCAGAGACCCACTGTAAGGGTTAAATGAGCTATGTACATCAACTTCTTAGCACAGTGCTGGCATACAGCAAGAGCTCAGTAAATGGTAGCTTTCACTGTTATTGCAATTATTATCATCTTCAAAGCTCCCTGCCCCATGCAAGCCTTAGAAAGAATCTTTCGTCAGAACTCTGCACAAGTATCTCTTATTGAACTTTGCAAAATACCGTATTTTGGCTCTGAATGCTCCCTGTGGACTACAACTTGCAGAGCAGGAGCTCAGTACACCAATATGCCCTGTGAATACCTCAGCCAACATTATAACTCATTCTGAGAGATGCCATCTGTGTTAGTCCGTTTTCACACTGCTATAAAGAACTTCTCTGAGACTGGGTCATTTATAAAGGAAAGAGGTTTAACTGACTCAGTTCTGCATGGTTCGGAGGCCTCAGGAAACTTACAATCATGGCAGAAGAGGAAGCAGGCACTTTCTTCACAAGGCGGCTGGAGAGAGAGGAAGAAGCACAAAGGACTAACTTCCAAACTCTTATAAAACCATCAGATCTCATGAGACCTCACTCACTATTATGAGAACGGCATGTGGGAGATTGCCCCCGTGATCCAGTCACCTCCTTCTCTTGACATGTGGGGATTACCAGTCCCCCTCTTGACTCGTGGGGGTTACAAGTTGAAATGAGATTTGGGTGGGGACAGAGCCAAACCATATCACCATCGCTCGGAGCAATACAACTATTTACTGTAGGGTCGCATTATGGATTGTGATCTATTTAGTTCTACCCCGCTGTCAGAAAGACTGGCTTTCCCTCCACCAACCAGGAACAAGCGAATGGGCTTGGGGCAAGGAAAAGAACAACAAACAAACAGCAAATAGGACCTGAAAAATATTACACTCATGGTCAGAGAAAATGAAAAAGATACTGCAGGAGGGAAACTGAGTCAGCTCTGAGTGGCCTTGCGGCAGTGACAGAGAACTTTCCAGACGAATCCATGGAGGCAGAGGGGTGTCTGATATTTGCATCTGCCAGCTGTCAGAAAGAGCTGGATTTTCAAGGTGGAAGAGAGATAAGTGGAAGGTGGGATTGAAATTTACCTTCATGCAGGTTTCAGTAATCAGGGTGAGAAGTAGAGAATCCTCAGCTGAAGATAGTTACTTTCTGCAAAAGTGGGCTTTCCTTTCTTTCTCTTTTCTTGTAAGGGATTATTTTCCTGCTCAGTCTCCTGAGTCTCCCCCAGTGGCCCCAGCATCTATGACCCACCATTCCCTGAGGGCTTAACTGGTCATTAGCTAAAAAGAAGTTGAATGAAGGTGGGGCTCTCTGCAGTTATTAAGGGTTGAGAATGCAAATGCCATGAGAGGGAAGAATTTATCTGAAACATATGAGCAACAGCAAACAACGGACACTGAGGACTAAGGAATGCATGCCTCAATTAAAAGCATTTACATTGAAACGCAAAATTAAAGCCAATTACATTGATAAAACTAATGAAATATGGTATTAATACATAACACACTTATTGCCTGTGTGACTTAACTGTGTAATAACAATAAGAATGGCAGCATAGGACTAGATTCCAGTTGCTGTGGCCTCAAAAGGGACGGATTTGATCGTACTTGTTCCCACTTCCTGGAAAATAGTGGCTTTTCATGATCTGGCAGCTGAAGCAGCAGCACCATGCTGCTGTAAGTGCTGCTGATGGGGATTTATTCAAATGTGAATTAGACGAAGCTGGTTTGGACAGGCGATGAGTCGGGGAACGCTGGGACATCCTCCCTGTGACAAAGTCCTTTCACAAGCAAAGACTCCCCAGCCCAACAGTGATCCCTGGGTGTTTCAAGAAATCCATTCAGCCTGAAGTCTGAATGCCAGCTCTGCTACTTTTAGCTGCATGATCTTGAACTTGTTCTGAATGGCTCTGACTCAGTTTCCCCATGTGGAACATTGGGAAGATTACACTTACCTCTTGGAATTGCCATGAATCAAAGACATTGTTGACTAAGTGTCCAGCAGTGTACCCGGCACACAGTAGACTTTCAACCAATAGTTCTTATTGATAGTATTATTATCATTTATTACTGCTACTACCACTACATCCCTCCAAAAATTGATCCAGGATGGGTGTGTCAAATGGCAGGGTAAATTATTGTTAAGAATGGAGGAACAGCAGACTACAGAATTTTAGGAGAATGTATTATTCTTAGGAGATGCATGCTGAGTTATCAGGGGTGAAGCATCATGATATATGAAATTTACTTTCAAATGGTTCAGAAGAACATTGTGTGTGTGTGTGTGTGTGTGTGTGTGTGTGTGTGTGTGTGTGTGTAGAGAGAGAGAGAGAGAGAGCTCCTGAGAGAGCAGAAATTGCTGTGTCAACAATTTTGAATCTAAGGCAAAAGATACGCAGATGGTCATTATACTATACTATTCTTTCAGCCTTTGTCTGGAGCCAGGCTTCCTACGTTCAAATCTTCACTCTCTCACTTACTAGCTATATGATAACTTCTGGCAAATTAAAGAAACACTCAGTGCCTCAGTTTCACCATCTTAAGATGAGAATCATTAAAATGCCTAACTCAAAGGGCTTTTGTGAGGACGAAATGAGTTAATGTACTTAGAATCATTTATTGAATTAGGTGCTCAATGTGTGCTAACTCCATAATTAGCTGTTTGTGATTAGATACATGTATAAATAGATGGGTTGATAGAGGTGGATAATAAGATGGGGAGAGGAAGGAGGGAGAAAAAAGTGGAAGGAAAGGAGGGAGGAAGGAAGGAAGGAATGAAGGAAGGAAGTAAGGAGGGAGGGAGGAAGGAAGGAAAGGAGGGAGGAAGGAAGGAAGGAAAGGAGAGACAGCTGGAATATCTCATCACTCATAGTGAGTAATGTTTTATTTGTAGTTTTCAGTAAACTTCAAGTTTCTGCACTTGGCATAAATGAGGTAAACATTATCAATGAGGTAAACGTTATTACAAACATATATGTAAATTATATAATGCCCCTACCCAGGTTCCAGCCTGCAAACCCAGCTAGAAGACGTTGTTCTTTCCACACAGGTGTTCATCACTCCTTGCGGGCATGGGCAGGAGCTTGGAACAGCAGAGTTTTTGAGACCTGGAGTGATCCCCTGGCACCCAGAGTAGAGGTGCCCTTGCTTCCCTTCCGTCTGCTCCTTCTCACCTGCCCTCCAAAGTCAATTTCAGTGCCATCTCACTGTCAGTGGTGCCCTTGTGGATACGGGAGTCCTGTTCGGCCGAGGATGGAGTCTCCCTAATGGTAATGCATGCAGAATAGGACTGGCACCTGGATTGCATTTTAAACACATTCCGCACCATTAGGCCATCCTCATCATTCACAGGACTGACGGCAGAGTTGCGGGGGCCTCCAGGCCCAGCAGCAAGTCCAGCCGGTTCATCCGGTCGGGGCATCCTGCCAAGACCCTTCAGCTGTGAAGCGGCCACTCTAGGCACAGGTGGGGAGACCTGATGAGCAGAAAGCAGCCTGGAGTCTGCCTCCTGGGAATGGGAACAAGGATTAGGGGGCCAAGCCCTGAGGAGCATCCCAGCCACTCTCCTGGGGGCACAGATTCTACCCATTGGAATAATAAGTGCTTTCTTTTTCACGCGCCTCTCTCCAACTTGCTCTAGCACTGCAGCCACTCTAACCTTATTTTCCTTTCTCCAACACACCTGGAACTTTCTTTACATGGGACCTTGACACAGGCAAATCCTTCTCTCCAGAACATTCTTCCTTCTGCTGGTTCCCTTCTTGCTGTCCAACTCACCTCCCCAGGAAGCCCTCCTAGATCTCATAATATCATAATATCAAGAGGTTGTCCCTGCCTCATTGTCTTTTACCTTTTATTTACTTATTTATTTAGAGACAGAGTCTTGCCCTGCTGCCCAGGCTGGAGTGCAGTGGTGCAATCTTGGCTTACTGCAACCTCCGCCTCCCAGGTTCAAGCGATTCTCGTGCCTCAGCCTCACGAGTAGCACCGTGCCCAGCTACTTTTTGTAGTTTTAGTAGAGATAGGTTTTCACCATGTTGGCCAGGCTGGTCTTAAACTCCTGGCCTCAAGTGATCTGCCTGCCTGGGCCTCCCAAAGCGCTGGGATTACAGGCGTGAGCCACTGCACCTGGTCTTTTATCTTGATACTTTCTTTCTTTTCCTCTGTGCCTCAGCTTCCTCCTTTGTAAGTGGGGTAACAATTGTGCGGAATGTGCTCTATTTGGTCAACTTTTCTACCATGTTCTACATTCCTTTGGCTGATCAGTTGGTTCTCATGTCCTCTGTCTGGATTCAGTCAATGAGAGGCAGGCAGAGAGGAGATGGGACTATTGATTGATCCCCTGGGCTTACATGCTTACCTGTTGGGTGGCGCTGAGTTCCTCTTTTCAAGCTTTCTGATGGACAGCTGTGTTCTTGGCTCTATTAGGTTGGTGCAAAGGTAATTGTGGTCTTTGCCATTACTTTATTTTTTTTGAGAAAGAGTTTCACTCTGTCGCCCAGGCTGGAGTGCAGTGGTGTGATCTCAGCTCACTGCAACCTCTGCCTCCTGGGTTCAAGTGATTCTCCTCCCTCTAGAGTAGCTGGGACTACAGGCACCCAGGATGCACTCGGCTAATTTTTGTATTTTTAGTAGAGATGGGGTTTCGCATGTTGGCCAGCCTGGTCTGGAACTCCTGACCTCAGATGATCCACCCGCCTCGGCCTCCCAAAGTGCTGGGATTACAGGCGTGAGCCACCGTGCCTGGCCTTTGGCCATTACTTTTAATGAAAGCGTCCCTCCGGTGTTCCTTCAGCACCAAGGGTGGTAACAGCTCCCTGATGTGGCCAGCGCCTCGGTGCTTCACTGTCCCTTGTTGGTTTCCTTGGGTCCTGCCCACACCTTTGTAAATTGTCCCTTCGCTGCACTAGCCTCAGTAATGGCTCAGACAGTGTCATCTGCTACCTACCAGGACTCTGATCCACATAATAATAGTCCCTATCTCATATGTTGTGAGGATTAAAATGATTTCAGTGCAGGATACACAGTGCTAAGATTATTATTTGCTATTATTCTCCTTCCTCTCACTTATCACACTTTGCACTTAGTTGCAATGCTAATTGCTCACTACTTTTCCCTCTGGTTAATTGACAATTTGCATGAAGAGGGAGTCTCTGTCTGTGCCTGTTCATTCAATCTCGTGATGGTCCAGTGTTAGATGCAAAATAGGTCCTCAGAAAATATCTGATGAGTGAATAAATGAATGAATGAAAGAATGAGGGTTGGTTTTCACTTTCCAAAGCACTTTTATATATCATGTTGAATTGTGTGGTAGCATGCATATTCGATTGGTTTTGTTTGATAAACACAGTAATTTCACAAGCCTTTACCTATTACATTATCCTCTTTGATCCATGAAGAATAGTCACAATTTAATAAATAATTAGACTGAGAAGAATGGAGGGAAAAGTAGAAGGGGGAAATGCTGCCTGAGAACCTATTATGTGCTCAGATTTTCCATTAGCATTTGATGGACATGATTTATTTTGATTTTCACAATGGTTATTATCATAACGACAGAAGCATCATTATTCCCTAGTTTACATATGCAGAACACAGGACAGAGAACAGTTGGAAGACTCACCCGTAGTTACTGTATTAGTCAGGGTTCTCTAATGGGACCGAACTAACAGGATAGATGTATATATAAAGGGGAGTCGATTAAGGAGTATTGACTCACACAATCACCAGGTGCGCTCTCACAATAGGCCATCTGCAAGCTGAGGAGCAAGGAAGCCAGTCCAAGCTCCAAAACAACAAAAGGAGGGAAGCCCACAGTGCAGCCTTCAGTCAGTGGTCAAAGGTCCAAGAGTCCCACAGCTGAAGAACCTGGAATCCGATGTTCCAGGGCAGGAAGCATCCAGAAAGGGAGAAAGATGGAGGCTGGGAGACTCAGCCAGTCTATTCTCTCCATGTTCTTCAACCTGCTTTTATTCTGGCCGCGTTGGCAGCTGATTAGATGGTGCCCTCCCAGATTGAGGGTGGGTCTGCCTTTCCCAGTCCAGTGACTCACATCTCCTTTGGCAGCACCCTCACAGGCACACCCAGGAACAATACTTTGCATCCTTCAATCCAATCAAGTTGACAATATTAACCATCAGAGTCACCAAGCTGGAGGGTCATAGAACTGGACTCCAGACCTCATGTGTTTCACTCAAAATGTCATGCTTTTCCCACACAGCAGTTATCCCACTGAGAGACCCCAGAGAGTCTCTTATAATGCATGCAGGGAAAGGTATAAACAAGTATCTGTTTGTAATAGCAAAACAAATGGCAGCAACCCCACGTGTCTATTGGGGGAGAAAGGGTAAATAAATTGAAACATTTAAACACTGAAATAGTGTGGCCATAAATGTGAATGAACTAGAGGTGCACATATCACCTGCAATAAGTGTGAAGGAAAAAACAAATTGCCAGAAAATTCCTTAGTGTAATACCATTTTATATCAAGGTTTACAAATATACAAAACACTGCTATGGTTGGGAGTGGTGGCTCATGCCTGTAATTCCCACACTTTGGGAGGCTGACGCAGGCAAATCGTTTGAACCCAGGGGTTTGAGACCAGCCTGGGCTACACGGTGAAACCCTGTCTCTACAAAAAATACAAAAAAAATTAGCCGGGCATGGTGGTGCATGCCTGTGGTCCCAACTGCTCAGAAGGCTGAAGTGGGAGGATCGATTGAGCCCAGGAGATCAAGACTGCAGTGAGCTGAGATGACACCACTGTACTCCAGCCCGGGCAACAGACGGAGCCCCCATCTCAAAACAAAAGCAAAAACAAACACAAAGCACTACTGTGCTTTATTTAAGGATACAACTATGTCATTACAAAGTGCTCACATTCAAGAAATCACACATACCAAATTCAAAATTGTGGTAGAAGGGATTGGATGATACTTTAGGGGAGTGACTTAGGGGTCTCCATGGTTCCTGTGATGCTTTTCTTAAGAGGGGAGGGGGTTTGCTATATTATTTTATACTTTTTTCTTCTTAACAGAAATGTCTCATTTATAAAAAAGTGGTACCTTGCCTAAGGACACCCAGCTGGTTAAGGATGGAGCTGGACATGTACATAAGCCTTGCGACTCCTGGCTCAGTGCTCTTTCCCCTGCGGTGAGCTGTCCAAAAACGGGGTAATTATCTCCCTTGTGCAACTTGGGAAGAGGTGAAACGCAATGTTGAGTAACCCTTCCTTGCTTCCTTCCTTCCCTGATTACAGCCTTACCAACACCCCGGATACCTTCTTTCAAGTTGTTCATGTTGCCTGCCTCTCAGAGTATAGTTTGGTTTCTGCACGGCTTCAGTGCAAAAAAGAGAAACTTCCTTTCATTGACTCAATCAGAAAGTCTCAGAAAGATCAGAGAAAGTAACCATCCCATCAAGAAGCTGGCGTGGGGCCGGGCGCGGTGGCTCATGCCTGTAATCCCAACACTTTGGGAGGCCGAGGCGGGCCAGTCACCTGAGGTCAGGAGTTCGAGACCAGCCTGGTCAACATGGTGAAACCCTGTCACTACTAAAAATACAAAAATTAGCCAGGCGTGGTGGCAGGCGCCTGTAGTCCCAGGTACTCGGTAGGCTGAGGCAGGAGAATCGCTTGAACCTGGGAGGCGGAGGTTGCAGTGAGCTGAGATCATGCTACTGTACTCCAGCCTGGGCAAAAAAAAAAAAAAAAAAAAAAAGGAAGCTGGCATGGCAGGCACTCTTGTCTGCCTGCTTAATGATTCTATGTTAGCAGGGACCGTCTCCTATAATAGAAGTCCGAAAAGGGGGCTACTCATTTTCCCAGCCTCCCCATGGCATGGCCGGTAACCTCATCTCCATAAAGGGAAAATCTGCTGAGGGGTTTCTGGGAAATACACCCCCTGTTGGTAAAAAAGGAGAGATGCAAGAAAGATGCCATCTCTCTTTCTGCTTTGTATGTTGTCATGCAAGAATGTGATGTTTGGAGCTGTGGCAGCCACCTTGTAACCATGAGGAAAGGACCAAGAGAATAATTAAGAAGCTATTGCTGACCTGTTGAATAATCTCAAGCCACCTATCTCTCAATTGCTTCTTAAGTGAGAATAAAAATGAATCAATATTGTGTATCCACTTTTACTCTAGTGTTTTCTTCCTGGCAAACAAAATCACATCATCTGACTCTCCTAAGGAAAGAAAGATAAGCAGGCCTGTGGTCCAGGTACAAACCATCTAGACACAGGCACTTACATGCCATCTGCACACATGTGCTTAGATGGGATCTAGGATAAATAGAAGTTTGCCAATCCCTTGATTAGCCCTTGCCATAACTTCTACCTGTTCTTTGGATAAGAGTCAAAATCTTCGGCAAGACCTTCCAGGCCTGGCCCAACTGGTCCCTGCCTGCTTCCTGCCTCAACCTGGGCCACTCTCCCCATATGACTCACAAGGTTCCCACACATAAGTCTTGTTGTTGTTTTATTTTGGTTTGGTTTCTCCAGTTTGCCAAAACCTTGTCAATTCAGGGCATCTGCATCAGCTTGTCCCTCTGCCTCAAAAGTGCCTTCCCTCACTCTTTGCCTGGAAAACTTATTCTAAATCTTCCATTCTTGCCCTAACAATGATTTCTTCAGGGAAACCTTCCCATTCTTGATAGATTCCTAATATTTATATATCTCATAGGACGATGTTTTCTCCTTCATAGCCCTGATCGTCTATTATATTTTCTTCTTTTTCTGTGCATTTATGTTTCTTTGACCGTCTCCAACAATGGAATTTAATTCCACTGGAGCAGAGACTGTGTTGGACTTCAGTGTCCCTCCACTCTAACCCAAAATATGCACCATCGCCCTACTTTCTCAAAGTGAAGGTCTGGGCAGATCACCTCCATTTTCAAGACTAGTTAAGATAATAAATGTGGCTGGGCGCAGTGGCTCATGCCTGTAATCTCAGCACTTTGGGAGGCCAAGGTAGAGGGATTGCCTGAGGCCAGGAATTTGAGACCAGCTTGAGCAACATAGTGACACTCCGTCCCTACAAAAACATTTTTAAAAAATTAGCTGGATGCGGTGTTATGTGCCTGTAGTCCCAGCTACTTAAGAGGCTGAGGCAGGAGGATTGCTTGAACCCAGGAGTTCGAGGCTGCAGTGAACTATGATCACACCACTGCACTCCAGCCTGGGTGACAAAGTGAGACACTGTCTCAAAAAAAAAAAGAAAAAAGAAAGAAATGCTAGCTAGTATTACTATTATGTCTATTCATTTTCTAGAGTTAAATTTAAATTCCTTAGCCTGGCATTTACGGTCACATTTAATTCATCTCCTTCTTCATTCATTCAGCAAATATTTATTAAACACCAACATGCTCCAGGCACTGTTCTAGGCAATAACATACCTTTCCTCCTTTATCTTCCCTCCACTCCTCACTAAGTCATCTGCCATTCAAACCACCTCAACTTCATTCACATTACTCAAGTTTTTCTCTAAACCACATAGTAAATACTATTTTTTCCATATTTTTCACTCAAATTCTTTCTTTTGCCTAAAATGCCTTTCTCACTCTGTATATTTCCAATAACTCCTCACCTATCTTTCAAACTCCACCCTCATTATTTTATGCAAAAATATTTATTAAGCACCTTTTATGCATGTCCTGGTCTCATACATCGGATTGGACATGCAAGAGACCAGGAAGTGCATACAAAGTGCTTAATAAATATTTTTGCAATTGGAGATTCCCTGGGGGGATGGGGGGGATGGGAGGGATGCAGGTCACGCGTGTGGCTCTTCACTGTTCTTACGCAATGTCTGACGCATAGTCAGTGCACATGGTCTGCTGAATTGTGGGGAGGAAAAAACAGCTTGAGAAGCCCCTTTCGCTTTCAAGGCTTAAAGCCTCTGAGCCAAGGGTCTCCAAATATTTTCGATCATGAACACCTCCCTCCAAAAAAGTGAATGGGCACCCCAGTATTAGATTGATTTTATATTTAAACATTGAATTATATACTCTTCATATGATAATGCACAAGCCAAAGAAAGAGACTGAAAGCATGAGATTAAAGAAAGTAAAATTCAGTAGAAATTCTCACAGTTTTCATCCAGCATTTCTTGGATCAAGTTACCCATCCCCATTTTAGAGACTGGTCTAACCTCAGAAGATAACTGACTCTGGCTCACATGGCGGGGCTAAGAGGATCTTTCGGGAAAGGCAACGCATTTTCGTTGCAATGACAGAGAAGTAGTTGGCCTGGGGCTTCTACGTCTGTTGCTTCCCATGACCCTGGCATCTCTGTTCATTGGAGCTTCCTTGGATCTTGCCCCTTGAAACTAACAGATCAGCTACTTTTTTCCTCCTCTTCCTTGCCTCATCCATGACCTGGAACTGACCTCATCCATGACCTGGAATTGACCTGCCTATCATTGAAATAATTGAAATTGAATTATTTCCACTATAATTTCATTGAAATAATAAGCAGCAGGCTGTAAATCCGGGTTGAACTTGAGAGCTGGCTAGGAAGGTACCAGGCCCTTCTCTTGCTTGGGGTTTTCCTGCAGATGAAGCAGCAACTTTGACTTCTCAAGGTAGGCGGGGAATTTCTGTGAATGTCTCATGCTTGGAGAAAGCAAACCTGCCAGGGGACGTGTCCCAATACTGTTTTCTTCCGTGCATCACAACAATTTATGAAGAGCCACGCCATCGCCACCCTAATCCTGCTGGCTCCTTCTCAAGGCAAAATGAGTTTCGGCTGCTTCCCCAGGTGTCTCTAGCCCCACCTCTGCAGGAAGCAGCCCCCTTAGAAACTGCCTAGCCTTCATCTCTGACACCCTGTCAAGGCCAGCACCCTGAGCCTGGCCTGGGCACATTGTTTAGGCCTAGGGCTTCAGCACAAACTCTTTGCCAGGTGCCCCCTCTGGGAGTGGCCAGGAACTTGGGAGTAAAACCGCCAGATATCCTATTAAGATAACCAGTTCTTTTCATGCCCTGGGCCCTGCATGGCAGTTAGGGTGACCAATCATCCCAGTTTGCCTGAGACTGTCTCAGTTTAGCACTGAATGTCCCATGTCTTGGGATATTCCTCAGTCCAGGAAGGACTGACTACATAATTTGCAGGGTCCAGTGCAAAATTAAAATGCAGGGACCTTCTTCAAAAATGATGAAGATTTTCAAGATTGTGACAACAGGGTGTTAAACCAAATAAGGTGCCCTTTTGACCATGGGGACCTATGGACCTATGTGTCTGCACAAGTTACACACTCATGAAGCCATCCCTGGTCCCAGGCAACCCATGACAGTTGCTAACTCTACTCCCTATACAGAGATTCAGAAAAAATAATGTATTGTTAATTCCACGAGGTTGTTGGTTTCTTACAGAAACATGTGCTGAGACAACAGCTCTTGCTCCCATCTTTCTATCCTCCCCACACCTATGCCAGAGCTTTCTGAAATACGAAATCATGCCACGCCCCAACTTAAACCCTCCCGCCATCATATTCTCAAATGTGACTAATAATAGTAATACAAATTGCAGACTCCTGGTATTGACTTCAGTTATTTTTACTATACTGTTGCTTAAGTATGTGCCAACATAAAACTCGGCGTAAACTTTGTGTGCTAATAGCTCTTATACAATGGTAAAACCACACTTATAAATTAAAACGATAAGACTATAGAACCAATAAAATTCAAAGGAACAACATTCATTTAATGGGACAGATGAGTTCGTTTTGCCAAAACTAAAATGCCGCTCGCAGAGTGATTATGGCCTTGGGTTGGCTGCAGCAAAGTGGGTTATTTCTCATGGAGGTGCTTCTTCATGCTCTGGTCCCCACATGGCTTAGATCCTTACTCGGGACCCAGCTGGGATATGTTTGTTTGAACACCATGACCTGACACTCTTTGAACCTTACTTGGTACAAAATCACCCTCTGTAGATCAAATCCACCTCCGATCTTTTCCCATTAACCCATGATGCTGAAAGACATACTAATTGGCACCAATGGTATCATAAATAAACATGCAAGCATGGGCATTGAAATCGCATTGCAGTGTCAGGTTATAAATAGGCCACCTAGATAAACTAAAAATGCCTACATTAATTTAAAAACTATCAATGAAATAAAAAGAATACAACAATAATTAGCATTTGTTGAGCAACTACTATGTGACAGGCACTGTTCTAAGAACTTGGCTTGTGATAACTTATTCCATCCTCACAACTCTGTAAGGCCAGCACTAGTATTAATGCCATACGACAGATGAGAAAACTGAGGCTGAGAGAGGTTATGTTGACTTGTCCTAAGTCACTCACCATGTGTGCAGAAGTTTTCTAAGAAAAGTCCTCAATATGAACTCACAGACCTCTGATCAAGAATCAGGGATCTTGTGAGGTTCCTGGGCTCCAGCCTGGGATCACTAGCTCACAGATTGAAGTTAAAGCTCCCGAGTTTGGCAATAGAAGGCTTTCTTCATCTTGCCTATTGACTTCTCACCCTTTTCTCATTCTGATCCTCTTCTCGTTGCACCTCTATACTTCTGGGCTATCTTGAAACTCCAAGAGGACAGCAAGCTCTTTGACACTTTTCATTACCTTCGCTTGGAAGTCTTCCCTCTGCCTGGAATGATCTTACCCCTTCTTACCTGGAAATGGACTATGTGTTCTTCAAAATGCTCAGTGGCATCTCTCTAGGGTGCTGTTCCCAAATACAGTTGACTCTGGAACAACACAGGCTTGGAGTGTGTGCTTGAAGTTCATGTCCATTTATACTTGAATTTTTTCAATAAAATTTACACCAAGTGTGCCTGCCTCTTCTGCCTTCCCTTCCATCTCCTCCACCTCTTCCACTTCTGCCACCCAAGACAGCAGGACCAACTCCTCTTCTTCTTCCTGCTCTTTGATTTAACGTGAAGATGACAAGGCTGAAAACCTTTATGATGATCCACTTCCATTTAATGAGTAGTAAATATATTTTACTTATGAGTTTCTTAATAAATTCTTTTTTCTAGCTTACTTTATTATAAGCATACAGTATATAATACATGTAACATATAAAGTATGTATTAATTGACTATTTATGTTATTGGTAAGGCTTCTAGTCAACAGTAGGCTATTAATAGTTAAGACTCTGAGGAGTCAAAAAGTTACATGTCAAATTTCAACTGTGTATGGGGTTTGCATCCCTAATCTCTGCATTGTTTAAAGGTCAGCTGTAAGTTCTTTGGGATCCCACCACACCGAAGTCTCCCTTCTCTTCTCAAAGACATCATTATCCTCCTCACAGCCTGTGCCCTGGCAGCCTTACAGAGCTGAACCAACCAGATCCTTCTCCTCTCGAGGTTTTAAATTAAGACTCTCAGAGACTGCGGGAACTTGAAGTCAGAAGCTATGCTGTGATAACAGCTAGCACTTATTTAGTGCTGACATTGTGCCGGCCCTGTTCTGAGACCGTTGCATATATCACCTTATTTCAAGCTCACAGCACTCCTACGCAGGATATCGTCTCCCCATTTTACAGGCAAGAAAGCTGACGCACAGAAAGGAGGATGCATTCTCCATGGTTGTGCCAACAGTGGAGCACCTGCATGTGAATCCAGAGTCCATGCCTTCAGTTATGACACCTTATTGCTCCAGTGATTGCAGGAGAACTGGGACTGGGGCTGGTGTAATGGCAAAACCACAGGCAATCTGGAAATATACAAGATCAGAAACTGAGGAGTGGGAAAAGGAGAAGCTGGTTCACAGTGAGTAGAACAGGCCATATAGGCAGACAGAAGCAAAGACAGGATAAAAACCAACCCCAAGATGCAGAGAGAGTCTCTGTCCTAGTTGGACCAATGCCCCAGCCACTGCTCAGCCACCTGCTGTGCATCTTATTTGGAGCCCAAGTCTCTCATGCAACTTTTCCTTTCTTTTCCATTGACTCGTTTTTTTAAAACCTGACTCAGACTGAGTGACATTTTTTCTTTCCTTATCACCTATACTAAAAAACTCCAACCACTGGAAATTCACCAGCTCCGATGTACTCTAAGGCCCTGCTGCTATGCATTTTTGCCACACCTAAAAGGAAGCTCACCTGCTGACTCACCGAGCAATAACTGGGTCCTACTTACGCCGACATTTTTAAGCAGAAGTGTGCCTCGTGCAATACTTAGAACATATTTATACTAAAAAATTATTTGCTGTTTATTTGAAATTCAAATTTAACTGGCTGGTCTGTATTTTATCTGGTAACCCTTACCTGGAATTCTATGAGAAATGCAGACACCCAGGCTCCACCCCAGACCTAATAAAACAGAATCTGCATTTTTAACAAGATCCTTGGGTGACTCATGTGCACAAGAAAGTTTGAGAAGTCTGGCTAAAAGATGAATTAAAGGCAGTCCAGAGACAATACAGTAGCTCCTTGTCCACCAGGGACCCAAACCCTTCTTATCTTTCCATTCCAATATACTTACCTCATGCTTTCTACCCTTAAGGTCACTTCCTGGTAAAGGTTGCCAGCCTAAGTCTGGCCTCCAGATAGAAGCAAAAAGAAGATGCCAACAGACATTTCCCAAACCCCATAGAATGGCCTCCACTCCCATCTCATTAGCTGTTCCTATTGCAAGGGGAGCTGGGAGATGTAGTTTTTCCGTTGGACCCAGGATGCTTCTGTGACTTAAGTGTAAGTCTGTGGGATTGATATTCAACAGGAAGCAAATCTCTGCCATTTCTTCTCCCTGAGAAGAACTTGGTAAAGTTAACAAGTTGTGTTCAGTTTGACCAGGGGGTCTGACCAAACCAAAGAGGCAGGGAAGGGCAACAAGATGCCTGAAATAAGAAGAAAGAACAAGGGAGTCCTAGCCGTGTTCTAGACCTAGGATAATTATAGTACTCAGCTCAACAATAGATTCTATGCTTTCACAGAGAAGAGATATTTTGGGTATATTTTGGCTGATGTAGAAAGCTCTAGCAGGCACAGATACCCTAATACCATACTCGTGTTCCAGAGAGCAATGACTGATTGCAGGAGTACTAGAGTTAAAATCTTGCAAGGTCAAGGACAAAACACTGTTGGGTATGCTGGACCCCAAGGAAGTGCAACTTCTGTTGGGATTTAGGTTACAAAGGGGAGTGTGGTGGAACTGCACAGAACCAGTCTTCAACAGCGATGTCATGTGGCTGCAAGAAGCAATAGCAATGACAGCGCAATCAAACTCTAGTACTCTCTGCTCATTGTTGAAGACACCTGGTTCCCTTTAGACTACATAAGCCCTTTAAGTGTGAGGACCACTGAGGATGGTCCTAAATGGTGTATCAACATCTCGCTGGTAAGAATGTTCAAATGTTTAATTGAAAACAAACATGAGGCCAGGCGCTGTGGCTCATGCCTGTAATCCCAGCACTTTGGGAGGCAGAAGCGGGCAGATCATGAGGTCAGGAGTTCGAGACCAGCATGGCCAACATGGTGAAACTGTCTCTACTAAAAATACAAAAAAATTAGCCTGGCCTATTGGCATACCAATAATCCTAGCTACATGGGAGGCTGCGGCAGGAGAATTGCTTGAACCTGGAAGGTGGAGGTTGCAGTGGGCTGAGATCATGCCACTGCACTCCAGCCTGGGTGACAGAGCAAGACTGTATCAAAAAAAAAAAGAAAAGAAAAGAAAAGAAAACTAAGATATAAATATATTTGCACTCTGAGATCAAGGAGCAAAGAAAATTATCATGGTATTAGGGTGATAAAGAAGATATTATTGGCGAGGACAACCTTACTTTCCCCTCAAATCTAACCCTCCAGGTTTGGTTAGTCCAAACCCATAACTGCTCTTGGATCATCTCAAACCAGATTTCTTTCAAGTAATGCCAAACTGAATTAATTCTGGGTTTCTAGATGTTTGTTATACACCATGACAAAACCCACTTCCGATGCAAGAAGTATTTTTCTTCAAATAGCAGTTGAGCATGGCAAGCAAGTTGTGGCTGGAATCAGCCTGCTCCATACTGTGGGGCTTTATTAACAAACAGCCTTTCTTTAATTGACATTTCTTTCAAGGCAATTTGCAGAATAAAGATAAAAATTCTCTGTGCCAAATTATAACTCCTCCTGGAGGGAGACACAGTGGTCCCACTTATTCTTTCTTTTGTAGGGACTCCAGCAGACGTGAGCCTGTAATTGTGAAAGATGGCAAGAAATTTCTGCATCCTGGCAAGGGAGAGGATGGCCGGAATGAGAAGCCACAGTGGGATGAATTTGGAGGATAATCCAAGCAGTGTCAGTGAGAAGAGGGAGGCTCCAGCCTTGTTGCAGGTCAACTGCCAGGTGAGCCAAAAACTCAAAAACCAAACCAAACCAAAACAAAGCTACAAAGCAAAAAATGCTCTCTCTCTTTGCCTATAGAATGAATACTTAGAAGAGAGAGGAGAAGGAGAATTAAAAGGAAAGGGATGGAAGGAAGAAGAGTTATTGGATCTAAGGGACTGAAATATATCAACGAATTGTGCAAAATCCATTCTAGGTGTTCAATGTCAGTTACTCATCTGTTGCATGTGGTTTCAATTTCCTTTTAAATCCATATGTATTTGAAATGAAGCCAGACCAGGGTAGGATGAAGGGGAGCCTGCATCTCACTGCTTCCCTCAAAACAAAGTTTTGGATGTTTTTGGTCATTCCCTCTGGGTTCTCAGTGCCTGGTGGATTCCATCGACAATGGATGTTAAATCCATCCTCTGGGGAAAGGAAGTGCTTGCAGATATTGAACGTGGACCTCAGAGTCTCTAATGTGATGAGAGATTGCAACCAACTGGCTTCTGCCTTTTAAGAGGCCCTGAATCCAGGCCGTCTGGAAATTAAATAGGGAGCCCAGCTCACTGCTACAGCTTGTCAGTGTGATTGCCACCCACGATTGGCTCTGAGCATCTCTTCTAAAACATGCCAGCAACTGTGTCTTTATTTTGTTGATGCAAGTCCAGATGCTGGTTTGAAGGAGGTAAGCTTTGTTTCTGAGCCCCTATAGCGCACTCTTCACAGCATTCAGAAAGAGAACCAATGCCTTGGGTGTGATCTCCATGACCCTGCATGACCCAACCCCTTCATCACCTTTCTGACCTCACCTCCCCAACGTTCCCTCCATTCCAACCCCTCTGGCCTCCTCATAATCCCTTGAACATAGCAGACAGTCTCCCACCTCAGGGTCTCTGAACTTACTGTTTCCTCTGCTTGAAATTCTCCTCCTGCAGATACATGCACATCCTCAGATCTCACCTCGAAAATTACCTTCCCTGGCAGCCCTACATTTTTAAACTGCCCATGGCTTCCTAGCTCCCTGGTCTACTTTACTTTCTTCCCGCCTAAGCATTTATTCCTACTGAATGCAGTATATAAGTTACTGGTTTATCTTGTGCCTTATCTGTCTGTCTCTAATTACAATGAATGCTCCATGAAGGCAGAGCTTTGGTCTATTCCATTCTGTACTCAATCCCCAGTGCCTAGGACAGAGCCTGGGATATGGCAGGCCCATCACAAACATGTGTTAAATGAACTGATAAAGTAATAAACAGAAATGTGCATTTGGCAATTTGAAAAGCTGAAAGTGTGGCATAGTCTAAGTTGGGCAATCTATGGAGAATTGGGGCTAAAGTTAACTCGGTTTCATTTCCATAAGGACCCCCTACCCCACCCTGTACCTGTTATAATAGGCCCACACTCGTTTACAAGGAAGCCGGTGCCAGGAGCTCCCTGGGGATGGGATGCCTGTCTCCTGTTAGGTGGCAGCTTGACCAAAGCCACAGATGGTGCCCCAGGGCCATTTGCATCAACCTGGCATTCAAGGCCCTGCCCAGCCTGACATGGATCAGCCTTTATAGCTATGTTTCCAATAGTCTTCCATTTTGTATTCATTCACCCAACAACATGTGTCCAGTTTTATCTTAAATCATTCCAATTTGCATTCAACCCCATTAGATAGTCTTGCTTGGGAGAATAGTAAAAGAACATTTTTGTTTTTGCAACTCTTTTAGCTCAACTTTGTGGTCAGGAAGTTCCACAGATTCACGGGTTCAGCTTTCCCTCTCCAGGGCTTTCTCTACATCAAGGGCCCTTGAGTCAACTAAGAATGACTGAGTTTTCTTTGATGGCATTTGTTCAACATCACGCAAAGCATAATCCTGGAGTCCAGTAGAAGAAGTAGTATCTAGCCTGTCATTTAACCCACAATGCATAATTGGTATATCCACCATATAAACACATTAACACATACCCAAATATAACACACAGATATGCAAAAGCAAACACATACAATGTAAGAAATAAACATGTAAACACACACACAACTGTAGACACATATGAGTCAAACACCTGTAAACAAAATTTCTTGATCTAAATTCAGTGAAGCTTTCCATGTTGTTTAGACTGTCCTGGAAGATAACACTGAAAGGCACCAACAGCTTCTGCTTAAGGGATGAGATGTGGATTCTTTACCCTAATAGGTAGTTCTTTTCCTTTTTCTTTCCTTAGAATTGGCTGTTTTGACCAATCAAACTCTTGGCTTGGTTTTGTGTTGAAATGATCATAGCTCAACCTTAGACCAGGCTGTTCTGATATGCCCTTACTTTATCAAATTGTTAGCTAAGGATTATTATAGAGATTCTTTTAAGGAGAAGTGTTTGCATTGGGCATGTGCTGCGGGTATGCTGGGAAATAAGTATATTCTGGGCTCTGCTTTGAGAAGCAAAAGGTGATCATAGGTGGGGAAAAATCAAAGGAGGAACATTCTATAATCCTTTTTATTTTTTTGATCCTTGAACTCCTTGAAACTGGGATAAATGTTCTAAGGGCAGTTCCCCTGATAGTACAAAATTACCATAACTGATCTCACAAAGGAAGATAAATAAGAAAACACATTTGTTTCAAGGGAGCCAGGGAGAAGGTATCTTTTTACCTTCTTTCTCTCTCTAGCCTGTTGTATTCTCCCCCTGTTCTAGCTGTTTCTTGCTGGAAACAATCTCAAAAAGGCTTTCTCTATCCAGTATGGAATGATTTATCTTAGTCTTGGAATTCTGGGATAAAATGTGCATATATGCATACATGTGTACACACACACATACGCACATACACACATGGGACCTAAAGTTTCAGGAAAGGTTTTTATTTTATTTTTTAAATGAAAAGCAATGTGACACTACTTTCAAACTGGTTTATAAGAGGCACATCAATCCAGTTGTGAACTGAGAACTTTTTAAGGGAAGGAGAAATTGTTCCCGTTAAGCCCTAAAACAGTATTCTTTCCCATTGATCATCTAAACCAATTTGCTTTATATTGAATAGCTGTATTAGGAAAAAAAAGTCAGCTGTTGATACCCTCCAATGTCAGCTAGATGGATTTTTTTCCCTCAACATAAGGTGCAGTTGTAGTTTTCCTCAATCTCATAATTAAAAAAAGGTGATAAGCTATTTGTTCTGAATCAATTCACTTAGATTTTAAGGAGCATAATGGAACGTCTGTTGTTCCTGAAATAAACAGCACAATCTCGAGTACTCAGACAGCTTGCCTAAGGTGGTAGGAATACTATGTTTTTGTCCTACCAAGGTTCTTTACCCGGGGCTCCCTGACCCAGAAGACCTGTGCATAAAATTCAGGGCTGTGTGACTTGGATGGGGAAAATGTGCATATCAGTTTTAACTAATTTCCACCTCAAATGCAGCGTTTCAGTTAATTATGAATATAAGCAAAATTGACAGCAATATTAATGACTTTGCACCTATGGTAACCACAGATAGTTTATGTTAGATTACAGACTTCTTTTGTAAAATCGGATATAGTCTATTTCACATGCATTTAGAAACATCATTTTAAGAAGGGGGTCCTTGGGCTTCCTCAGACTGCAAAAGTCACCATGACCCTGTAAGTGTTAAGACCCCTTCTCCAGGAGACCTGGGTCATTAGTAAAGGTCATGATCCAGCACAGGCTGTGAAGGTGCATGGCATCCCATCACCAGGAAACTCTTTTTTTGTCGGGGGCCTTGAACCTTCTCACTCATCCAGCAAAATGCTCACTCTAATGCCCCAGGGTGGAATCTGTCATTACTGTATGTATTTAAGCTTCTTCAGATTAGCGGCAGAGGTGAAGGAGAAAGAGGAAAAAGAGATCACATACCACTCCTCCATCTCTTCACATATTTTAATTTAAATATGGAATCATACTCTATGTCAGTATTTTGTAAACTTTTCTTTTCTGTTTTTGAAACAGGGTCTTGCTCTGTTGCCCAAGCTGGAGTGCAGTGGTGCAATCATAGCTCACAGCAACCTCTCTCTCCCAGGTTCAAGGGGTCCTCTTACCTCAGCCTCCCAAGTAGCTGGGACAACAGACGTGTGCCATCACATCCAGCTAATATTTGTATGATTATGATTATGATTTCTTTATAGAGATGGGGACTCATCAGGCTGGTCTCAAACTCCTGGGCTCAAGTGATCCTCCCACCTAGGCCTCCCAAAGTGTTGGGATTAGAGGAGTGAGCCACCACGCCCAGCCTGAAATCTTTTTCTTCCTAATTTTTTAATTTTTTGAGACAGAGTCTCCCTCTGTTGCCCAGGCTGGAGTGCAGTGGTGTGATCTTGACTCACTGCAACCTCCACCTCCTGGGTTCAAGCCATTCTCCTGCCTCAGCCTCCCGAATAGCTGGGATTACAGTTACGCACCACTATGCCTGGCTAATTTTTATATTTTTACTAGAGACAGGGTTTCACCATGTTGGCCAGGATGGTCTCAAACTCCTGACTTCAAGTGATCTGCCCACCTCAGCCTCCCAAAGTGTTGGGATTATAGGTGTGAGCCACTGTGCCCAGCCTGTAATCTTTTTCTTCTTAATATTTTGATAGCACACCTTGATGGAGCTCTTTCTGTGTCCCAAGCAACATTCTAAGCGCTTGGCCTGTGTTATCTCATTTCCTTCTCACAACCACTCTTGGCAGGGGGTACTCTTCTGACCTCTCATAAATGTTGGCTAAATGAATAATAGCTGTCTCTTATTGAAGACTTACCATGTGCCAGGAGCTATTCTCAGAGTTCTGTACATGGTCTCATCTATTCTTCCCCAAAGCCCACAGCTAGGTTTTATTATTTTTACATTTTATAGATAAGGGAACTGAGGCACAGAGAGATTAAGCACCTTGCCCAAGATCACACAGCTGGTAGGTCACCAGTAGAAACCTCTGGATATCAGTGGAGACAGTCTGACTGCAGAGAGGTGTTGTTAACCAGCAGGCAGTCCCACCCTCTATGATGAACTTTTGTCATGGTGATTGTTTGAGCATGCTTTAGTTTGTAAGGTTGCCACATCATTCCTGGAATAGGAGATAGCTTTTTCTTTCGCATAGATGGATACTGAAATCACTCTATATCAGTATTTTGAAAAATTTTGGTGACTCTACCCTCACCATAGCATCATTTCTTGAGAAAAAGAAGAGAAATAAACGAAGCAGCAGCACGAGCAGTTTCTCTTCCTACTGGTCTGTAATCTGGCCACGACTTTAGGCTGTGGCTGAAATTCCTGACCTTAAATTCCAGCAGCCTCTGATTGAGGGCACCCACTCAGTCAAGCTCCCTTCTTGGAAACAGTCAAACGCCATCTAGTGACTGAATGCAGAATCGCATACTCCTTTCAGCCAGGAAGGGAGACCATGGAGGGGGAGCCAGGCTGGGTCAGGAAGAGGAAACCCTCTCTGGGCTGGTAAAGTTGAAAGCAAGGAAATCACTGAGCCCCGAGGAACTGCACCAGCATCTGGATAAAAACCCTTCAGTCTTCACTGTGAACACATCTGGTTAGTTGATGAAACTGTTTTCACAGTACATCTGGCTGGATAGATACAACCACACAGCCACCACCACAGGCTCGTATTAACTGAGCAGTTTCTTCCCAGCAAAACTAACTGCCTGGAAAAAAAACGCATGAACAAAACATATTTGTAATTTGTCAAATCTAAATAATACCAATAGCTCAGCGATTTGCTCTTTTGATCAAGACTGTTTTATGCTAGGAAGTGTGCTAAGTGTTTTACATACAGTGTCTCGTCTGCTCTTTTTTTCTTAACAGCTCTGAGAGCTAGAGATTAAATTATTCCTGTGATCAAACTGGAGCTCAGGAAAGCTAAGACATTGTCCAGGTTCCCACAGATGGTGTGTGACAGAGCTGGGAGCTGAATGCAGATCTTGCTGACTCCAAAGCTCAGACTCCAAAGCTCTGACTCCAAAGCGCACGCACCACACACACACACACACACACACACACACATTTAAAGATGCAGAATCTCATTATTTAGCTAAGCTACCCTCCGTGCAGCAAATATATCATCACAGTGAAAGTCTAGTGATAGTACTATAAAGACAAATTATATGTAGGCAGGAAAGAGAAGGCTAATATCCATTATTATCGTTACAGTGGATTTTTGGAGGATTTGACTTTTATCAAAAATATTGTTTTAAATCAACAAATACCAGGAAATTGAATCCAACAGCATATTAAAAGGATGATATGTCATAACCAAGTGGGATTTATTCTAGGAATGCAAGGGTGGTTCAACATAAGAAAATCAATCAATCTAATATGTCACATTAATAAAATAAACAAAAAATATATAATCATCTCAATTGATATAAAAAAGGGCATTTGAAGAAATACAACACCCTTTCAGGATAAAAATACTCAGAAAAGATAGAATAGAAGGGAACTTCCTCAACATGATAAAGGACATTTATTTTAAAAAACCCACAGCTGACATTGCACCTAAAGGTGAAAGACTAAAAGCTTTCCCCCTAAGATCAGGAACAAGACAAGAATGCCTCCTTTCACCAATGGTATTCAACACTGCACTGGAAATTCTATCCAGCGTAATTAAACAAGAAAAAGAAATAAAAGGCATCTAAATTGGAAAGTAAGAAGTAGAACTATCTCTGTTCACAGACGGCATGATCCTATATATAGAAAATCCCAAAGAATCTATAAAAAAGCCATTAGAGCTAATGAACAATTCAGCAAAGTTGCAAGTTACAAGATAAACATACAAAACCCAGTTATGTTTCTACACACCTGTAATGAACAATCCAAAAAGGAAATTAAGGGAGCAATCTCATTTACAACAGCATCTAAAAGAATAAAATGCCTGGCAACAAATTTATCCAAGGAAGTAAAGGACTTGTACACTGAAAACTCAAAACATTGCAGAAATAAATTAAAGAAGACTTAAATAAATGGAAGAACATCCAGTGTTCATGGATTGGAAGATGCAATATTGTTAAACTGTCAATACACTGAAAGTAATCTACAGATTGAATGCAATGCCTATTAAAATTGCAATGGCCTCTTTTTTTCTGTGGAAATGGAAAAGCTAGTCCTCAAATCCACATGGGATTACAAGAGACCCTGAGTAACTAAAACAATCTTAAAAAAAGACGAAAAAAGTTGAAGAACTCACACTTTCCTGTTTCAAAACTTACTACAAATCTGTAGTAATCAAAACAGCATGATACTGACATAAGGATAAACATATAGAAAAGTGGAATAAAAATGAGAGTCCAGATATATACATATATTTCTATTATTTATATATATCTCATATATATGTATCTCCTATATATATATCTCCTATATATATATCTCCTATATATATCTCCTATATATATATCTCCTATATATCTCTCCTATATATATCTCCTATATATATATCTCTCCTATATATATCTCCTATATATATATCTCCTATATATATATCTCCTATATATATCTCCTATATATATATCTCCTATATATATCTCCTATATATATATCTCCTATATATATATCTCCTATATGTATATCTCCTATATATATGTCTCCTATATATATATATATATATATCTCCAATTGATTTTTGGCAAGTGTGCTAAGTTTGTTCAGTCATTCAGTGGAGGAAAAAATAGTCTCAGTTGGTGAGGGAACAACTGAATTTCCACATGCACAAAAATGAATTTGGATCCCTACCTCACACCATATGAAGAATGAACTCAAAATAGATCAGTGACCTAGATTCAAAAGCTAAAATCATAAAACTCTTGGAAGAAAACAGAGGTAAATCTTTATGATTTTGGATTTGGCAATGGATTCTTAGACATGATACCAAAAGCACTAGCAAAAAAAAAGGAAAAATAAAGATAAATGTGTATATGTGTGCATGCATGTGTTTGTGGGTGTGTTTGCTTAGTCCAGAATTAGGGTAGTAGTAACAATGAGGACAATAACTTCTTAGAGCACCTTCATTCAGGAGTTGAATCACAGTTCAGTTATCAGACAATGCCAGGAAGAGCTATACATTTCTTTTGGTATATTGACATCTTAATATTATTAAGTCTTCCAGCCCATGAATACAGGATGTTTTTCCATTTATTTAGGATACTGAAACAGGAAAGAAGAACAGAGCTATTCGTGATCATACAGCTAACAAATGGAAAAATGACAATTGGAAATCAGGTTTTTAAACTCAAAGTTCATTTCTCTCTCCCAAGGAGTGCTAGGACAATTACTCATTTGTAATTTGTGACAATTCAGGCAAGGGCTGATCTCTAGTTTCCCCTGCTCTTGGGAAAATTTTCTCAAAGATGCTGTGAACACAGTGGGGAAAAGGTTGCAAAGAGAATGCTTAAACTGCTTATAACCAAATTGCTTTTAAGCAGCACTTTAGTAGAATCCATTTATATAATAAGAATGAATATGCTAACTGTGAGCCATTTTTGTGTATCCTTGAGGGATCTCTACAGGACAAGCCTCATTTGAATTATTCTCTTCCTTTAGTAAACATCCAGTACCTGGGATTTACTGATTTTTGGCACTGAGTCTGAATTGCTGAGATTTATTTTTTTTGTAAAGATGAAATTATTAAAGTAGAATGAGGATGGAACTATCATTTACTGAACACCTAGTAGGTGTTAGGATGCATCCTTACCATCCTTGAGTCCTCTAAGCTCCAGGAAAAGAAGCCTTTGTACCAGGCAAAGAAGCCTTTGTTCTCAGCTCATACCTAACATAAAGGAGGATTCACCTCTTCAGAAGATTACCCTCCACTGAAGACACACAAATTCCCCAATGTAATAATAAGAAATGGATATTGTACTGCAATCTTATGGTACTGAAGGGAGGTTTTACATCACACACCACGCAACATAAACATCTCCTTTAAAACTTCTTGTTTTTAATCCTCAAATCTTTTCTTTTTGCCAGTGGCTTCATTATTCACTCTCCTCTTACCCAAAAGAGCATCACAAAGAAATGTTTCCTATTGGCCTGAGCAATTCAATGGTGGTGCCCCTAGATTGTAAACAACCCTCAGGAGAGGAAAAAGTCCGGTTGTTAATTAAACAGATGATCAAAATTGTTTTTGTAGGGTGTGTATGCATGTGCATGTGCCTGTATGTGTGTGCTGGGTGGTTCTCATTTCATCTGGGTTCACTTTTGTTACCTTCTTTGCTCTTTAAAACAACCCCAAGAGATCATTTAGTCCCATTTTGTAGAAGAAAAGATTGCTGCACAGAATGATTTGGTACCACGTCTAAGGTTGCACAGTTTGTCAGTAGGGGAAGCCACAGTGCCATACAGACCTGATTCTAGTATTCATGATGCCAGAAACTGGTCCCAGAAATGAAAGGCTGTGGCTTTCTCGATTTTCATAGCAGTGGGTAAATTCTTCTTTCTACCACAATGGACCTTCTTCAACGGGCCCTGAGTAAGTGGTGGCCAACTATGTATTAGGGTATTCAAGAAATGTATAGTCTAAAGCAGGACTTAGCAAACTACAACTAGTGTGCCAGACCCAGCATGCCACAGGTAAATAAAGTTTCACTGGCTCACATTAGGCCCATAACTTTAGATAGTGTCTCTGGCTGCTCTTGCACTATAAGGGCAGTGTTGAGTAGCTGCAACAGTGATCCAATGGCCTCAAAGCCTACAGTGTTTTACTATCTAGACCTTAGTGAAAGAAGGATGCCAATCCTTGGTCTAGAGAGTCAACTGACAGATAAGTTGGAAATTGAAAATCAGAGCTTAAGTAGGTGGTAGGGGAGCACAGGAACCATGTAATTGCCAACAGGTAGACTTTGTTTAAAAACCACTCACAGTAATCAGCATCCTTCCATCTCCCAATTCTCCATATTGTTATTAGGACCTTGAAAATAACCAATTAATAAATCACTATATATTAATTACTTGCTGTATGCCATGCTCTGTCATATGTGCTGTGGATAGAGCTATGAGCAAAACAAAATAAAAAATGAGTGTGGAATATAGGAGGAACAGAAAGAAGGCTATTAATTGCTTAATTGATGTTACTGAGAGCCTGGAGCTCAATACCAGATGAGACTGCGAGGGAGGGAGGCAGGGGCCAGGATGTGGAAGACTGTGGGATTTTATTCCAGGTAAAACGGTAAGCCACTGAGAAATTCTAGGCAAAGTGGAGGTTGTCATTATCATATTTAATATGATCACTCTAACTGCTCTATGAAGATTGAATAATTGGAAGGTGAGGATGGGAGCATGGAGAATAAGGAGGAGGTTACTGCAGTTATTTAGGCAAGACGTGGAAGTAGCTTGACTAGCCTGATAACAGCAGAGACAGAGAGAACTGTTTAGATTTAGAATATGTTTAGGGTTAGAGCTAAGAGGACTCATGGATCATGAGGATGCATCTTAAAAAAGAAGCTCAAAGCTTGCTTCCAAAAGAACCAAGGAGAACGTCGCAAATTGTAAGATTTATTATGATTCTCACCTGCCCACACAGGCAGGGCTGAGGCAGCTTGCAGTGCCCACCCAGGTCCTCTGGTGTAGAGGCAGCCATTTTTGCTCTGGACAGACTTGTCCTGGGGCCTGTGCACCACCGCTGCAGAAACGGGCAGATGCAGCCTCAAAATAAATGAATCTCCTTGTGCCAGGTAGCTGGCCTCCTCATAAAAGGATGGATTGGACTGGTTAGAGAGATCTCGACACTTGTGTTGCAGATCCATTAACGTCAGCCACACGTTAATTCTGAGCAATTTCCAGGTGATCCAATAATTCATTAAACTGACAAAAACAAATCTTTGGAAAACCAAGCTGGTGACAGATAGAAAGCCAATGATTTATTGTCTGGAGAGGAATAAGTGTCTTCCTTTCCATTCTTCAGTCTGTTGAGTGGATCGAAGTGTGCAGTAAGAACAAGGTAGGTGTGAGTTCTACTTAATGGGCATTGTTCAGGCCCAATGTGGCATTCATGTCACACTGCTTGCTTCATAAAGTATTTGGGGGAAGGAAGTATAATGTAGCAGGAAGACCTGGACACTGAGGTTGGGTAAAACTGAGTTTGACTTCCTCCTCTGCCAGTTATTAGCTTCTGTGACCTTGGGAAAGTCACTCCACCTTTCTGAGCCTCCACTGGTTCATCTCTTCAACTGGGGTAATAATATATTTTCTCCTGTACTCATGTCTGCATATAATAAATGAATATGATGAAGTACAGTGCCTAGAACATTATAGGATACTCAATGAATAGCTAACGTTATTGTTATTTGTGATAACAAAGAAGATGGGTGAGCTTTTTTTCCTTTGGTGTGTATATTAGTTCATTCTCACAGTGCTATAAAGACATACCTGAGACTGGGTAATTTACAAAGAAAAGATATTTAATTAGCTCATGATTCTGCAAGGTGTACAGGCTTCTGGTTCTAAGGAGGCCTCAGGAAACTTATAATCATGGCAGACAGTAAAGGGAAGTAGGCACATATTCACATGGCCGGCAGAAGAGAGAGAGAGAAAGGGGAAGTGCTACACACTTTCAAACAACAGATCTCGTGAGAACTCCGTCATGAGACAGCACTAGAGGGATGATGCTAAGCCATTAGAAACCACCCCCATGATACAATCACCTCCCACCAGGCCCCACCTCCAACACTGTGAATCACAATTCAACATGAGATTTGGGTGGGGACACAAAGCCAAACCATATCAATGTACATACATCAATGTGAGCCTACAACAAGGCATTGTCTGTATTCATACTGATGCTGCAAGAATGTTATAGAATACTTGCCTAGACATGCAAAGAGAGGAGACATCCAAGACAGCACTTTTTTTCCAAGGCAGAGTCTGAGAAAAAATGGGAAATCAGAAGACTAAGAATATGAGTGATAGGATTTGGGGGGTGCTGGTGAATAGGAATAAAAGGGCCCTAGGCTTAAATAGAAGAATTAAAGGAGGACAGCTTGGGAACTTACTTCCAAGCAGCAGCGGAGAGGATGAGTCATGTGAAGAACAGAATAATACTTAGAAAATGATGCTGCAATTGGTTTGAAGTCTGGATGGAGAAGGTGACTTCTGAACTTAGACCTGCAATATGTCAGGTGTGGAGGAGACCTCAGACACCAAATGGAAGAACTGATTTTCTTTAAACTCTTGTACTTTTGGCTGTTCACTATCCTTTTCATCATCTGGTAATAGCATTTCTGTATTCCCTAAGGGCCCACCCCTCAAAGGTGCATACGTATCTCATTTTCTGTATCCTTTCAGCTTTTATTTATGGGAGCTCTATCACAGCTATAGCAATTCTGGACAGAAATTGTGATTTTCTCAGCTGAAAATACCTAAAAGCCACAAAGATGCCTGAAAGGGATGAATTACCATGGATTACTGTTCTCATAAATAGATTCCTGGTCTAACTAAATGCATTTAGGGGAGTATCTGTTGGAAATCCATTAGACAAGGCTTAGTTGGAGCCCATGGACCCTAAGAACCTCCAAGAGGAACTTTGAACTTTGGCACCCCCAAAGTGTGTATGAGAAGCCTTTAACTTGGCCTGTCTTCTAAAGATTGAAAATGAGTTTGAAATCATAGGAGGCCTGGGAATGCTTAAAGTATAACTTGCCCACCATTGGAGGTATGCTCCCAAGTATTCACCAGTTCTTTCTGTAAGAGAATCATACAACTCTCCACTATTGTAATGGGGCTTGGGCTGCTTTCTGAGGGGGGAGTAGACTTTTTGACCCACTGATGTCAGGTTTGTCCCTGTGACTTGTTTTAGCCAATGGCATATGAGTCAATGTACTGCAAACCAAGTTCAAGCAGAAGTTTTATAATTGTATGTTTTTATCAGCCCTCTTTCTCTTTCCCTCTGACCCATGAATGCCATGTCTTTGATAGAGGAAGTTGCTTCAATCTGGATCCTGGAATCAGAAGATGTATGGAGCAGAACTGCAGCTGAGCTGTGACTACCAGCATAGGATAAAGAGAGAAAAAAACCTAAGTTGTTGTAAGCTGCTGAAATTTTGGGGATGCTTGTTACACAGTGTCATCTAGCAAAAACTAACTGACATAGGAAGTGAGAGCAGCCACTAACTCAAAAGCTGGTCATTAAACATTATAACAGCAGCCAGAGATTTTTTTGAATGCTAACTCTTCCAACTTAATCCCGTGATATATTAGCCCTGCTCTTTCCGCTGATTCAAGAGTTTGACGGCTCAATGGATCTGATCTTTGCAGTCTAAGTGCATGTGAAGAGTGTGTGTGTGTGTCTGTTGTGTGTGCATGTGTGAAGCTTCTCACGTTGTGCCCAAGTCAGAAGGACACATGTTCCTGCTTAAAGCTTGGATGACTCCATCTTTAAGAGTTGTGCTTCCCAAAGTAATTATACGTAGTCAGATGTTCATCATTCAGGGGCTGATTATTCCACCTCTTTCTTTCTCAGTATGGATTTGAATCATCTCATGTACATCACAGCTGAAGACAATAGTGACTGCAAGAAACTAAAGGCAAAGCCCAAAGTCACTCACTTGCCTATTGACTAGTCACTGTCAGAAGGGAACAACAATTACATGCCAAGCACTGTCTAGGTGCTGAACATACATGATTGAATGTAATTTTTATGGCAATTCATAAGTATCATTGTTCCCATTTTACAGATGATGAAACTGAGGCTCAGAGATATTAAGCCTCTTGCCCAGAATCATATAACTTGCAGGTAGAGTTGGAATAGAGCATAAGGTATTTGTCTATGTTTTTCCTGACTTTAGTCAATACAAAAAAACTTAATTTAAATGGTAGATAATGTCAAATAAGATGAAAACAACATCTATATACCATTTAGAAGTATTTGGGCTGAGGAGTTCCTGTATAATAATGTGATAGAAAAATGGAAGCTAAGAGGCAAACTCACAGTCTTGAGATCACAGAGAGAAAGAACAAGAAAAACCAACACTGAGGACCAGCCCTTTTGTCCACTGTGCCTAAATAGGCTCCCTGGAAGATCTTGCAGAATGTGGTAGCAATGGAGGGTGAGAAGACTCTATTTCTATTTTAGGAGATTTCTCCTTTCGCTCAAAGTAAAAAAGCAACAGCTTTTGTTTAAACCCCTAAACAAACTGTTTATTCTCTTACCTCATGCAAGGAGAAACTGAGAAATGCATGACGGTGCACTTTGAGTGGTAATATTGTCCTCAGCCCATGTTATTAGTGATGCAATGGAGGTACTTACCACTGACATACATTTGTGATAATTTATAAGACTGGTTAGCTCACACATTGCATTTGAACTCTTGCCTGTCTAGAGAGTTTCTTGAATATAAAGCAATCACCTAACTTGAAGCCAAAGTAAGAGTGAAAGAAATCCCAGAATAGTCTAGGTTTGGCAAGTGCTGATGGATTACTTAGTTCTGTGGTTCTCAACAAGGGGGAATTTTGCACCCACAAGGCAATGTCTGGAGACATTTATGTTTATTACAACTGGGTGGAGCGGGGAAAGTCACTACTGGCAGCTAGTGGGTAGAGGCCAGGGATGCCGCTGAACACCCTACAATGGACAGGACAGCCCTCCTCGACAGAAAATTGTCTGCTCCAAAATGTCGGTAGTGCTGAGGTTGAGAAATCCAGACTACCTCAATGCTCCTGCTTTGACCAACATCCAGAGGCAAAAAGTGGCTTACTCAATATCACACAGCAAGTTAGTGCAAGATCTGGGCAGCAGAATAATCTGCAATTGTTAGAAGCACAGGCTCTGGAATCTGAATGTTCGGCTCTGGAATCTGAATGTTTGGCTTTGGAATATGAATGTTTGGCTCCAAATCTTGGGTTTGATTCTTACTAACTGAGGAACCTTGAGCAAGTCACTTAGGCTGTCTGAGCCTCAGGTAGCTCATCCAGAAAATAGGGAGAATAATGGCACCCATCACAAGGTCTTTGAAGAGGATCCAATGAGATAAAGCACATAAAGGACTTGGCATAGAGTGTATGTACAGTATGTTTTCCATTTATCATTAGAATTCTGTACTTTCTTAGCAGGATTCAGGTAAGAAATTAATTTTAATTTCACTAATATAGGAAAAGAAATTTCTAATTAAACATTGTCAGCTTTTTCTATGTCCTGTTAGAGGAGAAATCTCTGAATCACTAAAGACCAATTCAATGATCTCTTTAGTCTCATGAATGTAATCCAAGGAGGCGCCACTAGGTATGAAGAAAGGGTGCATGCAGCAGAACACAAACATTTTTCTCCTTTAGTTTGATAAGCTCAACACTGCTATGCACTATTATAAAGTGATAGAGGGTGTAGTACGCTGATTAATGACCCTTCTTTGATCTCATCCCCAAAGATATCCAAGTTCTAATCCGTAGATCCAGTGACTGTTCTCTTATATGGAAAAGGGGACTTTGAAGCTGTGATTAAGTTAAGGATCCAGAGAGAGAGAGAGAGAGAGAGAGAGAGAGAGATTATCTTGAATTATCTGGGTTGGCTCTAAACGTTATCACAAGGATCCTTGTAAGAGGAAGCCAAGATGGTCAGAGGAGGAACAAGGTGAAGTGACCATGGAAGCAGGGGGGGGAATGGTGATGTGATGTGTAGCCATGAGCCAAGGATTGAGGATAGCTTCTAGCAGCTGGAGAGGGCAGGGAGGCAGATCTTCCCCTAGAGCTTCCAGAAGGAGCCAGACCTACCAATACCTTGACTTTAGATTCATTTGGGACTTCTGACCTTCAGAACAGTAAGAGAAGAGGTTTGCTTGAAGCCACCACATTTGCAGTAAGTTTTTAATTTGTTAACAGCAGCAATAGGTAACTATTACAGAGGGTTATTCATTGCGGGGAATGGAGGGCACATTTACACAGGGGGCTGAGTCCCTTTCTGGGGAGAAAGGAATTGAGATGCTGACCCCATTCATTGTTGAGGTTCAAGGTTATCCGATATCTCTGCTGACTCATGTGGCTGTGACTGAGGTCAGCCGGCAGCACAAACCATGAGGGACAAAAGAGGGGGACTCACCGCAGTGGAAGAGACAGCTGGACTTGGGACACAAGAGGAGACTAAGGCTTAGGTTGTCCTGGGAGGGAGGCTGGTCCTGGAGAGTGTGAGGCCATGGTTGAGACCTTTCTAGAAACATGACTCCAGATGCAAGTTAGGAACCATGGCCTGTTATGATGAAAAATCTGGAACAGACATTGTCTTAAGATGGGGAGAGATGACCATAAGTGACAGACCTGAGAAACCACAGCATCAGTTTTGGGTCAATGCACAGTGGAAGTACAGGGTGCTGTTGTGATGGACAGATTTGAACCGCAGCATCCTGGGGGCAGCGTTATAGTGAGAGGGAGAGAAAACAGAAGCACCAAGGATTTTAGCAAGTTATCAGGCTAAACTGAGGAAAACAGCACCCCCTCCTGCTACAACCATAGATGGACATGACATTGTAAACCCATCAAAATACCCAGCAAGGGCTGGATGTGGTGGCTCACATCTGTAATCCCAGCATTTTGGGAGGCTGAGATGGGTGGATCACCTAAGGTCAGGAGTTTGAGACCAGCCTGACCAACCTGGTGAAACCCTGCCTCTACTAAATATAAAAAATTAGCCAGGGGTGGTGGTACATGCCTGTAATCCCAGCTACTTGGGAGACTGAGGCAGGAGAATGGCTTGAACTCAGGAAGCAGAGGTTGCAGTGAGCCAAACTCGTGCCATGGCACTCCAGCCTGGGCAACAAGAGCAAAACTCTGTCTCAAAAAACAAAACAAAAAAAACCAGAAAAGCCTGAAAGTCAGTGAAGGAACTCCTCAGGGGCCAGAGATGACAGCCAGGCTGTAGTGGTGGTATGTAAGTTTCAGAGATCTGATTATGGGCCAGGAGACTGCAGTATGGGGTTCAAACACAGAAATGGGAAGTGAATTCAGGCTCGCAAAAGGCAGAGAACTGGGGCAACTCTCCCTAAAATCTAGAGCAGTGGCTCTCCTTAGGTTAGTACTGTCAGAGGCATTTGAACCAGAGTGACCCCATCTTGAATAAGGGCTGGGTAAAATAAGACTGAGACTTACTGGGTTGCATGACCAGGAAGTTAGGCATTCTTAGTCACAGGGTGAGATGGAAGATCTGCGCAAGATACAGGTCACAAAAGCCCCGTTGACAAAACAAGATGCAGTAAAGAAGCCAGCCTAAAGCCACCAAAACCAAGGTGGTGATGAAAGTGACATTTGGGCATCCTCCCTGCTCATTATATGCTAATTCGAATGCATTAGCATGCTAAGAGACACTCCCACCAGTGCCACGACAGCTTACAGACGTCATGGCAATGTCCAGAAGTTACCCTATGTGGTCTAAAAAAGGGAGGAACCCTCAGTTCTGGGAACTCCGCACCCCTTTCCCAGAAGACACATGAATAATCTACTCCTTGTTTAGCACATAATCAAGAGAGAACTGTCAGTATACTCAGTCACGCAGCCCATACCACTGCTCTGCCTATGAAGTAGCCATTCTTTTGTTTCTTTACTTTTCTAATAAACTTGCTTTCACTTTACTCTGTGGACTCCCACTGAATTCTTTCTTGCGTGAGATCCAAGAACTCTCTCTTGGGGTCTTGACTGGGAGCCCTTTCCATTAACAGTACTGCCTCCTAGGGGGACATTTGGGGAGGTGGGGGTGGGCGTGTTTTTTATGTTTCTGTTATGATGGCAGGAGGCACCAGTAGCATTTAGTTGGTAGGAGCCAGGATACCAGACATCTGGTAATGCCCAGGGCAGTCTGACTCAAACAAAAAACTCCTGCCAGCCTGTGCAGAGTTCAAATGCCCGCTGAGAATTTGCATAGGCAAAAAAATCCATTCATTACTCTAAGCCTATTGCTATCTAGGTGAACTCTTCTACACATAAACGTAAGACTTTTTTTTTTTCACTTTTAATACACACTAAAATTTTCAGAAATTTCAATACGATGAAAATCAAGGCAAGCTGGTACTTTATATGTTTGGGACCACAGGAAGAGTGGTTCACTATCTTGGAAAATCACGTTACCCATGGCAACACCGGTCCTGGTGTTTGCATCACCCTATCTGCCCCCATTTCCGCCTGTGTTCGTAGTTGTCACAGCTGTGGTGATTCTACACTCAGGTTCATGCATTTTATTATTCCATTAAGTCTCATTGTGCCTCAGCAGTTACTCGCCCTGATGCCCTGATACCGCGTATGTGAGTTAGGAACCATGGGTCTCTGGTGGATGAAAAATACATATGATAATAAATTAGTTTTCAATTTTTAATATAACATGGCATTTTTAAATAGTTACGAGTAGGTTCTATTAGCTGTGATTTTCATTTCAAAACAGTAAGGAAGATATTACAAATTGTTTACTAGAAAAACAGCCATTGGATCAGGTCAGATTGAAAGTCATTGGCCTGGCATCTCCAAGAGCTGTCCCATCCATTGCAGAGGAAAGGGAAAGATTCTGCCAGCCAGCCTGGGGGAACTGCAAGGAGGCTGTCTGTCTATTGTCTGTCTGAGTCCTCTGGATGCAAGAGAAGAAAAATGTCACCTGTGAATAAATCAACCCCTGATCACTGGTGGCCTCTGCAGGGTAGAGGTTCCACAGTCTGGGAAATGAACACAGCCACTGTTGAATGAAGTCAAAAAGTCACGGTCAGCAAGCTGGGAACAGAGAGAGGCAGGTAGACTTGGTAACCACAGAGCTTAGTGACCCTCCATGGGGCTGTCAGCGTGCTGGAAGAGTTGGAGAGGCAGGGAGCTCTCTCATAGAAACTTCTTGGCAGCCCTGTAGTCATCCAACAGAGAATTTCAAAAGCTCAGGGGAAAGGCACAGAAATCAGTAATTCATGATAACCCAACCCTGGGATGCAAAAGAAGTTGTAGTTATAAATTCACTTCCTAGTAAGGGGGCAGGTTGCGAGGTTCACTAATCCTCATTTGCTTCATCTGCAGAAGAGGCAAAAGAACATCAACTTTGTCAAGACCGGAGACTCTTGACTGGAGGAGACTTTCCCAAGGACATTCTGTCATGTCTGGAGATATTGTTGATTACTGCGGAGATGGGGGTGGAGGGGTTGCTACTGACATCTGGAGAGGAGAGGCCAGGGATGTCGCTGAACACCCTACAATGCACAGGACAGACCCACAATAAAGAATTCTTTGTTTCCCAAATGTCAGGAGGGCTGACATTGAGAAAGCCTGGAGGAAAGAACAAAGGTCATGAAATGATGCTTAAAAAGAGCTGGCATGACTCCTGGCTCCTTATGGGGGCTCAGGAAATATGACTGCCCTGCTGGAGTCTAAGCATCCACGGGTGTTGCTATTTTCAGACCTGGAAGTAAGGGAACACCGTCACCATTGATTGCATTAATTGCTACAGATATCATCACCATTGTCCTTGTTGTGATTATTACTAATGGCTGGTATTTACTGAGACCTTGCTTAGTGAGGTCCTGTTCTCTGTGCTTTTCATGTTGTGATTCACAACTCTGTGAGGTATATGAGGTAGTTCTTATTATTACCTTTATTTTGCATAGAAGGTAGTTGAGTGCCTATATAAGAGGAGCTGACCACAGGCAGTACACTCGTATGTCAACCATTTTCACAGGGTCTTTTATTTGTAATCAATCAATTAATTAATTTTCCATTAGTGAGTATAGTTGACAAATACAATTGTATAAGTTTAGGTGTTTGGTACAATGATTTGATATACATTGTGAAATGATTATCACAATTAAGATAGTTAACACAGCTGTCACCTCACTTACATTTTTTTCTTTGGCAAGAACATTTAAGATCTACCCCTTAAGCAAATTTCAAGCATACGATACGGTGTTGTTAACTATAGTCACCATGCTGTACATGAAATCCCCAGAACTTATTCATCTTTCCACTAAAACTTTGTACCCTTTGACCAACATCTCCCTGTTTTCTTCTCCCCCGATTCCTGCCAACCACTCTTCTACTCTCGGTTTCTGAGTTTGGCTATTTTTGATCCCACATGTAACTGAGATCATACAGTATTTATCTTTCTCTGACTTATTTCACTTAGCATAATGCCCTCAAGTTTCATCCATGTTGTTGCAAATGGCAGAATTTCCTTCTTTTTTTTATGGCTGAGTAACACCCACTGACGGGCACTGAGGCTGTTTGTATGTCTTGACTATTGTGGATAATGCTGCAGAGAACATGGGAGTACAGATAGCTCCATCAGCGATGGATTTTGTTTCCTTTGAGTAAATTCCCAGTAGTTGGATTTCTGGATCATATGGTTATTTTTAATTTTTGAGAAACCTCCATTTTCCATAATGACTCTACCAATTTACATTCCCACCAACAGTACCCAAGGGTTCCCTTTTCTCCACATCCTCACCAACTCTTGCTATTTTTTTTTTTTTTTTTTTGATAATAGCTATTCTAACAGGTGTAAGATGACATCTCATTGCCGTATTGATTTGTAGTTCCTTGGTGATTAGAGATGTTGGGCACCTTTTCCATGTATCTGTTGACCAGTTGTATGTTTTCTTTGGAAAAAGTCTCTAAAAACCCTTGACTCATTTTTTAATTGGATTTGTGTTTGTCCGGTTTTGGTTTTCACCATTCAGTTGTATGAATTCCTTATATATTTCAGAAATTTACCCCTTACCAGATATATGGTTTGCAAATATTTTCTCCCATTCCATAAATTATCTTTTAATTTTATTGATTGTTTCTTCCGCTGTGCAGAAGATTTTTAGTTTGATGTAGCCCTACTTGTTTTTGTTTTTGTTGCTTGTGCTTTTAGCGTTACATCCAAAACATCATTGCCAAGATCAGTGTCAAGAAGGCTTTCCCCTATGTTTTCTTTCAGAAGTTTTACAGCTTATGGTTTTAAGTATTTAATCCATTTAGAGTTAATTTTTGTGAGTGATGGAAGATAGGGTACTTAGTTTTGTTCTTTTTTTCATAGGGATCTTCTGTTTTTGCAACACCATTTATTGAAGAAAACTATCTTTCCTAGTTGTGTATTTTTGGCAGATTCGTCCAATATTAATCGACTATTTATGCATAGGTTTATTACTGGACTCTTGTTTTTCTTTTCTTTTGTTTTTTTTTTGAGACAGAGTCTTGCTCTGTGACCAGGCTGGAGTGCAGTGGCATGATCTCGGCTTACTGCAAACTCTGCCTCCTGGGTTCAAGCGATTCTTGTCCCTCAGCCTCCTGAGTAGCTGGGATTACAGGCATGCGCCACCATACCCAGCTAATTTTTGTATTTTTAGTAGAGACAGCATTTCACCATGTTGGCCAGGGTGGTCTCAATCTCCCGATCTCGTGATCCGCCCACCTCAGCCTTCCAAAGTGCTGGGATTACAGGAGTGAGCCACTGCGCCCGGTCCTGGGCTCTTGTTTCCATTCCATTGGTCTCTAGGTCTGTTTTTATGCCAGCACCATACTGTTTTGCTTACTGTAGTTAGGTAATATATGTTGAAATCAGGAAGTGGATGCTTCCAACTTTGTTCTTCTTTCTCAAGATTTCTTTGGCTATTCAGAGTTGTCTGTGGCTCCAAACAAATTTTAAGATTTTTTTTTAAAAATTACATGAAAAGATGCTATTGGAATATTGCTAGGATTTCATTGACTCTATAAATTACTTTGGGTAATATGAACATTTTAATAATATTAATTCTTCTGTTCCGTGAACACAAGATATCATTCCATTTATTTGTGTCTTCTTCAATTTCTTTCATCTATGTCTTATAGTTTTCAGCATACAGATGTTTTACCTTCTTGGTTAAATTTATCCCTAAGTATTGTATTGTTTTTGATGCTATTGTAAATAGGATTGTTTTATTTCTTTTTCAGGGAGTTCACTGTTAGTCTCTAGAAATGCAACTGATTTTTGTATGTTGATTTCATATCTTGCAACTTGACAGAATTTCTTGTTGTTGACAAACTGAGATTCTAGATTGCCTGTCTTAAACTTCTTTAGTTTCTCTAGAATGTCTAGCACATAACTGGAAAATAGAAAAGGAGAGAAACTAAACATTTATTTGGTTCCAAGCACATATTTGTGTATATACATATATTTGTTTCCAGTTGATTCTCATTATTTGCAGATACTGTATTGGTGATTTTGCCTATTCACAAAAATTTATTCATAATCCCAAAATCAGTACCTGCTGTGCTTTTGCAGTCATTCCCAGGCATGTGCAGAGTTGCAAAAAAGTTGAGTTACCCATTGTGTTTATCCCACCTGAGACCCAACAAGGCCAGAATCTGCTTTCTCGGTTCTACTCTCATACTATAAATGAGTATGCATCTTGAAGTTTACTTAGCGCTATGCTTTTCATACTTTTGTGCCTTTTGCTGGTGGTTTTTGCTGTTTAAAATGGTCCCCAAGCCTAGTGTTAAAGGGCTATCTAGAGTTCCTAAGCTCAAAAATTCTGAATGAATGAGAGTTTGCATAGATAACAGTAATGTTAACTCCTTCAAGACCAAGGTTTCTCAAGGTTTCTTTGTTTGGTACCATGTCAAACAAAGATGCAAAGTGTTGCACTTTGTGATGTGGTTTATGGAGAAAAATATATATTTGTTAGATAAGCTTCGTTCAGGCATGAGGTATAGTGCTGTTGGTTGTGCATTCAATGTTAATGAATCAATATATATTAAATAAGGTGTCTTTACACAGAAATATATAAAACAAAGTTATGTATTGATCAGTTGATGGAAATGTCATGACTGGAGGCTCAAAAGAACCAAACCTATATTTCCCCCCAGGAGTAATGGTTCAGTATTTAATAACTTAGTGGTTGTGGAGACATTATTGAACCTAATCATAGCAAATAATAAGAATATACACACAGAAACACACACCACACACACACACACACACACACACACACACACACACACACACTTTTTTGATCTCATTTTGTATTTCCAGCCACCTGTAAGGTAGGTACTATTATGGCCACTTGACAGATGAGGACACTGAGGGTCTGGGAAGCCAGGCAGTTTGCCAATGATCACAAAGACCCAGAAACCAAACCCAGTTTAGCCAGAATTAATCTTCCATGCTCTTTCTAGAGAATGTCAACTTTTTTTCTTTTCTTTTCTTTTTTTTTTTTTTTTTTTTGAGACAGGGTCTCACTCTGTCCCCAAGGCTGGAATGCAGTGGCAGGATCATGGCTCACTGCAGCCTCAACTTCCCAAGGCTCAGGTGATCCTCCTGCCTCAGCCTCCCAAGTAGCTGGGACCACAGCCATGTGCCACGATACTAGGCTAATTTTTTAATTTTTTTTTTTTTTTTTTTTTTTTTTACAGATGGGTTCTCACTATGTTGCCCAGGTTGGTCTCAACCTCCTGGGTTCAAGCATTTCACCCACCTCGGCCTCCCAAAGTGCTGGCATTACAGGTGTGAGCCACCATGCCCAGCCCAGAATTTCAATATTTGATGATTGAATCAAGTCATGTTAAACATGCAAAAGTACTTGCATTTTTAATTAGTTTTTTTTTTCTTGTTTCCTTCTCTTCCCAACTCAGGAAGAGGTAGAGTCCAGGGTGGATCAGCACAAGCAAAAGACACTTCCAAGGACTGTTTCTAAAACCCACTTTACTACATCCCAAAACAGGACAAATCTCATGCTAGCGACTTTGGGGAAGCAAGTATAAGTTTAAATACACCTTTCTAACCTAAAAGACAGTGAATCTTAAATCACTACAATATCCACATTTTAACCTTTTTATTGATTTCTTTGTTTTAGTCTGTAAGACAGTTTTTTTCTTATTTTTTAGGTTAGCTAGACTCTTTTATAATCTTTTAGTTTGTGATTTTAATGTTTTTGTTTGCTTTGTTTTGAGAACTGAATGACTTCTTACACTGTCTTTTTTATCTTCATCTGTTCGGATCATAAAAATGGTCTATAAGCCTAGATCCTCCAGTGAGAAGAAGCTCCATCTAAAGATGCTGGATCTGTGCACTGCCACAGGAAACATTATAAAGATCAGGTCATGTGATCCACAAGTCAGCTGTGAACACTCTTCTGTTCTCTTAAAATCGACTCAAGCCCCCAGTTTCATACTCAGCTGGAAAATTTAATCTCTGCTCCAACATTTCTGCTGATTTCAGCATCTTATATTCTTACAATTACCTCTAATTCTAATTTATTGTTAATTTCGCCAAAACTTCACTCTGGGGATGCCAACAGAGATATGGATGTCAGAAACTTTTTTTCAATTTTCTGAGTCCAGAATTTACAAAAGGCATTTACTTAGGTATGAAACAGTCTTAAAGGAAGATTTGAGGTGATGAACGACTTCTACCCAGCCCACAACTTGAAAATTGATTTTTAGGCACACGTGATCTTAAAAATCCTTCAGCTATTTCTATTTATGATTTTTTTTTAATTGACCATTCCTGCCCCTTTTGCAGGATGCTTTCCTATGACTTTTCCCTATTCCTCTCCCTATTTCTCCCAAGCCAAATTTTCTGGGGTACATCCCTGGTCACTAATTCTTTGTATTATTTTCCTTACATTTTGGAAGCTTATTATTAAGGTATTTTTCTTAAAAAAAGAAAAACCAGAATCACCTAAGAAGTATTTTTATCCTAGCTATAAAAATAACATTTTCACCTCTTTTCTACGGAGTGGAAGCTCCTTAGAAGAGAGGATTCGAATGAGTTTACCAGGGATTTAAAGAATCAAGACTACGGAGGTGAGGCCAAAAATACCAGCATATGAATAGCAATTGTACTTTGCATCTTTGTCTTTATTTGACAAGATGCCAAAGAAACCTTGAGAAACCTCAGTCTAGAAAGAGTTAGCATTACTCTGATCTATGCACACTCTCATTCATTCATGCATGCTTTAAGCAAATAGTTGTTGAGGTCAAACTGTTGTCAAACACTCTTTTAGGTGTTGGAAATAGAGTAGCAAACAAGAGGGACACTTTCTCACTGGCTGTTTACTTTTGTAAGGAGAATGTAACTCACTCAATTTCTAGTCTCAAATGCTGTCACTTTCAAACAAAGATGGCCAAAATCAACAGAAAATGTGATGGTGTGCATTAACCAGCCCATTTTTGCTGTGTGAGTTCTCACCATTTCCTGGGCACATGGAACAGATTCTAGTTGAGAAAACATTCCCCTTCATTCCGAATAGAAATATTAACTCTAATAATTACTAATACTTATGTAGTGTTTGCTTTATGAGTGTTTTACATTATTTCACTGCATTATTTAACTCACTTAGTCTTCACCACAAGCCAAAGAGGCAGGCATTATTTTTACCCCATTTTATGGATGAGAAAACTGAGGCAGAGAAGTCACCCAAGATAGTTACAAACCAAGACAATTTGGCTCCAGAATTTATGTCCTTAACTGCCATGCTATTCAGCCTCTCTATGATTTTCACAAATAGCAATGCCAGGTGACTGCTGCGTTCAGTGATCCAACACAGAATTATCAGAGCACCAACGTCATGGGTTAAAATCTTGCAAAATCCTGTTCACAAAAGCAAAGACTTGGAACCAACACAAATGCCCATCAATGATAGGCTGGATAAAGAAAATGTGGCACATATACACCTTGGAATACTATGCAGCCATAAAAAAGGATGAGTTCATGTCCTTTGCAAGGACATGGATGAGCCTGGAAACCATCATTCTCAGCAAACTAACATAAGAACAGAAAACCAAACACCGCATGTTCTCACTCATAAGTGGGAGTTGAACAATGAGAACACATGGACACAGCGAGGGGAACATCGCATACAGGGGCCTGTCAAGGGGTGGGGGGCTAGGGGAGGGATAGCATTAGGAAAAATACCTAATGTAGGTGACGGGTTGATGGGTGCAGCAAACCACCATGGCATGTGTATACCTACGTAACAAACCTGCACGTTCTGCACATGTATCCCAGAACTTAAAGTATAATAAAAAAATTTAAAAAAAATCTTGCAAAATCCTTCAAGTGTCAGCCTGAACACCACTTTCAGAGAGCAGTCTTGTCCAGCTCTCATGCTTGGATCATTCCTGTTATCACACATTCTCACTTCATCACATGCTCCTTGGTGACCTGTACTGTAATCAATAAGTAATTATTTGTGTAATTACTTCATCTCTGTCTCCTCAGCTAAAATGCAATCTCCATGAGAACAGGGATCATGTCCCTCTTGTTAGCCACCCTATCTCCAATACCTACAAGAGTGTTTGACACATGGTTTGGCCTCAACAACTATTTGAATGAATGAATGGATGCAAACATGAATGAATGAGAGTATGCATAGATCAGAGTAATGCTAACTCCTTCCAGACCAGGGTTTCTCAACCTGGACGCTATTGACATTTCAGGCCAGAGAATTTTTTGTTGTGAGAGCTGTTGTGTACACTGTAGAATGTTTAGCAGTGTCCCAGCCTCTACCCACAACCCCAGTTGTCACAACCCAAACTGTCCCCAACATGCATGACTTTCTGATTGAATGAGAGGGTGACAGATGAACACAATGATATCTCTTATTCTAGGGAAACAGAGAATACAGCATTTTTGAAGGCTGAATTTTACTAATAAGACCAGCTTATTATAAAAATGTACTTTTGCAAATCACGTTCTTTGGGAACAAATATAGGAAGGAAGGTTTTATTTAAGAACGTAGATGTCTTATTTAATAATGACAGCTATCATTGTGAAGTACATATTATAAGCCTGTGTTATGCTAAGTGTTCTATATCATTATCATTTAGTTCTTATAACAACTTGGTGGGTCACAGAGGCCCAGAGAACTTAGTAACTTGACCAGTATTCCATGAATGGTAAATAGGAGAACTGAGATTGGAACCTAGGTGGGTCTAGCGGATGGCAAAGCCTTTGCTGTCAGCCACCACGCTAAGAGTCCCTTAGTGATCTTAAAGTCTTGTTTTTGCAAACATTTCTGTATATGCTCTAAACCCCCATCTATATTTATGAGAAGCCATCTGGAAGACAAATAGGGGTGCCTCCAGGTGTCCCAGGACCTGACACTTGCAGATATGTGCTGAATAACTGAATGATTAGAAAGGTCTTTCCCACTCCAAGTTTATTAAAATTAAGTTCCCATTATTTATGAAAGGATATGTCTATTTCTTATCTAATTCTTGTCCACATCTAAACAAAGAAGTTTCACCAAGTCTTCAGTCACTAGAGCTTCTGTAGACTCATGCCTTCCACACTTGCCCTTTAACCCAAAACCACTTGTTAAAATATTTCTCCTAAAAAAAAGATAGTCCCCTCCCTACGAAGGCAAATTCATAGTAAAATTCCCACCTCATATATATACATTCTTTAATTAGGTAGGGAATATTTTCCCTATTTTACCAATGGGGAAAAAATGGAGCTGCACTTATTAGTAAAGGGATGGTCCAGAATGTTTCCTAAAGCCCATTAATAGATGCATATTTTTTTTCAGTAAATCCTTTTCTGTATTTCTAATGGAGACTATGAAAATGAGATATGAAGTCTTTCCCTAGCAATTCAGGCAGGATGATGCCTTCCGACTCTTTTTGTTTCCTTTTGGGTCATGTCTGATGCTCTGAAATTCTCTACCTGCCTGACTGTTGCTTCAAGACAGTGGGTGTGAGCCAAACAAATCTATCCAACCATTTGTTACATCCCAAAATGGTACCAGTGAGATAGAAGGCCCCAGGTGATGGGGCCCCAGATGCAGATCTGAATATTCTATTCTAAGAAGAGCAGTGGAATAGATGGCCCCTATGAGGTTTTTGATGGAAACCCTGAAAAAACAAATCAAAATATAATAGCTCCTGCTGTCGGTCCCCTCCCCCTCCCCCCAAACCCTAGCCTGGAACTGGGAGGATTTGAGTGGGCCACAAGAAAACAGATGGTGTCACCAGAAGAAAGGAACTTGTTGTCTGAGAGCGGCCTTTCGAGGCGTAATATGTTCTTTGAGGGACGTGTTTCTCTTGTGATGGAATCAACGCAGGCAGAACATGCTCTCTAAAGAGATCTTCTCTCTGAGTCCAATACTTCTCAAAGAAAGAAAACCGTAAAAGAATACAAAGGCAGTGTCAATTTTCTGCTCTCCAGCTGCAAAAACTTGCACTTGAATGCGACCCAAGGATAGTTTTCGGAACTTGTGCAGTGTGGCTGAGTACTTTTTATAGGTTGCAAGAATCTGTGATATGTTTGATACCTGTTTGGATACTGGCGCCCCTTTTGGACAACAGGGTCATTGGAGGGAGAGGCTCTGGCTTGCTCATTTTAGAATCCAAGTTACACTGAGCACAAGATCGGGCAAATACGACGTGCTTAAAAGGGAGAAAGGGTGAAGGCAGGGAGAGACGCCAGGTTTGTGGAATCAGTATAGAAGACAGCCGCATCACCACCCGCTTCATTGCTACTTCAACCTTTAAACTAGGGGTCCTAACCTTCTGTTGTGGCTTGGACCCCTTTGGCAGTCAGATGGAGCTCGTGGATACCTTCTCAGAATAACGTATTTTCAAAAATACATGAAATACGTTGCATTTCAAAGAAACTAATTACATTGAAAAATAGTTATCAAAATATTTAATAAAACAAACGTGTGAAATGGTAATGAATGAGCTTTTTTATTAACACATTAAATAAAAAGATCCAATGGCATGTGTAAAGACTTCATAATTATGAAACAGCAATAAGGGTAAATGATATTTTGAAATACCTGCAGCACTTGTAATGTGATAATTACTTGTGGTTTCTACTGGGGACACAGTACCAGCGACATCACCACTGCTGTGGTTTATTCCGTCACTCCTAATTGAGGGGCATGCCAAATTTCAGTTAGATGTTCGTGAGAATGAAGACACATTTTATTTTTTCTCTCTGAGTTTATGACCTTCCTGACTTCTATTGGCAGATCAGGGTAGAAACCTCTATGGTCAATATTGGAGTGACACAAGGACCAATTCCTCAGGCCCCTTCTCTTCAATGTCTGCATTCCTTCCTTCCACTCTAGCTTCTAGTCTCCTGGGTTCAAATGTATTTGCTTATATGCTAATGAGTCCCAACTTTCTGGAACTCTCTCCAGACATTCCCATTGAAGAGCAGCTCAGCATGAAAGTCTTTTTTTTGTTTGTTTTTTTTTTTTGTTACTTTTTTTGAGACATAGTTTTGTTCTTGTTGCCCAGGCTGGAGTGCAGTGGTGCAATCTTGACTCACTGAAGCCTCTGCCTCCTGGGTTCAAGAGATTCTCCTGCCTCAGCCTCCCAAGTAGCTGGGATTACAGGTGCCCGCCACCACACCCGGCTAATTTTTTTTTTTTTTTTTTTTTTTTTTTTTTGCATTTTTAGTACAGACGGGGGTTTCGCCATGTTGGCCAGGCTGGTCTTGAGCTCCTGGCCTCAGGAGATCTGCCCTCCTCAGCCTCCCAAAGTGCTGAGATTACAGGCATGAGCCACCGTGCCTGGCCTGAGAGTCTTGCAGGCAGCTCTCTTAATCCATTAGAGCTGCTACCGCAAAATATCATTAACTGGGTTACTTATGAACAACAGAAATTTATTGCTCACAATTCTGGAGGTTGTGAGGTCCAAGATCCAGGTGTCTGGTGTCTGGAGAGGGTTCACTTCCTGGTTTACCAATCGTGGCTTCTTGCTGTGCCCTCACATGGTAGAAGGGACAAGAGATCTCTCTGGGGTCTCTTTTATAAAGACAGTCATTCTATTCACCAAAAGCCACTGTTACTACCACCTCCAAAGGCTCCACCTCCTAAAACCATAGAGATGAAGATTTCAACATCTTAATTCTGGGGAAACCCAAACATTCAGATCAAAGCAGTTATCTCATCCTAAATGTGTCCAAATGGGTCTCAGTCCCCCCCCCTGCATCACACTTGTCCAACTGCAGTCTCACCCATTTCAGTAAATGGGGCTCCATCCTCCTGGGGGTGGGCAGGCCAAAGAACTTGGAGTCTGACTCTTTCCTTTCTCTGTCTCACCTACATCCAAACTATCAGCAAGTCTTGTCAGCTCTGCTTTCAAACCGATCCACGCCCCACCTCTGCTTCTTGCCACCTCAGGGCTACCACCTCGGGGGAGGCCCCGCTCACCCCTCACCTAAATGATTGCAGTAGCTTCTTAATTATACCCCTCCTCCTCTTACACCTCCCTAAAGTCTACTCTCAGCGTAGCAGCCAGAGTAATCTTTCAAAAACAAAAGGCAAGGAATGGTGGCTCACAGTGGTTATCTCAGCGTTTTGGGAGGCCAAGGTAGGATGATCACTTGAGCCCAGAAGTTCAAGACCTGCCAGGGCAACATGGCAAGACTCCATCTCTATTTTTAAAAAATATAAAAAATAAGCCAGGCATGGTAGCGCATGCCTATAGTCCTGGCTACCAGGGAGGCTGAGGCAGGAGGATTGCTTGAGTCTAGGAGTTCAAGACCAACACAGGCAACATAGTAAGACCCTATCTCTATTTTTAAAAAATACAAAAAATTAGCCAGGCATAGTGGCACAAGTCTGTAGTCCCAGCTACCAGGGAGACTGAGGAAAAGGATCACCTGAGCCCAGGAATCCAAGGCTACAGTGAGCTGTGATTATACCATTGCACTCCAGCCTGGACAACAGAGCAAGACCCCATCTTTAAATAAATAAGTAAATAAATAAATAAATAAATAAGTGATACAATCTGTGAGGTCCTCTGTTCCAAACTCTCCAAAAACCTTTTCTTTTCACCAAGAGTAAAATTCAGTCTTCTGACCACGGACTGTGAGAATCATATAACCCTATTACCTCTCTGACGTTACTCAACTAGCTCCAGCTACTTTGCCTCCAGTAATTCTTCAAATTCACCAAGCCAGTTCCGACTCCAGGGCCTTTGCCCATGCTGCTCCTCTGTGGGAACACTCTTCCCGCATGCCCTTCATACCCTTCCAGTTTTTTTTTTTTTTTTTTTTTTTTTTTTTGAGACAGTGTCCCTCTGTCGCCCAGGCTGGAGTGCAGTGGCACAATCTTGGCTCACTGCAATCTCCGCCTCCCAGCTCCAAGCGATTCTCCTGCCTTAGCCTCCTGAGTAGCTGGAATTATAGGCATGCACCATGCCCAGCTAATTTTTGTATTTTTTTTAGTAGAGGTGAGGTTTCACCATGTTGGCCAGGCTGGTCTCGAACTCCTGACCTCAAGGGATCCACGTGCCTCAGCCTCCCAAAGTGCTGGGATTACAGGCGTGAGCCACTGGCCCTGGCCTCTTCCAGTTTTTGGTCAAATAAAATCCTATGAGTGAAGCTTCCCTTAACCACCCTATGTAAAATAATTCTACTCTCCATCCCGGCACTCATCTTTCCCAGTTATCCTGCTTCATTTTTCTTGAAAGCACTCATCACCATTAGATACACCAAACATGTACTTGTTTTATTCATTTATGGTCCTTCCCCTTGTGTTGGAATATAAGTGTTATGATGGCACAGACTTTGCCTAGATTGTAGACTGATGTAGCACTAGGACCTAGAGCTGGGCACTCAGCAAATATCTGTTGAGGGGCCGGGTGCAGTGGCTGACGCCTGTAATCCCAACACTTTGGGAGGCTGAGGCAGGTGGATCACTTGAGGTCAAGAGTTCGAGACCACGGCAAAACTCCGTCTCTACTAAAAATTCAAAAATTAGCCAGGCGTGGTTGTGGATGCCTGTAATCCCACCTACTCAGGAGGCTGAGGCAGGAGAATCACTTGAGCCCGGGAGGCTGAGGTTGCAGTGAGCTGAGATCGTGCCACTGCACTCCAGTCTGGGCGACAGAGTGAGACTCCACCTCAAAAAAAAAAAAAAAAAGAAAAAAGAAAAAAAAAATTTGTTGAGTGAATGAATGAATGAATGAATGAAGTGGTTGGCTTCTCATAAAACTGCTTCTTTACTTTAAAAACACCACAGGATCCACTGTTAGCACATGAAGCCGCCACTTCATAATGAGCACATAATTAGTTAGATCATCCCACATTCATGCATGAACTAATATGGGCCATCTCATGCCTTTTTACTGAACCAACCAAGGCAGTGACAATGGTAATAGCATGGACCTAGGCTGGCCCTCTTCCCCTCACACCTGAGGCATGCTGTTTCTCAGCTGGGTAGATAGATGAGGCACTATGTTTAATTGCTAGTGAAAATATTTTCCATTTTGGTGTGCTTTCAAGTTTGCAGGTTTTTTTCTATACATTAGATTTAATCCTCTCTAGTGCCTCAGAAAAAGTTGCTTATTCACTCAATATTTGCGTAAGATTTTATTCATACTGTGAGCATAGCATGTTAAGTTAGTTACATGTTTATCTACCTCTTCTGTTGGTCTATGAATTTCTAGAAGGAAAGAATGTTTGTATTCTCAAGGCTGAGCATAGTATCTGGCAGATAGCAAATGCTGATCCAATATTTGTTGATAGTATTATTATCTAATATTTACTGAGTTATTTCAGTGTCCTTATATTAAAATGGGGATACTATTAACAGCCCCTTTCAAGACTGCTGTGAGAGTGGAAAGAGTTAACCTAAGTAAACCACTGGGAACGTGTCTGGCACAGAGTAAGCATTCAGTATTAGTCACTGTCCCTCCTGTTGATGATGTTGTCATTTGAACATCTATTTAATGTACTCAAGTGCTTTCCTTAAAACAATTATGTGTGATGATAAACCAGCCATAATCATGATAACACTGAACAGTTATTGAGCAGCTAATAAATGCCAAGTTTGAGGCTACTTTAAAAATGCATCATCCAATTTTCACAGCAGCCATATAAGATACATACAATTCTCAATTTAGAGAAGGAGGCACAGATTCAGAAAGGTTAAGTCGCCTTCTCGAAGTCACATAGCAAAGAAGTGGCAGAGGTGGGATTTGAACCTGAGCCGCTCTGACTCCAGGGTCCTAACTACTATCTTATGGTGGGTGGCATTGCCTTAATTCTAAAAAAGAAGAAACAGAGACATGAAGAGGGCAGTTAACTGGATCAAAGTCACAGAGCTTACAAGCATTAGAGCTGAGATTTGTGATAGAAGAATTTCCTCTGAGCCAGTGGGCCAGAGGTACTGTCTGGGGTCTGGAATGCACTTCATAAGCACAAACAGAGATGGAGGAGATGGTCAGATGTCTGGATCATCCCCTGAGGGTGAGTTAATTTCGTGCTGTTAAATGAATCTGAAATTTGAAAGCATACTGAATAAAACCACGCATTTTCCCTCATCCTAATGGGACATTAAACAGCTACTTACATAATGAATTATTTAACTGCTGACTGATAAGTGCTGTAAGGTGCAGGGGCTCTGAGAGTTCATGGCAGGAAGTCCTGCCTGAGCCTGGGTCAGAGGAAAGAAACCACAAAAACAAAGATGCACGCCTTCCAGCAGGAGGTTATGGTAATTTGCACAAACCTCACTCCGGTGGGGGGCCTGAGAAGAAGCTGAGGCGCACCTTCCAGGGGAAACAGGCTTCGGAGAATTAAATGATCTCTTGCATCTCCTCTCAATCATATGATGTAATTATTGGGAAATGTCACATGCAGCTTTTTTTGCAGGGACAGGTGTGTGCGAAGAAAGGTAGGCAGGGTTAATATTTTTTCTTCTGGTTTATGAGTTTCATTGATTTTCCTAGAAGGAAAACCCTTATTTGACCTTGTTCCCACAAGCAGGTTTGGCTTGGGATGAGAAGTCTGGCAGCTGTTCAAAGGCAGATGCTCCTGGCCTGAAGCCCCAAGGGACGTCAAGAGGCAGCGAGACAGGAGCAGGAAGGTGGAGACAGCTCTGTGCGCCTGCAACTCTGACTTGTCTGCTCCGCCACATCCAGCTCATCACCCAATTGTGCAAATTTAACTCCTAAAACTCCCCCCAATCTTCCCATTCCTCTCAGCCCCATTGACAGCACCCCAACGCAAGATGCCATCATTTCTTGAAACAGACACTTAACTCATCCCTCACACTCCATTCTTGTTTCCTTATAATATCTTCTCATCTGAGCCAAAAGTGACCTTCTTAATACATAAAGACATACATCACTGTCACCTCCATCTTCTCAAAACCCTTCAGCTGCTTCTCATTGCACTTGGGATAAACATAAAAAATCTTTTTCCAAAGTTGGGCACAGCAGTATGTGCCCGTTGTCCCAGCGAAAGTGGGAGGATTGCTTGAGCTTAAGAGTTGAAGTCCAGTCTGGGCAATACAGCAAGACTATGCTTGAGGGGGGATGGCGGCCAGAGATACTGTAGACACACTGAATTTGGGGATGCTATTTAGTTAGGATTATGCGTGGCTGTAAGTTATAGAATTGCGATCAATGGTAGTCTAAACAATCTCTTATCTTACTAACAAGAAGACTGGAGGCAGACACCCCAAGGTTCGTTCAGCAACTTGATCTTGTCCCTAAAGACCAAGTTCCATTCCAATATGGACTTCCATTTTTAGCATATGGGCTTTTTATACTCATGCTTCTTGTCCCATAGTTACACGGTGGCTGCTGTTGCTCCAGGCATCATGACTATATTCAAAGACAAGAAGGAGAAGGTAAGGAGGGAAATTCAGGACATTAAGAAAGGATTATATCATTTCTTTCTCCTTATATCAGGAAGGAAATATTTCCCAAAGTTCTCCAGCAGATAGCTGCTGCTGTTTCACTGGTTAAATAGTCCTATGTGGCCATCCCTAACCACAGGGGGAGTTGGAAAATTAGGGATCAAGCAAGGGGAAACAGGAGTGCTATGAATGGCTCAGATCGATCATGATTCTCATTCTAGGGCTTGCGTATTGTACCCTTTCCCCGCCCTGCCCCAAATGAGATTGAGATTCTGTCAGGCAGGAGGGCTGACTATTTAGTAGACAACCAACAGTGTCTGACAGAGGGTGGAAGGTGGGATTGGGTTTTATTCAAACAACCACCTTCTGAGTGTGAAAAATGGCAGCTACCTCTTGACTTCAGTACTGTGAAAACTGCCACTTGTTCCAGCTGAGCCTGCTTCTCTTGGCTCATACATTCCCAAGAAGATGACTGTGCAGAGCGGCAAGAGCTTCCCTGTTTCTCAGAATATTCTCAAGAAATAAGGCTACATTAATAATTTGTTTTCTTGGTATGGGCCATTCGGTTGCAAAACAATATTGCAGTCATAGCACGATACTTCCCTTCCTCATTTACATTCACTGTTGGTTTAATTATGCTTTTCAGTCAGAATACTTATTAATTTTATAGACCTACCTGAAAATTAAATTGGATAAATTCCTTTTGCCTGATACCTTGAAGAATGTGTTTTTCCAAGCTGTTGATGGGGCCCGCTTCGGCCCCGTGCAATTTTGTTCCCCTTTAAGTTCATTTGCAAATAACACTGTGTTGGTTTAAAGGGCATTCATCATTTCTGAGCAGGAGAAACACTGCAAACTGCAGCCCAATTCGGAGGAAAGTAGGAGGACAATGGAGAAAATTGCCAAATATTTTATTTTCTCATTGGAGAGGGGAGTCATTGAGTGAGGCATAAAATTTCCCTTAGGATTCCATGAATCCATCTTGCTGGTGAAGAGAACACTACGTGTTACTGGAAGGCATCAGCAAAGCCACAGGGTACCAAAAGGACACAGAGCAGGGACCTTCCCAACTGACCAGGGCTAAAGCGGCTCAACGTGAGAACAGCAGGCAGTGTATTTATTCATTAGACATTCACTGTGTCTCAGGCACGATGGAGCTAAAAACGCAATTAAGACATATTACCTACTCTCAAGCAGCTTGAATTTTCATAGCAGTAGACAGGCAAATAAAGGCACAGTGATGATAAAGTGTGTCTATCATAAGGTAGAAAAAGCACAGAATGCTGTGAGATTCCAGAAGCAGTACAACACGCCCCTAGCCTGAAAGCTCTATGAGGATGGGAAGTGTATTTATGCTATGCTGTGCTGTAACTTTGCTGCCTAGCCCCATGCCTGGCATTCAGATATTTAATAATTAGTTGCTGAATTGAATTGAATTAAAATCAATCCAGCCTGGTGGCATGTATTATTTAGGTGTGGTTAGCTGCTATAACAAATAAATCTCCAAATCTCAATGGCTGTAACACAGTAGAAAAATGCATATGTGTGTGTGTGGGGTGTGTGTGTGTGTGTGTATTTGCTTTTTCTTCACAAAGATCACATCAGATCTGAGATGATAGAGGGTGTCTGTCCCAAGCTGCTATTTGAGAACTGAAGCTTCTCCCATCCTGGGTCTCTTATCATCTTCTGAGTCCTCACCCCCACTTAATGAATAGAGTACAAAACAAAATTAAAATTCTAAGGCCCCCCAACCACCTGAAGAGACCCCTCCTTTAGGCCAAGGGTCAAGTTAACCTGAAAATCAAGTTCAGGCCACAATGAGAAGTGGGATTGGGACATGCCTCATTACAGCTTCCTCCCTTTTGCAATTACTGATGGAACAGACTCTTTAAGTCTGGTAAGAAACATTTACAATCTATTCTTTCTGAAGCCTTATACCCAGTGGCTTCATCTGTCTGATATAATGTTGGTCTCCACAATCCCTTATGATAATCCACAGCCAGCTAGCTACCTAGCTAGCTTGCTTGCTTGCTTGCTTGCTTCCTTCCTTCCTTCCTTCCTTTCCTTCTTCCTCCCTCCCTCCCTCCTTCCCTTTCTTCTTTCCTTCTTACTTTGAGACAGAGTCTCACTCTGTCATCGGGGCTGGACAGCACTGGCGCAATCTCAGCTCACTGCAACCTCTGCCTCCTGGGTTCAAGGGATTCTCCCACCTCAGGCTCCTGAGTAGCTGGGACTGCAGGCATGTGCCACCACACCAAGCTAAGTTTTGTATTTGTAGTAGAGACAGGGTTTCACCATGTTGGCCAGGCTGCTTTCAGACTCCTGACCTCAAGTGACCTGCCCACCTTGGTGTCCCAAAGCGCTGGGATTACAGGCTTGAGTCACGGTGCCCAGCTCACACATTCCTGTCTATTGATAATAACATTTTCAACGAATTGCCAATCAGCAAATCTTTTAATCTACCTATCACTTGGGAGCACCAATTCCTACCTTATTACCCCCAGCATTTCCAGTTGTCCCCCCTTTCTGGACTGTACCAATGTATATCTCACATGTATTGATTAACTCCTTATGTATCCCTAAAAGGTACAAAACCAAGATGTGGCCTGACCACCTTGGGCAGATGTTCTTGGGATCACCTGAGGGCTGTGCCTGGGCCATTGGTCTCTCATATGTGACTCAGAATAAATCCTTTCAAATATTTTACAGTTTGACTCTTCGTCAACAAAAGGAAAAGAGAAAAGAGAGCCACTGGGAAGTTTAAAGGGCTAGGATTAGAAGTGGCACTCAATGCTTCCTCTTGCATTCCACTGACCGGAAGTCTTACATGGCCATATCTAAGTATAAGGCCGGAAAATACAGTCAGATTAAGTGCTCAGGAGGAAAGGATATAGATTTGGTAAAAACGTTACTGGAAAGCGGTCCTAATCCAGACCCCAAGAGAGGGTTCTTGAATCTCGGGCAAGAAAGAATTTGGGGCAAGTCCACAGTACAAAGTGAAAGTAAGTTTATTAAGAAAGTAAAAGAGTGAAAGAATAGCTACTCCATCAACACAGGAGGGCGTTCCTGAAAGTAAAAGGAGAGACGTGGCCACCCTGGGTACAACGCTTGCTTATATATAGGATAACAACAACAAAACCACAGGGAGATGTGCTCTATTACAAGGGTTTGTGATAAAGGGTTAATTTTCCTAATTACTATATATTGCAAGAATCAATATTATTATCTCTAAAGCAAAATTAGGAAGGCTTCTGTCAGAGGCGTTTGAACCGGAGCAACTCTATCTTGAATAGAGGCTGCATAAAATAAGGCGGAGACCTATTGGGCTGCATTCCCAGATGGTTAAGGCATTCTAAGTCACAGAATGAGATAGGAGGTTGGCACAAGATACAGGTCATAAACACCTTGCTGACAAAACAGATTGCAGTAAAGAAGCCAGCCAAAACCCACCAAAACTAAGATAGCAACGAGAGTGACCTCTGCGCATCCTCACTGCTGCACTCCACCAGCGCCATGACAGTTTACAAATGCCATGGCAACATCAGGAAGTTATCCCATATGGTCTAGAAAGGGGAGGCATGAATAATCCACCCCTTGTTTAGCATATCATTAAGAAATAACCATAAAAATGGGCAACCAGCAGCCTTCGGGGGGCTGCTCTATGGAGTAGCCATTCTCTTATTCCTTTACTTTCTTAATAAACTTGCTTTCAAATTTGCTCTAGGGACTTGCCCTGAATTCCCTCTTGGGCCAGATCCAAAAACCCTCTCTTGGGGTCTGAATTGGGGACCCCTTTCTGGTAACACTTCTGTTTTCAAGATATCAGGATATCACGGCATTCCTGACTCTGGGTCTGTTTAGTAAAGGTTCTCAATCTGCTCCCTTAACTGTAAACATCCAGAGACTAGGAATTCCTAACTTCCTGGGAATGCAGCCTGGCAATTCCCAGCCTTATTTTCCTAGCCCTCACTCAAGATGGAGTCGTTCTGGTTCGAATGCCTCTGACAAAAACTTCACTGTTTTTTATATGTAGCTGGAAAAGTGGTCCCAAACAATCTTTAAGATGAATAGGAGATATCCCCAATGATAAGGAGTAAAGAACATTGCAATCAGAAGGGTTAGTGTGAATAAAGATAGCCTGGGGTTCATAAATGGTGAAAAATCACATGCACAGTAAGATAAGGCTGTAAAGTGAGGCAGAAGTTAAGTCACAGAAGGGATTTTACACTATGCCAAGGAGTTTATACCTTGTCCTAAGGGCAACTGGAAGCCACTGAAGCTTTTTGATTAAAAGGGTAGGGTGGTCAGCTTTGCATTTTAGAACAATGCCTTTGGGCTAGGTGTGGAAATTGTGGGGGGCTATCATACACAGAGATGGAGAGGATAGATTTGAGAAATATTAGAAGGTAAAAATGGAGGGGCTAGGTGGCTGAGTGTGTTAGAGGTTTTTGAACCAGAGCAACTCTATCTTGAATAGGGGCTAGGTAAAATGAGGCTGAGACCTACTGGGCTGCTTTCCCAGATGGTTAGGCATTCTAAGTCACAGAATGAGGGAGGAGGTCAGCACAAGATACAGGTCATGGCCGGGCGTGGTGGCTCACGCCTGTAATCCCAGCTCTCTGGGAGGCCAAGGTGGGTAGATCACCTGAGGTCAGAAGTTTGAGACCAGTCTGGTCAACATGGCAAAACCCTAATTCTACTAAAAATACAAAAATTAGCTGGGCCTCGTGGCTCATGCCTGTAATCCCAGCTACTCTGGGAGACTGAGACATGAGAATTGCTTGAACCTGGGAGGCGGAGGTTGCAGTGAGCCAAGATCGTGCCACTGCACTCCAGCCTGGGTGACAGAGTGAGACTCCATCTCAAAAAAAAAAAAAAAAAAAAAAAAAAAAAAAAACAGGTCATAAAGACCTTGTTGATAAAACAGGTCTCAGTAAAGCAGCCAGCCAAAACCTACCAAAACCAAGATGGTGATGAGACCATCAACCAAGATGGTGATGAGACCTCTGGTCATCCTCACTGCTACACTCCCACCAGCTCCATGACAGTTTACAAATGCCATCTCAAGGTCAGGAAGTCACCCTATTGGTCTAAAAGGGGAGACATGGATAATTCACCCCTTGGTTAGCATATCATCAAGAAATAACCATAAAAATGGGCAACCAGCAGCCCTCGAGGGCTGCTCTATGGAGTAGCCATTCTCTTATTCCTTTATTTTCCTAATAAACTTGCTTTTGCTTTGCTCTATGGACTCTCCCTGAATTATTTCTTTTACAAGATCTAAGAACCTTCTCTTGGGGTCTGGATCAGCGCCCCTTTCCTGTAACAATGCCAAGGAGTTTGCAACCCGTCCTAAGGGCAGTTGGAAGCCACTGAAGCTTTCTGATCAAAACGGTAGTGTGGTCAGCTTCGCATTTTAGAAGGATGACATTGGGCTTGGTGTAGAAATTGTAAGGGGCTATCATTACACACAGAGATGAAGAGGAGATAATAGACTTGAGAAATACTTAGAAGGTAAAAATGGCAGGGCTAGGTGGCTTATTGGATGTCAATCAGCCTCTTTGTCCTTTCTGTGAACTCCCTTCCCTTGTCTTCTCATTCTGAGTACCCTAGCTAACCTTCTCCACCTGAATGCTTAGTCCAAGTTGTGACCAGATCCATTTGGCTCTGGGGGATTAGACTTGGTGCCATTTATTAGGGATATTGGATATATTCCAATCTCGACCCAAGGATCTGGCAGGGCAAAAATTATTACTGAAATTCTAAAATGTAGATAAATTTATCTAGAATTTATCTGGGAATTCAAATTTATCTGCCTAATCATTGTTCATTTTATGGCCAGAAATTTATAGACAGCCCCATTTTCTGAACAGAAATTCAGAGATACATAAAATTTTCTGGAGGTGTGCTTTACATTGATAAAGTTGGGGAGGGGGTGCTAGATGGGAAGGAAGTGCTGTGGCTGGGGCAATACTTTCCCTCCCTATAGCGACAAGTGTCACTGGTCTTCCAAAGCAGTACTGTGTAAAATATCCCATAAAATGGGGAAAATGGTAACATAAACTAGTATTGGTGCTAAACTAGTGGTTTAGCACTCACGCTATGGCATTAGAGGTTAGATCCTGCTTTCCTAACTTACTGGTTGTGTGACCTCTGATAATCATTTGACTCCACGGGAGTTCAGTTTTCTCAGCTACAAATGAAGGTAGCAATAGCTCTAGTCCTGCAAAGTTGTTATGAGATGTAATGAGATAATATGCATTCAGTTCTTGGAAGACTGTAGGAACAAATTAAGTGTAATCTTTATGGTGAGAGAATGGCTACTTTCCCACAGACAAGACATTTGATTCAGCTGCGTATGTTCTTTAGCCATATCAATGGTAATAAATATGGGTTGAAAGGATTGATTTAATGATTTGACAAATATTTTCAAATATATTCAACATATATTGTGTATATAATATGTGCCTAATTTTGGAGACACAGTGTTGAAAAAGAGCAAGCTTCCTACTCAAATTGAAATTTAATTGTAGTGTCAAAGAAAAACAATGAATAACAAACAAACATGCAATATGATGCTAAGTAGTAATACTGTTATGAAGAACAAATAAAGGAGGGTAGAAGGTATAGAAAGTGACAGGAGATGCTTTTAGGTAGAACAGAGGTCTGAATAATGCAATGAATTAAAGGGTGAATGAGGAAATGAATGAGGAGCAGAAGGAAGATAAAGCAGACAGTGTGATGGTAGCTTCCAAGAACACTTCAGTCCAGATAAAAATGTGTAGGATGGATTTAGACTTTCCAAACATAAGGTTAACTTTAAGAGTCTAGAAAGTGATAAGTAAATTAAAGCAAAAATAAATAGAAGAAATTGATACAAAAAATAAGAGCTGATATAAAGAAATAAAAAAGCAAACAGATAAAAGCAAAAGTTGGTTCTTTGAAATGACCCACAAAATTGATTAACTGTCAGATTGCTGAAACAAAAAAGAGAAAACACAAAATACCAATATCAGGAGTGAAGGAGACATTGTAACTACAGATCCTACAGACATTAAAAGTTTAAGAAGAAAACATTAGGAATAATTGACAACATATTCAATAATCTATATGAAATGGTGACATTCTTTGAAAAATAAAACTCACCAAAATTGACACAAGATGAAACAGAAGATCTGAATGATCCTAAATCTAATAAAGAGATTGAGTTGGTTTTCAAAAACATCCTCACAAAGAAAACTCGAGGCCCAGATATTTCACTAGTGACTTCTATTACGCATTTAAGGAAAGAATAATAACAATCTTATATGAACTTTATATGAAAATTAAGGATAGAACACTTTCTAACTAGTTTTATGAAGACAGCAAAACCCTTATACCAACACTTGCCAAAGGTATCACAAAAAAATCATAATTACAGATCAATATAATTTATGAATACTTCTCAAAATAAAAAAATGCTTAACAAATTGTTCACAAACTAAATCCAATAATATATAAAAAATAATAATATGTCATGAACAAGTAGAGCTTATCCCAGGAATGTAAGGTTGGTAATTCACCATATTAACAGAAGGAGGATAAAAATCATATAATCATTTTAATAGATTCAGAAAGCATTTATCAAAATTCAACACACATTCATGAATAAAAACTCTCCACAAATTAGGAATATAACAGAACTTAATCAAGTTGGTAAAAGATATCTGTGGGAAACCTATGGCTAAACATCACACTTAATGCTGAAAGACTGAACACTTTTCCAATAAAGATCAGGAAAAAGGCAAGGCCATTTTACCACTTTTATGTGACATTGTACTAGAGGTTATAGTCATTTCAATAAGTCAAGGAAGGGACATAAAAGACATAAAGTTGAATGCTAGACATAAAACTGCTTCTATTTGCAGATGTCATGAGTGTTTATGTAGAAAATATTAAGGATTCTAGAAAGCAACTACTGCAAATAATAAAGCATTTTAGCAAGGTCCCAAGATACACAATTAATATCACAAAAATCAGTTATGATTTTATATACTAGCAGTAAACAACTGGAAAATGAAGTTAAAATTTTCACTTAGCCTCAAAAAACATATAATACTTAGAAATAAATTTAACAAAACATACATGAAAGTTTTAAATTGACCTATTAATATAAAACATTCCTGAAATTAAAGGACATTAAATAAATGGAGAGCTATATACCATGATCATAGATTGAGTGACTCAAAACACGTGGTAGGATGTTTCATTTTTCATTCATTCTTCACCCAACTCCAACACACACACACACACACACACACACACATACACACACGTGCACACACACATTGCTTCTTCTCCAGCTTTAAAGTTATCCAACTGAAAATTTAATATTATTTTATTGTGGTAATGTGAGATGAATTAAATGTCATTTTACTAAAGATGTCTCCCCACCTATGGCCTATTAAAGCACCTGTAACCACTGTATGAATCACTCCAAAAAGTCACTTTCTTAGTGGTAGAACAAGACTCTGCACGATGTAGACTCTGCATACCTTCCCATCCACATTTTTCAGATTTACTGAATGTTTTGCTCATTCCATCTCTAGTCCATTGGCCTTTGCATTTGCCATTCATTCCGGAAAATTTCCTTCCCTCCTGTTGCAAAACCATTAGATCTCAGCTTAGACAAATACTCTAGGAATAATGAAATGTCTGCCGTTCCTCCAGGAAGGGTCCCACCCCAATCACAGACTGAACAATGTTTACACATAAACACATTCCCATCTCATTCATGTAAGTACAGTTTGCAAGAAATCTGCGATGCAAATGTGTACATATTTTCAACCAATGCTTGTGGGGAAACATTGTGCTTTGGGCCATTTCAACTTCAAAATCTAATGAATCTAATCATTCCAAATATTCTCATGGGATTAATAACATATCTTATATGTATAAAGCATGGCCTCTTCCCATGAGTCCCGACTACAACCAGTGTTTTGGAGAATGTGTTTCACTCCAACATTCAGACTCCTGAGATCTTGATAGGTATGTAAATTGCCTGTCCAATCTCCATTCTCCCCTTTTTTCTTGGTAACAGAGCCCTGATTTTATTCAGAGAAGCAATACATCTAACTAAAGGTCTATATCCCCAGCCTTCACTGTAGTAAGGTAGGACAGTGTTGACTAAATTCTGACCTTTATAGAAGTGTTGTGTGGCTTTTCAAGGAATATTCTTAAAGGAAGCTGATTGGGGTGAGAACTATGTTTTCGGGGATTTTCCCTCTTTTTCCTTCCTTCCTGCTGTCAATAAAGTAACCGTGATGACCAGAACTTTAACAACTGTGTTTGACCATGAAGCTATCTTGAAGATGGAGTTGCTGTGGGCTCAGTTATGCCAGAGGAGACAACAAGAGGGGTAGAAACTACAATATCTGCTTTGGGCAACGTACCTCTGCACTGCTTTTCATGGGACAGTAAGCCTTTGAGAGTCCGAGCCACGGCCATTGAGCGTTTTCGGTTATTTGCAGCTGAACCTTATCAAACTAATATTGACAACTTGGGAATTTAACCAACAGGAAGTGAAAAACATAGCTGCCCCAGCCTCCAATCATACAGGAAAGGAGGAGAAAAGGGGGGAGAAGAGAGAGGAAGAAAAGGAGTTGAGGAAGAGGATGAAGATGATGAGGAGGAAGGGAAGGAGGAAGAGCAGAAGAACGATGAGAATGAGAAAGATGGGGAGGAGGACAGTGAGGATGGGGAGGAGGACAGTGAGGATGAGGAGGAGGATTATGAGGAGGAGGACTGTAACAGCAGCAAATACATAGATGGTGCATGTGTGCCAGGCCCTGTTACCTATTCTTACTGACTTAATCCTCTTAATCAACCCTATGAAGTCACTATTATCATCCCCATTTTATAAATAAGGCGAGGCTAAGAGAGGTGAAATAAATCACCTGTGGCCACACAGTTTATGGTTGAAACTGCTGAGTTTACTCCTGCTATGATCAAACCTCTTTCCTGTGTCTTTGAAATACTGAACAGCAAAGGCTGCAAGGATTGGAAACCCTTTTTAGAGATTTCAAGGATTGCCTTCTTGCTTTTTAGTTTTTCTTGGTCTCGCTTCCCCCAACTATTTTGTAGATTCCTTTAAAGGAAGGAGAGTAACATGGTTTGTGAAAAAAGTGAAATATAATGATATGATATATAATGTAAAAGTAGGCTTAAAGATACTTGAAAATAAGTAGTCATAACAGGGAAAACGGGCACATCCAAAAACTACAATCAAAAGTACAAGGGCACTCTTTATATAACATTCTCAAAACGTCAAAGTTACAGCGACATGCCAAAAATTATACAAATCAATGGTTTCCAGGGTTAGGGTTCGGGGAAGGCTGTGCTCGTCAATAGCATTGCACCAGTGTTAGTTTCTTGGGTAAAGAAGGGAGCTTCACCATTACCTCTGGGTCATCCTGGGCACCTCTGTGTTGACTGCCCAGGTCATATTCTGTTAACACGGCTTAAAAAAATTTTTTTAAAGGAAAACAAAAGTGACTTTAAACTCACCCCTGAAAAAGGTTATTAAAAGACAGTATTTACTTTACAAAAAAAAAAAAAAAAGCAACCCAACCTCTTTGCAGAAGTTCATAAAAATCCCTGTACGCATCAAGACTGAGAGGCTTTTCAATTATAAATGAGACTTTAAAAGGTAGACAGAACCCCTGAAGCTTCCACATACCACGCACCATTGTGGCGGATGGAAGGAAAACCGTCGCCCTGTGTTGACGGCGTATTTATAATTGAAGAGTTTGAGAACGCAAATGCAAATGAATCAACACCAACAGGGATGTCTAAAAGACATAAGTGAGAATTACGGCAATTAAGAATGTTGTCTCAGAGGAAATTAGACTGGGCCATTAATTACAATGCCTTAAAGGGAAAGAGGTCCCAGTGAAAATGCAATAAATTAAAATATCAAAAAGAAAATTAGTGGGAAGGAAACATGGAAGTGCCAATGAGAAGCTAATCTCAGAGGTGGTGATGGGGAAGAGAAGGGAGAAGGCATATTGAAAGCGAATATTGAAGAGGTGAGGCAGACCTGCCCAGGCTAAATCCTCCTGCCCTCCCTTCTTTTCTCCTCCTCTGTCTCCTTCCTTCCCTCCTTCCTTTTTCTCTCCTTTTCTTCTTTCCTCTCTCCTTTCTCACCTCCCATCTCTATTCTTTCCTTACTTTTCTTCCTTTCTCCTTCCTTCTCTTACCCCTCCATACTTCCCCCTTTCCTTCCTTCTCTACTCCCCCTTTTTCCTTCCTTCCCACCATTCTTTTCTTCTTCTGACCTTCCCTGCTCTCTCCTTTCACTTTTCCTGTCCCCTCCTTTCCCTGTGACTTCAAAGTACCAAATCCTAAGAGGCAGAGACACACCAGGAGCCATCGCTCTGCCCAGGGAGAAATTAGAATCTGCCTTGGGAAGCCCACACGCATCTGCTGCTGCCTGGCTGCATCTCCCCTGCCCTTGCCCTTTAAATCAGCTGCCAGGCTCCTCAAGGGGAGCAGCCACTAGACTGTCCCCAGTGAATGGCCCAGGTGTCCCTGCTCACTCCTGGTCCAGTGACACTCTAATGTTCCTTGGCTTTAAGTTCTCAAAAATCATGTGTATTTATTTGTCTCCTCAACTTGGCAGGGAAAATCTTGAGCGTGTGTGTGTGTGTGTGTGTGTGGTGTGTATGTGTGTGTGTGTTTTGTTTTGACATGGAGTCTTTGTTACCCAGGCTGGAGTGCGGTGGCACATCTTGGTCTCAAAGCAACCTCTGCTCCCAGGTTCCAGTGATTCTTATGCCTCAGGCTCCCGAGTAGCTGGGACTACAGTCATGTGCCACCAGGCCCGGCTAATTTTGTATTTTTAGTAGACACAGGGTTTCACCATGTTGGTCAGGCTGGTCTCAAACTCCTGACCTCAGGTGATCCACCTGCCTCAGCCTCCCAAATTGCTGGGATTACAGGCATGATCAACCACGCCTGGCCAGCTTTTGTTTTTTGATATAGGTACTAACCAGACCCTCTGGATGTGGCACCTCCTCTCTTCTGGTGTTCTTCCAACTCTACACCATGGACATCCTCTAACCCTACCTTGCCGCAATCCAGCATCCCTCTCTGCCACAGGCAGGAATGACCAATCCTCCAATTTCCTCACCTGTCTAGGCTTCCACATGACATTCTCAAGTATCTCTATGATAGGAAGAGTTGCTTTCTATGGTGCAAAACTGTCCCAACTTCAGTGGTTTTTTTTTTTTTTTCCTGTAAACACTTTTTACCTGCATAATGATTCACTTAATAGTACTCTTTAAAAAACCGCATTAAAAATTATTTTAAATTTCAATAGTTTTGGGGGGACAGATGGTTTTTGGTTCCATTGATAAGTTCTTTAGTGGTGATTTCTGAGATTTTAGTGCACCTGTCACCAGAGCAGGGTACCCTGTACCCAATATGTGGTCTTTTATCCCTCACTCCCCCAACTTACCTTCCCCCCTTGAGTCCCCAAAGTCCACTATATTATTCTTGTGCCTTTGAGTCCACACAGCTTAGTTCCCACTTATAAGTGAGAACGTACTATATTTAGTTTTCCATTCCTGAGTTACTTCACTTAGAATAATGTCCTCCAGCTCCATCCTAGTTGCTGCAAATGATATTATTTCATTCTTTTTTATGGCTCAGTAGTATTCTCTGCTGTGTATATACCATATTTTCTTTATCCACTTGTTGGCTGATGGGCACTTAGGTTGGTTCCATATCTTTGCAATTAAAAATTCCATTTTATTTATTTATCGAGATGGAGTTTCACTCTTGTCACCCAGGCTGGAGAGCAATGGTGCGATCTCAGCTCACTGCAACCTCCGCCTCCCGGGTTCAAGCGATTCTCCTGCCTCAGCCTCCCAAGTAGCTAGGATTACAGGTGCCCACCACCACACCCAGCTGATTTTTATATTTTTAGTAGAGATGAAGCTTCGCCATGTTGGCCAGGCTGGTCTCGAACTCCCGACCTCAGGTGATCCACCCGCCTTGGCCTCCCAAAGTGCTGGGATTACAGGTGTGAGCCACTGCGCCCAGCCAAAAAGTCCATTATTTTAAATTCAAATACTTTAGCCTCACCTGAAAGCAATAACATCTGTGAAACCAAGGCTTTTCTACACAAGTTATGGATCTTTTTCTTGTGAATATTAACATAAACACATGTCTACACAACGTAAAATGTCCAATCAGTTTCCTTCATGGGTTTGCCTCTTGTGAGCGGCAACACTTCTTGTACAAGAAACACTGCTGGGGTGAGAAAGTACAGGATACGAATTAAGTACAATCCAATTTGGTTTCACCACCTGCTGTAGGATGTTGGGAAAACTGGGTATTACCCTTGGATCCTCAGTGTTTCCATCTGAACACTGGGTATAATTATGTTTGTCTTTCTAACGGTTGTTTAGGGACTTAATGCATGTAGTAGGATACATGTATTTCCTTTCTCCATGACTATAACTCCTATCTCCCTATCCTGTGTGTTCAATTCACTAGGAGGCTGGGACAACTTTAATACCACTTTTAAGTACTGGTCAGATGTCTAGCCCCATACCTCATGTTTGCTTAAGTGGTGGTATGAGAACGGCGAGGGCGTCTGAACTTCTTTCAAAGTAGACCATAAGCTCTTTGATAAATAGGCAATATTTCACAATTCTTTGCATCACCTTGATGCTCACCTGGTGCCAAGCATATGGAGGTGCTCCATCAATACCTGCTGACCCACTGATTGATTTCCCATTCTGGCCAGAACTCTGAGCACAGTCAATGTGGGGCTCTGCTGGAGGTGTGGAGGTGAGGTCGGCTAACAGCTTCCATGGAGCAGACCTGGCTTTAAGACATGGCTGCAAATAGTTCCCCAAGCTCGAAGGCTTGCCAACTCAGCTACCATTTCCCATCTGTGTTTCTATTTTTCCTGTGAGAGTAGCTTTATTGATCTCATTAATTCTCTTTTCCATTTTTGGCATGGGAAGGTGATATTATCCACGCTTTAATGCCTTCTGTGTTTTGCAAATTACAGGATTACTATAGATGGAATGACCAAAAAAATAAAAATAAAAAAACACTGTTTTCACAGAATTGTGGCAAAAGCCATGAACTGTCCTTCATTTAAATAGATGGGGGTAATCTGTCCTGGGGGGTCCATTCACTCAGGTCCAAGGTCCGCAAACACAGAGGGAGAATTTTCTCTCAGCTATTTCTGTGTGAAGCAATGCAAATATTTTTCTCACTTGAACATTTTCGTTTTTGAATTACTGATGGCAGTGATAGGTTTCCTAATAAGGTTTCTTTTCTTCTTTTACAGCAATTACATTTGACTATTTTTTCTTCTCTTCATTGAACATTAGTTTGAGGAGGTCTTAAAAGGATTCATCTGAGGAATGCTGTGGCTCAAGGTTTGGAGTTCAATAAGTATTTTATGAAAAAGAAATCTCTGCTGCTCTGCTGTAAAGACAAGGAAAAGTACCTCTTATGCAAGTTCTTTTAGTTCGATAACTAATTAAAATCACAACCACCACTAAGAGAAAAGTTTCTCCTGATCTTATCTACTGCTACTTAGAACTCTTTACAAGAGAAGGAGAAAGAAAAATAAAATAAGTGATTTCCCCATAGACTGTGGGTCTCCCAGGACAGGTCTGCTTTATCTTTATGGGTCTCCCCAGAGCCTAGGTTAGTGTCTAGAACTGCGAAGGCACCTAATAAATGCTGACTAAAGAGCAAAATGAATGGACTTGTTTTCCTTTTAATTTTTTAATTGAAATATAATAATCTATATGCTCAAAAGTGCAGAAATCCTAATTAAACAGTTAGATACATTTTTACAAATTTGCAATCACCTGCAAAACCAAAACCTCAATCAAGAAACACAATAACATAACCCCAGAAATCCTGTACCCGCCACTTTCCAATCATTATCCTCCAAATATAACCACTGTCCTGACTTCTAACAGCACATTCTAGTTTTGCTTTTGGGATTATACAGGGTGTCTTCTTTTGTGACCATATTCTTCCATTCAACATTAGAATTCTGAACTCCATCTGTACTGATGCATATACTTTCAGCTTGTTCATTCTCATTGCTATAGGGTGTTCCATCATGGGTGCCATGGACTGAATGTTTGTTTTCCCCCAAAACTCATTGATTGAATCCCTAATTAGCAATGTGATGGTATTTGGAAATGGTGCCTTTGAGAGGCAATTTGGATTTGAAGAAGCCATAAGAGTGAGGCTCTTATGATGGGACTAATGCCCTTATGAAATGAGGAAATGACATGAGATCAATCTCTTTTTCTCTCTCTCCGCTTGTATATGCACCAAATAAAGGCCATGTGGACATATGAGAAGACAGCTGTCTGCAAACCAGGAAGAGGGCCCTCACCAGGCAACAAATTAGCTGGCACCTTGATCTTGGACTTTCCAGCCTTCAGAACTGTGAGAAATAAATATTTGTTATTGAAACCACCCAGACTGGGTGCAGAGGTTCACGCCTGTAATCCCACCACTTTGGGAGGCTGAGGCAGGAGTATAGCTTGAGGTCAGGAGATCAAGACCAGCCTGGCAAACATGGTGAAAACCTGTCTTTGCTAAAGATACAAAAATTAGCCAGGCATGGTGGCATGTGCCTGTAATCCCAGCTATTCCGGGGGCTGAGGCAAGAGAATCTCTTGCACCTGGGAGGTTGAAGCTGCAGTGAGCTGAGACTGCACCACTGCATTCTAGCCCAGGCAACAGAGAGAGACCTTGAAACGAAAAAAAAAAAAAAGAGAAAGAAAAGAAAAGATAGATCATCCAGCCTATGATATTTTGGTATGGCATGCAAAACTGACCAAGACAATGGAAATATGCCACAACTAATTTATCCATTCCACAGCTGATGGGCATTTGGCACCTTTAAGTTTGGAGCTATCATGAAATGCATTGCCATAGAAAATCTAATACGTGTCTTTTGGTAATCACATGTTTTTCTGTTGGGTTGTGTCCCTGGGAATGGAAATGGATCATAAGATGTGTACAGTTTTAGCCTTGGTGGAAGCTGCCCAACATTTTCCCAAAGGGTTTATACCAATGTATATTCCCAGTAACAGTACATAAACATCCTACTTGCTCCATATCCTTGCCAGCACTTGATGTTGTCAGTCTTTTTAATTTTAGCATTCGGGTGGGTGTGTAGTAGGATCTCATTGTGTATGTGTGTGTGTGTGTGTGTGTATGTGTGCAATTTCTCTTTATTTTGAGATAATTGTAGATTCACATGCAGTTGTAAAAAATAATACAGAGATATGTCATATGCCCTTCACTCACTTTCTCACAATGGTAACATCTTGCATACCTACGGTACAATATCGCAATGTGGAAATTGATGTTGATAGAATCTAACCTCAGTCAGATCTCACCAGTTTTGCCATGTATAGAGTCACTGATCATCACAGTCAAGGTATGGAACAGTGTCACTGCAAGGATCTTTCCTGCTACTTTTATATCCACTGCTATCTCCATGCTGCTCCCTAACCCCTGGTAACCACTAAACTATTCCCCATATCCATAATGTTGCCATTTCAGTAATGTTCTATGAATGGAATTGCATAGTATGTGACCTTTTGAGATTGGCTTTTTCCACTCAGCGTAATTCTGTCAAGATCCATCCAATAGGTTGGTTGCCTGTATCAGAATTGCATTCCATGAACAAACTTTTGAAGAAACTACGCATCTCATTTCCAAACAGTTATTTTTAGTAGTTTATTTGTTTTCTATTCAAGGGATGGCAAAACAGACTTGCACATTTTTTTCATTTGTTCATTAGTTTAATGAACATTTATAAAGTACCAACTGCATGTTGAGCACTGTGCTAGATGGTGAGCACCCAAGAGACACACAGGGCTCTGCTACGTAGGGTTTTCCGAAAAATTAGCTGGGCCTGGTGATGGGCACCTGTAATCCCAGCTATTTGGGAGGCTGAGGCAGAAGAATCACTTGAACCTGGGGGGCAGAGGTTGCAGTGAGCCGAGATCACACCACTGCACTCCAGCCTGGGTGACGAGAGCAAAACTCCGTCTCAAAAGACAAAATAAATAAATAAATTGGGGAGACAGACTTATACATTTAATAAGACAATACAGCATTACAGGTGGCAACACAGAGCTGTGCATACATTTCAGTCAGGAATAAAGAAGGAAATGGCTGACTTTATGAGGATAGGGTGGAAGACGAGTCCAGGAGATACTTTTTAAGGGCATGATGCATAAACCAAGTCTTGGAAGTTGAATAGGTTGCCTGATGTCTGTGGATGAGAGAGGAGGCAAGAGAAAAAGGGGCGTTTCTGAGCATAAAGAACAGCTTAGGCATAAGCATGGAGGCGGGAAGAAGTCGATACTCAATTTGGAACTCAGCACACCAGGATTCACTAAGCCTGAAAAGTGAGTGGGGCTGCTGAAGAGATGAAGAGTTAAGGATCACCATCTTTCAGGAACACTCATTCTTACTGAAGACACAGTCCCAAGCTGCTGCCCAGATGCCACCAGCAGAATCCTACTGAAACATTGAAACTGCCCTTCTAAAGTTTATACAATTAATTAGGGAAGAAAGGAGGGAGCTTACAGCACATTCAGCATTAATCATTAGGGAGCTTGCTCTCTGATCTGCTTCCTCACAGCTGTTTGGCGCCTATTGCCTCAGAATCACATAGACCCTGTGACAAGGTTATATTTGGTTGGTGCAAAAGTAATCTCAGTTTTGCCATTATAAGTAATGGTGAGGCCAGGTGCAGTGGCTCATGCCTGTAATCCCAGCACCTTGGGAGGCTGAGGCAGGTGGATCACTTGAGGTCAGGAGTTCAAGACCAGCCTGGCCAGTATAGCAAAGCCCCGCCTCTACTAAAAATACAAAAATTAGCCAGGCATTGTGGCATGCACCTGTAGTCCCAGTTACTCGGGAGGCTGAGGCAAGAGAATCACCTGAGCCCGGGAGGTGGAGGTTGCAGTGAGCTAAGATTGTGCCACTGCACTCCAGCCTGGGCAACAAAGACTCCGTCTAAAAAAAAAAAAAAAAGTAATGGCAAAAACCGTGATTACTTTTGCACCAACCTAATAGCTCCCCTTAACTGCTCTACAAATAACAAATCATTCATTGTGAAATGTTATGTTTTTCATTTGAGATATTCTTTCAGGTCCTACACACCAGTGAAACTACTGACATCAGCTGCTCTGAAGGACTTCACAAGAAGCTAACTCACCAAAGAATGCAGTTTCCATATCTTGATGGTTTCATCCCTTTTACCCCCACTAATCAACAACTCCAATTTTCCAGCCCCTTGCCTGATGGTCTCCTTAAAAGCCCCAGCCCAGAACTCCTCAGGGAAGTGAATTGGAGGGTCCCTGTCTCCTTGCCTGGTTGCCCTGTGAACATTAAACACTTTCTCTGCTGCAAACCCTGCTGTCTCAGATTTTTAGTCTGTTACTGCACAGAAGGCTTATACACCTGTCAGTCCTGTGACAGTAATATGAGTCTTCTGGGCTCCAGCCACACTGTTTACAAAACAGTTTACAAAACTGTTTCTCACAGACCCCTGCATTAGACACGACCAAAGACAGTGACTTGAGTTACACGGCTTTTACATTTCTGTCTCATGAGTGTTTATCTGTCAGTTGTGCCTAACACAGAGCACACACACACACACATACACACACACCCATCCATCCACCTACCTTGGTGTCAAACACGCAAACTTTCTTTCTTGCCCCTTCCCCTGAAATGGGAATGAGAGGCATTCCTTAAGTACTCACAATAGTAAGCACATATGTTACCCCTCCTCTAAGACAATGTTCCAAGAGCCTTCCATATGTCTGTTCCTTATTATAGTCCTCTGATCTAAGTAGGCCTATTATCACACCCAATTTCTAGATAAGGAAACTGAGTCACAATGAGGCTAAGTGACTCACCCCAGGTCACACAGCTCAGTTCGCAGAGACGAGCGCACTCGCGTGCCTACTCCCTCCATGAGTGTGGCAACAAGGAGGGTATGGACTCTGGAGACTGATTATGTGAATAAAACCTGGCCCTGCTGCTTGTAAGCTGTGTGACTTGGGTGGGTCACTTAACTCACTGTGCCTCAGTTTCCTTGTGGATACAGTCAAGGTAGAGGCAGCCTACCTGGCAGTAGGTGCTGAAATGACAGTAGATAAAAAGATCATGCTCCTTCAGCATGAAAGGGTTTCAAGTGGAAAGCTCAATTCTTCTTCTAAAAAGTTAATAGGATGAAGTTAGAGGGTTCATCAGTCTACTCAGCATCTAAACCAACACACTCGCACCAAGGCTAATGTCATCATGACAGTTTTCAGCCCACAGGTGTCTCCTGATTTAATTATCAAGAGAGTCCCATTACTTGGTATATGAAAGTGAGATAAAAACCTATCCAAGGGGCATTTTCTTCGGCTTCCATTTTTGGATATTGGCACTTGCTGATTCCCCTCTCTGCCTTGTGCTACCTTCTTCCCTTCCTCCTTTTCCTCACCCAGTTAATGCCTCACTTCCTTAGAACTCCAGCCAAAGAGTCAATGCCCCAGGTATATCTACCTTAATCTTCTAAGGCTAGTTCAGAGCTCCCTGTTACATGTTTGCATAGCATCTTTTATTTTTCCCTGAGTTCTTATCACAATTTATAATTATATATAAATATGTGTGTGTGATTATCTACTTAATAAACATCTCTTCTATTATAATTTAAGAGTAATAGAACTGAGACAATCTTTATTTTTACTTAGCATTTAATATCCATGGCATAGTACTTGCACATAGTAGGCACTCAATACATGCTTACAGAGTAGATGAATGAGTAAGCATATGAAAAAATTAAAAAATCTGAATGAATGAATCACCAAAGTTTCATCAAAAAGAATTTGATGTCCTGTAATGACTTCGATTCCCTGAAATGTCTTGGTTGCTGCTGGTGCCATAGACTTTCTGGACACCCAAGGAATAATATTTCAGATAGACTCATGAGGTTTCCAGGCTTCTGCGAATCAAATCCAGCCCAGCCCAGCCCAGCCTTCCTGGGAAGTCTGTATTTAAGTCCCCCAGTTTGATTTCCATCATCATCCACTGCAAGCGAGAGCAGTTGATTTTCTTTAATTAAGGCAGGAAGGATGGCTTCCTGAATGGGTAATATATCTCCCAAGTTCAGCATTTCATCTGCACAGCCCACATTTCACTCGGAAATGGGACAGATTCATTAAAAGTATGGCCAGACAGCTTCCTCTTTGGTTGCTTGTTTGCCTACCTTTAATGAATGAATACATAACGTGCCTATTCATTACCAACTTTTGAGTGGAAGTAATTGCTGGGTTCCCTCGTTTGCTTGGAACAATGTTCTTTGCATTTGAAGTGTCTTCTGCCTCAGTCACCACAGTAATTCCCAATCAATGGGCCAAAGACACCCTCCAGGGGCAGATATTCACCTCCAGCTCACCTTTGAGAGAAGTAATCACTCTTCTAGTCCTCCAGGGCCTCATTCAGTGCACTAGGAATGCTCATTTATGGCAGGAGACCCTGGGACCCTAAGAAGTAAATGAGACTGGGAGGCCCATTAATTCTCTGAGTACACCCTGGGGGCACCTGGGGCATTATAATGTAATTACTACTAAGAAAGACTAAATTCCAATGTACTTTGTCAAAAAGCATTTTACAGAAAGTACTCAGTTTGGCCCTCCCTATGATCATGTGCTTAACTTTGGCCACAGGAAATCTAGGGGGCCATTTGGGTGACTCTTGGTTGACTCAAGGTTTAAGGGACCCTTGAGACTTTATCCCTCATCCCCAAATCATTAACAAACATTTGCCAAGTGCCTACACTGAGTATAAATTAAAGATTACTGGGTCCCTCATCTGTATCCTGGACCTGTACAACACAGCTGTTCTAGTGGTCTCCCAGCCTCCTTCACTGCCTCCGCCAGTTTTATTTTCTCCATGATTGCACAGTGGTCTTTCCAAAACATAAATGTCAGTGGCTCACGCCTGTAATCCAAGCACGTTGGGAGGCTGAGCCAGGTGGATCATTTGAGGCCAGGAGTTTGAGACCAGCCTAGCCAACATGGTGAAATCTTGTCTCTACTAAAAATATAAAAATCAGCCAGGCATGATGGCATGTGCCTGTAGTCCCAGCTACTCGGGAGGTTGAGGCAGGAGAATCACTTGAACCAGGGAGGTAGAGGTTGCAGTCAGCAGAGATTGCGTGGCTGCACTCCAGCCTGGGCAACAGAGTGAGACTCCGTCTCAAAAAAAAGAGAAAAGAAACACAAATGCCATCACAACAGTCCCCTGCTAAGAATCCCAAGGCTTCCCCTTGCCCCCAGGATTCAGGACAAAGTCCTCTTCCTGATTCACAGGACCTTCTTTGTGCAATCTGGCCAGTTTTGTATCCACCTACCTTCTGTCCCACTTTGTAAGCATCTGCCTGCCGTATGAAGCTACTTGCAGTTCTCTGAATATATTCCACAGTTCCCACCTCGATGCCTCTGCCCACACATTTTCCTCCACCTCCTCCCTATGACCATCTTGTATTATTTGAAACGCTAGATCAGATTCAGAGCCCTAGAAGAGAGAGGCAGGTTGCATCACTTTACGATCAGAGCCATGAGTAAAGTGATAGGGAGTGGTGAGGAATGGGACAAACTGGTGAGCACACGCCCTCTCTGTGAGGGGCAGCTATACCACCCAGCAATATCTAATTGTTGCCATGAAAGGATGTGGGTTCAGTGTTTTCATATCCACTACTTTCCAGGAGAAGCTGAAAATCTGAAATTTTATCTGAAATATTTTTTAAATATGGTATACTCCATCGTAACTTTTAAAATGTTAAAGGCCTTCCAAAGTGGGCCTGAGCTCTTAGGTGCTAGCTGCTGACTCTTGACCTCTACCCAACAGGGGACACCTCCTTGGTGAAGTCATCTCTCCTTTGTGTCAACATTATAACTTGTGGCTCAAGGAAGAGCTTCAGCGACCAATCTTTGTGTCTCTGAAAGTTGGCATAGTACATGGCACACAGTGAATGTTCAGAAAATGTAGGATAGGTAAGCCAATGAATAAATAAAGTCAGTTTCTTCCCCCAATTGGAAGCTTATAAATCACATACACTTCAAAAAGGCTGGGGGATGTTGGTGTATCCTTTTTAATAATCAGGCAAAAAATGGTTTTTTATAGCCAGCCTTCAACCCCGGTCATAAGAGAAGTTGGCATCCACTTGTGAAAAGCAATTTGAGAGAGAACACTCAGTCCTGCTGTCTAAAAATATCTATCACCTATAACACCTGCAATCCCCAACGTTATCACCTTTAATGGGTTACATTGTAGAATATTACCTTTGCAGGCATCGTTGGGAACTAGCCCTTCCCTGGCAGGAAATGGAAGAAGTGTTGTCAGCTCCTAAAAGTTAATATAAATATATACCGGGTTCTTTTCCAATATATTCTACAAAATTGCTGTATGACTTTAGGCAACTTCCTTTATCAGAACCCTACTTTCCCCATTTATAAAGAACTATTCTGGGCCAGGGGAGGTAGCTCATGCCTGTGATCCCAGCACTTTGGCAGGCCAAGGCAGGCGGATCACCTGAGGTCAGGAGTTTGAGACCAGCCTGGCCAACATGGCAAAACCCCGCCTCTACTAAAAAACACAAAAATTAGCCGGGTGTGGTGGTACACGCCTGTAGTCTCAGCTACCTGAGGAGGCTGAGGGAGGAGAATCACTTGAACCTGGGAGGCAGAGGTTGTAAGCCGAGATCGCGCCATTGCACTCCAGCCTGGGTGACAGAGCAACTCCGTATCAAAAAAAAAACCAAAAAACTATATATATATATGTATGTATGTATAATTTTTTTGAGATTCTCTCTCTCTCTCTCCATATATATATATATATATATATATATATATATAATTTTTTGGAGACTCTTTCTCTCTCTCTCTCTCTCTATATATATATATATATATATTTTTTTTTTTTTTTTTCTGGGCCAGTGTCTGGGGTCTTCATCATTATTATTATATGGTGTGCAATGAAATTAGAAAACTGCTATCTTAGACCAGGTTAGAAACTCAAATATATGTAGGAATGAAGAAAGAGAACAATAAGAGCTGGGAGGGGAATTTGGCAAACTGGAAAGCTCACATCCTTCTGGAGGGAAGAGCCGCTGTTCAATTCCAGCTCACTGTTGCCACAAGGGAGGGTCAGCTCAGAGCTACCTGATCATCTGATTTTTAAACAGAAGCCAGAAATCCATGATTTTATGTAAAATATCCCAATTGCTTACTAAATCACCTGAGCAAACAAACAAAAACAGTGTTGCCAAAACAAAACATCTACATGGACTAGATTTAATCTACCCATGAACCAATTTCTGGGAGGTGGGGAATGGAAGTGGGCTCAACCTGTATCACATGTCCACCTCCCTTCTCATGGTTCCTTAAGTCACAATCGAAAGAAAGCAGACAAAAGCTACAGGTGGGCGGGGTGCAGTGGCTCACACCTGTAATCCCAGCACTTTGGGAGGCCAAGGTGGGTGGATCATCTGAGATCAGGACTTCGAGACTAGCCTGGCCAACATGGTGAAACCTCCCTCTACTAAAAATACAAAAAATTAGTCGGGCATCATGGCAGGTGCCTGTAATCCCAGCTACTTGGGAGGCTGGGGGAGGAGAACCGGGAGGCTTGAACCAGGAGGCAGTTGCAGTGAGCCGAGGTCGCGCCATTGCACTCCCACCTGGGCAACAAGAGCAAGATTCCGTCTCAGAAAAAAGAAAAAAAACCACAAAAACAAAACAAAGAAAAACTTCAGGTGTCTGCTACAAGGCACAAATCAAAAAGACTAATACCACTTGAGCTTCCTACTGTTTTTTTTTTCCTTGAGTCATGCATTATTTAGCTTGAAATTGGTTGATTTGAAAAAGAGCCCCTATACCTATTATAAGCAGATCTTCCCTTACCCATATAAGATTTCTGTAGCCTATTTCCAAGAAGGAGGCAGCCATTAATGAACCGTGTGTTCCCACCTCTGGGTCTTGCCAGCCATAGAGCAATTCTGCTCAAGGAGACCCTGGTTCACTTCTCGGTAATTCTGACTTCTCAGGGACCGGCTTTTGTTTATTTTCCTTCCTCCCAAGCATACATATTTCATCTGGCAGCTTTTCCACATCAGCAAAATCTGTCGTGCCAGCACCAGATTCCTCTTGTGCACAGGCTCCATCCTGATTAACTCTATTTATATAATTTATTTTGGTTGCCCGTTTCCCGTTTGGGAGATCGATACAAATTTAAATGAGAAGCAAGAGTATTTACAGCCACTTCAAGCGTTGATCAAACACAGGCCAGGATGTGGATGTTCTGCCTTGGAGATGAGTCCCTCTGTGGGATCATCTTGGTATCATCTCACAAATGGAGAGAAATGGAGAAGGAGAAAAGGAAGCAGACAGAGGACGGAAAAAGGGAGGGAGGAAGAAAAGAAGGAAAGGATGGAGGGAGGAAGAAAGGAAGGAGAAAAGAGAAGGCAAGAAAAAAAAAAGGAAAAGAAAAGAAGTGGCTAGACTAGTTTTCCAGCTTTCCAGCTCAGTTGGCAAATACCAAGCACTTTTAGCCTTCGGCTCAACTTTTATACACATATCTGCATGCTGAGACGTGTCTAGAAGTAAGTCACCAAAGTTTTTGCTTATATTAGTTCCCAAGTAAAGCAGAAGACGCTGCCAGCTTATTTGTGCATGAGTTTTTAGCTGTCAATGCATATTTCAAACAGCAGGCAGGAACTGACTGCATAAATCAAGCTCTGCGGGGATCTGCTGCCCTTCACCAGGCTGGTGTGTGATCCAGGATGTGATTTGATTTTTGGGCTTTCTCCTTAGCAGAGGCCAGCTCAACGGCCCAGCCTTCATGATCTGGACCAAATTGTGTGTATTTCGGGGGGTGGAGTAGCGCATCCTTTTGTTGAGCTGGCACTGCCTCCTTTTCTTTAGTTCTCAGTTTGGACACTGCCTGCTATTTCTTTTTTTTTTTTTTAAGAGGAGGAGGTGGCTGTAAAAAGTGTTTCTCCAAGAGACCCATGTGGTCAAGGAGCGGAATGAGGAGTGAGTCAGGAGGCCTTTGTCATGGTTTGACTCTGACTTTCTTAGAATGAACTCAGTCCTATTATTCTCTACCCAGAGCCAACTGTAGCATCTCCACCCATGGGGAAGGCTATGGTTTATTTAATCAACAGAACTGGTCCATTTGGCTCTCCATTGGTCCATTCTGATGTACAGAAAACATGGATCTGTACATCAATCAGATACAAAAATCAATTCTGAATAGATTAAATATGTAAATGTATACAAGAAATAGGAAAGAAAGTAAGAGGCTCTATATATAAAGAGTTGTTTTTATATGGTCTTTGGTTGAACAGATCTTAAAGGACCAGGATGGGGGAAGACCTTCCTAATCTAGACAGAAAGTCCAGAAGCTATGAAATAAATGGTTCACAAACTGATTACAAACAGGTTGGGTGTGGTGGCTAACACCTGTAATTTTGGGAGGCTAAGACAGGCCGATAACTTGAGTCCAGGAGTTTGAGATCAGCCTGGCCAAAATGGTGAAACCCCTTCTCTACTAAAAATACAAAAATTAGCCAGGTGTGGTGGTGCACACCTATAGTCCCAGCTACTTGGGAGGCTGAGGTGAGAGGATCACCTGAGCCTGGGAGGTCAAGGCTGCAGTGAGCCAAGATCGTGCCACTACACTCCAGCCTGGCTGATAGAGTGACACCCTGTCTCAAAAAAAAAAAAAAAGAAAAAAGAAGTTAGGAAGGAAGTTAGGAAGAAAGAGAAAGAAAAGAAAGAAAAGGAAAGAAAGAAAAGAGGAAGGAAAGAAGGAAGGAAGAAAAAGAAAGAAGGAAAGAAGGAAGGAAGGAAAGAAAGAAAGAAGGAAAGAAAGAAAGAAAGAAAGAAAGAAAGGAAGAAAAGAAAAGAGAAAAGAAAAAGAAAACTGATTACAAACAATGTATTTTAAGATCTGTTAGACTGGCTGGGCATGGTGGCTCACACCTGTAATCCCAGCACTTTGGGAGGCTGAGACGGGTGGACAACCTGAGGTCAGGAGTTCGAGACCAGCCTGACCCACATGCAGAAACCCTGTCTCCATTAAAAATACAAAATTAACTGTGTGTGGTGGCGGGTGCCTGTAATCCCAGCTACTCGGGAGGCTAAGGCAGGAAAATCGCTTGAACCAGGGAGGCAGAGGTTGTGGTGAGCCAAGATCACACCATTGCACTCCAGCCTCTGCAACAAGAGAGAAACTAGGTCTCAAAAATAAATAAATAAATAAAAGAGATCTGTTCGACCAAAGACCAAATAAAAACAAAAGACAATGACAGACTGGGATGGAACATCTGCAGTACATATGGTGCTCAAACTGTTAATATTCCTAATAACTAAAGGGTTCCTAAAAACTGAAGGAAGAAGATAACCCAGCTTAAAATTGGAGAAAATATATGACCCGGTAATACATTAACGGGAAGCCATGAAAACACTTACCCCAATCCACTGATGAGTGGAAAAATGGAAACTAAGGCACCTATATGGCACCATTTTTCTCCCATTAGTGTGGTAAAATGTTTAAAAAATTAATAATCTCCTGTGCTGGTGAGGATGTTGCAAGGGAAATGGCCGTGGTGCAGTCAAGAGTAGGCTGAGGTAAACATGCGGCACAGCATGACGCAGTGGAATTGGAGTGCAGGCTCACAATCCCGTGCATTACATAATCACAGTTATGGAGCCATGTTATGGGAGGGCTCATCACCTGTCTCTGAGCCACTTTTGTTCGTGAGGTGCATAAATACATCACTAACACTGTGAGAGGGGGGTCGCATAATAAAGCCATCTGTCACCTGCCTAAAGCTCCCTCCAACTCAAGTGGTCTTTCAACTACCCACCACCTGTCCACCAACTCCCCTTGATCTCAGCTTGGGTTGGAACCTGACAGATGTGGAGAAATGGCCATGACAGCAACAAATGGCTGAAACTGCAAATTTATTTTGCAACATAATTAATGCAATATGTATTAAAATTCAAAAGATTCTTATCATTAAGCCAGCAATTCCCTTTTTTGAAGCAGGTACAGGAGAAATAAAAGCTATACAGAGGTTTATTTGTACAAGGACATGTATGCATATTGTAGCATTGTTTATGGTGTCCCCTTCCAAGGAGAGAAAAGGAAAGGAAAAGCAAGACGGAGCGGAGGCAGACTCAGAGAGAGAGAGAGAGAGAGAGAGAGAGAGAGAGAGACGGGGACAGAGAGAGACGGAGACAGAGACAGAGAAGAAAACTGGAGACATTCTCAACAAATATTTAGAATAAATTAAAAGCAATAAGCATTAATAAAATAGGATAAATATTTGAGATAACTGATGTGGTCATTTAGAGGAATAAGTCAGATCTATGTGTACTGTCATGGAAGAACAGCAATGATTTGATAGTAAGTAAAATGCAAAAAATAACCCACAATCGCAAAGCAATAACAAAAAGTACAGGGTAACAGACTTAGCTTAGGTTAGTTCATGGTACTGAGAATGAAGTTTCTAAGGCCAGCCTACTTGGATTCAATTCTCTCCTTCGGTTGTTAGCTCTGCAAGCTAATTAACCTCTCTGTGTCTCGGTCTCCTCATCTGTCAACTGAGAAAATTACTGGGGCAATTAGATGAGTTCATCATGTAAAGTACTTAGAGCTGTGCCTGGTAAGCTTCATCATCATACTCTTACTATTGAAAGGGTGCTAATACAGCTGATAGCCTGCAGTTAGGCAACCTTGGGGCTCTAGTCATTGCCAGAACACTGAAGTATTTTCACACCAGCTGGTAAAGACTGTCCCCCACTATTCTGATTATTCTAGGCCCTTCCCTAGGTTCAACCCCTTACTCCAGGCATCCCCATGGTCTAGCAAATAAAGGTTTAATACCTTGGCTTCCCAGTGGTCTCCAGATTCCAACTCCAGCCTAAGGCTTAGACCCCCTGCCAATCTGGCTTTGAATTCTGCATATCACCTCTAACAACAGGGATGTATTACCTGTGTACATTTTTGAAAACAATCAATAAACTATAACAGGGAATATAATGCAAGCCTACATTTCTGCATCTTGGTGGCATTCACCAAAGCCAAGCCTGGCTTCTGTGATTTGCAAATGGCTGCCTTCTCCTCCTCCACCCTTCCCTCACAGAGGGAAGTAATTCAAATTACTCTCTACCTGAAGCTAGCATGGTAAATAATTGAACCTCTAAAAGAATATAAAGGCTTAAAAAAAAAAACTCTTAAATATTACCTACACAGGTTTTACTGCAACCTACAGGGTGTCTTCCTCAAATTCACTGCTCAAAATCTCTTGAGCCCCAGAAGTCTTTTAGAATAATACCAGGAAATGAATACCCACCTGGTAATGCATTATAATTTCTAGGTCTGGCTGTGATGGAAGCCAAGTCCAGGTTTGTACAAGTTGGAAAAGAATAAAATGTCCCTGGTTACAAATAAATAGCTGTGCCAATAACAGACTTTAATGTACTATATCCCCAGAAGCCTGAGAGGAGAGAAATGAGCAGGACGATGAGATAATCGGTCTAAAAGGGCAAATCAAGCCCCTCTAAGCTGGCTTTTTTTATAGGTGGGCTTGTAAAATAGGGGTGGAGAAACTTCTGCTTCAAAAGCAAGAACAATGAAAATGAAAGTTGCTATTTCAAGACTGAAAATATGTGCTCAGGCTACAGAGGATACTCTCCCAGGGCCCATTTCACAGGTGAGGAAGCTGAGGTGCAGGACAGTTAACTCTCTTGCCCACAGGTCTGAAAAGCAATAACATTTGTTGAGCAGGGTGTGAAAGCAGGTGCCTCTGTCACTACAGTTCACAGAAGTCTGTAAAATGAGACATATCTGTCTCGAGACATAGGGACACAGAAAGATGGTGAGAGAGACAGGTTTATGACATGTTTTGTGATCGGATTCATTTGCCAGAGCCTCTGAATTAAAGATTAGACCAGTTTCATGGCTAGCTCATGTCAGGTCTGGATTCATTTAGGGCTGGCTGGTTGGTTTGTTGATTTTGCAGGGCTGAGTCCCTTCCCATCAACATACACACGTACTCCTGCCTTGTTCAGGCCACCTTTACCTGCTCTTTGATGCTGCCTATGCAGCGAGTGAGTTAGAGGTGAAATTGCTGCTAACTACTAAGAGTCCCTGCCCCCTTGCAACTGACAACAGATGACACTGAAATGAAAGGGAGGAAGGGAAGACCTCATGAGTTCCTGGTGCTTGTGGAAGGAGGAGATGCATTATAATTATATTTATACAAGGCAGCGATACTTCACCTCCTGAAATCGTTAGGCAATGTTTTGTTTATATGCTCCTATGTTCTGGGGGAGGATTTTCTGGGGAGAGCCTCCCTCAAATTCTCAAAGGGATCTGTGGCACCAAAGAGGTTAAAAGTCGATTGTCATGGGTGTATTAGTCTGTTTTCACGCTGCTGATAAAAACATGCTGGGTAATTTATAAAGAAAAAGAGGTTTAATGGACTCACAGTTCCACGTGGCTGGGGAGGTCTCACAATCACAGTGGAAGGCGAAAGGCACGTTTTACATGGCAGCAGCAAGAGAGAACAATGAGAGCCAAGCAAAAGGGGAAACCCCTTATAAAACCATCACATCTCCTGAGACTTACTCACTACCACGAGAACAGTATGGGGGAAACTACCCCCATGATTCAATCATCTCCCCCTGGGTCCCTTCCACAACACGTGGGAATTATGGGAGCTAAATTCAAGATGAGGTTTGGGTGGGGACACAGAGCCAAACCACATCACATAGGGTCTGTAAATCAAATATGTCCGGATAGTCATCCCCATTCAGTCCTTCTTTCATTCAACACATAATGAGCTCCTACTATGTGCACATCAGGGTCAGGTACAGGGATTACACTGGTGAATCCTTCCTTCATGGACCTTATATTTTAGTTGGGGACACAGACATTAAAGAATTCATCCGGTGACTCATGGATATGATGGTGTTAGGAGCTTCAAAAAGCAAGGAGGAAGTGAAATGAGGACCTATTTCCTAGTACACTCTGGGTTAGGGAAGACTTCCTTGATATAGTGATATTTAAGCTGAGCTCAGAAGCATGAGCAGTTAGTGGGGAGGGGAGGGTTGCCGGAGGAGTGTTCTAAACCCTGGGTGCCCAGGGGGATCTGCAGACCAGCAGCATCAGCAATGTCTGGGAACTCATTAGACGTGCAGATGCTCAAGCCCTGCCTCAGATGTAATATGTATTTTTTTTTTTTTAGGTGGAGTCTCACTGCTGTGTCACCCAGGCTGTAGTGCAGTGGTGCAATCCCGGCTCACTGCAGCCTCCGCCTCCTGGGTTCAAGCAATTCTCCTGCCTCAGACTCCCGAGTAGCTGGGGTGACAGATGTGTGCCACCACGCCCAGCTAATTTTTGTATTTTTAGTAGAGACGGGGTTTCACCATGTTGGCCAGACTGGTCTCAAACTCCTAACCTCAGGTGATCCGCCCACCTCAGCCTCCCAAAGTGCTAGGATTACAGGCGTGAGCCACCACACCTGGCCTAAAATCTTAAAAATTTTAAAAAATACTTTCGACTTTTATTTTAGATTCAGGGAGAACATGTGCAGGTTTGTTACATAGGAATATATTGGATGATACTGAGATTTCTGGTATAAATTATTTCATCACCTAGGTAGTGACCATAGTACCCAATGGTTAGTTTTTCAACCCTTGCCCTCCTTCTCTCCCCTCTCTAGTAGCTCCCAGTGTCTACTGTTGCCATCTTTATGTCCATGTGTACCCAATTTTTAGCTCCCACTTATAAGTGAGAACATGTAGTGTTTGGTTTTCTGTCCCTGCATTAATTGGCTTAGGATAATGGCCTCCAGCTATATCCATGTTGCTACAAAAGATATTTCATTCTTCTTTATGACTATGTAGTATTCCATGGTGTATATGTACATATATGGTGTATATGTACATATATGGTGTATATGTACATATATGGTGTATATGTACATATATGGTGTATATGTACCATATGCATGGTGTATATATACTATATACTATGTAGTATTCCATGGTGTATATGTACCATATTTTCTTTATCCAGTCCCCTGTTGAAGGGCACCTACATAGATTCTACATCTTTGCTATTATGTATAGTGCTGCTATGAACATGGAAATGCATGTGTCTTTTCTGCAGAACGATTTATATTCCTTTGAGTATATAACTAGTAGTGGGATTGCTGGGTCAAATGGTAGTTCTATTTTAAGTTCTTTGAGCAATCTTCAAACTGCTTTCCATGGTGGCTGAATTGATTTACGTTCCCACCAACAGTGTACAAGCTTTCCCTTTTCTCTGCAGCCTCGCCACCATTTGCAGTTTTTTCACTTTTTAATAATAGCCTTTCTGACTAGTGTGAGATGGCATCTCATTGTGGTTTTGATTTGCCTTTTCCTAATGAAAAGTCCTAATTTTTAACAAGATCCCTAGGTGATTGATATTTGCACTGGGGGCTGAGAATTGTTCCTCTGAAGAGAGGCAGGAGTATTTGAGGAACTGTAGGAAAACTGGTACTCCTGAAACTCAGAAAGAGGAGGAGGTGGGGGAGATGAGGCTGGAGAGGCAAGAGCAGAGACATCAGATTCTTGTAGCCATGTTAAGAATAAAAGAAATATTTGAGGGCAAGTGAATGATTATGCTTTTGGCAAGAACTTTTTTTAAATTAAATTAAATTTTTTAAGTTCCAGGGTGCATGCATATACAGGATGTGCAGGTTTGTTACCTAGGTAAACATGTGCCATGGTGGTTTGTTGCACCTATCAACCCATCAGCTAGGTATTAGGCCCAGCATGCATTAGCTCTTTTTCCTAAAGCTCTCCCTTTCCCACCTCCACCCTCCCCCAACAGGCCCCAGTGTACGTTGCTCCTCTCCCTGTGTCCATGTGTTCTCATTGTTCAGCTCCTACTTATAAGTGAGAACATGCAGTGTTTGGTTTTCTGTTCCTCCATTAGTTTGCTGAGGATAATGGCTTCCAGCTTCATCCATGTTCCTGCAAGGGACATGATATCATTCCTTTTTATGGTTGCATCATAGTATTCCATGGTGTATATGTACCACATTTTCTTTATCCAGTCTATCACTGATGGGCATTTTGGTTGATTCCATGTCTTTCAGCAAGAACTTTTAAAACTCTAATTTGGTAGCTTGGGCTATGGGGTTTATATGTAGAATGACTGAGGGAACCAGCTTTTGTTTGTGGTCGCCTATCCCTCCTTCTGCACATTCCACGCTTCATCTCTGTTTTCTCATCTGTAAAATGGGGATAACAAGTCCTCTCTTGCGCAGTCCTTGGGCTGGTTGAATAGATTGTTCCCTATAATGCACATATGTCAGGTCCAGTGCATAAGAAGTATTAACAAATGAGTTTACTTCTCATTGTTTCAAGAAATATTTGTTCCAATTATTTATTCTAAGCCCTGAAATAGGAGCTGGAGATGTTACACTGAACAAGATGTGACAGCCTCAGGGAGCCCAAAATCACTCTGGGGAAACTAGGACTCAAATAGATGATATGATAGATACAATAACAGGCAAAGTACAGGTGCCAGTAAGAATGTACCAAAGATGGGTAACAGAATCCAGGGAGCCTGTCCAATGCTTCACAGAGGAAAGGATATCGAGGCTGATGCCAAAGAATGAGTTGAAATTAGCCAGACAAAGAAAAGGAAGGTCTGCACATGGCAGACCCTACTTGACATCTACAACATCCAGAAGCAACGAGGGATAGCTATCTAGAATATACAAAGAACTCCTCTAAATTAGGAAGAAAACAGAGTAAACCCAATGGAAAGATACAAAAAAAATCATCATCAGATGATTCAGATATGGAGAAACCTAAATGGCTCTATGACCTATGAGGAGATGCTCAACCTCTTTAATAACCAGAGAAAAGCAAATTATAACAAGGCACCACTTCCTACCCATCAGAATGACAAAACAGTAGAAAGATGGCAAATGCCAAGAAGCATGAAGCTGTAAGCTCTCCTTTCTTACTGGTGCGAATGTAAACTGGCAACACCATTTGGAAAAGTTATCTGGTGAGTCTTGGTCAACATAAGTATGTGTGTGCCTTACTGCCTATTAATCTCTCTCCTAGGTATATACCCTAGGGGAATGCTCACATACTCATAAAAGGATGAATTTAAGGCATCAACTTTCTTTGTAGCATCAAGAAGTTGCAGGCAACTCAGGTGTCCATCATTAGGGGATTGGCTGAGTAAAGTGTGACAGATGCACATTATAGAAAATCAAACAGCACAAGGAAGTCACAAGCAATTTTATAGAAAGCAAATTATACAGAAAGCAATTTGGATAGATCGTCAAACAATGCGGAATGAAGAAAGCCTCAGAATGGGGTTTCCAACACAGTGCTATTTATGTTAATTAAAAACACTCACCATCAAAGTAACTCTGCATATTTTATAATATTTACAAACACATGTCTAACACATGAGAAAGGGTTCCCCTAGGGGAAGAGAAATGAAATGGGGACTAGGTATATAGAGGAAGAAATAAATGAATAGTAAAACAAGACAATAATTGACCATATATGATGATGCACCATAGGCTAGGAAATTTGACTAGCTCAACTTATGCTTCTGAGATCCAATAAATAAACAAAGTATCAATTAAAATGGAAGTGTTTCAGGCAAAGGGAATAATGTGCAATTTGCAGAAGTAATGGAGGACATGATACATTCTGGAATGGAGAGAGATCAGTAGAATTGGGACAAATAACATAAGGCAGGAAGTGTTAAGGAAAGACCAGACATGAAGAACCCTAAAGCTATACTAAATAATCAGGATTCAGCCCAAGGGCAGTAGGGAGCCATTGTAGTGACATGATTGTGTTTTTAATCTTGCTCCAAGCTCCAACAATGAGAAAATAAGCCATTCCGCTGAGTCAGAAGCGCATGACATTTCTCAGTATTCATGTGGCATATTTATCAAGTATTAATGAAATAAGCCTTGAGCATCTTAGCACCCAACTCATGAACCTCATTTTTCCCCCCTTTTATACCAATTATGAGATAGTCATCGACACTTTCACCAATAACCAGGCAACATACAGAACCACATTTACTATTTGACCTTGGGCAAAGTCATCTGAACTCCAAATATGAGTTGCCTTAATTTCTTTATCAGTAACAAGACCACAAGCATTTCCTATATCCAGTAGCCACTGGAATCAAACAGAAAGTGATTTTACATCTTCAAAATAACCTTATGAGATAGATAGTATTCACATTTTATAGGAAGAAGAAACCAATATGGAGACAGAGATGTTAAGTAATTTGCCTAAGGTCATTAACCATTAATAGATGCAGAAGCACGCATTTCTGTTTACAGACTGTTTAAGAGTCTATTCTGCGAACCACACCTCATGGTACCACCCTTAGATGGTAGTGCTTCCTTCAAAGTTTGTAGCATTGGAAGACCTTCTGCAAACAGTGTGTTTGGCAACACTGGAGCCTAGAAATCAATCTCAAATGAATGGCCTCTGAGCTACTTTGGGACTGTATACGTGTTTTCTTTAACCCAAGTAATTTTCTTTTTTAAATTCTGTATAATAGCCTATATTTTGAAATCTGAAGATTTTACGTAGAAATCCAAAATTTTGGTTTCTGGTGAAAAGTTGGGAAATTTGCCAAGACTGGGCTCCCATTCCCTTTCAGAAAAATCCACTGGAGCTGAGTAGCAGCTACACATTTAGAGAGGGCATATGCTCTCCAATTTTCCACAGTCCCCACCCCTCCCTAATACACTAAGCTCATTTCTCTCATTCCCATTAACTGCCTAGGCCTAATGGAATTCAATGTTATGACCTCTGTTGTAGGGAATAAATAGTCTAATCACCGAGAGGATGGGACGAGCCAAGGTTTTAAAAATCCAAAGCTTGATCTATCTCAGAATGAAAATGAAAATTAAAATCTTTCTGGAGATTTATCTTCCTGGTCTCAATTCTCATTGGTCTTTTCCCCCTTTGACCTTTAATTTCATTTATTATGAAACAGCCAAGTGGCACAACAGAAAATACCATCAAAATGTGAGCACTGGGGTTGTTCCTTCAGAAGCTGAATGTTAGGCCTGGCTTTTCCAATAACTCTCTATTCATTCAAATCTAATTACAAAATGATTTTTAATCATTGTGGAATAAATTCACTCTTCACATCTAGAAATGTTAAAGCCCTAATTTAACAGCAATAACCAAAAAAAAAAAAAAAACACCCTCTAATGGATTTGCACTAAGAAGCAGAACATGGCCTGTGTTGTCAGATGTTCAATAATTTAACTGCAAATGAAGTGTGTAAAATACAATATTTGTGTCATAAACCACCCAGCTTGTCACATAATAGATTTTTGAAGAGTCATGTTTCACGGCACTGAGCAATGTTATGTTGGAATGGTGGAGTAGCCAAATTGAGGTTTAAAGGTTCCATTTGCTTATGCAGAAAGTGATTGAGTCTCACTTCACCCAGTGACAGGAAGCATGGAAATACAGTGTCTCTGGATCTTACCATTTCAAAGCAGTGGCTGGAATTCATCCTTCCAGCTAGATAACGTAACTCATGTTCAACCTTCCCTATGTTACAAGATGTATTTTGGATTACCTTACAAGTCTAGTGGGATATTGTGGTTCCTTTGCTATCACAGGCCATGGTAGGCAGAACAATGTCCTCCCCACCATCCCATCTTAAAGATGTCCATGTTTGAATCCCTAGGACCTGAAAATACATTGGGTGGCCTGGAAAAGGGGGAATTAAAGTTGCAGATAAAATTAAATTGCTAATCGGCTGACCTGAAAACAGAGATTATTCAGATGGGTCTGATGTAATCACAAGGATCCTTAAAAGTAGAAGGAGGAGACAGAAGAGGCAAGTCAGATGGAGATGAGATTATGGCAGGTCAGGGTGATGCAATGTGCAAAGAACTTTACTTTCCATTTCTGGAAGGAGCACTGACTTTCCATTGCTGGAAGGAGGATGGGTCCACAAGCCAAAGAATGCTGGTGCCCTCTAGAAGCTGGAGAAGGCCAGGAAACATTATTCCCTAGAGCCTCCAGAAGTGCAGCAGCCCTGTCAACACCTTGCCTTTAGCCTAGTAAGATTTTTACTGGACTTCTAAGCTTCATGACTGTCAGGCTAATACATTTGTGTTGCTTGAGCCACTTAGGTGGAGGTAATTAGCTGCAGCAGCAATAGAAAACTAATACATTGATACCAAAGCCATATCTGTGGGAAAATAACAGAGGAATTAGAACACTGCCTTCTTTTGCTCAAAATTAGTAGACTAAGATACAAACAAATGATGTTACTATATTTCTTCAATTTTACTATGCATATTCGTTTTTCAAATTATACATTTCTCACATTAGGATTTATCTCACAATTGAAGAATACATTGAATAGAGTGCTCTTCCCCAAGTCCTTTCAGCAAAATTGAAAGCTGTCACTAAATAGACTGTACGTTGTACAATCTTGAGTACCCCAAAATGACACAAAAAGTGTTCATCTTAAGGAGTGAGCAGGTGAAATTCAATTCAACAAGCATTGATTATCTTGTTAGTACCAAGCACGCTGCTAAACACTGAGGTAGGCCAGACATTGTTGTTTTTGTGACTTTCACAGGCAAATGGAACAATGACCTATACATGATAAATTAAAACAAAAACTCAGACTGATGCTATGATTAATTCTCCAAATGCAAAATGCTGTGAGGTCAGGGCCTGTGCCTGCCTAGTTCATTTCCAAGTCCCCTGTATCTAGCATAGACATGGCCTAGCACAGGGTAGGTATTCCTTTGAATGATTGTCTAAGTGCTTTACATGCTTTATCTTATTTCCTACCAGGTGGATTATATGGTGTCTTCATTTTACAACTGAGGGAACTAAGTTTAGAAAGAGTAATTCATTTCCCCAAAGTCACACAGCTACTAGCAGCTTAGACCAGGGCTTCTCAGCATCGGCATCATTGATATTTGAGCTGGATCATTCTTTGCTGGGGGCAAGGGGCCACCCTGTGCATTGTAGGATGTTTGGCAGCATCCCCTGGCCTTTAGTCACCGGATGCCAGTAACACACTCTACTCCACTTGGAACAGTCAAAAATGTCTTCAGATGTTGCTGAATGTCCCTGAGGGGAAAAGGGCAAAATTGCCCCCAGTTGAAAACCACTGGCTTAAGCAAATGGGCATTAATATTCTAAGTATGTGTGCTTTTAAAATAACCTCCACAAAATCTCTGATACTCTCCTTTTAGAGAGTTGGAGCCCAATTCCTACCCTATTGAGTATTGAGAGAACTTAGTGACTTGCTTCTAACTAATGGAATGTGGCAGACACAAAAGGTACACACACGATTAGGCCATAGAAGGCATTTTGGCCTTCTCTTTGTCCTCTCTCTTGAATTGCTGGTTCTAGGGGAAGTTAACTCCCACATCATGAGAATATATAAACAGACCTAAAACTCTACATGGTGAGGAACTGAGGCCTCTTGCCTACAGCCAGTGAGGAGCCAAGCTACACAATCTGTTGCTATGGAGTAAACTGTCATGGGAGAAGTGCCTCCAGTCTTGGTTCCCAGTTGAACCTTCAGATAAGTGACATCCCCAGCTGGCTGATGTCTTAACTGCAATCTCATGTGAAACCCAGAGCCAGAGCCACCCAGCTAAACCACTCTTGGATTCCTGATGCTCGGAAACTGAGTGAGATAATAAATATTTGTGTTTTAAGCTGCTGAGCTTTGGGGCATGTGTAATGCAGCAATAGATCACAAAGACGAAAATGAATGACCTATTGAGGGAAAAAGTAAATGGTCCAGAATGACTGGTGTGTGGGGTGCATGGCAGAGGAGGGCGCATGGGCTCGAGGATACAAACAGAGGCAGAGCTGAAGGATCTGAGTGCTTTGTATATATCAGGGAAAAATGGGGAATCAGAACTTTGAGGCTGGGCATGGTGGCTCACACCTGTAATCCCAGCACTTTGTGAGGCCGAGGCAGGCGGATCACCTGAGGTCAGGAGTTCGAGACCAGGATGGCCAACATGGCAAAACCCCCGTATCTACTAAAAATGCAAAAATTAGCTGGGTGTCGTGGTGTGCACCTGTAATCCCAAGCTACTTGGGAGGCTGAGGCCAGAGAATAGATTGAACCTGGGAGGCGTAGGTTGCAGCAAGCCGAGATTGCACCACCACACTCTAGCCTGGGCGACAGAGCGAGACTCCGTCTCAAAAAAAAAAAAAAAAAAAACCCTTTGAGGATTATGTAGCACAGAAGTTGGCAAGCTATAGTCCAGTGGCTCAATCCAGCTATTTTTGTAACACCCTTGAGTGATGAATGGTTTTACATTTTTAAACATTTTCCATATATTTTCCCCAAAACAAGGGAAACAGGAAAGGCCAAGAAGGGCCAGTTTGCAAAGGGACTTGAATGCAGGCTCAGGAGTCTGAAGTTCTTTCTAGAGACCCCTGGGGCCATAAAAGAGCAACAGGACTTGTGCATTTTTCATTTCTTAAAAACACAAATCTGAGCACATCATTCTTGTGTTTGTTTCCCAATGGCTTCCCGTTGTTTTAAGCATAAAGAATGAACACTAAGAAAATGAGAGATGACCTTTCATTTTCTTCCTGCTGCCTAGCTGGTCAGCCTAATTTTCTGCCATTGCTCCAGTATTGTGCCCAACACACACACACACACACACACACACACACACACACACACACTCACACACGTAGATGCATTCCCTCCGAACAGTCCTTCTATCCCAGACATTTTTAGTTCTCTTACATACTGGGTTCTACTGGGACTTTGTCTTTGTCCCAAATACCTCTCCCCATCCCTGCCTTTTGGGCTACCTATACTAATTGCCCCTTTTTTTGAAAGTCTTCCTGCTTGGGCATGGTGGCTCACGCCTGTAATTCCAGCACTCTGGGATGCTGAGGTGGGCAGATCACCTGAGGTCAAGAGTTCGAGACCAGCCTGGCAAACATGGTGAAACCCTGTCTGTATTAAAATACAAAAATCAGCTAGGTGTGGTGGCATGCACCCATAATCCCAGCAACTTGGGAGGCTGAGGCAGGAGAATTGCTGGAACCCGGGAGGCAGAAGTTGCAGTGAGCTGAGATTGTGCCACTGCACTGCAGCCTGAGTGACAGAGTGAGAATCTGTCTCAAAAAAAAAAAAAAAAAATCTTCCTATCCTTCTCAGTCTAGGGAGGTATGGCTCCCATACATTCCCATTTTAGTCTGAGTAGATGTTTATCTCCACACTCATGAGACTGTTTTGTATTTGTCCATTTATGCAATTTTCCTCCCTATCTAGATGAGAGCTCCATTTATTAGCTGCATATTTTATCTCTGAAAATGGTAAATGTCTAATAAACGTTTGTTGAACAAAGAATAAAGAAATGATAACTGAGTTGCCGCTGAGAGCTGTGTCTAAAGAAATCCAGACTTCTGTGTAGTTTGGTAGCTGGGTGATTTGTCTTGGAAGGTTTCTGAAGAAAAATAAGTCCAGCATTAAGACGCCTTATCTTACCTGAGGTAGGTACATACCTTGTAGTGCAGCTGGACATAAACACGGATATAGCAGTAACGGGTTTCATTCTCTTCCACAAATCACCGGACCAGTTCCCCTCAGAACAGACCAAGAGGCATTACCGTTACTCTGAAACATGACCTCATTTCACTGACTCATGGGCAGAAACCCTGAGTTGCTGGTCCCTTTCCACCAGTGTCCCTAATCTTCCCTCATATGACAGGAAAAACAATAGCTATCCATAACCCTGATCATTTTCAAGCAAGTTTGCCTCTGTTAACCATTGAGAACCCCTGAAGAGCTTGTTGTGGCATCTGTCTGTTTTTGTGAACTGGGTTGGGCTCAAGGATACTAACAGGCGCAGCTGAAGGATCTGAGTGCTTTGCATATATCAGGGCAAAATGGGGAGTCAGAACTTTGAGGATTATGTAGGACTGATGTAGGCAAGCTATATCCACTGGCTCAATCCAGCTCTTTTTGTAACACCCCTGAACTATGAAAAATTTTTGCATTTTAAAAAAATTATTACATTTTAGATGGTCATATGAGTATATATATCATTTCCTTTTTTTTTTTTTTTTTTTTGAGATAAGGTCGTGCTCTGTCACCCGGGCTGGAGCGCAGTGGCATGATCTCAGCTCACTGCAACCTCTACCTCCCGGGTTCAAGCGATTCCCCTGCCTCTGCCTCCCGAGTAGCTGGGACTACAGGCATGCACTACCATGCCTGGCTAATTTTCTGTATTTTTAGTAGAGATAGGGTTTCACCATGTTGGCCAGGCTTGTCTTGAACTCCTGACCTCAGGTGATCGACCAGCCTTGGCCTCCCAAAGTGCTGGGATTACAGGCATGAGCCACTGCGCCAGGCCTGGGTACCTATCTAATTTCTTAAATTTTGGCTCTTGGCTTGCAAAGGCTAAAGTATTTATCATGTATGGCCATTTAAGAAAAGTTGGCTGATCCTTTATGTAGAAGGAAAGACAAAGAAGCCCTCAGAGTTGGAATTTGGAGAACAGACATGACTAACATGGAATTTTTTTTTTTTTTTCTAAAATAGGGTCTTGCACAGTCACCCACGCTGGAGTGCAATGGTGCGATCTTGGCTCACTGCAGCCACAACCTCCTGGGCTCAAGCAATTCTCCCGCCTTAGCCTCCTATGTACCTAGGACCACAGGCATACACTGCCACACTCAGCTATTTTTTTTTTTTTTTTTGAGATGGAGTCTTGCTCTGTCACCCAGGCTAGAGTGCAGTGGCACAATCTCGGCTCCTGCAACCTCTGCCTCCTGGGTTTAAGCAATTCTCCTGCCTCAGCCTCCCGAGTAGCTGGGATTACAGGCACCTACCACAATGCCTGGCTAATTTTTGTATTTTTGTAGAGACAGGGTTTCACCATGTTGGCCAGGCTGGTCTTGAACTCCTGACCTCTGGTGATCTGCCTGCCTCAGCCTCCCAAAGTGCTGGGATTACAGGCATGAGCCACCACGCCCGGCCTATTTTTTTTTTTTTTGGTAGAGACGGGGTCTTACTTTGTTGCCCACATTTGTCTTGAACCCCTGGGCTCAAGTCATCCACCTGCCTCAGCCTCCCAAAGTACTGAGATTATGGGTGTGAGCTGCCATGCCCCGCCTAGCATAGATTTTAAGTTGCTTACAATGGAGTGTACCCTGTAACACATCTCCTCAGCATCCCCCAGAGAACCTGTGTTATGTGCATTGGCCTTGAAGGCTTGTGAGTCAGCGATTCTTTGGTGGAACTCAGCATATGTGTCTGAAAAGACAGAGCATGTAGAAGAAGAGGCTCGTGAACAAGGAAGCAGCTGTCACCTGGTCACTTACAGCCAGTCAGTTGATCGTCTTCTGGGTCTCAGGTCAGGTTTGCAAAGGAACAACACGGACCTATCCTCCTTCTCCTCTTCCTCCAGCCTAAATGGACTCCAGCCAGCTGGGTGTCACTGCTGCCATCCTTAGAGAGGGCTTTTCCCACCTTCACATAATCAGGAGGCTCCTTTCTTCCCGCAGGAGCCCATCAGTCGAAGTGCACGGCTGCTTCTCGCAGAGAGCCTTCTTACCCATCAAGGGAAGATAATGCTCTGTGATCATTTTGGTTTTTCCAGGCTTCATGTTCTCTCTCTCCTTTCTGCCCCAGCGGAAAACGTAGGGCTGCTATTTTAAGACATCCTTTAGTACCAAAATACCACTTTGAGACACTCATGTCTTTCTTTTCAATAATCTCTTTTAAGGTATAAAGAACTTACCAGGAGGGGCACGTGGTGGCTGCCTATGGGAAGCAAGCTAAACGGCTGCTCAGAGACCTTTCTGGTATTCCTGCTGTGCCAGGACGTCAGTACTTTCCAACTCATGATTCTGAGGCTGGTGGATCTTCCTTGTCTTCTTCCATCTCTCATCTTCAATGTCCTAGGCTGGGGACTAAGGGAAGGCATAATGGGGAGCCCAGGCTTCATGCAGATGGAACACCAGCATGAGAAAGGAAAGGCAGATACTGGCCATGTGGACAAGAAAGCAAGACAGAAGAACAGTCAGTGAAAATACCTTTCCCTACCATGACCAATACCATTGAGTCTATAGCTGAAGGTAGCATTAGGGGTGGGTGTCTAGCAATATCATACAAACTAACAGACATTTGGGTGAATAAATCATGAGCAGAGTCCCCCATAATCTGCCTTTCTAACGATAATTAGTATTTACTGAGTGCTATATGTCACTTAGTAAATGAGGTCCGGTTTTAATCCGTTTACAAGATTCAGTTCATTTGCTGCTGGCAACGATCCTATAGCATAAGAACCATTGTTCCCCTGTATTTACGAAGAGGAAATTAGAGCTCAGAGAGGGTGAGCCACTTGCCCACTATCACACAGCTCATGAGTGGTAGAGCTGGGACTCAGACCCAAGCCTGACCCCAGAACCTGAGCTCATAACCTCTCCTTGGATGGGTTCTTCCAAGGAGTCTGCCTCCAATAAACTGTGTCCCATGCCAGCCAGGCACCAGCATATGCTTTGGAGAAACCAACTCCCGTAGACATCTGTCTAGATGGTGCTGATATTATAAATGGTACTATGAAAAAATAAGGATAAAGCTTATAAATCAGGCAAAGGGAAGTTATGATTCTTCTGGACACCCTAATCTATCTCCCTATAATTGCCTGTATATGAAATGCCTGCATGAGGTTATCAGAGTATTCCCTGAGTCGCCTGCGAAGGTAAGACTGCAATTTTAGCGACCCTTGTTACACAAACCAAAGCAATCTGTTCTATTTTGACACTATGACACTCCTGGCTTGCAAAAGGGATGGAGGCACGGACGGGCAGGCATTTGTCCACATTCTTGTTCCAAACGAAAGTAAGAAGGGTTAACTGTGAGGCATGCTTACTGCAAATGACAGCTCTGGCTTCTAACTATACTAAGCAGTGGCCACCAATCTTGGGGATACTTAAGAGAAAACCACAGCTCCATTTCTTTAACCCATCTTTAACCTTTAGTTCTAGAAATCTTAATTAAAAATCAATTCCATTTTTTTTGTAGTAAATCTGACAGTAATTCTATCTCTAATGGCAGTGGAAAGATAAATAGTATGTCAGGTAAACTCAGCAGGAAAATGACATTTTCATTAGCAATTTACTGGGTAGGAAATTCCCGCCATGATAAAGCATTCCTGAACAATACTAGGTAACCATTCCCCTAGGGCAGCTGCTAATTAATGGGGGAACACCAGTGGGATTAAATGTCTTCTACCCAAATGATTTGAATCGTCACAGCAGTTATTTTGAATGTACCTGCACCGAGAAAATAAGTCGGGCCCCCAAAACAATAAACAAAGTGACATAACAAGACGATTGCAGCCTATTGCAGTCCAGAAAAATCTAATCTGGTCTCCTAACAGCATTGCAATCTTTATTGTGACTGTATGGGCCCCAATTCATCAGCCCATTTCGGCAAGCTATCCCCACCAATAATCATTCACTTTCAGGGTAGCCTCTGAACAGGTATTGACTTTAGAGACTAGCAATTCATCCCGGGCCCTCTATCCCTCCATCGAGATTCTTCGGCAGTCTTTGAAGCAGACTTGGAAAGAAAAATTTGGTCCTCATGTGCTAGACCCCCAGAGAGCTTCCAGGGATAAAGAAAAAAGAAGACAAGCAAAATTCTCCATTCAAAAGGAGAATAAAATCCTGGCATCATATTTCATCCCTGCTAAACCTCAATAATGTTCCCAGTGATCAGTCAAATCAAGGTAGAATCATGAAGTATTAGTAAGAAAAGGGATGTAGGGTTAGAGTATTTACATTTACAGAGGGGCTACTATATGCCCAGGGCTCCAAATAACTTTCTAATTAAAACTTACATCAAGCCCATTGCAATGTAGGTATAATTATTAGCTTTCCTTTCAGATAATGATACTGAGCAACGCCCTGGCTGAATGGCGGGGAGGACTGAATGGTGGTGATGGCCAAGAGCAAAGCGAAACAGCATTTCCAACAGGAAGGATGTGGACAGGATTATAGACCCTGGTCAGAGCACCGTGATGAGGAATCCTACTTGGCTTGGGGTGCTGATGTCCACAGACCGATAGGGGAGAGACTTTATGCTGTGTATCTCAGATAAGGCAAAGGGAAGATGTAATTAGATTTTACTATGGAGTCATAATTTCAGCCCACAGAAAACAATAAAAGTGTCAAGAGGGCCGGGTTCGGTGGCTCATGCCTGTAATCCCAGCACTTTGGGAGGCCGAGGCACGTGGATCACGAGGTCAGGAGTTAGAGACCAGCCTGGCCAATAAAGTGAAACCCTGTCTCTACTAAAAATACAAAAATTAGCCAGGTGTGGTGGCATGCGCATGTAGTCCCAGCTACTCGGGAAGCTGAGGTGGGATAATTGCTTGAACCCAGGAGGTGGAGATTGCAGGGAGCCGAGACCATGCCATTGCACTCCAGCCTGGGTGACAGAGTGAGACTCCGTCACCAAAAAAAAAAAGCGTCTGAACACAGCTCTCCCTTTTGCAGGAATGGTTACCTGATATTCTCTTCCCACCAGGGGCTTGGCTGGAGCTCTGAAGCTGAAGTGGATGCCACTCCGTATGATTTCCATCTGTACTTATTAATGGTGAATAGGAGTCAGTTATGTAACTGGCATGTTCATCACTTCGTATGCTGGGCCCCACAACCCATTTCTGAAAGGGCTTCCATAGAGCCTGCTGAGTGTATAATGAGACTTTGGTTCTACTTCTTGCCCATAGGTTGGGCCAAGGATAGAAACAAAATTGAAATCTGAGTTGGGAGAACCAAGGTATCACTTGGGGATGCAGAATATGGTCCAGGAGCTCCACACAGTTGCTGTTGGGCCCTTGACTGAGAAACCGGACAATTCTGAGGCTTGCCCGGCTCAACCGGACATGGCCGATATGCAGAGAGAGAGAGGAAAGAAGCAGACGTGCATGCAGAAAGGCAGAAGGAGACATACCCCTAAGATGGCCATGTGCTCCTGGCCTCTGAATTCCCAATTCCAGGCTCCTGGGAGATGTGGCTGAAATTCCTGCCCCTGAATTCTGAAGGCTGCCTACAGTATTTGTTGGGTTGCTTCTGGTTCCAAGTGCCAGAAAAATCCACATAACTCAAACTAGTTAAGTCCCAAGGGAGTTGAATGGCTGACAGAGCTGCAAAGACCAGGCACAAATGGCTGCAGGTGCCCAGACCATGTCCTCACGGTTCTCCTCTATCTCTTCTGCCCGCTTTCCTCTGAATTGGCTTCATTCTCCAAGTTGGGGGCTCACCAAAACTCCCAGAAGTTCTGGCTTTGTAACAGCAATGGAGAAAACACCCCACGTTCCAAGCAGGTTTAGAAAAACTGGGAGGCTGAGGCTCACTGGATGGTTTGGATCATCTATCTACCTATGAACCAAGACACTATGGTCCTCCGGTCAATCCACCCTTAGAACTCAGTGGGGAGTGAGTGAGGCCCCACCCAGCCATGCAGACTAAGAGAAAGCAAAGGAACACTGTTCAAAGGGGACAGCTGGATGCTGTTAGCAGAGAACGAATGCTGGCAGGCAAAGAGCAGGAACATCTACCATGTCCCAGCCCCACTTCAAAGAAACCCGTGTTTTAAGTTACTCTGAGCAGGTTTCTGGTTTTTGTCACCAAACAGACTAAATATTTAGAAAAATGTGTCCAAAGTGCTATGTGTATGTGAGGGGGAGGGAGGGGAATAAAAATGAGTAAGATAGATTTCAGTGGTCAAGCCCTTTACCATTTTGTAGGGAAGATAAAGCCAATATATGTAAATTATACATCACAAGAAAGAGCTTGTTTCAAGGGGATATAGAACCCCAGGATTTCAAAGGCTGTGATACTGGCTGGTCACCAGGGAAGTTTCTGGTGGTATTAACTTTGTGTGGTGATTACAGAATGGTGAGGGTTTGAAATAGGGAGAATAGTTCCAGTCACAGAATGGTGTCATCAGGCCAGGGGCAGTGGCTCACATCTGTAATCCCAGCACTCTGGGAAGCCGAGGTGGGTGGATCACAAGGTCAGGAGTTCAAGCCCAGCCTGACAAACATGGTGAAACCCCGTCTCTACTAAAAATAGAAAAATGAGGCGGGCATGGTGGCACGTGCCTGTAATCCCAGCTACTCAGAAGGCTGAGGCAGGAGAATTGCTTGAACCCAGGAGGCGGAAGTTGCAGTGAGCTGAGATCACACCACTGTACTCCAGCCTAGGTGAATGAGTGAGAATCTGTCTCAAAAAAAAAAAAAAAAAAAAAAAAAAGAATGGTGTCACCAAACATTTAGAGGCTGACAAGTATGAGGTATGCATAGAGATGATCAAACTTACCCCTAAATATCTCTTGCATCTATTTCTCCCCAGCTTTCTCACTGCCAGCCCAGTCTAATGTCTCTCTCAAACTTCTGGGACATCCACGCTTGCTCTATGCCAATCCAATTTCCACTTGTCAACCAGAGGGATATTTGGCAAATGCAAATTTGGTGAGAATTATGCCCCCCCTGCTTCTCAGTGAGTTTCCCATTGCTCTGATGATCAAGATTAAAATTATTTTCCAGCATCCTCCCTTCTTTGTCACGCCAGCCCATCTGCTCTTCTCTAAGTTCTACAAATTCTGCAAAGCTTCAGATTCACCATGGAGACTGCCAGAAATGCTCCTCCCATCCCTGGTCCCTTTGCAGTGTGATTTGTTGGTGCCCTTCTTGCAGATACCCCCATAGGGAAGGCGATTTCACCTAGGGAAGTTCAAATTTCCTTGTGAAGCACGCATACTGTCACACTGTATTTTTCTTTATTGCTTTTATTTCAGTCAGTGAATAAATATTTGTGTGATTATTTCATTATGATGCTTTCCTCTACAACAATGTTTCTTAACCTTGACTCTATTGACATTTTGGACCACGTCATTTTTTTTTGTTTTGTATGGGGGGAATGTGGGGTGCACGGGGGGGACTCTCCTGCACATTGTAGGATGTGTAGCATCAGCCCTCGCTTCTATCCCCTAGATGCTAGTAGCACACCCTCCCCCAGCAGTGACAAGCAAAAATGCCTCTGGATGTTTCCCAAACATCTCCCTGGGTAGGTGAGTAACATTGCTTCTCCCACCTTGAAAACTACTGCTGTATAATTTTTTTCTTTCTTTGAGACAGAGTCTCGCTCTGTCACCCAGGCTGGAGTGCAGTGGCAAGATCTCAGCTCACTGTAACCTCTGCCTCTCAGGTTCAAGTGATTCTCCTGCCTCAGCCTCCTGGGATTACAGGCATCCACCACCATGCTAGGCTGATCTTTTGTATTTTTAGCAGAGAAGTGGTTTCACGATGTTGGCCAGGCTGGTCTTGAACTCTCACTTCATGTGATCCATCCACCTTGGTCTCCCAAAGTGCTGAGATTACAGGGTATGAGCCACTGCACCCGGCCACTGCTGTATAATGTATACTATAAAGTCCATGAGGAAAGAAATCAGTCCAAAGCCTGATAAACGTAGGCCTGAGGCTCTCAACTCCAGCTGCACTGTAGAATCACAAGAGAACTTTAAAAACATTCTGCTGCATGGTCTGACCCTCTATCAAATAAATAGGAATCTCTGAGAAAGATGGAGAGGGGAGATTGAAGCCCAGGCGTCCAAAGGAAAAACAAACAAAGCAGAAAACTTCCTAAGTACATCTCTTGTGCAGCTAGGGTTGGTAATCTCAGAAGCAGGCATCCATGGTTGGAAGCTTTGTTGAATGAATATAAGGGAGGGATGGAGAGAGTGAGGGGGTGAGATGAGAAAGGAGGAGATGCAGGGAAGAAAGGCAAAAAGGGGAAGAAGGGAGAGAAAGAAGGAGGAAAGAAAAGGAATTGAAGCCAAAGAAGGGAAAACCAATGTTTCTCATTAGACGAGGACTCACAAAAAGAACCTGGTTATGAAAGCTGGAGGCCTAAGTTGCGAGCACATTTGAAGAGCTTTGAATATCATTTTGTTGTAGCTGGGGTAAGCAATGCAAAGCCAACAAAAATTTCAGAGCAAGGATGCTTCAAGTTCCAAGCAGTGTTTTAAGAAGTCGAGTGTGTTACACCCAGCACAAAATAAACCAGGGTGGAAAGACCCGGGAATAAACTGCATTATATGAAATAATTGAGAGTGGTGAGAATAAAAGTGAAACAACAAACACCAAAGATTCCCTACAGCAAGATAACCTGGTGATTATACTCCCTGACAAGTGCAGAGACTGCCTTTTGGGGACACAGCCTTGTCCCTGTCATTCTTAGTTTAGTAACTAAGGCAGACAGTGAAAAACAGTTACTAATGTCGTATCAGTAAGGAAGAAGCAGAAGGTTCCACGGGCTGGAGCAGGTGCCTCCCCTGATCTCAGGCTTCAGAAAACACTTCTCAGAGGGAAGCAGCTATAAGTTAGCATACCTCCCAGCGGGGAGGGGGTGGGCTGGAAGAGTGAGGGAGGGAGGTACGGGAACTAGGAAAAGAGAACTGGATAGGGGAGGGTCAAGAGCAAAGTGAAACAGTGACAGATGAGCAAGAGAAGCCCAGGAGGATGGTGGAGTGCCTCGTAAGCCCTATTCAGGATTCTAGACTTTCCGCTAAGAGTCGAAATAACCCACAGAGAGAAGGGTTTTAAGCAAAGTAGAAGCATCATCCAGATTTGCATTTTTTTCAGATCTCCTTTTCGCTGTGAAATATAAAACAGAAACGTGGATGAAGAGAGAAGCTGGCAAAATGTTTCCAAGGCTTTAACGCCACCTGAGTTGGAAAGAGAAATGTGACATGAGCAGCAATGCAGAGAGGCAGCCAGTGACCAGAGTTAGGGACAAGAAGGCTTTGAACATTTTCTCCCATTTTACAAAAGCGTTTACTTTCTGGGCACAAGGTCCCCATGTTGGGAAGAGAGTGGAAAGAGCTGTGCATCATTCCAGGCCCTGCATATTGTGCATGGATCCCTGCCTGCCTGCAGGTGCCTGTGCTTCAGTAAGGAGAACCTGGGTAAATCAATCAGGACTCCTTTAAACTCTAGGAAGTCAAGAAATTCTCCTAGTTGGTCTCTGTGTCCCTGAAGAAACTCAACAAGAAAAGAATACGGGCTGTGTAGCCAGTCTAATCTGACTTCCAATCCTTTCCCAACCACTGACCAGCTAGATAATTTCCCTAACAACTCTGAGCCTCAGTTTCCTCCTTTACAAAACGGCAATGCCACTATCTCCCTATGTGTTTGTGATAATCAAGTAACAAACAATACTTGGACAGTGCCTAGAAGAGTGGTTGGCCATTGTATTCATCCGTTTTCACACTGCTATAAATACCCTAGGCTGGGAAATTTATAAGAAAAGAGGTTTAAATTCACTCATAGTTCCACATGGCTGGGGAGGCCACAGGAAACTTACAATCATGGTGGAAGGTGATGGAGAAGCAAGGACGTTCTTCACATGGAGGCAGGAGAGAGTGTGAGCAAGAGCAGGGAAAACTGCCTTATAAAACCATCAGATCTCAAGGGAACTCACCCACTATCATGAGAATAGCATAGGGGAAACTGCCCCTGTGATCCAATCACGTTCCATCAAGTCTTTCCCTAAACACCTGGGGATTACAATTTAAGATGAGATTTGGGTGAGGACACAAAGCCTAACCATATCAGCAGTGAATAAGGACTGGTGTTCTCCCTTTGAATGAAGGTATCTAAACTATGTAGATTAATCACCAGCTTAAGCTATTTGCTGCTACAAAAAACTGCACCATGAACAGCCATGTCCACGATGTAGCATTAATTCAAAATGGTGCATGTGGGGAAGGTTTAGTGGAAAGGCTCTCCCATTTGCTTATGATGGATGTTTATAGGATACAGAAAAAAATGCAGGACTCCAGGCAATAGAAATATTTGAATAACAGCACAGCCGGAACATTTGTAGCAGGTCAATAGACTGCTCCTCTCTCCAGTAAATTCCCCATCTTGAGCTTCTATAATATTGGCATCTTTGTTATGAAGCAACTTCTGATCTATTTCTCTTCTGGAGGTATAGTGAATGCATTTGAAGGAGAATGGTGCTTTATTACAGACCAAGGGCCTTGTGTTTATGATTTATAATATTGTGGTGTTTGCCTGCCTAATATCGCCTAAAGAAGTGACAAATCATGCAAAAGAAATTAACTTGCCCTGACTCCGGGTCTGTTTGTTTAGCCAGGACTCTTCAGATTGCAAGCGACAGGCAAATTAAAATAGCTAAGGAAAAAGAGAATTGTAAGGGCATGGAGGAATCTCATGCAAGAATGGAATGACCAAACCAAAAAAGGGCAGGAATGCAGGTGGGGCTCAGGAACTATAAAACCACAGACTCAGACATACTGGCATTCTTTTCCATTTCTTGTAGCAATTGTCTGTTTCTTTCTTTTTTTAAAAAAAAATCTCTCTCATTACAAATGGTCTTTGGCTATACAGAAGAAAAAAAAGTGTCTCTTCTGATCTCAGTAGCTTCTGAGTTTTCTATTTATGATGTCAGTCCTCAGAGGGATATTGAGTTTACTCCCTTGATGCTTAGCCCAGAAGTCCTGATGGAGGGACTTGTTGGCTTAGCTTGGGTCAGGTGCCCATTCTTGGGCCAGTCAGCTGTTTCCAGTGCAGCGTGGTGACCCATTCTGGGTCAGATACCTACTCATGGACCAATTGACATTGGCTAGAGATGTAGACTACTTGAGAAAATGGTCCCTCAAAAGAAAACCAAACAGATTTGCAGGTGGAGGAGGAATTTCCAGAAAAAGAGCCAGGTTGGAGAGACAAAACAATGGGTGAATGCTACACCTCTCTCCTGGGGGTGGTCACAGGAGGACTCTCTGGTCTTGAATTTTACTCACTTATTCTTCTCCTCCTTATTCATTCATTCATTCAAATACTTACTGAAGTACTTCCTGCCGTTTTCTGAGTTTAGTGTGAATCAAAGTTCTCCCCTCCTACTGCTGACACATTTCTTTTTTCTTTTTCTTTTTCTTTTTTTTTGAGATGGAGTTTTGCTTTTGTTGCCCAGGCTGGAGCGCAATGGCGCAAGCTCGGCTCACTGCAACCTCCACCTCCTGGGTTCAAGCGATTCTCCTGCCTCAGCCTCCTGAGTAGCTGGAATTATAGGCACATGCCACCATGCCTGGTTAATTTTTTGTATTTTTAGTAGAAACGCAGTTTCACCATGTTAGCCAGGCTGGTCTTGAACTACTGACCTCAGGTAATCCACCCACCTCAGCCTCCCAAAGTGTTGGGATTACAGGTGTGAGCCACCGTGCCTGGCCGCTGACACATCTCTAAAGCACAGACACATCCACTCATAGTCTTCCATCAACGCCTTGGCCGGAGAGGTGCTCAGTCCCACTTAATAGTGGGCAGGAGCTTGCAGACCACTTCACACTAATGATTCCTCCTGCTCAGAGATCTATTCTCCTTGAAATATTCAGCAATGCACAGACAAATTGCAGACAGATCATCCCAATCTCTCAATAGTGACACACATACACACATGCACATATATGTGCAATTGCACGTGCGTGCACACACACACATACAGAGGCCAGAATCTCTACTAGATATTGAGAAAACACTTGCTTTTCTCCTGCAGAATAAAACATTTAGCTGACCAAGGTCACTTTTGTATTGTATTGACGGGCCTGCAAATGGAGACGTACGGTATTAGGAAACCTCAAATCTGGTATAAATTTATGGGTCTTCCTTGAACAGAGTTATCTCTTCTTTGTCCTTGAGCTTTTTTCATTTGAAAAGTGAAGAGCCTGAATATGAGCTAGATCCTCGCAACCAGTTTTGGAAGGGAAACACCAGGTCCTAAATTGTCAAAACTGAGGCCTTATCGAGGACTCTTTCTCTGACATTCCAGGTTGTATCTAATGACCAAATTCTTTTCTTTTCTGTAGTAGTTCCGGGTCGTAAGCATCTTTGCTTACAGGTAAGCTCCCAGTTACCCTGTAACATCTAGAAAGCAGACACCAGGGCTTATTCTTCATATTACAGATGCCCAGCACAGAACCTGGTATATAACAGACACTTGGTAAATGTTTGTTAAATAAATGGACTGATGAAAGACACATTGTGTGGGCCAACCTCACTTGTCCACGGAGGGATCCTCCTCTCAGCAAATAGTGGCTACAATGACTTTCGCATTGTGAGTCTGAAGAACAGAGAGCTCAGGCTGTCAGGTCCCACAAAGGCCACCAGAATTCACATCTCCTTTGACGTTCTCCAGAGCTGGGTCACAGAGTCTCCTGGTCCACCAAGGATAGCAGAAGCTCAAGAACAGCACACTCAACCCAGTAATACAGAGAGTAGCGCAGGCTCTTCACAGGCATTTAAAAAAATCTTGGCTGGGCGTGGTGGCTCACGCCTATAATCCCAGCACTTTGGGAAGCCGAGGCGAGAGGATCACGAGGTCAGGAGATCGAGACCCCAGTGAAACCCCGTCTCTATTAAAAATACAAAACAATTAGCCGGGTGCGGTGGCGGGCGCCTGTAGTCCCAGCTACTCGGGAGGCTGAGGCAGGAGAATGGCGCGAACCCGGGAGGTGGAGCTTGCTGTGAGCCGAGATCACGCCACTGCACTCCAGCCTGGGCGACAGAGCAAGACTCTGTCTCAAAACAAAACAAAAAAATCTTAACAGTTACCAGCTACTGAGCCCTTATGGTGCACCAGGCACCATCTAAGAGCTTTGGAAACATTTTCTAAACTAGTAGTTCTCAATCAGGGCTGATTTTGCCCCCTAGGAAATATTTGACAATGTCTAGACACTATTTTGATTGTCATCCTGGAAGGGGTTTGCTGCTGGTATCTAGGTGGGGAGGGTAGAGGCCAAGGATTCCAGTAAACATCCCATAATACACAGGACAGCCCCCAACAACAAATAATGGTCCAGCCCCAAATGTCAAAAGTGCCAAGGTTGAGAAATCTAAGATAATCCCTTCCACAACCCTATTCTTACTATAATGTTTACCTTAGTAGAATTCAGGCTCTTCTCAACCTCCTCACCTGGTGGTCTTTCATTAGCTTTACAAAGATGATTTATTTTGGGGGAAAGGGCTATTATCATTTTAACTATAGACTCAATGTCTCCCAAGCTTAGCTTGGTCCAAGCCCAGGAATTATTAAAGGCAGTTGGGAGGTTAAAGGCAACATGAAGGTTGGTTAGGTCAGATCTCTTTCATTGCCATAACTTTCTCACCATTATAATTTTTGCAAAGGCAGTTTCAACTCCACAGCACAGAAACACCTTTATCAGGACCCTTGCAAACCTTGCCCCTCTACCTATCACTTCATCCAGTTGTTCATTTGTATCCTTTATAATAAGACAGTAATTATAAGTATGGTACTTTCTGAGTTCTGCCAGTTATTCTAGTGTGGGGGCCGTAAGTTCTTGGTTCCCTAAAGGTTCACTGAAAAATCATTTTATGCAGGAGATGAGAGAGGAGAAATGGGTCATGAAACGTGTCAGCAGTAGGAGGGGAAGTACATTTCCTGATTTTCCAGGAGCAGAAACTGAGGAATATGGAATTTGCCCAAGTAGCAGAGCTGGAATTTGAACCCTCAGTCTTTCGGGTCTAACCCCTAGGCGTTCACCCTCTATTCTATCACTCCTGGCAGGTCTTGCCTATAAGGTTGAACTAAATGGAGAAGTTCATGGTAACAATCCTAAACCTACTTAATATGCTGGGACTTGACAATTTCCAGTTGCCTCCACGTCAGATTTTACCTAGTTTCATGTGAGAAACTAAAGATGTTACTTGGGCCAGAGCTGGAAGTATCTTATATTGAATCCAGTTTGCCCTATTGAAACATAATAACTTTTAAAGTAATCTAGTCTCTTCATTACCGTGTTCCATCCAGTTGTCGAAATCTCTTTTGAGTTGGTAGTTAAAAGGCCCAGCTACACATTCGTAACATCATTGTTGCTGGCTAAAATGCTTAGCAACAACACAAACATCACTCAGAAGCAAATTATCAGATGTACCGACAAGATGCTCCTCAATTTAATAGCGTGGTAAATGATGGCTGGGAGATGTTCTTTGAAGCTGTGAAGGCAAATGTGAAAGCTAATTCAATTCTCAAATGAATAAAAGTGAGAAAGTGTTCTTATAAACCTGATATTACCAGAGATAGGGCTTGAGCATCCTGCTGCCTTGTGTGGGAGAAGAGAGAGGAGTGGGAATTTATTTTATTTCTGATAGTAAAGAGCTGGGCTGTGCGACCACACGTTTGACCTTGGATCCCGGGCTGGGAACTTTTGCAAGCGTGAGGGCTCCTTTCCAACTGAGCTAACAGGCATGCTGACTAAATCGCTGGTTCCCCTTGTAGCTGCTTGAGGGAGTGAGGGGTCTCTAAAGAGACCTTCAGGGCTTTGGGGAAATCTGATCTCTATTAGATTTTGGGAACACAGAAGATAATTTTCTGAGAGGAGAGGGGATCTCATATCACCTGGGTCAGTGGCTTTCCAATCGCTAATAGGGCCCTAGGTCTTCACAAAGGTAACTCAGAGGAAGGAGAAGGAAGGCTTGAAAGGGATTCACGGCCTGAAATTTGCTATCATTTATTATATATATCAGGTTTAGGGGTAAGATATTATTAACATTAATATTAAGATATAACAAAGGCTTCTACTGCTAAAAATCATGAATGCCACTAATCTACTCACTTAGACGAGAAAAGCTGGGCTCCATGGAGATGTCCCCAAGGCCACACAACCAGCTAAGGGTCACAACCCAATACCAACCGGGTGCCCAAGAATTCATTTCATTTCTGACACTAATTACCTGAAATTAATGTCCAACTTCACACGTTAGGGGGCTCAGCACCACAAACCTGCCTGCACTTCAGATGCTGCCGCAAGCCCCAGGGGCCATCTACACTTCTGCTTGGCCAATGCGGCCATAAATTTGGGGATTCCCATGACCCCCTTTCAGGTTCACAATTTGCTACTGAAGCAAATTAAAATATTTTACCCTGAAATATATTTCTCTGACATATTTTGAAATGGCTTTCTCAGAGCTAGCAGATTGAGGTGGGGGTAAATTTGCATCTGTAGAGAATCTCCATTAATGTAGCCAGGTCTTTTCTATACCTTTCCAAGATGTAGGAGAGACTGAGTCTGACACCTTTAAAAGACTAGAAAGGCTGATCACAAGGTCAGGAGTTTGAGACCACCCTGGCCAACATGGTGAAACCCTGTCTCTACTAAAAACAAACAAACAAACAAAACAAACCCCCAAAAATTAGTCAGGCATGGTGGCACATGCCTGTAATCCCAGCTACTCAGGAGGCTGAAGCAGGAGAATCGCCTGAACCCAGGAGGCAGAGGTTGCAGTGAGCCTAGATCACGCCACTGCACTCCAGCCTGGGAAACAGAGCAAGACTCTGTCTTAAGGAAAAAAAATGTCTTAAAAGAGCTGGGCATGGTGGCTGACACCTGTAATCCTAATACTTTGGGAGGCTGAGGTGGGAGGATAACTGGAGGCCAGGAGTACAAGACCAGCCTGAAAAACACAGTAAGACTCTGTCTCAAAAAAAAAAAAAAGAGAGAGAGAGAGAGAGAGAGAAAGAAAGAAAAGGAAAAATAAAAAACTTTAACTTGAAAAAAAAGTCAAAAAAGAAATTTTTACTATCTATTCTCTTGGAGGGAGGCCTCCTCCACATAACAAGGCCACCTTTGCTAGCCAAGCCTCTTCCTCTCTTCCTCCCGTAAACCTGTCTTGCCACTAAGCCTGTTTTTGGCCATGCTCTAAGTCCACACTCTTTCTGTAATCTCAAGCTTCTGTAACTTATTGTTGGGTTAGGTCTTCATTCTGAAGGCTCCTGTGTATACACATTAAGCACATCTGTATGCCTTTTCTCCTGTTAATCAATCTGTCTCATGTCAGTGATTTTTCAGTGAACCTTTAGGGGCCAAGAGCTTATGGTCCCCACACTAGAATAGCTGGTAGAACTCAGAACGTGCTATACTTACAATTGCTCTTTTATTATCAAGAATACAAACCGGGTGAAGTAATATATAGGGTGGCAAGGTTTGGAAGGCTCCTGATAAAGGTGTTTCTGTGCTGTGGAGTTGAAACTGCCTTTGCAAAAATTATAATGGTGAGAAAATTATGACAGTAAAAGAGATCTGACCTAATCAACCTTCATGTTGCCTTTAACCTCGCAACTGCCTTTAATAATTCCTGGGCTTGGATCAAGCTAAGTTTGGGAGACATTGAGTCTATAGTTAAAATGATAATAGCGCTTTCCCCAAAATAAATCATCTTTGTAAAGCTAATGAAAGATGACCAAGTGAGGAGGTTGAGAAGAGCCTGAATTCTGCTGAGATATAGACATAAATGATTACCAGCCATTATTCTGGAGGTCATACGATTTTCAATTCCCTAGTTACTCCTGCAGATAAGATCACTATTGTTGACCCTAAGATTGGCCTTTTGAGATGTCTTTTCAGGTTTTTGCATTTCTGATAACCAAGGACTCTACCAGACCTGCCAACCAGTCCTGTGGCCTCTACCCAGTAACCAACTCAGCACAAGAAGACCGCTTTGACTATGTATGATTTTATCCCTGACCCAACCAATCAGCACTCCTCACTTCCTGGCCCCGTTCCTGCCAGAACTATCCTTGAAAAATCCCAGTCTCTGAATTTTCAGGGAGCTTGATTTGTAATAACTCCATCCCCCTGGGGGATGACCGGCCTCATGTTAGCTAAATGCTTTATTTATTGTGATGCTGCGGTCTCAGTGAATTGGGTTTGCCTGTGCAGTGGGCAGGAAGAACCCATCGAGAGGTTAGAGAGTGACGATGCGGCCAGGCATGGTGGCTGGCGCCTGTAATCCCAGCACTTTGGGAGGCCAAAGTGGGCGGATCACTTGAGGTCGGGAGTTTGAGACCAGCCTGGCCAAAGTGGTGAAACCCCGTCTCTACTAAAAACAGAAAAAGTTAACTTGGCATGGTGGTAATTCCACCTGTAATTGGAATTGGCACCTGTAATTCTAGCTACTTGGGAGGCTGAGGCAGGAGAATTGCTTGAACCTGGGAGGTGGAGGTTGAAGTGAGCCAACATTGTGCCACTATACTCCAGTGTGGATGACAGAGGAAGACTCTGTCTCAAAAAAAAAAAAAAAAAGAGTCAGAACACACCTCCCTGCCAGCACATCAGTACACTTACCAACCAGAAAGCTCTCAGAGCCTCATTGCCCAGAGTTTTTGTTGAGCTTTCATTATATAGGCATGATTGATTCAACCATGGGCCACATGACTGAACTCAATCATCTCCACCTCCCCACCCCTAGCCACAGGTTGGGGCGGAAAATTCCAATCCTCTAATCATGCACTTAGTCTTTCTGGCATGGCCAACTTCTCCTTCAAAACTAATTAGGGTCCACCATGAGTCACCTCTTTAGGATAAACTCAGGTTTAGTAAAAAGAGACTCATTTTGAATAACAAAATATACTCCTAACACGTAAGAAATTCCTAAGGCATTTGAAGGAGCTCTGTGTCAGGAACCAGGGACAAATATCAGATTTAAAAAAAAAAAATCATACCATAAAGGCAGAGGCTGACACTATATATAGCGCTTGTTTTTTTCTGTCACCCCAGCAATCCGACTAGGTGTTTTCTGAGCAATGAAAGAGCAGAATATATTGGTCAGAGCAGGAGGTACCTAGTGATTGGCTAATTTACAGACTAGGAAAATGTGATTCAGAAATGATGGGAGGGCCCCAGCTACGTGGTGATCAACCTGGTCTAAAAGCTGGGTGTCTAACCCTGAATGGCAAGACTCTGTAGGGCCCCCTGCTTGTTTCCTATGGCTTCTGTAACACATTGTAACAAACTTACTGGCTTATAACAACACAAATGTATTAGCTTAGAGAAGTGCAGGTCAGAGGTCTAAAATGGGTCTGTGAGGCTGCGTTCCCCCTGAGGATTCTGGGGGGGATTCTAGTCCCTTGCCCATTCCCATTTCCAGAGGCTGCCACCATCTTTTTTCTCACGACGCCCTTTCTCCATCTTCAAAGCCAGCAACACAGGATCTTCAGATCATTCCCTTTCCCCCTCTCCTTCTGTTGTTACACTGCCTTCTGTCTAACTGACTTTTCCCGCATCCCTCTCTTAAGAAGTCTATGACTGTAATCCCAGCACTTCGGGAGGCCGAGGTGGGTGGATCGCTTGAGGTCAGGAGTTCGAGACCAGTCTGGCCAACATGGCAAAACCCTGTCTCTACTAAAGATACAAAAAATTAGCCAGGTGTGGTGGCATGCACCTGTAATCCCAGCTACTCGGAAGGCTGAGGCAGGAGAATCGCTTGAACCCAGGAGGCGGAGGTTGCACTGAGCCAAGATCATGTCATTGCACTCCAGCCTGGGCAAGAAGAGTGAAACTCAATCTCAAAAAGAAAAAAAAAAAAAAGCAGCCTGTGATTACATCAGGCACACAGGGTAATCCAGGATAATCTCCCCATCTGGGGATTCTTAACTTTATCACATCTGCAAAGTCTCGTTTGGCTTTTAAAGTAACATATTCACAGGTTCTGGGCATTAGGACATAGGCATCTCTGGGAGGGCCTTGTTCAGCACACCACAGTTGTATATTTTCACCCTTTCAGGCATGAATTTGCTAGGTTTCAGCTCCTGCTTTTGTTCCTTCACAAATCCCTGATGACTACTATTGAGGAGGAAGGGACTCTGTCTCTGTCTCCTTTCTCCAACTTGTTTTTTTATTTTATTTTATTTTATTTTATTTTATTTTATTTTTTTAACAGAGCCCCTTCCTACTTTTGCTGGCAAGGAATGAGGTGCTGCCCTTTGACCATACAAGGTCCTACTTACCAGAGGTGCGAGCAGTACCTTTAGCACTGATATACATCTGTGGGCACTTCCTTATCGTCCTACCCGCCTTGTGTCTGCCAGGGCTGTGTTGCTTTCCTGGTCCTCCTTCATTTGTGGGGAGGAGGTTTATAGGATGTTTGGAAATATTGTTCCATCATCTTTGTTCTCCAACTCAGCTCTTACCAGAGGCCCCTGTAAAACAAATCTTTACTTTTCAGCTAGATAAGTTGGTGCTTTATTTCCTACTTGGACAATATCTAATCATTCAGAAGAGATAATTGTGTACCCAAGCCTCATTTACAAACCCATTTCTCCCCTCTCATCTCCCACTGCTTTGCTGTGTGAGCTGTAGGGATTTACTGTCCTCTCCTTTTTTTCAAAGTAAAAGATAGAGTGGCTCCAGTGAGAAATATCTTTACCCCCATGATCTGCATAGGTCAGTGGTTTTCAATCCCCAAGGGCTTCCCCCACCTCCCCAGGGATATTTGGCTATGCTTGAAGGTGTTTTGGTGGTGGCAACTTGGGAAGGGGATTGATGCTGGCTTCTAGCAGGTAGAGACCAGAGATACAGCTAAACATTCATCTTACAATGCACAGACCACCGCCCTGACTACAAAAGAGAATTATCTGGTCCAAATCAACACTAACGCTTCTGTTAAGAAATCCTGACTTAGGGCCAAAGAGCAGGAAAAAACATTGCAATAAGTTTAGTCTCTTTCCCTACCAATTTACTTGATCCTCTCCATAGGAGATTTGGGACTATTATTGCAGCACATTAATAAACAGGCAGGGTCTGTCTTTGTGCTTCCAAAGCTTCAAACACAAGGGCTTCCTCTGGTCTTGTCTGCCCTCGCACACAGCAAGTCTTCCTTCTCCCATCCTATTGCCTACCCATGCAGCAAAAATAATAAGCAGGACGCTCCTGCTGAGGACAGGAGGAGTGAGGGGAGATTGCCTTTCACTGATTACTGAAGCCTGAACTTAAAGGGCCTGAAAGTGAGGGCTCCAAACCAGTTCTGAATGCTTTGCTGTGATTTGTACTTTGGTGTATTGGTAACTTGAGTGCGAAGCATAAACAAGGATCAGTACTCAGGGCCATTTCTTGATTTTTATAATGTCTTCCAGGCCATGGGGAGGGCAAGGCTCTAGTTGCAGCCATGTAAAGCTTTACCTTAAGTAGAGCTTTACCTTAAGTAAGGCTGTAAGCCACAGGGGCTTGGAGAAATCTACAGTAGATAGCAGTGAACAAGACTTCCTGGGACTCTATCTCAGCTTGTACTGAGTGACTGCTATATGGGCAAGTCAGGTCCTCAAGCCAAAAAACAGATGGCCAAAGGGAATTTTTATGCTGGATTGGAGCAGAAAAATCCTGCTTCTTCCTATGACAGAAAAAAGAGAGAGAGAGAGAAAAAAGGCCACTGCTTCTTAAGAGGTAAGCCTCATATGTAGTTATAAAGGATAATTCTTCCTTTAAATGCAAAGAAAAATAATTTTAAAATTGCTTCATTGATCGAAAAATAACTGAGTACAAACAAGTATTCACACCACAAAAGGCAAAAGCCTTTTTTATCTTAACGAGAATATTATCTTGTTACAGTTAATAGTTATTGGATTACCCATTATGTCCCAGGCACTATTTAAGGGCACTGCAAATATATTATCTAATTTAATCTTCACCCTAACTCTCAGTCCAAGGTTATTACATCAATTTTATAGATAAGGAAATCGAGAGAGAGAGAGGTAAAATCACTTGCCCAAGATCACACAGCTGGTAAAGTGGCAGAGAAAGAATTTTGAACCGAGATTTGGCTGATCAAATGATCCCTTGTAAACCCTGTCGTATTTTTTTTCAGATGAATCCTCCATATTTGCATTCTCACACTTTATTATAAGAGTGACCTAAATTCCACTCCAGTTTATTTTTTTTGTAATGTCTTTTATCGGTTTTGGTATCAGAAAAATGCCGGACTCATACAAGAAATTGGGAAATGTGTTTTCCTTTTCAAATTTCTGGAAGAGTTTGTGCAGAAATGCTGTTAATTATTATTATTATTATTATTATTATTATTATTATTATTATTATTTTTGTTGAGACGGAGTCTTGCTCTGTTGCCCAGGCTGGAGTGCAGTGCCGCCATCTCGGGTCACTACAATCTCCACCTCCTGGGTTCACACCTTTCTCCTGCCTCAGCCTCCCCAGTAGCTGGGATTACAGGTGTCCACCACCATGCCCGGCTAATTTTTTTTATTTTTAGTAGAGATGGGGTTTCACTGTTAGCCAGGATGGTCTCGATCTCCTGACCTCGTGATCCGCCCACCTTGGCCTCCCAAAGTGCTGGGGTTACAGGCGTGAGCCACCATGCCCGGCCTGCTGTTAATTATTTTTAAAATGTGTAGAAGAATTCACCAGTGAAGCCATCTGAGCCAAAAATTTTCTTTGTGGAAAGTTTTTAAGCTACGATTCAATTTTCTTTAATGGCTATAGCACTATTCCGGTGATTTATTTCACTTAAGTGAGGTTTCATTGTTACATCTTTCAAGAGATTTATCAATTTCAGTTGTCAGTGAATTTATAGACACAAAGTTTATAATATTCACCCAAGTATCCTTTTAAATATCTGTAGAATCCGTAATGAGATTACCTGTCTCATTTTTGATATTGGTATTTGTGTCTTCCTTCTTTTTTTCTGATCAGTAGGGCTAGATGTTTATCAATTGTTTGATCTCAAAGAATCAGCTATTTGCTTTTTTTCTATTTCATTTGGTTCTGCTCTGATATTTATTATATCTATTCTTTTGCTTATTTTGAATTAGTATGCTTTCAGTTTACCTTGCTTTTCACTTTCTATTTTTCTAAGATGGAAACTGAGGTCATTGTTTTGATACATTTATAATTTTCTAAGGTAGGCATTTAGTACTACAAATGTCTCCCTAAGTACTGCTTTAATGACAATGTACACCTTTTGTTGTATTTTCATGTACATTCACTTAAAGGTATCATTTTCCCTTTTGATTTCTTCTTTGACCTATGGGTTATTTAGAATGACGCAATTAAGTTTCCAAATATTTGTTTTTTTCCAGGGATCTTTCAGTCATTGATTTCTCATTTAATTCCATTATAGTCAGAAAACAGTTTGGATGACTTGAATCCTTTTAACTATATTGGTGCTTGTATTTTGGCTTTTGTATTCTGGCCCAGGATATAGTCTATACTGATAAATGTTCTGTGGAGACATTCAAAACACACTGAAAAGAATGTATATTCCACTGCTGTGGAAGGGAGTGTTTTATAAATGTTAATTCAGTGAAGATGGTTAATAGTATTACTGAAGTCTTCTATATCCTTGCTGATTTTCCATTGACTTTTCTGTCCATTACTGAGACAAGAGTTTGAAATTTCTGACTATAATTGTAAAATACTTTTTGCATTTCTATTGGTTTTTGCTTCATGCATTTTCAAGCTCCAAGTAACTGATCCCCTTATTAAGGAACCTTCTTTATTCCTTGCTGTGAAATCTACTTTCTCTGATATTAATATAACTACTCCTGCCTTTTATAAAAAGTATATGCATGGCATATCTATTTCTATCCTTTTATGTTTAACCTATTTGTGTATTTACATCTAAAGGGCACTTCTTGCAGGCAGCAGATGGTTAGGTCTTGTTTTTGAAAATATCCACATTGACATTGCTGCCTTTTAATAAGGATGATCAGACCATTTAATATGATTATTAATGTAGTTTATGTCTCATCTTGCTATTTGTTTTTCATTAGACCTATTTGTTATTTGTTTCTCTTTCCTTCTATTCCTTTTTTAATTTTTTAAATTAAGTTCTGGGGTATATATGCAGCATGCAGGTTTGTTACATAGATATACACATGCCATTGTGGTTTGCTGCACCCAACAACCTGTCATCTATGTTAGGTATTTCTCCTAATGCTATCTCTCCCCTAACCCCCCACCCACCAACAGGCCCCAGTGTGTGATGTTCCCCTCCCTGTGTCCATGTGTTCTCATTGTTCAATTCCCACTTAGGAGTGAGAACATGTGGTGTTTGGTTTTCTGTTCCTGTGTTAGTTTGCTGAGAATGATAATTTCCAGCTTCATCCATGTCCCTGCAAAGGACATGAACTCATCCTTTTTTATAGTTGCATAGTTTTCCATGGTATGTATGTGCCACATTTTCTTTATCCAGTCTATCATTGATGGACATTTGGGTTGGTCCCAAGTCTTTGCTATTGTGAATAGTGTCACAATAAACATACGTGTGCACGTGTCTTTATAGTGGAATGATTTATAATCCTTTGGGTATATACCCAGTAATGGGATTGCTGGGTCAAATGGCATTTCTGGTTCTAGATCCTTGAGGAATAGCCACACTGTCTTCCACAATGGTTGAACTAATTTACACTCCCACCAACTGTGTAAAAGCGTTCCTATTTCTTCACATCCTCTCCAGCATCTGTTGTTTCCTGACCTTTTAATGATCACCATTCTAACTGGTGTGTGATGGTATCTCACTGTGGTTTTGATTTGCATTTCTCTAATGACCAGTGATGATGAGCTTTTTTTCATATGTTTGTTGGCTGCATAAATGTCTTCTTTTGAGAAGTGTCTATTTATATCCTTCGGCCACTTTTTGGTGGGGTTGTTTTTTTTTTTTTTTTTTTTTGTAAATTTGTTTAAGTTCCTTGTAGATTCTGGATATTAGCCCTTTGTCAGATGGATAGATTGCAAAAATTTTCTCCCATTCTGTTGGTTGCCTGTTCACTCTGGTGATAGTTTCTTTTGCTGTGTAGAAGCTCCTTAATTAGATCCCATTTGTCAATTTTGGCTTTTGTTGCCATTGTTTTTGGTGTTTCAGTCACAAAGTCTTTGCCCATGCCTATGTCCTGAATGGCATTGCCTAGGTTTTCTTCTAGGGTTTTTACGATTTTAGGTCTTACGTTTAAGTCTTTAATCCATCTTGAGTTAATTTTTGTATAAGGTGTAAAGAAGGGGTCCAGTTTCAGTTTTCTGCATATGGTCTGCCAGTTTTCCCAACACCATTTATTAAATAGGGAATCCTTTCTCCATTGCTTGTTTTTGTCAGGTTTGTCAAAGATCAGATGTTCAACATACGTGCAAATCAATAAACATAATCCATCACATACACAGAACCAATGACAAAAACCACATGATTATCTCAATAGATGCAGAAAAGGCCTTCGACAAAATTCAACAGCTCTTCATGCTAAAAACTCTCAATAAACTAGGTATGGATGGAATGTATCTCAAAATAATAAGTGCTATTTATGACAAACCCACAGCCAATATCATACTGAATGGGCAAAACCTGGAAGCATTCCCTTTGAAAACCAGAACAAGACAAGGATGACCTCTCTCACCACTCCTATTCAACATAGTATTAGAAGTTCTGGCCAGGGCAATCAGGCAAGAGAAAGAAATAAAGGGTATTCAATAGGAAGAGAGGAAGTCTAATTGTCTCTGTTTGCAGATGACATGATTGTATGTTTAGAAAACCCCATCGTCTCAGTCCAAAATCTCCTTAAGCTGATAAGCAACTTCAGCAAAGTCACAGGATACAAAATCAATGTGCAAAAATCACAAGCATTCCTATACACCAATAATAGACAAACAGAGCCAAATCATAAGTGAACTCTGACTCACAATTGCTATAAAGAGAATAAAATACAGAGCCAAATCATAAATGAACTCCGATTCACAATTGTTATAAAGGGAATAAAATACCTAGGACTACAACTCCCAAGAGATGTGAAGGACCTCTTCAAGGAGAACTACAAACCACTGCTCAAAGAAATAAGAGAGGACACAAACAAATGGAAACACATTCCATGCTCATGGATAGGAAGAATCAATATCATGAAAATGGCCATACTGCCCAAAGCAATTTATAGATTCAATGCTATCCTCAAGATACCATTGACTTTCTTCACAGAATTAGGAAAAAACTACTTTAAATTTTATACAGAACCAAAAAAGAGCCCATATAGCCAAGACAATCCTAAGCAAAAAGAACAAAGCTGGAGGCATCATGCTACCTGACTTCAAACCATATTACAAGGCAACAGTAACCAATACAGCATGGTACTGGTACCAAAACAGATATATAGACCAATGGAACAGAACAGAGGCCTCAGAAATAATGCCACACATCTACAACCTTATTCCTTAAGAGTATTTTACAACTTCATTTTTTATAAAATAAGTTTTATTGAGATATAACTCACATACTATCAAATTCAGTTTTTTAAGTGTACAATTCAGTGGGTTTTATTAAATTCAGACTTGCTCAACATCACTACTATCTAATTTCAAGGCATTTTTCTCATCCCCCAAAGAAATCCCATACCCATTATGCAGTTATTCTTCTTTTCCCCTTATCCCCTCTGGCAACCACTATTCTACATTTTCTCTCTTTGGATTTGCCTATTCTGGATATTTTACATTAATGGAATCATAAAATATGTGAGTTTTTGTGACAGTATTCTTTTACTTAGCATAATGTTTTCAACGTTCATCTGTGGTATAGCATGTATCAGTGCTTCATGCCTTTCCTTTTTGTATTCCTTTTATTTTTTATTTGCATTCCTTAATATTCCTTTTTGTATAGATAGGTCACATTTTACTTTTTTAATTCATAAGTTGATGAACATTTAGGTTGTTTCAATTTTTTAAGTAGTGTGAATAATGTTGCTATACACATTAATGTACACATTTTTGTGTGGACATATGTTTTCAGATCTCTTGGATATGTACCTAGGAGTAGAAATGCTGTCATATAAAGCCACGTTTAACAGCTTGAGAAATTATCAAAGTGCTTTCCAAAGTTCCTGCACCGTTTTACAATTCCATCAGTAATTAAGGTTCTAATTTCTCTACATTCTCACCAACATTTGTTATTGTCTGTCTTTTAAAAAACAGTCATCATAACAGGTGTGAAGTAATATTCCATTATAGCTTAGTTTTGAGTTTCCTTAATGATTAATGATATTGAACAACTTCTTGTGTGCTTATTGGCCATTTATCTTTTTTGAAGAAATGCCTACTCAAATCCTTTCTCCATTCTTGAATTGAGTTGCTTTAATTGTTGAGTCAAAAGATTTCTTTTTATTATACATTCTGGATACAAAGTCCTTATCTGATACAGAATTTGTAAACATTATCTCCCATTCTGTGGTTTGCCTTTTACCCATTTCGATGGTCTTTTTTAAAGCACGAAAGTTTTCAGCTTTGATGAAGTTCAATTTATCTATTCTGTCACTCATCTTTTTTTTTTTTTTGGTGTCATATCTAAGAAGGCTTTGCCTACCACATGTTACAAAGATATACGCCTATATACTTCCTAGGAGTTTTATATTAACTCCCGTATTTAGGTTGATAACAGATCTTGAGTTAATTTTTGCATATGGTATGCAAAATTTATTCTTTTACCTGTGAGTATCAAATTGTCCAACATCATTCGTTGAAAAGGCTGTTCTTTTCCCATTAAATTATTTTGGCACCTTTATCAAAAAGTAAGTTGACTATAAACGTAAGAGTTTATTTTGAGGCTGGGTGCAGTGGCTCATGCCTGTAATCCCAGCACTTCGGAAGGCCGAGGTGGGCAGATCACAAGGTCAGGAGATCGAGATCATCCTGGCTAACACTGTGAAACCGCGTCTTTACTAAAAATACAAAAAAAAAAAAAAAAAAAAAAAAAAAGCCAGGCATGGTGGCAGGCACCTGTAGTCCTAGCTACTCAGGAGGCTGAGGCAGGAGAAAGGTGTGAACCCGGGAGGCAGAGCTTGCAGTGAGCTGAGATCTACACTGCAGCCTGGGGTGACAGAGCGAGACTTCATCTAAAAAAAAAAAAGAGTTTATTTTGGGACTGTCAATTCCATTCCATTGATCTGTATGTTTAGCCTTATGCCAGTACCGCATTGTCTTGATTACTACAGCTCTGAAGCAAGTTTTGAAGTTAAGAAGTGTTAAGTCCAACTTTCCTCTTTCAAGATTGTTTTGGTTATTCTGGGCCATATAAAATTTCTAATTATCTTGTCAATTTCTGAAAAAAAAATCCCACTGGTATAGTGATAATGAAATGGGAGAGTTCCCTGACCCCCGCCCCATCTCAGGACCTGTGACAGGGGTGTGACTCGTCTTTTCAGCCACCACCTCTGTTCAAACCCCTTATGGGAGGGGGAGTATGCAGACAGGCAGGTGCAGGAGCTGGGGTGAGCACTTCTGGGCTTTGGCCCCATAGTAGCATCTAGGAGTGGGTGCCTACAACTCCCAAAGCCCAAGTGGGCATGTGTTATAGTGCACTCTTTTAGCTTTGCCATCCGTGGATGGTGTAGGTGTTAAACAGCTCAGTGGACCCTCTGCCTTTTCACGAGGGCAGAGGGCCAGTGCGACAGTTTTCTGTATCCCGAGCTCTTGTCCAGCATCCAGGAAAAATCAGGTCACACAACGACTCGAAGGATGGTGAATGCAGGGGTTTTATTGAGTGATGGGGGTGGCTCTCAGTGGGATGGATGGGGAGCTGGAAAGGGGATGGAGAAGATGATCTTCCCCTGCACATTGGCTGTCCAGCAGCCGATCTCCTCTCTGACCATCCCCAGCTGAACTCCTCTTGATGTTCAGACATTCCTTTTCTTCTCTCCTTCTCTTCTGTTCTTCTGCTCTTCTGTTCATTTGCTCATCTGTGCTTGGAGCCTGGGGTTTGGGGTTTATGCGGGTATGGGATAGAGGGGTATGGTGGGCCAAGAGGCAACATTTGGGTACAAAAATAAGAATGCCTGTTCCCATTTAGGGCCACAGGTTTCCAGGCTTGAGGGTGGGGCCTTTGCCGGGGAACTGTCCTCTTCTACCTCTGTCTCCTGTCTGTATCAGTGAGAATTGAATGAAATCTTTAGATCATTTTGGAGAGTGTGGTAGGTAGAATTATGACCCCCAAAAGTATATGTCCTAAACTCTGTAAACTGTGAATGTGTTATCTTACATGGCAAAAGCAACATTGTAGATGTGATTGAGAATGTTCATCATGATGGGCTCAATGTAATCACAAGTGTCTTTTATAAGAGGGAGAAAGAACGGTAGATTTAGAGAAGGAGATGTAATGAGGAAGTAGATATCAGAGTGATATAGTCCCAAACTATACCACCTGGTCCCAGGATTTAATTTGTAGGATTTTTTTTTTATAAGCCTCAGCATCCCAAGTATCTGGGATTATAGGCTCCTGCCACCATACCTGGTTCATTTTTGTATTTTAAAAAAAGGAATCTGTCGATTTTACATAGATTATCTAATCTGTTGTTATACATGTGTTCACAATATTTGAATTCTTTTTATTTCTGTAAACTCAGTAGTAATGTTCCCTGTTTCATTCCTGATTTCAGCAATTTGAGGCTACCCCCTTTTTCCTCGGTCAGTCAAAGTTAAGGCTTGCCAATTTTTTTAATCTTTCCAAAAATCAATTTTTGATTTATTGACTTTCTCTACTGTTTTTGTTATGCTCTGTGTTATTTATTTATACTCTCATCTTTGCTATTTTTCTCCTTCTGCTTTTTTAGGTTTAGTTTGCTCTTTGTCAAATGAATGAGCCACAGATGGCCTCTGCATATTAGCCCCTAGGTTGTTTGTTTCTTCACTGCAGGCTGAGACCTGTTAGCTCAAAACCCCTCCAGCATCAAACTCAAATTTTTACGTAGCCGTTTGTTTTAAAAATAGCCCAAACAAATAGCTTTGTAGCTATTTAGGGTCTGTTTGCTTTGCATGCCCTATGAAATCTCATTTTGCATTGGTATTGGCTAATTTATGTCCTCCCAAAATTCATATATTTAAGTCCTAACCCCTAATACCTCAGAATGTAAGTGTATTTGGAGATCACACCTTTAAAGTGGTGATTAAGGTAAAATAAAGTCATAGGGTAAACTCTACTGTAATCCAATATGTCCGTCATCCTTATAAGAAAAGAAGACTAAGATACAGACAGAACAGGCTAAGGAATGACTATGTGAGGACATGGTGAGAAGGCAGCCATTTGCCCAGCAAAGAGTGAGGCCTCAGAAGAAACCAAACTTGCTGACATCTTGATCTTGGACTTCTAGCTTCGAGAACCTCTGGGAAATACATTTATGTGTTTCGTTTGTTTGTTTTGTTTTGTTTTGTTTTGTTTTGTTTTGTTTGAGACGGAGTCTCGCTGTGTTGTCCCGGCTGGAGTGCAGTGGCGCCATCTCGGCTCACTGCAAGCTCCGCCTCCCGGGTTCACGCCATTCGCCTAAGCCTCCAGAGTAGCTGGGATTACAGGCGCCCACCACCACGCCCGGCTAATTTTTCGTATTTTTAGTAGAGATGGGGTTTCACCGTGTTAGCCAGGATAGTCTCGCTCTCCTGACCTCGTGATCCGCCCGCCTCGGCCTCCCAGCGTGCTGGGATTACAGGCGTGAGCCACCGCGACCGGCCCATTTCTGTTTTTTAAGCTGTTCAGTCTGTGGTGTTTTCTGATGGCAGCCTTAGCAAATTAATACCCACATCTGCTAGCAATGGATAAGATAAAGCCTTGTAGTTATAAGACTCCAAGCTGCTACTGCTCTTGGGAGCTTTCAGATGTAAAGACGGCCTGCTATAATACTGAGGATGTTACCTACATATGTAAACTCTTTCTCCCCAACCCCCTTCTTCCTAGAAGTAACCTTGCCCCCATTTCCTTTAGAATGGTGGCCTCCTAGGATTAAACCTCGGGAATGTCTCATGTTGCCAGCAACTTCCTCTCCTAGGCAATTCTGTCAAAGCACCACCTTATAAAGCCTGTGTGTTACTGTCATGGACAGCCCTGAAACTCCTTGAATTCTACCCCGACACTCCTTTTTACTCTAGCTTTTTAAGGTGGAAGGTTAGGCTTTTAATTGGACATCCTCTTCTCCTCTTGAACAACACCCTTTTTTTCAAGAATACCTGTTCATACCATATATTCCTCTCTGAACACTGATTTAGGTTTATCCCATAAGTTTTGGCACATTGTGGTTTTATTTTCACTCATCTTAACGTATTTTCTAATCTCCTTTGTGATTTCTTCTTTGGTTGTTTTAGGAGTATATTTTAAAATTCCAAGTATTATAAAATTTCTAAATTTCTCCCTGTTAATGATTTCCAACTGCATTCTATGGTAGTCAGAAAACATTTTGTATTATTTCAATCATTTTAAATTTATTGAGACTTGTTTTGTTGCCTAACGTATGGTCTATCTTGGAGAATGTTTCATCTGCACTTAAGGAAAATGTGCATTCTGTTGCTGTGGGGTGGAACATTCTATACTATCTACTAGTATTGTTCAAGTCTTCTGTTTTCTTATTGATTGTTTGTGTAATTGCCCTGTCCATTATTAAAAGTGGGTATTGAATTCTTCAACTATTATTGCTGAACTGTCAATTTCTCTTTTCAGTTCTATTAGTTTTAAAATATATTTCTGGGGTCTCTGTTGTTAGGTATATATGTATTGCAACTTTTATATCTTCTTGATGGATAGACCCATTTATCATTATAAAATATTTTTGTCTCTAGTAACAATTTTTTGTCTTAAGTCTATTTTGTCTAATATTAGCATCATCATTCCAGCTATCTTTTGATCACATTTGCAAAGCATATCTTTTTCCATTCTTTTATTTTCAACATACCATGTCTTTGAATTCAAGTATGTATCTTATTCTCAGCATATAGTTGGATAATGCTCTTTAAAAAATCTATTCTTCCAATCTCTGCTTTTTAATATTAATATTTCCTTTTAATGTAATTATTGCTATAGTAAGATTTATGCCTACCATTCTGATATTTGTTTTTTATGTGTCTTATGTCTTTTGTTTATAAATTTCCTCCATTACTGTCTCATATGAAATCGTTATTTTCTTGCACGATATTTTATTTCCCTTGTCATTTCTTTACACACCCCCCACCACCGCACACACACAAACACAAACACATAAACATATACCTACATGCATTTTAGTTATTTTCTTAGTGGCTGTCTTGGAGATTATAATCAATATCTTAATTTATAATAATATAGTTTAGATTAACCTCAATGTATTATAATAGCACATAAAAATTTTGCTCCTATATAGTTTGGTTCACTTTCTTTGCTGTGTTATCATACTAATTACATCTTTATGCTTTCTATACCTGTTAATACAGATTTATAATTATTGCTATATAAAGTTGTAAATCAGATATGAGAAAATAAGGCTGACAAACAAAAACACATTTATATTGTCTTTTATATTTACCTATGTAGTTACTTTTATCAGCATTCTTTATTTCTTCATGTGGATTTGAGTTACTGCTTAATGTGTTTAATTTCAACCCGAAAGATTCCCTTTAGTATTTCTTGTAGGACAGATCTGCTAGTGACAAAGTCTATCAGTTTTTGTACATCTTGGAATGTCTTCATTTCTCCTTCATTTTTAAAGGACAGTTTTGCTGGATGTAAAAGTCTTGGTTGACATTCTTTTTTGTATTTTCAAATGTCACCTCACTGCCTTCTGGACTACATGGTTTCGGGTGAGAAATAAGCTGTTAATCTAATTGAGAATCCCTTGTATGTGATGAGTCACTTCTCTCTTGTTGCTTTCAAGATTCTCTTTGTTTTTGTCTTTTAACAGTTTGATAATGTTTTATGTGTGTATCTCTTTGTGTTTATCCTAGCTGGAGTTCACCAAATCTCCAGGACGTGGAAGGATGTAAATGTATGTTTTTCATACAATGTGTGAATTAAGAACATGATACATTTAAACGTTCCTTCTGCATCTCTCTCTCTCTCTCCTTCTGGGTTATCAGTATGTGCATGTTGGTATATTTGATGGTGTCCCACAGGTTTCTAAGTCTTTTTTCTTCTTTTTTTTTCATTCCTTTTTCTTTCTGTTCCTCAGACTGGATAGTCCCATTTAAACTATTAATACTATTACTGTATTTGAGTTTACTGACTATTCCTTCTGTCTGCTCAAATGTGCTGTTGACTCCTTTTTGAATATTTCACTTCAGTTACAGTTACTTTCAGCTCAAGAATTTTAATTCTTTATATTGATCTTTCTTTATTGATATTCTCTCTGTAGTGAGATACTGCTTTCATATTTTCCTTTATTTCTTTAGACATGGTTTTCTTCAGTTCTTTGAACATACTCAAGATAGCTTATTTACAGTGTTTGCCTTGTAGGCCCAACATCCGGGCTTCCTCATGGACAACTTTTATTGACTATTTTGTCATTGCATATATTGTGTCTGGTTCTGTTCTTGTTGGTTTTAGATGTTTTCAAACTAAATTGTATTAATGTTATTTTATCTTGTTTGAATGAAGAATTGATGATGTTCAAAATAAATTTTCAAGATAGTTCATAAGACACAACTGGGCTGGGCATGGTGGCTCACACTTGTAATCCCAGCACTTTGGGAGGCTGAGGTGGGCAGATCACTTGAGGTCAGGAGTTTGAGACCAGCCTGGCCAACATGGTGAAACCCTGTCTCTACTAAAAATACAAAAATCAGCTGGACGTGTTGGCACGTGCCTGTAGTCCCAGCTACTTGGGAGGCTGGGGCAGGAGAATCACTTGAACCTGGGAGGCGGAGGGTGCAGTGAGCTGAGATCATGTCATTGCACTCCAGCCTGGGTGTCGCAGTGAGACTCAGCCTAAAAAAAAAAAAAAAAAAAAAAAGACAACTGTCTGTGTGCTATTTGTTCAGTCTCTGTTAGTGCACTGCATCCAAACAACAACAACAAATTAGTGAGTCATCAACAAGAATTAGCAGCTATCAACAGAGGAAAAGTTGTCTTTTTACAGAAGGATAAGGTGGAGGACACAAACCATGCAAGCCAAGAAGCTAATCTAGTAACTGTGATTCTTTTCTCTCTCCCTTTCTCTAAGCCCACCTCAACTGATCATCTGATCGCTGAACTGAGGCATAGTTAGGCCATGGGAGGGGCCATGAAGATATATGTGAACCTTACCAATCTGGGATATGTTTTCAAATGATGATGAAGAGTAAAATTCTAGCCTCAGCATCTCCTTTGGTGAATTCCAAAAAAAGTCCATTGATCTTTCAGAAAAAAGACCTTGATCTGAATAAGGAGGTGGAGAATCTCAGAAATCTCCCTGGAGAACTGGGAAATATGTAAGGAATAAAGTAGACAGGGTCTCAATGGGAGTAGGTAGGGGCAAGTAGAAGAGGAAGAAAGTAATGAATAATCTCAGCTCCTTAAACTCTTTTCTCATTGCTGATTCAGCCCTTTCTTTCCTATTCTCTCTTTCCATCTTCTGATTTGTTTAACCATTCAACAAAATTACACTGGAAATGGAGGATGTGGAGGTAAACAAAACCAACTCACTAAATAGCAACAACAGCAACAAACCAATCCCTGCCCCAGTAGAGCTTACAGACCTTAATTAAATAAACTTTCCTATTTAAAAAGTGCTACAGGGGCATACAAGAGCTTATAACAAACAGATGGCCTAGATTTACTATATCGGGGGGAGGAGGTTGACAACAGAGTGACTTGCTCAGAGAGCAGAAATGTGGAAGAAAAAGGAGGGATTAATTCAATGAAGCAGGTGAGGTCAACACTTCATGCAGAGGTACCCACCACGCATAGGCCAGGAAGCAAGAAACTGATTTCAGTCCTGACTCCAGATTTTCATCCCAGAGCATGTTGGGGGATTGGAGGAAGAGATCTTTGTTTGTCACCATGATCTTGGAGGTCTTGACATGATGCTGGAGTCATGGGGGGCTTGCTTGCTTGCTTTTGGAAGCCAAATGTCTGTCTCTCTATCCTCTTCTGACTCTCACCCCAACCCAGATCAGTTTCTGCCACGCAGTGGGTCCAACCAGTGCCTGGATTCAGTTCGCTGGCCCCTAGCATGTGAATTGACTGACATTCTTGAGCACATTATTTTTTCTCTAATTAGGCAGTATACCTGTACTGCCAGTGGCTTCTCCTGAGCCTATGGAGCCACAGGAGGTCACATTAACAGTCTTGGTATAATAAGTCATTGCCATGCAAGCTGAAGGCAATTAATCCTAAAATTTGGAACTGTTCGAGATTAATTCCACTAAACTATATTGTGAAACCAGGGCAAAAAAAATATATACTACCATTTATACCTGGTGCTTTTTGTTTCATGACCTCATTTACTTCTTAAAACCAACATTTCAATTAGGCAGTATTGCTATTTTCCTTTTCAAATGAAGAAACTATGCCCAGAGAGGTCTGTGGAACTCACACAGCATCAGTGCTAGAGTTGGCATCCTAGTCCATGACTAAGTTCTTTCTGCAATCCTATGTGAGTTATGCTTCTGGTACTCTGCACTGTATTTCACACTCAAAACTTAACTATTATTATCTCATTATCACCAGAGAATTGATGCAGCACTCTGACAGCTATGATTTCTTTTCTTTTTTTTCTTTTATTTTGTGGTCTCTATGTAAATAAAATCTTTTCACCCTAATGGCTGTCCTGACACTGCCAAATCTCTGATCCACGGGGAGACACAGGGAGTCTCTGTCCAGAGCTATCTTCCTCCCAGAAGAGCTAACGAGGAAAAAAAGTAACAGAAGGTAACTTGCTGATCCTAATTACTTTGCCCGTTGTACATGTCTCAGATCAAATACCATTTTGTCCTCTTTTTCCCCTTTAGGGAGAATTAATTAAGCTCTAATTACATCGACAGAAAAAATAGAAGCTACAATAAAATTATTTTTTTTTTAAAAAAGCTATTAACAAGGTCTGAGCACAGAGCTTGTTATAACCTGGGGAGTGAGCCTCATTTGAATTTTATGGCCTTTGCTTTTACATTTTTTTATTAAACCTTTTCTTAAAATCCTCAATATGTCTTCTTTCCATGGTATAATCTTTCTTGGGAATTTGCAGGTGTTAAATTAGATGCTTGGGGCTCTCTTACCCTCCCTGCATTCAGTCAGAGTATGGTGTATCCCGTGAGGCAGATTAATCATTTTTTTAACTGATTTATAAGTTCACACTCAGTTTTTTTTTCTATCTGGAATAAAATCTGACGCACAGAGCCCCTCTGGTTCAGGCAAATTGAGCCAATGTTTTCCTTGTTAGAGAAAAAAATTAAAAAGCTTATTCCAATCAGCACATCTCACTGCAAAAAGGGAGTTCAATTCTTTCTCCCTGTCAAATGGAATCCAGCCATGCAGACCGGGCTGTGATGATGTGAAGATGGAAAGAACCTTCCCACTCAGAGAGTGAGAGGTCCTCTTACCCTACAAGACGCACATTACTGACCTGAAGGTCAGAGCTTGAAAAGTAAACTATCCGAGGAGGAGATGTGACCTACCACCGGGTAACGCGATGCAGGGCAGAACTCCACCTCAAAGCTAGACCCTGGACCTGCCCAGCAGTTCTTCTACCAACATAGCTGGGCCACCTGGGTAAGGTGTTTAGAATTCAGATTCTCATCTCAGTCCTAGATCTACTGAATCAGAACCTCTATGAGTGGGATCCTGGAATTTGTATTTTTCAAAGCCCTCAGGGAGATTCTGATGACTAGCAAGGCCCAGGAGTCATCTGATTAAAATAGTAAGACTAGCTGCAAAACACTAATTTTCAGGGAAGGGGAACACACTAGGTATTCCAAATAGCAGAGAAGGAGACATACTCCCAAGAAACTGGAGATTTTAGCCAAGGTGGCTTCCTAAAGGGGAATTTCTCTGGAATCTTTTTGTTGGTCTTAAAAATTGATATAATTTTGGATTCCATTCTAACGGTGACATATATACAAATAGATGTATATACACGCATATACAGATACTCTTATACATATTCATACATATATATCTGTGTGTATATATGTGTATGTACAATTGTGTGTATGTGTGTATCTGTTACATTGCCTAGAACAGCCCACGCTATAGTCAGAGGACACATACAGTCTTTCCCAAGATTTCTACAAATCCCTGGTGGGGTTGAACGTGTGAGTACTTATATCCTGATATGGTTTGGCTGTGTCCCCACCCAAATCTCATCTTGAATTACAGTTTCCATAAACCCCACGTGTCACGGGAGGGACCTGGTGGGAGGTAATTGAATCATAGGGGCAGTAACTCCCATGCTGTTCTCATGATAGTGCGTTCTCATGAGATTTGATGGTTTTTACAAGGGGCTTTTCTCCCTTTGCTCGACACTTCACTCTCCTGTCACCATGTGAAGAAGGATACGTTTGCTTCCCCTTCTGCCAAGATTATAAGTTTCCTGAGGCCTTCCCAGCCATGCAGAACTATTTGTTTGTTCTATTTCTAGATCCTTTCACCATTTCATGGGTATCATCTCTAATTTTTCATGCACATAAAGTGAGCCTGCATTTGATTTCCACTAAAATCCATTCTCATAAGGTATTGTTTTATACAGTACACTCTCATAAAGAGTATTTTGGGGAGAAATGCATGGGTGAGGGGCAGTGATGTGCTGGATCTGGCTAATACAGGGCCATGAGAGCCAGCCATTAAATTTTTAGGAATTTTGCAATCCAGTTGTTAAGCAAAACCATGATTAAATATTATATAAGGTTGTAATTAAGTTGTACAATTAATAAAGGTAGTAAGTATTAGAAGCTCATCACTTACTAGCTGTTTTACTACATTTTATTCTTACCTATGCCCTTGAAGTTATTTGTATCTACTGTATTTGTGTAGTAGAAATACAATTAAATGTGTTGCTATTGCCCATCTCTACCCAATTCTGTGTTTAGTGATTATACATGGGTAACCTGAGATTGGCCATAGCAAGAGTATTTACATCACAGAAATTGGCAAATGCTACAAATCTAGGCTTGATTTATTGCTCTGCTGATTGCCTGGACCTAAAAATTAATGGATAATATGTTAATAATGTCCATAAGCTTAAATGTGTCATGTCTATAGCCACTGCATTGTCAATAGTATAAAAACTGAAGACATTTTTTCAGCATTTAAAAACTTTTTGCTGATTCAGCAAAGAAGTCATTCACATCATTGACAAATGAGTGAAGTTCTAATATATGTTTTCTTTGTTTCCCTTGTATCTTATTCATTAATATATAACATTAACCAACATTCATGTTGAAACTACACTTGCATTCAAGATTTGTAGCCTGATTTTATCAAGTGATGGTTGAATTGCAATCTTAGATCAGTTATACATATAAGAATTCTGCAAAAACCAAGAAAGTGTTCTGTAAGTATCAGCTGGCTATATGACAAAGAATACTGTAAAATTTATTATTATAAACTGTTTGTTACATATTCTTTAGGTCAGTAAAGTTTCTAAGAAACTTAAGTATGTTTCCCCAGAGACCTAGTTGTTAAGCATTTACCAGTCTCCCACAAGAGTTTATATTACACCAACATAAACATATTGAATAGTAAATGTCCTTTGATATATATACATGCTTTCACACCTCATTGGTGGTAATTGTTCTTCTCATCAGGTGCAAAAACTAATTCCCTTCATCTTCTGCAAGCTGTTTAGTCATCTCTTTCATTGGATTACTAGATAATTGCAGGTTCCCACCCAAACCTCCATGTCCTTTTCTCCCATCAAGAGCATGCGGATCTTTCATTGGTGGTTACATCCCTCTTCCATTCCCAGTCCTATTGTTTGGGTAGATTTAACTCCATTCTCCAGTTACAGGAATTGACTCTGCAAGCTTAAGCCAATCAGTGGGTTCCAGCTCTCTGGCCACAGTGATTGGTGCGGAGTTGAGCACATGACCCAATTTGGGCCAATGAGAGAGAGGAAATCTCAAAATTGTAGTTGAAAATATTAAAAGAGAGCTATGAGTTTTCTCTGGACAATGTATTATAAGATAGGAACAACTTTATCCATTTTATTATCACAGGAAGAGAGCTAAGAGCTGAAGGGAAAGAAACCACCAGAACCCAAGAATGAGGCCAAATCCATAGAACATAAACAGAATAGAGAACAACCTAGGTCCATGGTAAAATCACTTGAGCTACTAGATGAAGCTTTACCTGACCAGATCTTCCTGGGGTTTAGGTACAAGTATGAATAAATCTCCTTTGTTTTTAAGGCCCATTTGAGTTGGGTTTTCAATCACTTGGAACCAAAAAGATCCTTAACTTTTATATTTGTCTTGACTCTTAAGCTCAGGGGCCTTACTTTCCATTCCAAGGCTAATCAAGCCTTTCGGTAAAAGATAGGTAATTTCTTCCCTAAGAGAGATTCTCCTCAAACTAATAAAGTAAAACATTTTTAACCCCACTAGACAAAAGTAGTGTTTCTAATAACTTATTGCCAAGCAAAATGAACATTCTAGAACTTTGCACCATATTTGTTCCATGGCTTCCTACAACTTGCTAGCACAGGATTACACACACATATATATATATATATACTATAGGGATGTGCATACTTTAGATTGAGAAGTGTGGCACTGAAGCATGAAGCCACCATTTACATTTCAGGGAAAATTATTTTTTCAATGATTTGCTTAAACAAGAATTCTTGGTTGAATATCCATGTGTTTTATGCGGTCACAGGGTAGGATATTGAGAGAACTGGATGTAGAATGCAGCAGTTTGAGGGAGGTGTAGTGTGATGATGATGATGCTAATAGCAAAAACTTTCATAGTTCTTGCTACGTGCCAGGCTGTGTTAAGTGATCTCCATGAATTAATCCTCATTTCCATACCCAGTTTACAGGTGATGAAATGGAAATGCTAGCTTAACTTCATACACCTTGGTTCCTGAGTCTGTGCTCTAACCAGTAGGTTGTACTGCTTCTCCACTGTGTGCTTAAGACAAAGTTGGGAAAATGGAAATGAATTTGGATCCATTCATAGGAACTGGTGAGTCCAGGTCAGGATCTGCCTTTGGGGCTCTGAGAGTTGTAGAGTCACAGTATTCACAAAAGATGCCTAACTCATGCCAGCAAAGCAGACAACAGACCAAATACAATTCATGCTTGAAGAGGACTGGAGTTAGAATCAGAGAGGCAGCCAAGAGCACCATTTCCACAGAGCAAGATAAGGCTATCAACAGTCAAGGATCAGACAGCAAGAAGATGTGGACATGTCAGCCAATGGAGCGGAAGGGCTGAAGATACCAGCTCAGAATGGAGACTAAACAATGAGAGGGCACCAAAGGATGATTTTTTTAATGTATCAAATAAAGAAAAGTCTGATGGTTAAAGGCTATGCACTTAGATAGAGGGGTACTGTACTAGATAATCATTGTCATAGTAATGCTAGGTAAGAAACCATGCCAAGACTCAGTAGCATCCAACCACAAACATTCATTTCTTGTTCACAGATTTGTGGGCCAGCTGGGGTTCAGCACATCTAGGCTATGCTCTGCTTGAAGCAGCAAACTGGGTTCAGATCCATTCTACATATCTCTCATCCTCTTCGGACCAGCAGGAAAGCCAGGGCAGGCTTATATAACAGCATTGACAAAAGCAAGTTTATACTAGTGTATTTCAACCAACCAAACCATATGAGTTTGGTTGACCAAAACCAACTCATATGGCCAACCTCAAAGACATCGGACACTGTGTGCCATATATGAGGATATGGCAAGGAAGGTAGATTTAGTCCTGATACTATCCTAGGAGAGGAAGTAATTAAGACTAACAACTAAATCTACTCTAGTGCATTAGTCCATTTTGAATTGCTATAAAGGAATGTCTGAGACTGGGTAATGTATTTAATTTAATTAATTTATTCATTTTTGAGACAGAGTCGCTCTGTCACCCAGGCTGGAGTGCAGTGGCACAATCTCGTCTTACTGTAAACTCCGCCTCCCAGGTTCAAGTGATTCTCCTGCTTCAGTCTCCCAAGGAGCTGAGACTGCAGGTATGCACCACCATACCTGGCTAATTTTTCTACTTTTAGTAGAGACGGGGTTTCGCTGTCATGGCCAGGCTGGTCTCAAACTCCTGACCTCAAGTGATCTGCCCACCCCGGCCTCCCAAAGTGCTGGGATTACAGGCGTGAGCTACTGCATCCAGCCTGAGCCTGGGTAATTAATAAAGACAAGAGGTTTATTTGACTCACAGGTCCACAGACTATACAAGTATGACACCAGCATCTGCTTCTAGTGAGGTGACAGGAAGCTTTTACTCATAGTGGAAGGGAAGAGGGAGCAGGTGGGTCACATAGCAAGGGAGGGAGCAAGGGAGAAAGGAGAAGCCTCCAGGCTCTTAAACAACCAGCTCCCATATGAACTAACAGGGCAAGAACTCACTCATTACTGCAAGGATGGCACCAACCCATTCATGAGGGATCCACCCCCATGACCCAATACCTCCCATGAGGCCCCACCTCCAACACTGGAGGTCTCATCTCCACATGAAATTTAGGGGGGACACACATTCAAACCATATCATACAGACCCAAAAGAAAAACAGAGTTTGTTTTACAGTGATATAAGGGTCTACCCTAAAGAAGGAAGCAAGGTGTGAGGCAGTGTCCTTGGCATTGGAGAAGGAGACTGGGGAAGTACCCATCAAGGTGATGAGGTATATGAGAGAATGGCAGAGGAGAATAGGGGGAGGCGGGGATGCTTTTCCCAGGTCTTGATGGACATCACTAGATGGGCCATGGCTATTTCTAAGGTAGCTCAGTGGGAAGAATCACTCAAGATTCAATTGAAATTGTGTTCAGGCCAGTTATAAACTAGTAAAGATGCAATGGTAGAGGTTATAGATTGAGACTTAGGTTTCTTCCTTTTCTGGAAGGATCCTCAGATCGCCTTACTGTGGATCTAACATAGCCAGCCCAAGAGATGATTAAATTTGTGTTCTGTTGGGCTATGTCAGGGTCAAGTTTTAAAGGAAGCATGCAGTGATTCAGAAGGATTGTGTTTCCTTGTCAATTTCACCTCTTGCTTCTTGAAGGAGCCTTTCTAGTCTTTTCTTGGCCACCAGAGAATGCAGCCATGAACAAAGTTAGATGGCCCATCATTTATGTCAGGAAGTTGTGAATGCAGATTTGCTGAGCTAATTCACCCAGATTATCTCAGCAAATCTGCATGCACAACTTTCTCAGTTAAATGATCTTTACTACCTATGTCGGGCTGTCTGAATCTGAAATTATACCCAATATTCCTTGGGGCTCAGGACATTATAGTTAGCTTTTGCTGGATATCAGAGCTTTACATATAATAAATGTCAACATCTGACACCTTAAAAAAAAAAAAAACCCCACCAGATACTGTTTTAGAGCAGTAACTCTCAACCCTGTCTGGATGTTAGAATCATCTTAGAAGCTGTAATATCACAGATGCCTGGGGCCCTCCCCAGACTAATTAAATCAGGATCTCAAGGTAGAGGAAGTGCCTGGACTTTTTTAAATTTTTGTTAAGCTCTCCAGTTGTTTCTAATATGTAGCCAGGTGTAAAAACCACTATTTTAGACTCTCTCATTTAATCAGCATGATGCTGTATTGGTCTGGTGACTTCTCTTATAAAATTCACTGTGAAAATATAAAATATGTTCATGTTCATTCTGTGTTCGTTGAAGAATGGAACTATTTGTGAAGATCAACACGTTTCTTTGCTCTGAAAGTTTGCAACAGTTTTTAGCCAACAGCAAGGTGGAGGCATATTTTTTAAATCAAAACATTAATAATAAATAATTATGATGATGACCATGATGATGATAAAGTGTCAGGACACCTGGGCCAACTGCTGTCAGACACAGGATGTTGTAACTTTTTCTCTTTTCCCTTCAGGAATTGTGTGCATTTATTGATAAACATGGAGGCTTTTGTTTTAGAATCAAGGAATAACGGGGGGCAGATGTGTTGCTAGATAAAATGCCAGCAGGAGAAATTCTTTGACCATGGATGGGACCGCTTGATGTCTACCTTCTCCTTCTTAGAGTGCACATTTCTTGCATGTGCTACAAGTGTACAAACTACCTTGTCTTAGGGGATTTTTGAGCTCTGGATATTTTCAGAGCTATTTCATGGGCAGATGATAAAGTATAAGGTACAACTGGGGAGAAGCCCATTCTCTCTTCTGATCTGAGACCTCTGGAGCAGCACTGATCAGAAATAGCCGCCCCCATTTCACAGCTGAGACTCAGATAAAGTCAGAGATTTGCCCAGCATCACTCACCAAGGAGGGATGGAGCTGGGATTTAAACCCAGATCTTCCAAACAACAAATTCTCTGCTCATTTCAAGATAGAAAACCATGGTATTTTGGGGAACTGGGAATAAAACAATAGAGGGTTCTGTGGTTTTTTGTTTTTTTTTTTGTTTTTTTTTTTTTAGTTAATATCTCCCTGACATTAGTTTCTCTGGGCACTTAGGAGTGGCTCTCTGTGTTAAGAAATCTCTTCATGTTGTTTCAAAGACATCCGCAAGCCCTGTGACTTCATTCTCAAGCAACAGGCCACTGCTGTGGAAAGGACATGAAACCAGCTCATTTTTGCAACAAAGAATGGAAAACCTTCCCTGCCAGAATGGTTCATACCTTTTAGTTTTTCCACTGGGGAGTGGAAACAGTAAGGGAAGAAGCAGAGATGTGGGGCTTCAACTCCCTGTCTCTACCACTGTTGCTTTTCCTTGGGACCAGGGACTTCCCCGACTCCCCACAGTTGCCTTGGGAATCATCCCTCCAGGAAAGAACTGACACTGCATTCATTTTCCTGCCAGGAAGCTCTTGGATGGCTAGGAGTTTGCAGGGGATGGCCAGGTTGGAGAATTTATTTTCAAAGTTGACCTCAACTTGGAAATCCTGGCCCTGAGCTGCGGGGAGTCGTCTGGTCGTCCGCTTGCATTCTGTCCTGATTTCTTTCTCATGCTCTGAGTTGGCTTGGTTACAGTTTTACTTTTCATTTTTCCTCCATGTCTCCCAAATGTAGTCTTGGCACACTCTCCTCTATTATAAACCTCATTTTGCCATAATCAGGGGTTAATTAGATAGGCATCCTCAGATTCCACTGCAACATTCTGATCAGTGAACCTGACTGGTGCCAAGGAAGTCGGTGGACATGCCAGCAGGGCAGAAACACAACTCTCTGCTACAAATGCATGTACAGTATATTATCCTAAATTTCTTAGTATGTTTGTGAAGCGCCAAGAGTAGTATGGGAGATCATATTCTGAAACAAAAGGCAAGGGTTGGGAGAGAAAAAACAGCTTTTTGATGACAAAGCAAATTGTTCCACATTGCTGATTTACCCAAGAGATTATTCTGCATTATCTATTATTGGAATGGAATGTCAAAATATTTCTTTTCCTCAAACATGTTAGAGGTTGCAAAACTCATTTACATTGAAAATATCTGGCCATGATTCCTCAGCTAAGGAAATAACCATCTCCAAAGTTATCTGTGGAAGTCAGGGAGCCAATAATGTTTGGCTACTGTGACGTTTGTTTGGCTTAATGGGTTCCTTCCTGAGAATCTGATGTCTTTTCCACCTGCTCAGGCTACAGTGGAATTGAAACTGACATACTTCTACCCACAGGTCCCTTTCTTCTCTGTAGATTATATGAAAAATGTGCCCAATTGCAATTCTCTCATTATGTTCACTCACCTAACACTGAGCAAATGTCTCTTTGAGGATCTGTTGTCTGCCAAGTACCCCATTTTCTCTTTCAGCCTTTTTCGCTGCTTTTTCATCTTCCAGTATCCCTGAAAGTTTAGAGGGAGACCTTATTCTGTCCTGAATGTCCCAGGTCCACCCTGATATGCAGCCTCCAGGAATCAGCTCTGGGTCCTATTCCCCTCATTCTCCCCACGCCACCCCCATCCTCCGCCATAGCCCCTTCTATGCAGGCCCGCATTACAATGCAGTGAGAAGAAAAATGACAGTCATCGTGCAAAAAAAAGAAAAAAAAAACCCTAAATTTAATGAACATTTAACTCTGTCTAGGGCCTCAATTGCACTGCAAAGACACATAAGTCATGTTTCCTGTTGTCTAGGGTGGACAATCTAATGAGGAAGATGCACCCATACCCAGTGTGCTATTTCAAATCCTCGGCAACATGTATGTCATCACACCCACAAATCAGAACAAACAATGGCTTCCAGCACTGGAGCAGACCCCTGCAGACTCAGTGACCCAGGCAACAGCATTCTATGTGCAAGATACCGGAAAATCTTCGGTGAATGGCTGGGATGATACAGGAGGTGAAGGGGGCACTAGAGAGATGGGAGAGCAGGTATTTACCAATCAGAATGGAGGTATTTCAATCTGTAACTAAGTTAGATGACTGTGTTAGTGCTCACCAGCTGAGCAACAGCCCTTCTGGAACCGAAGCATTGGGAGTAAGCCTGTCTGTGCATCTGATGCCACCTGGGTCACCTGATAAAAAATCAGATTCTATGTCCTCCATTCAGATTCAAATTTGATGATTTTAGGCTGAGTCTGGGAATAGGTACATTAGCAAAAGTCTTCAGTGACTTCAACTTGGAAATGACTGTTAACATGCCGGGCAAGAGGGTAGGCTTTGCAGTTTGGCAGGTCTGGGTCAGTACTCTGGCTCTGACGCTGGCTTAATCTTTGAGGCTCACTTTACTCATCTGTAAGATGGTTGTAATGATGACGTTTGTGAGGATTATTTGAGAAAATATTTCTGAAATGCTTAGCCCAGACCTGACATAGAAAAGATAGTAAGTCTGTATCTCCCCATTCCTCATCCAAAACAAACCAAAAGGAAAACTCTAACTGAACTTTCTAAGATGCATTATAGGAAGCAAGACTCCTGGGACCCACCCTATTTCAAATAAGTCAATATTTCTCAAGGCGAGAATTTACATTTTAAACAAGCACCCGACATCATTCTTATATTCACTAATTAAAAATAAATATTGCTGCAGTTGGAGAAAAAATAAACAGTCACCTCATATCACAAAAGCGGGGTGCTGCTGCTCTGTCAACACAGGCAGGTTCTTCTAAACACAGAGAGCATGAATGATGGAGGCTCTGGAGGACCAGGGGCTCTAGCACCGAGTCTGCTCGTCAGTACGCTCCCTGCATCTTGCATCCACTCCCGTGGGGGATGTTTAACCTCATTTAAATACAGACATGAACCCCCTTCCCTCCTGGCACACCGTGAAGAAGAAATGAGCTAATGGATATGCAGTGTTCATGCCTAAGAGAGCATTCTAATTAATGACATAAATCAATAGTCCCATGGGTTGGGTAGAAGGCTTTCATTTATTTTCTTCTTTAAATTTTACTAACATTTTATTTATTTATCACTCTTTTCCCAACTATAAAAATCCTATGACAATGGTGGAACAAGTGAAAAATAGGAAAAGAACATAAAGTGGTTAAAAAATGTTACTTATCCAGGTACAATGACTACATCATCAAAAGGGCTTTCCAGGCCAGGAGTTCGAGACCATCCTGGCCAACATGGCAAAACCCTGTCTCTACTAAAAATACAAAAAATTTAGTTGAGTGTGGCAGTGGGCACCCGTAATCCCAGCTACTCAGGAGGCTGAGGCTGGAAAATCGCTTGAACCCGGGAGGCAGAGGTTGCAGTGAGCCAAGATCGCACCACTGCACTGCAGCCTGGGTGACAAGAGCAAAACTTCATCTCAAAAAAAAAAAAAAAGAAAAAGAAAAAATAAAAAGGGCTTTCCTGTGAAATCAAAGAAGATGAGTATCTTCTTACACCATGCCTAGAAAGAAAGAAAGAAACAGTATAGCACAGTGGTCAAAGACATGAGCTCTCGTCTGAGTTCTACCACGTGCAATGTGACCTTTAGCCAACTTACTTTACATTTTTTGCCTCAGTTTTCTCAGTAAGGTGGGTGTAATGGTATTCCCTACTGGATAAAGGACTCACAATAAATAATACGATATAATAAAATGTGTAAAGCTCTTTAAACTGCTCAAAAGACATTAGGCTATTATTTCAATAATACGTTTTGATCAAGGGAGAAAAATAGGGTCAGAAAACCCGATTGTGTATAGGTGTTGTCTATTCTGATGGGTCAGTTTGTAAATATTTCGGCTGTCATCCTGGGAATAATAGTTGCAGCTAATATTATTGAGCTTTTACAGTGGCCAGCCACTATTCTAAAAGTATTTAGCCCTCAAAATAGCTTTCTGAGATTGGGGATATAAAGTCCCTATCCTATTCTACTGTTTTCTAATTTTTTCTTTCTTACCTGAAAAGTCCACCTGTCAAAGAAACTGATTCCGGCTCAAATCACACCATTGCCATCCAGATGAGCACACCTAGAGGGACATTTTCGTCTCCGCTGTTGTTTGAGGGAGTGATGTTTGTGATGTCACTTTTGATTGTTTGCTGCATGACTAATCTTAAATATTTGTTTAATATGCAAATGATACCTCCCAATGACAGCTCCAGGGAAACGGCAGATGTCTTTCCCTGAAAATGACACAGCCTCACTGCTGCTCGCACTCAGTTACTGACACTGTGTTGCTTCAACTCAGAGCTTTGATATACCCAGTTTCATTGCAAACGCACTGACTTCCAGCAAAAAAAGGCCACTGTTAGCACATACAACACCTTTGTGAGAATTAGAAAACTGTGCTTCCTCTGGACAGATAAATTAGAAGAAAGTACCACCATTACCACTCCCCCACCGCCTAGTAGAAAATTAGAAAAAGCTATTCCCATCTCAGTGGCTAACACAGGAAAAACTACCCTTCTGGATGTACCTAATATCAAAGGGTACATGGCTTGGGGAGTAGAGAACCAGCTACCTTTTGGGCCACTACTTACCTTCTTGGCCAGACATCCTTGTTCAGTGCACGACCTGCAAAACCATATATGGCAACCCTGATCCAGAGTCCTAAGATTTTTGTGCTTCTGAATTTCTACATATTGTGGAATAAAAATGTTATTTCAACAGATTGGCATCAAAGACCCTCTTAGGAACCAAGCTTGATAGGAAAATGCTTTGATGGGCTACTTTATGTGCAGAAAGACCCCTCATGGAAGAAGATGGCTTTATAGGTAGAGTCTCTCTCTGGTTAACAGGAATTTGGTAGGAGGCAGGTGGAGGATGGTTAGGCTGAGATAAGAGGAGAGGAATGAGAAACGAAAAGGGAACTAAGTAACGGGAAGATGGCACCTGTAGAGTGATAAGTTCCTGATGGCAAGGTGGTCAGAGGGCTTTTTTTTTTTTTTTTTGACAAGGATGTCTAATATTCCAGTTTAGGTTTTAGGGAGGTTATCACACAAATCTCTTCTGTTGCCTTAAAGCTTTACCACCAATCTGACAAATATAACCTTGACTCAGGCCAGTGCTTGCAAAACAGCCAAGTGACCCCAAAACTGATCTAATTCACAAAAGGAGAAACACAAATGCAGAGTGATCCGAGAAGCCTAATTCATAGAAGCTGCTCTGCACCATACTGCTGAGAGTCCTTGAGGGATGGGAAGAGACTCTGGCTCTCCCACCATATATGGAGTAAAGGTAGAGTCAATTTCACTTAAATTTCAAGGGATAAGGTAACCCCAGCAGACATCAAGTTTACACATGTCAGCAATGATCATGGAGCTTTGGCTGTCATCTCTCTACTTCTGTCTGAATTGTGATCATCATAGTTCATAGCTACCAAGTGTCTAATAGGTACCAAGAGCTGAATATGTATGATTTTAAACTTCAAAACAAACTTAGCGAGATGAGTATGTCCACATTTGAGAGTTAATGGCCTTGGAGGTAAGTTACATGTTCAAATTACAGAAGTGTTAGGTAACAGAGCTAAAAGATGAACCCAAATCTCTCCAGCTCCAGAGACAAACTACCTTTCAGTGTCTTGTGGGAGTGAATTCGTATCTGCTTAAACTGTCCTTTCCAACCACTTTAGAAGAAGAGCAAGTTCCTGGGGCTGAATGTGGGAAATACTTATAGCTGGAAACCCACACATGTGAGCAATTTTCCGTTACCAGAATAAAATCTTGCTAATTTTGGAGATAGGCCAGGCTAAACTGGGTAAGAATCTGAATTTTAAGATGGTTCTTAAGGCAAGTATAAGTGTAGGATATATAGGACAGTTAACAGTTGAGTCCCCTGTGTTGGTATTAGTTCTGGTATGAGTTTAAGGAATGTGAGAATCAGACCCAGATGGAGACCAGGAAGGGAAATGCCTTCCTCCAGCAAGAATGGAGGCTTTGTTGAGTCCCAATTTCTTCTTCCCAGCCGGCATTCCCTTAACTCTAGGAGTACTTAGCCTGGTGTTTGGAGAGAGTAATTGCTTTCATTTATGTGAAGAGCATGCAGCATATGCAATGTGTGCCTAATTACCCTGAAGCATGGCAACAATGATGCTTATCATTAAATAGGGGCTGGATCACCTTCGTTAGAAGTTTTTCTTGATGTCAACACTACATTCCGTCATGCATGTTTAGACTTCATGGCTTTTTAAATCATGTTGTAGTGTGGTTACAATGAAGATAAAAGCTAGAGGAAAACACTCCATGCAGGAATGCCAAGGAGCAGGAGAAGGAAAATACTGTTTTCCATGTGCCAGACACACTGTGGCAGAGGCAGTGGCTTTTCATGTTGACAACCGAATATCTGGCACTGTTTTCTTTTTAAGTTCTGGGACACATGTACAGGATGTGCAGGCTTATTACATAGGTAAACATGTGCCATCGTGTTTTGCTGCATCTATCAACCCATCACCTAGATATTAAGCCCCACATATATTAGCTATTTATCGTGATGCTCTCCCTCCCTGCCCCACGGCAGGCCCCAGTGTGTGTTGTTCCCCTCCCTGTTTCCATGTGTTCTCATTGTCCAGCTCCCATTTATGAGTGAGAACATGCAGTGTTTGGTTTTCTGTTCCTGCGTTAGTTTGCTGAGGATGATGGCTTCCGGCTCCATCCAAGTCCCTGCAAAGGACATGATCTCATTCCTTTTTATGGCTGCATAGTATTCCACGGTGTATATGTACCACATTTTCTTTATCCAGTCTATCACTGATGGGCATTTGGGTTGATTCTATGTCTTTGCAATTGTGAATAGTCTGGGACTGTTTTCAAACATCCCACCCCCTAGGGGATGGCATCATCCCTCGCTGATAACCACTAGCCCAAATGCAAACATCACTGAGGCACGAGGGCCTTCAGACAGAGGGCCAAAGGGAAACCTGGGAATATTCTAATGGCATTCCAGAGGGAGGGCAATGGAGGGTTCTGGGATGTGGCGCCATACTGATATTCCAGAGAGAAAGCTGAGAGATACTGGACATACAGTATCCTAGTGACATTCCCAAGAAAGAAAGTACTGTGGGGCATCTGGAAAGCATGGCAACATGAATGAGACATCTTTCTCCTCCAATCACAGGTCTAACCTTGATGTCATCCATGTGCAGGTGGAAGCAAATGAGGCCATAGGTTCTGCTTAAATCCCTCCAGAGAGAACTGGGGAGGAGACTTGTTTCTCCAAAGCTAGGTAAATCCTGTAGCTGCAGGATTCAAACAGCAGCTCCTGGGAAGAACTGGCATCTTAGAGATCTGTGTCTTTCTGAGAAAGCTAAAATTAGTTTGTAACAGTGTGTAAAGTCCTCTGGAGGCCAAGAAGGAGCTCTCCCTGACACTGAGACAGGGAAGTTCAAGAGGTCAGAAAGGCTTCTTCTAGGTGCTTCTGCAGGGGCTGACCCGCCTAACCACTGCCTCACTTTCAACCCACAGGGGTAGAGATTTCACCTCCTATCATCCATGAAGCTGGAAACCTAAAAGGCCAACAAATTAATATACTGTCACTACTAATAACAGCAAACGCTGAAATAGCTTTAGCCTTGTGCCAATCAGGTATTTGAAGGATATTAGCACTTTTTGAAATTAAACTTGTTATTTTTAGATAAGTGTAGATTCACATGAAGTTGTAAGTAATAATAGAGAAACCCCATGTACCATTTATCCATTTTCCCCTAATGGCAACGTATTGCACTACAGCACAATAGCACAACCAGGAAATTGACATTAATATAGTCAAGATACAGAACATTTCCATCACAAGAATCCCTCATATTGTGCTTGTAGAGCCTCTCACACTTCCTACCCCAATCCCCTCCTTAGCCCCTGGCTGCCACTCATCTGTTCCCCATTTCAATGACTTTTCCATTTCAAAAATGGTATATAAATGAAATCATATGGTATGTAACCTTTTGAGACTGCATTTTTTCTCTGAACACAGTTCTCTGGAGATTGATTTGGATTGTTGCATGCGTCAATAGTTTGTTCCTTTTATCACTTAGTAGTATTCCATGATATGGATGTGCCACATTTCTTTCTTTTCTTTTTCTTTTTTTTTTTTTTTTTTTTTTTTTTTGAGACAGGTCTTATTCTGTCACCCAGGCTGGAGTACAGTGGCAGTAGTGTGATCTCAGCTCACTGCAACCTTCACCTCCCTCATTCAAGTGATTCTCCTGCCTCAGCCTTCCGGAGTAGCTGGGATTACAGGTGCATACCACCACATCCAGCTAATTTTTGTATTTTAAGCAGAGATGGATTTTCACCATGTTGACCAGGATGGTCTCGAACTCCTGACCTTAAGTGATCTCCCACCTCAGCCCCCTGAAGTGCTGGGATTACAGGCGTGAGCCACCGTGCCCAGCCAGCTGTGTCACATTTCATCCATTCCCCCACTGAAGGACATCTGAGTTGTTTCCAGCATGGGGATATTAAGAAAAAAAGTGCAATAAACATTTGTGCACAGATTTTTCTACAAACCTGCTTTCATTTATCTGGGACAAATGCCCGGGTGTACCATTGCTGGGTTGTAAGGTAGTGGCACGTTTACTTTTTTAGGAAACTGTCAAATTGTTTTCCAGAGTGGCTGTGCCATTTTATAATCCCACCAGCAATATATGAGTGATCCAGTTTCTCCACATTTTCACCAGCACTAGATTGGAGTTGGCATACTGGACAGAATCAATATGTTATCCTTGTGCTAAAGCAACGAGGAACTTTCCAGGAAACTCATTAGAAGGTTCCTAGATGGAGAAGAAATGAATCCATCAGCTCACCATATTTTAGAATGGATATATTTGTCAGATTAGCAAGGCAGAGAAAATGCAGGAAGAACGGATCTCAAGAGAGATGAGTTTTGTTGGGGATGTAGTGGGAGAAGTTCAGAAAAGCTTGTGTTGTTCAGGACAATCACAGCAACGCTACCCAAAGTGCTCTGTGTCTCTTGATGGTAAAGTGAAAAGAAGAGACAGCAGCCAAAAGCAAATTTCACGAACTCTGAAAACCCAGATACTCAGGGATCAGTTCCCTGAAGTCTACTCAATCCTACTGTCTGCAGAATTCTTGCAATCAATAGCACAGTAAATACTCCAGCGTTAGTCAACCAGTGGCTCAATCTCTCAAATGCACCGGACTTGTCCACTTCCATCTTTCTCCTCCACCCCTCATTTCAGCCTTATCTTTTCCCTCTCTTTTTGGCGCCAATATTTTTATGGATGCAACAGAACTTGGTCCCTGTACTGTAGCTTCTATTGCTCCATCAGTCTTCCTCCTCCATTCACTCAGAAAATTCTCTTTCCTCGTGGTACCAAATTGTTTTCCCATCTCAACGCTTAAAACTTTGATTCCAAATTTCTACTATGGCAAAGAGTAACTGTGATAAACCAAAGAGATGGTATGAAGGTATGAGGGATGATTGGGTAGGGCTCAACAGAAGAAAAAGCAATTGGAGAAAAAAAAAGCCACAACACCTTCATTTTGAGCATATTAAAATAGCTATTTTTACTGAGGGATTATAAATGTGCCAGGCATTGTGTTAAATACTTTATCACAGACAATCCTTCAAACATTCCAATAAGATATGTACTATTTTTAGATCTCCCTTGAAAATAGGAAAAGTGACTTTGAGAGATGAAGTTACATGGCTAAGGTCATAATACTGTAAGCAGGGAAGCCAAGATCCAAACCTAGGCAGTCTTTTCCAGAACCCTTGTCCTGTCCAAGATTTATCAACCAAGAAAAATTCATTTAGTATCAGCTCAGATATTGAGCCTGAGTCTCCTGTAGCCAGGATATAGGTTATATTGTGTGAGAGAAAGGTAAGGAAGGACTGTTCCAACATGACTGGCCATGGATGTAGATCTTATCTGGGTTCCGGGACTGTATCTGGCTTCCTTGAGCCATCTTAGATGCCCTTGGATGCCCAGACTAGGTCTGGGCACCAACCTGGGTGAGATTCCCAGCCTCACCCAGCCTGGTGCCTGATATCTAATTGAAAGAAAGAGGAGCCATTCTTATGACTGCATAGAGGGACAATATTTCTACAAAAACCTACATATTAAAAGATCATTTGGACTTCCATTTCTAATCAAATGGATGACCTACCATCCCCCTGAAAACAACTAAAAGTGCTGATAGTTAGAAATTATCAGGCCTAAATCTAAGGAAAAGCAGGAACTCAGAAAGATAAACAGAGTGCTGATCCACTTTCGTCCTGAAAGTATTTCCCAAATCTGATGAGCTTAGACTTCATGGGGGAACAAGTGACTTATTACCAAGCCTAAAGCCTTCCCAAAGTGGGAAGTTAAATGCAAGATTCTACCAAATATGGGACCCCAAGGGTTATAATATCAGTGTGAGGATGAACCAGACATAGGTCCCAAGCCCCAGAGTCTATAAGAAAATTTTGTTTCACAACAAGCAGAGCAAGGAGGAAAACACCTTCTCTAAAAAGACATAACCACGGGGGTTACAGCCCAAAATGAGCCACCCACAGGGTCCAACAAACTCTAAGTTGTGAACGAGTTTAACACATTTGCAGACTCTGCCCCAGGTGTCCAGTAGAGGCAAAGGAAAATGCTCTCAGAAGAAGGTGAATTCCCCCCAATCCTCAAGGGATGACCACATATAAAAATCCAAGGAAAATAAGCAGCACATAGTAATAAATATTTAAGCACACAAGGACAAAAGGCACAATGAGCAGAGCATAAGAGACATAGAGAAACAACCACGGGAGATTCTTGGAAGATGGGAGCAATGGCAACTTCGTGTTTCAATCTCTTTCAACCCCTACCCGAAAGCAGAGCAGTTATATAGAAAAACTAAAAACACGTGGCCAACATCTAAACAACCAAGAACCCCAAATTACAAGAGGGTGGGGACAGACCACTAACAGATACAAGACCCACACAGTATTGATATCTGTAGAACATGGGAAAGAAGGAAGTTATAAAAGCAAAATATGATGGACTTGGAAAAAAGTGAACCCCAAGGTAGCCAACTAGAAAGAACCAAAGAAACAATGCCTTAAAGAAACAGAGAGTGGAGAGGAGGAAATATTAAGAAGACAAAAAGAAATGAAGAACACAGATATTTGTACACCCATGTTTATAGCAGCATCATTTGCAATAGCCAAAAGGTAGAAGCAACCCACATGTCCATCATGTCACGCCTGTAATTCCAACACTTTGGGAGGCCAAAGCAGGTGGATCACCTGAGGCCAGGTGCTCGAGACCAGCCTGACCAACATGGCAAAACCCTGTCTCTACTAAGTACAAAAAATTAGCCGGGCATGGTGGCGCATGCCTGTAATCCCAGCTACTCGGGAGGCTGAGGCAGGACAATCGCTTGAACCTGGGAGGCAGAGGCTGCAGTGAGCCAAGATGGCGCCATTGCACTCCGGCCTGGGCGGCAAGAGTGAAACTCTGTCTCAAAAATAAATAAATGAATAAATAAATAATTTAAAAAGCACAGTATATATGCAATGACGTATTATTCAGCCTTAAAAAAAATGAAATTCTGACACATGCTACAACATGGATGAGACTTGAGGACATCATGTTAAGTGAAATAAGCCAATCACAAAAGAACAAATATTGTATTACTTGACTCACGTGAGGTACTTAGAGTAGTCAAATTCAGAGAGGCAGAAGGTAGAATAGAGGTTGCCAGGGCCTGAGAGGAGTAGGAAATGAAGTATTGCTTAATGGGTACAGAGTTTCACTTTTCCAAGATCAAAGAAGTCCTGGAGATGGATCCTGGTGATGGATGCACATTATGTATTTAATACTACTGAATTGTACACTTAAAAATGGTGAGGGTAAATTTTATGTTTTGTATACTTTAACATAGTTTTTAAAAATAAAATAAATTTTAAAAAGAAATGTAGAGGGGAAAAAAGAGAGTAACAAGCATTGAAAATAGGCAATGGAGATCAAACAGATGGATAGCAGGAATTTGTGTACATGAAAACCAAAGCAAAGGGACAGAAGAAACCCTAAAAATGATATTTCAAGAAAACATTCCTAAAATTAAAAAGAAATTATTTGAAGCTACATTTTTAAAGTACACAATGCAAACATGAGAATGTTGACCTGGAATAATTAATATTTAGACATATCCTAATATAATATGGGACTTAAAATATTCTTTCAGCATCTTGCAGAAAAGAACATGTAACTTTTAAGGGAAAGAAAATTAGATGAGTATCAGGCATTGAAAGCCATACTTTATGCCAGAAGAAAATTGAGTAATATATATAAGATACTCAAAGGAAGAGAGCATCAAGGATTTTATATCCAGCAAAAATTGATTTTCAAGTACAAAAGCCATAGACAAACTTATCACAGCTCAAGAACTCAAGAAATACTGTTTTTCTAAGCCTTTCCTGAGTAATCTACTGTAGAATGAGTTTTAGACAATCAAAATAACTTAAGGGTAAATAACATAATGATTGCTAATGAGCATCAAATAAAAATCAATTAAGGTAAATAGAATTAAGACAAAATGAAAACAAAGAGGGGAAGGAAATATTATGAAAGGCTATATGCTCTGGCAATGTGTATATAGTATAGCTATTAAGAATGATGAGACTAGGCCGGGCACGGTGGCTCACGCCTGCAATCCCAGCACTTTGGGAGGCTGAGGCGGGCAGATCATGAGGTCAGGAGATCGAGACCATCCTGGCTAGCACAGTGAAACCCCATCTCTACTAAAAATAAAAAATAAATTAAAAAAAGAATTAGCCGGGCGTGGTGGCAGGTGCCTGTAGTCCCAGCTACTCAGGAGGCTGAGGCAGGAGAATGGCGTGAACCCGGGAGGCAGAGCTTGCAGTGAGCTGAGATTGCGCCACTGCACTCCAGCCTGGGCGACAGAGCGAGACTCCGTCTCAGAAAAAAAAAAAAAAAAAAAAAAAAAAAAGAATAGTGAGACTATATAGGTTGGTCATAATTCGTAGATCTGTGTACCTGAAATGGATAACTTTGCTGTTACCCTAAATTTTAGCTCAATGAACTTGAAAAAAGAAGGGGATAAGAAGAACATACACCAAAAAATTTTAAGTGTTTTAAGTAATCATAATGGAGATGATATGATTATTATTATATTATTACTATTCAGGGACTGTTATATACGTAAAATTGGATAAAATGAGGAATTATAATTTTATCATCCTCTAGGTCCTTGAAAACTAAGTTTCTTGGAATGGAAGAGTACTTATTGATATAATAGAAATGAGGTTTAAAATAAAACCTCAGAAATCTTGACTTAGAATTAGAAATATCAATATGAATCCATGAGATATTTTGTATATTATGTTATAATTTGTTTCTTAAAAACTTCTAGAGACAACAACCAACTCAACAGCAATGAATATCCCTAAGTGCCCAAGTTATGGTCTTGAAATACCATTCATCTAAAAGACACCAGGGCTTCTTGGAGAAATAGCTGATTCCAAGTGTGGGATCAGAAATATACAGGACTAGCCTGGAATACAGTATAATTCCAGATAGGATTACAGCTGTCAAAGACCACAAGGGTCACATAGAAAAGGCCCAGTAGCAAACTCAAACAGGCTTGCATTGGCAAAGATGGGAGAAGTTGAACTTCAACAAAGATAATAAGGGGTAGTGAATTAAAATTCCAGTATGTTGAAGCCTATGAGTTCATAATGCAATTTGTAAAAAGAACAAACAAACAACAACAAAAAAACTGATACCTTTTGGGGATGACAAGAAACCAATTCATTATATTGAAAACTGGTAAATAAAGAAAAATAAGCACATATTCTGCATTTTTCATGTGAACATACTGGGTAATCACATAGTAAACGAAATAAACGGCCTCTGTCAAAGTGCTTGACTGATAAGTGAAACACAAATCATAGCATCAGAACATTATCGTGTTAGGCTGAATAAGAGCCCCCTGAATTGTCCAAATATTAATCCCTAGACCTATGAATGCTATCTTATATGGCAGCAAAAGGGTTTTTGCAGGTGTGACTAAGAATCCTGAGATAGGGAGGTGATCTTGATGGGCAAGATGTAATCTCAGGGTTCCTTATAGGAGGGAATCAGAGAGACGAAAGACAAAACAGTAGTGAAAGCACAGAGAAATCTGAAGATGCTAAATTGCTGCCTTTGAAGATGGGTGAAGGGGCTATGAGCCAAGGAATCCAATTCCCAACTCTGGAAAAGGTAAGAAAACAAATTCTTCCCTGGAGACTCTTAAGGGAGCGAACTCCTTAGTTTCAGCCCAATGAACCCACTTGGGACCTTGGGCCTATAGAACTCTAAGAATAAATTTGTGTCATTTTAAATAGCTAGGTTTGTGGCAATTTGTTACCACAGCCATTGAAAGAAAATAAGACAATCAACATTTTGCAACCACCAATAAATAAATATGTTACAATTTTAAAAGTAAAAATTAAAAAGAAACAGAAAAAAGGCTGAGAGATTAAGAAATACTGAAAACAGGCAACAGAGGCTGAACACAGGGATAGCAGGAATTTGTGCAGATGAAAACCAAAGCAAGGGAACAGAAGAAATCCTAAAAATGCTATTTCAAGAAAATATTCCTTAAATTAAAAAAAAACAATTTGAAACTACATTTTTATTTATTTGTTGTTGTTATTATTTTTAAGATGGAGTCTTGCTCTGCTGCCCAGACGGGAGTGCAGTGGTGTGATCTCGGCTCACTGCAACCTCTGCCTCCTGGGTTCAAGCAATTCTCCTCTCTCAGCCTCCAGAGTAGCTGGGTTAACAGGTGTGTACCACCATGCCCGGCTAATTTTTGTATTTTTAGTAGAGATGGGTTTTCACCATGTTGGCCAGGATGGCCTCCATCTCTTGACCTTGTGATCCATCCACCTTGGCCCCGCAAAGTGCCGGGATTACAGGCAAGAACCACCGTGCCCAGCTGTAATGTTCACTTTATAAAAATTCATTAAACCATACAATTGACTTGTGTGTTTTTCTGTATCTGTGTGTTGCCTTAGGACTATAATTATGACGTTTAATGAAATAAAATACAGGCTTCAGACAGCCTTCATTAAACAGAAGACTATTAAATAGATGACAAGAAATCAAAAATCTAAAGATAAAACATATATAAATGGTTTAAAAAAGTCAATGAGCAGGTTTAACTTCAGATTAGATACAAATGTAGAAGAATAGGGGAACTGGAAGACAAGTCGAAAGAAATTATGAAGCAGCAGCTGAGAGACGACCCAAACAGACCAGGGAATTCTAACGTATTTATAATCAGAATTCAAGCAGGTGAAGGCAGAAAGAATGAAGAAAAGCAAACCTATGATGATATTATGAGAATTTTTCAGAATGATTACAGGAGAGTAAACACAGAGTCAAGGAGCCCAATAAATATCCAGCAGGAAGAAAAGCAAAACAAACAATGAAACCCCTCATCTAGACATGTCAGACTGAAATGGCAGAATACTAGCTACAAAGAGAAGAACATAAAAGAAGTCAGAAAAAAATTACCTTCAAAAGATTTACAGTTAGCCCTACAGCTGACTTCATTAGTAACAATAGAATAAAGATCATTCTGAAGGCTTAGTCTCTGAAGATGGCAAGGGGGAAAACTTTAAAGAGGGAAAGACTTCAGATTTTAATTTAATTTCTGCAGGCCTGTAATGCATCTCATTAAAATTACCACAAGAAGGAAAGAAGAGGAAAGGAGGGAGAAGGTAGGAAGGAAGAAAAAGAGATAAGGAGAGGAGAGAGGAATAAAACATAAATTTAAGTGCAGAGTCCTTAATTCCTGTCTGGCCCCATATCACAATATTCAAGGCAGTGGTGGCCTAATAAATGTTTTAACAGATGGATCTCTGAAACAAAAAGCCAAGATTCTGTAGCATTTGCCAATTTCTATGGAGAAAGCACCCATACAAAGCCTGATTTCAAGCTACTACCATGACATCACTGAGCTTGGATTTGGGAAGTTATATGCATAGTCAGCTCCCTCAATCTGGTAGGAGGAGATGGTTCCAACACCGTTGCTGGTTTCAAGGTCTCACACGCTGCTATTAGTGGGCCAGTCCAAAAATCAAATCTGTATCTCTCAAAAGTCCCAATCCTTTCCTCTTGATGCATCTAAAAATGTGATTACCACCTTCTTGGTATGAAGAAGCCCAGGTTCAATTTAGAGCGATTTCAGTGTCTGGACCATTGCGAGGGAAGTTAGTTGCTTAGTAGAGGCTGGTCTTGTAGGTGATGTCCAAAGTATACTAGCTTAGGAGAAGCCATTGGTCCTCTAGAAGTCATAGGTACTAGGCAAAAATCTTTTCTTAGAAAAAAACAATTATTTGACAGTGTGCTGATTAGGAGGATTCCAAATCTAAATAAGCCCAGTCCTTCAGGTTAAAAGTGTTTTGATTTCCTCACTTAACCATTTACACACACCACCCAATATAGTCTAACCATAGTGCAAAAAGTTATCCCACAGGCAAGTTTGTTTACATGTTTGCAGACACTGTATTGGTTTTCAAGTCGAAAGCCAATAACCCCTATGGAACATGCCCTATAGATTACAAAAGTTTACTAAAAACTGTTAAGTTTTAATAATAGACTACAACTTGAACACTTGGCATATTCTGTAATAAGAAAAACACAAACTTATGTACACGCATACAACTTCCCTTATCTTGTATTCTAGAAAATGAGAAAGATTGGAGTAGTCATGATTGGGCACAGTCCCATTTCATGCAAGTTTAAACTTCCTTGGGTTGGGACTAGTTTCACTTGGGCCACCTCTTGGTCTACTGGTATGAGAAATTAGAAATGTAGAGATCCTCGGGCACCCCCAGAATGGCTTAGTTTAGAGTCTACTAACTGTAGCATTGGTGAAAAACAGGCCACGGGGGGATAGCCCTATTTGAAGCCTTCTCATAGGTTGAAACCTTAGATGCTTTGGACCTTAGCACTTAGCTAACACACAGCTGCTTCCTGCCATAAGCTAACTGCCGACATACAAGATGAGAAGTCTTCCTAAGGTCTATGTATCTTAGACGCCCAGAACCACCATTTGCTATGTTTTTATGGATCAGTGCCAAAAAGAGACCATTGGTCTAGTTTCTCTCTATGCTTATAATTACTTTCATTATGATTATCCCATTACTCTGCTCTTCCACTGACTCTTAGTTAGGTACCCTCCAGCCCTCTTAGTAGAACGTCTTAAGTGAAATAATCGGGACCAAGTATTGTGGGAATGTTAGCGTCTTCTTAGAAAACCCCTGGCCTCTATATGCAAAGTGCCCTTCTCCCCTTTGCAGACAAAGAGAAGTGTGTAGGTAGGGCCTCTATGTCAAATCGAAGACCTCATTATAATAGTTTCCAAATCTAGGTCTGCTCAGCTTATATCTGCTTATTAAAGAGCATAGACAGCTGCTCTCAATTGACCTTCTTTTCCCCACCAGAATGAAGAGCAGCTGGCAGCTTCTTTAGCTAAAGAAGGGAAAAATCTGGTTTGGCTATTCCACTCCACAGGGACTCAGTATGAACCTACTGTCAAAATCAGGGAGAAGCTTCCACTAACAAGACTGATGGATAAAACTGAAAATGGGCATGTAAATGTCTCACTAGACATACTGTAGGACACTCACTCTCCCTACAGCCCCTTGTATCTCCTGCACACATCTCTTCGACAACCTTACCACTGTCTCAGACATGTAAGGTACTTGCCAAGCAGAAAGAAACTGTTACTCTTCAGAATCGACACTTGGTTTAGTGTTGTCTAGGCCACATCCATCAATAGCATTCTTTTTGTTTTAAGTTCTGGCATACTTGTGCAGAACATGCAGGTTTGTTACATCGGTATACATGTGCCATGGTGGTTTGATGCACCCATCAACCTGTCATCAAGGTTTTAAGCCCCACATGCATTAGTTATTTGGCCTAATGCTCTCCCTCCGCTATACGCCCCCACCCCCCCACCCACCCCCACAGGCCCCGGTGTGTGATGTTCCCCTGTGTCCATGTGTTCTTATTGTTCAACTTCTACTTATGAGTGAGAACATGTGGTGTTTGGTTTCGTGTTCCTGTGTTAGTTTGCTGAGAATGATGGTTTCTAGCTTCATCCATGTTCCTGTAAAGGACATGAACTCATTCTTTTTTATGGCTGCATAGTATTCCATGGTGTATATGTGCCACATTTTCTTTATCCAGTCTATCATTGGGTTGGTTCCAAGTCTTTGCTATCATCAATAGCATTCTTTTACATCCAATCAAATAATCTAACTTGGAGAAAAGTACTGGCCAGAAGGTAAGAGGAGCAGCATTCTTAATCCTAAGAGATGTGTCTACACACACACACACACACACACACACACACACACACACACACCACACTCTCAGCCAGATAGAGTCACTGCAGCAGTACATGCCGCAAACTCTATTTTCTTCTTATGCTTATTGTTTCAACTTTTCAGAAGGTCAGAAATGTAAACAGAACAGTGGCTCTCAAAGTATGGTCCCTGCAATGGCAGCATTAGTATCACCTGGGAACTTGTTAGCAATGTAAATCCTCAGGCCTCACCCCAGACCTGGTCAATCAGAAACTCTGGGGATAAAGACTAGCATTCTAGTTTAAAACACCTCCCAGGTTGCCAAGTCTGTCCTGCATAACCCAGCCCATGGATGAAATGAGTACTCAGACACAGGTATGCAGTGTAAGAGCAGCTAGGTGACTGCCTGGCTCTAGTGGCCAGAGAGCAGCCCTGAGAAGCTGGAGCTACTTGCTTTCAGTGCAGGCACAATGCCGAAAACCTGGAGCCCACAAAACCTGTAGGTAATTAATATTTATTGTTCCCCTTTCAGGGAACATCACACAAATAATCAAAAGTCAGTTCCTGGTCAACATAAGTAAACAAGCTTGTTTAAGATAAATTCCCCCACACTCCGTTGTACCTACTTCTTGCCCTCTGTCTCAGGATTATAGAACAGCTGCCTTTAGCTATTCTTCCCCCGGGGATTTGCAGAATCTTCTGACCTTTCAGAAGGTTTGCATCCTTTCCCTATAGTTTTTCCTACCACTCTGGCCAATCTCCCATATCAGGTGATTCTATTCTAGTAACAGTAATGTTTAAGAACTAGTGGAGTAAATGATGCTAGAACCTTCAGTATAGCCAAGCTAGATAAAAAACATTTTTCTGGAAAATTGATTCAACAGCACCCAAGTAGAGAGAAATAATCTATAAAAAATCCACACATTCTTTCTGTTTGCGACCACTAAATTTGGATCACTGCCTCCATGTTCGAGTGCAAGAAAAGAAAAGCCATTCACAATGAGCCCATAAAGAACTGCTGCAGGACACAGAAAAGAAAATGCCACCATGAACACTTGGAAGAAAATAGTGGAGTTTTCTCAATGTGGTTTATTATAGAAAGAAAAGCAAATATATAAAACTATTTGACAAACAGTCATTATGAAACAGGAGCAAAACATCAAGAGAGAGACTAGGTTAAGCTGAAACACAGAATGTGATAAAAATGGAGTGTAGTTAGAAAATAGGGAAATTTAAATGTGCAATAATAAAATTAAAAAACACATTTAATGTTGCAACAACCAGGATTGACAATGTGGAAAAATGAGATCACAAATGTTGGAGACAAACTGTAAGAAACTGACAAAATGACATAAAAGGCCCAAACAGTGGCTCATGCCTATAATCCAGCACTTTGAGGGGCTGAGGTGCACAGATCGCTTAGGCCCAGAAGTTCAAGACCAGCCTGGGCAACATGGAGAAGTCATGTCTCTACTAAAAATACAAAAAATTAGCCAGGCGTGGTGATGCATGGCCTGTAGTCTCAGCTCCTAGGGAGGCTGAGGTGGGAGAATCACCTGAGCCTGGGAAGTCGAGGCTGCAGTGAGGTGTGATCAAGCCATTGCACCCTAGGCTGTGCGACGAGAATGAGACCGTGTATCAAAAAAAAAAAAAAAAAAAAGAAAAGAAAAAGACAAAAAAGATGACAAGGATGAGAGTAGATGGTGAACAGAAAATCTTATAATGTGAACTATTCCTGAGAAACATATTTCAATGATTATTAGCCATTGTAGCAGTGCATGCAGAGAGTTTGTTTTTTATATGCCTATATGTTAACATGTCAGAGAGCCAGAAATGCTACAGAAACAGTAATCAGAGATACAACAGAAGATGACTTTCCTTAACTGACTAAAGCCTTGAATTCACAGATTCCAAAGTCTCAACATGTTTCAGGCAACAATCATTAACAATGAGAACACTCAAATTTTCACCTGGGTGGCAGAAGTAAGAGTAGGGGTGGGAGCTGGGGTTGGGATTAGAGGGGTTGTCACTTCAGAAAACTAAGCCTGATTAACTTGGAGATAGTTGGGGACTCTACGTAAAATACCATTCAGGCAATTCACATTGGCAATTTACTTCACTATGACTTGTTCCCTTTGTCAGAAGAGCCCTGTTATTTAGGTACAAGAATTTGGCCTTAAAAACCCTTTTCTTGATCAGGATTTATTGCCTGATGTTGAAGTTCAATTAATAATGGGAGAAGATTTGATTGCCATAGAGCAGCTGCCTGGATGATGGGACTATGGATGACATTTTTCCACCTGTAATTTCCAGATTATTTCCTGTAATGAGAATGTGTTATTCATTTACAAAATATCCATGGCAAAAGTACTGAGTATCAACTATGTGCTTGGCACTGTGCTTTTTCTTTCTCTCTTGGTCTTATTCTTCCATTCCTTCCCCACCCCACAATCACCAACAAATAATTATCCATGGGATCCAATATTTACAACCTCACATTTAAAGAAAAAAGATAGGCCGGGCACAGTGGCTCACATCTCTAATCCCAGCACTTCGGGAGACCGAGGCGGACAGATCATCTGAGGTCAGGAGTTTGACACCAGCCTGGCCAACATGGTGAAACCCCGTCTCTACTAAAAATACAAAAACTAGCTGGGCATGGTGGCAGGTGCCTGTAATTCCAGCTACTCAGGAGGCTAAGGCAGGAGAATCGCTTGAACCCAGGAGGTGGAGATTGCAGTGAGCCTAGATTGTGCCACTGCACTCCAGCCTGGGCAATAGAGTGAGGCTCAGTCTCAAAAAAAGAAAAAAAAAAAGAAAGAAGAAAAGAGTTTTTTTTTCTATCAGCTCTCCATATAAAAATTCCAGGATAAGTTTCTGATTGGCCTAGCTTGGGTCCAATCACTGTGAGAGGGAGGAACAGAAATTTAAGATTGTCCAGTCCTGGGCTGTATGTTCTGTAGGCAAGATGCTATAATTTTCAAGTTCATTCAAAGTACATGATTGTATTTTTTGATCATTCCACAATGCATACATGTATTGACACATCACATTGTACCCCATTATATATTTATCAATTAACATAAAACTTTAGAAAATGCAAGCTACAAAATCGAAAGAAAGACACATGACTGTAATTAGGAAAAAAAAAATAAGGAATTTGAAAGGGAGGGTATTTCCTTTCCCCAGAAGAACCAGCTCATCACTGTTAAGAAGTCACAAACTATAGAGGTCTTCCACTACAATCCCAGGTCCAAGAGACGCCGGGATATCTTGCATCACCATTCTTACATATCTTCCTAAAGTCTACCATCAAGACTTAAACATGATTCCATAAGCAACATCTGCAGGACTGGCAGCTGTCTGAATTTGATTGATACTCTGGCAAGTCAATTTTGAAAGCATATAGAGCTGAGAATATTATCTTGATGGTATTTCCCACTACATTCCAAAGTTCAAGAGAGTTTGGGTTACCTCTCTCTACCCTTCTGATTTATTGCCCTCTAATGGACCAGCACAAGTTAAAGACTATCTTGTAATCAGCAGCAGCTAGAGGCATCGGCAGCTGCCTGAATTTAATACTCTGGTAGCCAGTTTTGAATGTGCATAGAATTGAGAATATTACTATCTCAGGTTCCATATTCTCCATTGATTTTACACAATCAATGATTGAAACAAGGTGAGTGCTCGGCAACCTGGGAGGCTTCAATTTATCAAAGGATTGTCATTCCAGACAGCTGCTGCCTTTCCTGATCTGGATGATTTAGAGGATGACAGAATAATGAACGATAGCTTAAGTGTTGTGATCCTTCACTACTGCCCTTCAGGCAGCGCTCAAAAACAACAACAACAACAAACTCCGAGTTCTCTTGCCTGGCTGTTCCTGCCCCTGAAATAGGGTGACTAGATTCAGTAACAGTTGTTTTCTTTAATAAAGGATGAATTAACACATGTTAATGATTGTGCATTGTTAACTTACCAGACCAGGAGGAAGGAGAGTTGACTGGGCCACTTAGCTGACATTCATCCTTTTCCTGTTTAGGGTGTCCATGTTTTCCTTCATGTAATCACTTCTCTCTGACTCTTCGTTCATATCCTTTGGGTGGAGTTGAATTCATTTCCCATTCTAGGGATGGGCATGTGGCTCCAACCAGACCCATCCTAGCATGCACTACTGTGGTTATAGTGATTGGTTCAGGGATGGTCACATGATTCAAGTTGAACCAATGAGATATAAATACACGTCATGGTTAAAGGATCGGAGGTACAGGTTCTCCACAGCTGTATTGAATCTAGAATTAAACTTGCCATCCCACGGAGTCTGAGAATGAAGCCAACACAGAGGAAAGTATTCTGGCAGATGAAGAGAAACATCATTCTGATTACATAGTTTGAACACCTTGGTCAGGCCTCACCTGAACCTAGTTCTGGTCCTCAAACTTTCATTTATAGGAATTAAGACCCATTCAGGGTTGGTTCTCTATCAACTGAAACAAACAAAATAAAGAGCTCTACACTTAGGTTCAAGTCCAAGCCCTGCCACAAACTAACAGTGTGACGTGGAGCAAGCCTCTTTATTCCTCTAAATTTAGGTTTTCTCATCTATGAAATGAAGTCATTAGATGAGGCAGATATTTGAGCTTTGGCATTCTAGGGTATTGCACTGAATTATTGTTTCAAATATGGATTTTTGTCAGAGGAGACAGGCAGAACAACCCGAATCTAGGCCCTCAGGAAAAACAGATGGATTGGAGCAAATGTATCAAGAAGTCTTTGCAGAAAGGGAAAAGGATATTTGAAGTGTTTGGTAGGAAGAGTTGATTCTCCACACACTTCAATATTTGAAGAGTTAATTGGTAGCAGTGTGTGTGTGTGTCTGTGTGTGTGTGAGACAGAGAGAGGAGTTATGTGTTCTTTATAACATTCAATCCTTTGAATTTCTTCCAACTGCTAAGTTTGATTTTGTAATATTAAAAAGATATAGAATAATATGAAAAAAATGGCTAAATGTAATTATGACCCTGGACTACTAGGCTTTATTATTTTTGGAATTCCTGACATGAGCTTGATGTATTATTCTAGCCCTAATGTCCCTGAGGCTAGACTTTGAGAATTTTTTACAAGAGTGAAAATTTCAAAATAGTTTAGCAAGTGACCTAAGGCTAACATTTCATAAAACAAGAGTATTTTAATAGAGCAAGAATAAAAAATAGTGGGACATTTTATCTTTAAGCAAAGAAAATTCTTCCTTAGAAAAGATAGTTGCCAATCTAATTCAACATTTATATCTTTCTTTCAAGCTTTCTTTCTGACTTTTCCCTATGGTCTCCTAAGCAACATATAGTTAAATTTCCCTGTTAAAAATCCTAATAGTGTTTGTCTTTTAATAGAAGAAATTAAGTTATTTATATTTACTGTAATCACTGTGTGTTAGTTTTCTTTCTGTCATCTTAATTTATGGTGTCTGCTCTTCTACATCTCTTGAGGGTTCCCCTTTCTAGATTCTAGCTAATTGGTCAAATGTTCTTTCTTCCTTTCATTTCTTTGGTGAAATAGAAATGTTTCCTCTTTTTTGTATTTTAACTTATATGTATATTTTTACAAGCATAATTATGTTTCCAATCCTGTTTTCTTAGCAATTTCAAAAATAAATCAATATTCTGAAGCCTACTCTCACCCACGTACTAAAAAGGCAGTCTTTCATTTCTTCCCTCCTCGGAGATTCATCTCCCAGGTTTCATCTTGCAGAATTTTGGTGTATGATTAATATTTTGTTGTAGGTATGCATGGACTTTATCTATTTGATTTTATGTCATCCCCTTTCTATTTTATTAACTTATTTAGTAACTGCATTGGGATTTTACACCTGCATTGTGAGCAACTATTTGTACGCTCCCCCTATTATTTCTTTGGCTTTTCTTAGTTCCATTATGTCTGTCTAGAAGCATTCTAATGAACCTTGGGTTTCCTGGACCTATCTCTCATCTCTCAACTTTTCCAATGTAATTTTTATGTTATTGGAGAGAATGCTTTAGCTAGATATTCCATATCACAAAGTCACTAAGTCAATTCATTTTTTTTCTTTTTTTTTTGACACAGGTCTTGCTTTACCTCCTGGGCTTAAGCAGTCCTCCCTCCTCAGCCTCTTGCATAGCTTGGACTACTGATGCATGCCACCACACCCAGCTAGTTTTTTAAAAATTTTTTGTAGAAATGGGGGTCTCACTCTGTTGCTCAGGCTGGTGTTGAACTCCTGGGCTCAAGTGATTCCCCTGCCTCAGCCTCCCAGAGGGCTGGGATTATAGGCAGGCATCACTGTGCCCAACCTCAGTGCTTTTACTTAATTTTTACTTCTGCCGTCAGCCTTTCCATTTTAATTTTTTTTTTTTTTTTTTTTTTTTGAGACGGAGTCTCGCTCTGTCGCCCAGGCTGGAGTGCAGTGGCGGGATCTCGGCTCACTGCAAGCTCCGCCTCCCGGGTTCACGCCATTCTCCTGCCTCAGCCTCCCAAGTAGCTGGGACTACAGGCGCCCGCCACTACGCCCGGCTAATTTTTTGTATTTTTAGTAGAGACGGGGTTTCACCGTTTTAGCCGGGATGGTCTCGATCTCCTGACCTCGTGATCCGCCCGCCTCGGCCTCCCAAAGTGCTGGGATTACAGGCGTGAGCCACCGCGCCCGGCCCCATTTTAATTTTTAATGTTATCAATTATATTCTAATTTCCAAGGTTTTCTTTTTTGGGTTATGAAGTTATTCTTATGAATTACTCCAGGTTTTTCTGTCCAGTATGGCAGCTATTTAATTAGCTACATGTGGTAGTCACTAGCCATGTGTGGCTATTTCAATTTCAGTTTAAATTAGTTAAAGTTAAATGAAATTGAAATTCAGTTCCTTCACTGCCCTGGCCACATTTCAAATGCTCAATAGCCACATGTGGGTGGAGACTGCAGTGTTGGGCAGTTCAGAGTTGTACAGCATTTTCATCATCACAGACTGACCTGTTGTATAGTGCTGGTCTAGACTGATTAGTATTAGCTGCTAAAATGGTTTTCCTTCCAACGCAAGGCAGTCACTGTCCCCCAGGTAGTGAAAATGGCTGCTGACAGAGCAGGAGCATCGCCATCTTGGACAAACACCACCATTTTACGTTCCCCACGCTCCTAACCAAAATCGGCCAAAAGCCCCTCTCAGGTTTATTCTCCAAAATAAATCTGTCTTTAACTGTTAAGCCACTTTTCATGTTTCTTTCCTCTTTCACTCTTAGAGCTGCCTTGAGTGGAGAAGAGCTACATCCATGTGGGCTTCCCTGCATGATGGGAGGGAAACTTGACTTCTCATTGTGAATGCTCTGTCTTAGTTGGGTTCAGCACAAGTTACTTGGGGCAGGGACCCATGTCCTCTCCAGCTACCTAAACTTCAGTCCTAACTTTATGCAGAAAACTGACTTCACAGAAAACCTAGGAGCAAGGTGCTGTAGCCAGCCTCTCTTTCAAATGGGGAATTCGTGTAATTGTTCTGTTGTTCTCTAATTTATAACCCTTAGACCATCCCACAGACCATTGCTTCTCCCAGCCTGCTGTCTCCAATCTTGATTTTTCTCCAGAGCTCTGTTGGAAGAACTCAGTTTTACAACTGTCTCCTCTTTCATCTGTCTGGGGTTATGGTCTCCTGAAGGCTGTTAAGGAATCACCATTCATCTGATGCCATATATTTTGTCTGTTTCACACATTTCTCAAAACTTCTGGCTTGCTGATGGTGACATTTTCCATTTTCCAGCATTGCCATTGATTTATTCTTGCTCTTATATTTCCTCTGTCAAGATGTGCTCAGTCAGCCATCTTGAACTGAAAGGAGTAGCCCTATTTCTTAAGCTTTTGTGTCTACAGAATTAGTTTTATAAATAATCATAGAATGTCAGGGGAGAAAGAAAATCTGAGATCCAGTCCAATCCATTCGTTTTATAGATGTACAAAGTGAGACTCATATGAGAAAAGTGACTCACACAGACCTTTACAGCATGGTAACGGCAAAGCTTGGACAAAGAGGGCAGTCACTTGTCTCCTACACTGGCCTCTGACCATTGTCCCCTGCTCCAAGAACCCTGAGTCATTATAAGAGGTCAATGTTGTCCGGGCACAGTGGCTCACGCCTGTAAGCCCGGCACTTTGGGAGGCTGAGGCGGGTAAATTACGAAGTCCGGAGTTCAAGACCAGCCTGATCAACATGGTAAAACCCCGTCTCTACTAAAAATACAAAAATTAGCCAGGTGTGGTGGCATGCGCCTGTAATCCCAGCTACTCAGGAGGCTGAGGCAGGAGAATCGCTTGAACCTGGGAGGTGGAGGTTGTACTGAGCCGAGAGTGTATCACTGTACTTCAGCCTGGGCAACAGAGCAAGACTCTGTCTCAAAAAAAAAAAAAAAAAGTCAATGTCTCAGCCCAGGCATAACCTAGGTTCAGCACAGTAGTTGTTTTTTTATGCAGATCTTTTCTAAGCTCCTCCTAATACAAAAGAATGGGGGACTCCTATTTTTTAAAAGGCATTTTCAACTGAACTGAATGAAATTAAAAGAATCTTCCACTGTTGGTGGGAGTGTAAATTAGTTCAACCATTGTGGAAGACAGTGTGGCGATTCCTCAAGGATCTAGAACCAGAAATACCATTTGACCTAGCAATTCAATTACTGGGGTATATACCCAAAGGATTATAAATCATTCTACTATAAAGATACATGCACATGTATGTTTACTGCAGCACTATTCACAGTAGCAAAGACTTTGAACCAACACCCAAATGCCCATCAATGGTAGACTGAATAAAGAAAATGTGGCACATATACACCACGGAATACTATGCAGCCGTAAAAAAGAATGAGTTCATGTCCTTTGCATGGACATGGATGAAGCTGGAAACCATCGTTCTCAACAAACTAACACAGGAACAGAAAACCCAACATCGGATGTTCTCACTCATAAGTGGGAGGTGAATAGTGAGAACACACGGACACAGGGAGGGGAACATCACACACCAGGGCCTGTTGGCGGGGGTGATGAGCAAGGGGAGGGAGAGCATTAGGACAAATACCTAATGCTTGCAGGGCTTAAAACCTAGATGATGGATTGATAGGTGCAGCAAACCACCACGGCACATGTATACCTATGAAACAAACCTTCACATTTTGCACATCTATCCCAGAACTTAAAGTAAAATAATAAAAGAAAAAGAATCTTCCTCTTAACCTACAAATTCATTTACTCCAAAAGGTCCTTTTCCCAAGAACAGTTAAAAAAAAAATCAAGGTTATACTTCAAAGGTATAAGAAGAAAGGGGCTTGGAAAATGCAAACAGTTCCCGCTTAGGAATGACCATGATATTGCAGAATGGGTGGGAGAGCAGTGGATATGAGAAATAGGCTTCCCCCTTCCCCAGCAGGTTCTGGGGTGGGAGCTTATTGTCCATCTTAGTGAAATCTTTCATCTCGAGCATCTGCCTAGTTGCACTCATCTACAATCTGTTTCCAGTGAAGCAAAGTAATTAATTGTTTCAAAATGCTTTTTTAGACTTTGGAAAACTGACCTAGGGTTAATGGTTCATAAACCTCATTTATGCTTCTATTAGAGATTTTAAAATGTGAGCTGATGTGCTTCTGGACTGGAGAGGAAGAGAGGCCCTCATAGACCTGCTGTGAAACCTGTAGCAGTGGCTGCAGCCAAGGAGTTATCCCTTTTTTTTTTTTTTTTTTTTGACATCTTAAAGGAAGAGAGGGGGAGCAACGCAAATTCTCTGACATCATCTCTCAGAGGGTTTGATGTAACGATGACATATTAAACTTGGAGAGAAGGCGTACACTTTCCCGGTCCTAGAAGTTTCATCATCGACCCTCAGCCACTCTACAATGGGGACTGGAACCAGGCTTTCCAGTCCTGGCAGAGCTCCTGTTACTATGTATTCCTCGATAAAACACCTTCATTCCTGTACTTGGCCTCATAGACTGTGATCTTTTTAGGGATACCAGTAAGGGCTCTCAATATCTCTTCTAACATGAGCAACCCCATAACTTCATTCCCGGGTATCACAAAGACTTACTTTGGGGATTATGAACTCACATGCATCCAGACACCAGACAGATAGCATAAATAAGTCAGGAAGAAGGATGGAGACTGGGGAACCGGAACAGGCACATCCCCTTCAAAGGGAGGTCACTGCTTTTCAGTTCTAGCTGGTTGCTGGCATGCAGAAATGTGTGCCTTATGTTTCCAGAGGAGTCACAAATCCAGATAACAAGTGAAGTCTGACGCTTATTTGGTGCTGGTGACTAATTAAAAAATCGAGACACTTCCAGCTACAAACAACACACATCTGTGATTTCCCCCATCCCAACCCCTGGTTTGAGATCTCTGGTTTGGTTCTCCCAGAAATAACTATCAAAATGCAAAGGTAGAAAAAAAAATTACAGAAGGAGCAGGACTGGAAAAGAAATGCAACGATGAAAGGATTACAGAAGCAACTTTTAGATACCAAATAGTCAGTGCCTATGCAAATTCTAAACAGATGTGGTTGACCTGGTGAAGTTCCAGCCTCCAGAACACTCCCCTCCTGGCCACCAATAGTGGTCTTTGTAACATGCAAACTCTTTGTTTATTTGAATTCTGGGCCAGGCTAAAGTGGCAGTCGCCTCAATAAAGGGGGAGCCTTCAGGAAGGTGGGTATTCCTAGGATATTCTCAAGGATAGACACCCTAAGATATTCAAAAAGATTGAATTTCCAAGGTATACGCATACAAATCAATTGAAATGTAACCATAGCAATTATAATAAATCACTTCAGTTCACCAAGTGCCTATGTACTAATGTCAGGGTAAGTGACTTATAGAAGTCGTCTTGTTTCGTTTGCACAACAAACCTAATATGTACTATAATTATCCCTTTTCCTTTTTATTTATTTTTTATTTTATTTTATTTATTTTTTTGAGACGGAGTCTCACTCTGTCGCCCAGGCTGGAGTGCAGTGGCGCCATCTCGGCTCACTGCAAGCTCCGCCTCCCGGGTTCACAACATTCTCTTGCCTCAGTCTCCCGAGTAGCTGGGACTACAGGCACCCGCCACCACACCTGGCTAATTTTTGTATTTTTAGTAGAGACGGGGTTTCACTGTGTTAGCCAGGATGGTCTCGATCTCCTGACCTTGTGATCCACCTGCCTTGGCCTCCCAAAGTGCTGGGATTACGGGTGTGAGCCACCATGCCTGGCCATAATTAACCCTTTTGTATAGATGGGAAAACACACTCAGGGAGGGGAATTCGTTTTCCTGCAGATCACAGGTGATAACACCTGAATTTTGTTAGAAAATGAGCTCCCTCAATCTATGTGTTATTCTTTGTCTCCCTTGAGGACACAGAGTAGGAAGTTCAACATAATGTTGAAGTGGTTTTCCCCTCCCAACTTCCAAAGATTCCCAGAGTGGGCTTAAAAGTAAGAGAACAGATGGTGGTTGGGTGGTGGCGGTGGTATATCAATTTCCTCCAAATGTATATCTGGAATATACAAAAACAAACTAGGGTGAGCAGAAAAATCGCATGTTCTAAAAATGAAAAGACTGTAGCTTTCAAGATATTTATCATTTTGTGTACTCTGGGACCATATGGATAATATCAATTGGCCTAAGATTGGAAGGATAAGGAAGGGAGACCACAAAAGGCTTTGAGAAAGCAAGGGGTAGACACTGAGAGGGAGAGCATGACCTGGACAGTGAATTGCTCATGTGGGTTGTTGAGATGTTTATTTATTTTATATTTATTTTTTTGAGTGTCGTTCTGTCACCCAGGCTGGAGTGCAGTGGTGAGATTTTGGCTCACTGCAACCTCTGCCTCCTGGGTTCAACCGATTCTCCTGTCTCAGCCTCCTGAGTAGCTGGAATTACAGGCACATCCCACAATCCCAGCTAATTTTTTGTATTTTTGGTAGAGATGGAGTTTCACCACGTTGGCCAGGCTGATCTTGAACTCCTGACCTCAAGTGATCCACCTGCCTCGGCCTCCCAAACTGCTGGGATTACAGGCGTGAGCCACCACACCTGGCCTGTTGAGATGTTTAAAAACAACTTTATTGAGATATACTTCACATACCACACAAATTGCACATTTAAAGTATACAATTCAATATTTTCAGTATTTTTGCAGACATGTGCAACCATCCCCACAGTCAATTTTAGAACATTTTTACCACCTGTAAGAAGCCCTGTGCCCTCTAGCCTTCATCTCCCTGTTCCCCATCCCTTCCCTGAAATCTCCAGAAAAAGCTCTAGAGTTGGCTACTCCTGGGATTTCCAGGAGTATAAGCCAGAAGTCCTCTGCCAGTTCGTTTTTCAGTTTAAACATCACCAATCAAACACTGATGTCCTTGCCCTCTTTTTCTTTTCTTACCCCTACCTTTCTGATAACTTAGCATTCCCAGTCCTGACTTAGGAGAAGGGTTGGATTTATAAACAATTATCCCAGGCATTGTTCAAGAGGTCTCTATGTTTAGAGTGGGTCTAAATGCAGAAACTAGTACCCAGACCTTTCTCCAAGCACCGTCAAAGGCAGTACTTCTGAATGCATCTTCACAACCTTTTGTTCTATTTTCTGCATTATCTTGAAGAGGCTACATCATTGTGAAAATGTAGGAAATAAGTGATTTTTGTTCAAAGCAATGATGGGAAGTGGTCATTCTTAAATGATGTCTATTAACGACCTACAAGTGAATTGAAGGTGCTAGGCATTGCGAGTTGTGCAAAGAGATTTTAAACTATTTTGGGGAAGATAGAATATGAATTGTAACTGGAAGGAACATGACATGGGAACAGAGCATTTTCTTAAGAATCAAACTAATTGGGTTCAAATCCTAATCCCACTACTTACCAACTGCACAACATTGGGCAAGTTAGCTAAGCTTCTCTGAGTCTCAGTCCCCTTACCAATAAAATAGAAATAATGTCACTGTATTAGTCCATTTTCATGCTGCTGATAAACACATACCAGAGACTGGGAAGAAAAAGAGGTTTTAATGGACTTACAGTTCCACATGGCTGGGGAGACCTCACAATCATGGCGGAAGGCAACGAGGAGCAAGCCGTATCTTACGTGGATGGTGGCAGGCAAAGAGAGAATGTACTAGCAGGGGAAATGCCAGACGCTTATAAAATCATCAGATCTCATGATAACTCACTCACTATCAGGAGAAAGGTATGGGGAAACTGCACCCATAATTCATTTATCTCCACCTGGCCCTGCCCTTGACATGTGGGGATTATTACAATTCAAGGTGAGATTTGGGTAGGGACACAGAGCCCAACCATATCAGTCACCTATTCTATATGGTGTTTCAAGATTAAAATATGTGGGATTGACAAGCACCACAACAATTATTATTTCTACTACTACTACCACCACTACCACCACCATTTAAGTGAGCATTTATTTGTCAAGAAGTTATAAGTCACTTAATATGTATTATCTCTCTAACCCATCCAACAACTTGGAAAAGCATACAAGATATAATCCTCCCTTCACAGATGTAAAAAACTGGCTCAGATAAGTGAAATAACTTGCCACAAACCATACAGCTGGTGAGTGTCGGAACTAAGTATTAAAACCAGACTTGTTGGTCACAAAGATGACATCACACCCATTATTGTCATAATTAATTACTACTGGAACAGTGCAAGGAGGAATCCAGAACATGAAAGAGACATTTTTCTTTCAAAAGCTAGAAATCCATCTTTTAAAAGTCAGGCAAACACTGTAAAATTTAAAATAGGTAATTTCACATTTTGATGGCTGTGTTAGAAACTAGGCAATATCAAGTACAGGGCTTAAATGCCAGTGTAAGGATGAGAGACTATGTCTAGACAGCTGGTATACCAGCTCCAACACATCGTCTGTGTTCACCCATCCACCCCACAGGCCGAAATGAATTTTTAGGAAGAGATGCTATTCAGTCCCTCTGTAAAGGGGCTTCCAGAACATAACCTGCCATTCCTGGAACAATGTTGTAACATCCCGGGCAGAGAAACTCTGTCCTCTGCTCAGCAACAAACCTTGGGATTTGCCCAGTTTCTTGTCCTTGGGTTCTTGCAAAGTCACCATAATTTGAATTTTTATAAATCAAATCCTATTTCAAATGCAATTGAAGAACTTGCACTTTAAAAGAATCCTGTCTTGAATCCTCAAGAAAATGGAAGACTGCCGTTGAAACTGAATAGCTATTCCTAAAATTATCCATTTTGCAAATTTGGAATTTGGTTCCCAACCTTGTGAAAACAACCTGTAAACTTCGAAACCAATTTGAAATTCAAGTTTGTGGCTGGGTCTTTTGGGCACTCCTTATCACCTTGGCTGATAAGCATTTAAATATATTCATTAACAAAAATCATTGTTGTCACAGTTAACTACATTAGCACCTTTTAATTGAATTAGAAATTAGATGGGGGTCATGAATATTTCACTAGGATTCACTGCCAGCCTTCCCAATTTCCATCTTAAAAAAAAATACTGTCACGTAGCGTAAACGGATGAATTCACAATGTTCTTGTTCCCGCCTTTTCTTATAGTTTTGCCACAAAAGTCATCCCGGTGTCGAAAATGAATCAGAAACAAATTTTTAACTTTCATGCTGCTCTTCTGTGCATCTTGGCATGATGCAAAGAGTTTTCTGTCCTTAGGAAACTTTATATAAACATTTACTCAACACAATCCAGAAACCATCAGTCCCATTGCATGCTGAGAAGGCTGGGGTTTTTGAGGTAGAGCCAGATTCTCAATATCAGCACAACTGACTTTTGGGGCTAGGAAACTCAGTGGGAGGCCTGTCCTGTGCGTTCCAGGGTGCTTAGCAGCATCCCCGGCCTCTATCCACTGAATGCTAGTAGTGCACATGACACGCTCCATCCCCTGTGTGACAACTAAAATAGTCTCCAGATAATATTTGTTTGTCTCTTTGTTTGTTCGAGATGGAGTCTTGCTCTGTCACCCAGGCTGGAGTACAGTGGTGCGATTTCAGCTCCCTACAGCCTCCACCTTCTGGGTTCAAGCAATTCTCCTGCCTTAGCCTCCCAAGTGGCTGGGATTACAGGCACACACCACTACGCCTGGCTAATTTTTGTATTTTTCAGTAGAGAAAATGTTTCACCACGTTGGCCTGACTAGTCTCAATCTCCTGACCTCAAGTTATCTTTGCCTAGGCCTCCCAAAGTACTCAGATTACAGACATGAGTCACCGTGCCTGGTCATGTCTCCAGATATTTGGATGTCCAAATCATATCCCACCCTTGGGGGAGAAGTTTGCTCCCCAGCTTGGAACCACTAAGAATAATATAGATTCAATTACTAGCCCTGCCTCTTGTGTTTGGCCCTTCTCTGGGCCTCAGTTTTGTTTTGTATATGTGAAATAGAAGCGATCATCACTACCTCACTAGGTTGCTAAGAGATTTAAATAATATCAAGTGAATAAAAGGCATAGCTGAGGGCGTGTTCATTAATTAATATGTATGTAGTAATAATCATAGTAACAGAAGCAGCAGCAACACTAGCAGAACTTGCATCATGACGTGAGGGAGGTGAAGGAAAGGACTAGCTGCTCCTCTTCTGTTTATACTACACTCCACTCATGGAAGTGCCCATGTTACTGGGCTGAACCACATGAACCTTCCCTGCCGGAAGAAAGACCCAAGAGGGCACCTTCAAAGGCAGCAGTAGCCCCTCGTCCGCGAATCTTTAAGCTGGTTTGACTCACCCTCCATGCCACATGTGCGGTGGATGGTCAAAGCAAGCCCCAGATACGTCTCCAGTGGAGACATCTGAGACAGCATGGTGAGGTTTAAAAAAGGAAATTGGATTTGGAGTCTAAGGGACCTAAATTCCAAACTTGGCTGCTGATTCTGGGAAGTGTTGGGCAAGTTCCTTAATTTCTGTGAGCCTCAGTTTCCTTAGCTTTAAAATAGAGTCAGTGAAAATTCTCCCACAGACTGGTTGTAAGAACTAAATGTGGTAACGCATGCAGAAAGCCCAGTGTGATGCTTGACACACGGTAAGTGCTCAATTATCTGTAGTAATTATCATTTTTATGATGAAGAATATCATGATCCTGGCCCAGCATGGTGGCTCACACCTGTAATCGCAGCACTTTGGGAGCCTGAGGCAGGTGGCGGGTGGATCTCTCTTTTTTTTTTTTTTTTTTTTTGAGACAGAGTCTTACTTTGTCGCCCAGGTTGGAGGGCCGTGGCACAACCTCGGCTCACTGCAAGCTCTGCCTCCTGGGTTCACACCATTCTCCTGCCTCAGCCTCCAGAGTAGCTGGGACTACAGGTGCCCGCCACCACACCTGGCTAATTTTTTTGTATTTTTAGTAGAGACAGGGTTTCACTGTGTTAGTGGCAGGTGAATCTCTTGAGGCCAGGAGTTCAAGACCAGCTTGGCCAACCTGGCAAAAACCCATCTCTACTAAAAATACAAAATATTAGCCAGGCATGATGGCGTGTGCCTGTAATCCCAGCTACTCAGGGGACTGAGGCAGGAGAATGGCTTGAACCCGGGAGGCAGAGGTTGCAGTGAGCCAAGATTGCACCACTGAACTCCAGCCTGGGTGACGGACTGAGACTCTCTCCCCCACAAAAAAAAGAATATCATGATGGTTTACAGCAAGGTTTCTCCACCTTGGTGCTATACACATTGTGAGCTGAATAATTCTCTGTTGCGGGAAGCTGCTCTATGCACTGTAGGATGTCAGCAGCATCACTGGCTAATGAGATGCCAGTAGCACTTGTCCACAGCTGTGACAACCAAAAGTGTCTCCAGACATTTCCAAATGTCCCACGGAGACAAAACTGCCCCCCTTGAGGAATACTGCTCTACAGGAAGTGGATTCCCTTCCTAGTCTAATTGGTCACTGTATCCTGGGTGGATGCCACCTCTTCTGGGAAGACCCCCTGCCTTCCTTATGCAGAATTCACCGCTCCCTTCATTGCCTCGTAAGTGTTTGTTTGCTTATCTGTGTGGTCTGCTAGACTGGGAGCCCCACAAGGGCCAGCTTCATTCAGATCTGTGTCTGGAGTTGGCACAGAGTGGAAGGTAGTGAACAGAGCAGGAAAGGTTAAACAAAAAAGTGGTTAAAAAATCAAAAGAGGACGGGCGCAGTGGCTCACACTTGTAATCTCAGCCCTTTAGGAGGCCGAGGCAGGCAGATCACTTGAAGTCAGGAGTTCAAGACCAGCCTGGCTAACATGGTGAAACCCTGTCTCTACTAAAAATACAAAAATTAGCCAGGCGTGGTGGCCTGTTGTCCCAGCAACTCAGGGGGCTGAGATAGGAGAATCACTTGAACCTAGGAGGCAGAGGTTGCAGTGAGATGAGATCACACCGCCGCACTCCAGCCTGGGCAACAGAGCAAGACCCCACCTGTCTCAAAGAAAAAATAACAATAATAATAATAATCAAAACTAAAAAATAATAGATGTTGGCATGGATGTGGTGAAAAGGGAACTCTTTTACATTGTTGGTGGGAATGTAAACTAGCATAGCTACTATGGAAAACAGTATGGAGATTCCTTAAAGAGCTAAAAGTAGATCTACCATTCAGTCTAGCAATCCCACTACTGGGTATATACCCAAAGACAAAGAAGTCGTATGAAAAAGACACACGCACACACATGTCTACAGAAGCACAATTCTCAATTGCAAAAATTATGGAACCAACTCAGATGCCCATCAACCAACCAGTGGATAAAGAAAATTTGGTACCCATACACCATGGAATACTACTCAGCCATAAAAGGCAATGAAATAATGGCCTTTGCAGCAACTTGGATGGACTTGGAAGCCATTATTCTAAGTGAAGTAACTCAGGAATGGAAAACCAAGTATCATATGTTCTCACTGATAAGTGGGAGCTAAGCTATGAGGATGCAAAGGCGGCATACGAGTAATATAATGGACTTTTGGAATTCAGAGAGAAGGGTGAAGGTGATGAGGCATCAAAAACTACATATTGAGTACAGTGTACCCTGCTAGGGTGATAGGTACATCAAAATCTCAGAAATCACCACTAAAGAACATAACCATGTAACAAAAAACCACCTGTTCCCCAAAAAGTATTGAAATAAAATTTAAAAAAATTAAAAAATAAACTGTTATTTTCTGAGCACCTACTGTATACCAAAGACAAAGCCTAAACTGCTTGCAGGCATGATTTCCTTCAATCTTCTCAATGGGTTGGTCAAGTATTTATTTTTGTGCCCATTTTACTGATGAAGAACTGAGGCTTAGAAGAAACTCAGTTAGAGACACATGGCAAGTATTTGAATGGGCTTAGGGTTTGAACCCACATTCTCCCCAGTTTGTGCTGCACCCTAGAGGTCTCCCATCTGCCAAGGGCTTTATCAAATGCATTCCTTGTCCCATGGATGAGATCAGGCCAGGCGCGGTGGCTCACACCTGTAATCTCAACACTGTGGAAGGCCGAGGCAGGTGGATCACCTGAAGTCAGGAGTTCGAGACCAGCCTGGCCACCATGGTAAAACCCTGTCTCTACTAAAAATACAAAAATTAGTCAAATGTGGTGGCAAGCGCCTGTAGCCCCAGCTACTCAGTAGGTTGAGGCTGGAGAACCGCTTGAACCCGAGAGGCGGAGGTTGCAGCGAGCTGAGATTGAGCCACTGCACCTCAGCCTGGACGAGAGAGCGAGACTCCGTCTCAAAAAATAAATACATAAATAAATAACTAGAGAGATCAGAAAATTGGGGTGGATTGCCCAAGGTCAGGAAATGAGCTGACCTGCTTGAAGAAACAATCCATTCTGGATCCAAAGAGGAGGCACTGGGCATTTTTTTACTTTTACTGAAAAGGTCGTATTGGAGGCAGCCCCAGTGACACCTTTTGACAATTTCAGAAAGTTCCACCTGCAGTTTGGAGGCAAAGCTGAAGCCAAGGCCTACATCGTCCCAGCCCCTCTCTCCACCTCCAGCTCAAACACCAGCTGGCCCTTAGCTCTTGGAACATTAGTCTGCAGGGGGAACAGATCCTGGTGCATGAAGGAGGCATCTCCCATCCTAGACTTGACCACTCCCCAGTGCAGCTGCTTCTCGTTGTTTCAGAGATTCTGAGAAATATGTTAAATAGGCTAAGGGAGACATACAAAGTGGACAGCAGACTCCAAAAGGTTAATATCTTCCTTTTCAGATGGTTCCCACAGTTGCCATGGATATCTCCTACAGGAGGCTTTGCAAGTTCCACATGAAGGGGCTGAAATTAATAAACTCCTTTGAACTCAGAGGAAACAAACCAGGTGGGGCTAAAAATGCTGCAGCCTGTTTGTATCCATCTTGGACAGGGGGGCCTAGAAGAGCAGGTGTGTGTGCAAAGGGCGTTTGGGTGTTTATCTGTGGGTATGTGTGCGTTTCAACCACACATATGCGACTGTATGTGTGCCTTTGGTTTGTCTGTGTATACACATGAAAGAGGGTCAGAAAAGGACTAGACTGTCTGCATATCCCAAAGGGCAAAGATTTATTTGATGATAGTTTCCCCAACTAGGCGGCAATATATTCAAGGTCAAGGGCTGTTTTTTATTTGTCTCTGCAATCCCATTAGCACCTAGCCTGGTGCCTTGTGGATGTTCAGCAACTGTCTATTGAACAGTTTCATCTGTTCATTTAACAAATAATTTTGAGGGCCTGGCACTGTGCTACGCACAGAGGTTATTACCACAGTGACTAAGACAGAGATTCTTTCTTCATGGAGCTTAGGAGCATGAGACAGGTGGACGAATGGGCTGAAGGATGAATTCTCAAATGAAAAGTCATATAAGTACCTTTCCTGTGGTTCATGTGTGTAAACGTGTGCACGTGTGTATGTATGTGCACACAGGTATTTATAAAGAGACAAAAGAATTACTTGAAAAATGAAGTGCCAGTGAGGAACAGAGTCCATGTATAAAAAATAAAGAACGTGGGCCGGGTGCATTGGCTCATGCCTATAATCCCAGCACTTTGGGAGGCTGAGGTGGGTGGATCATCTGAGGTCAGGAGTTCGAAACCAGCCTGGCCAACATGGTGAAACCTCGCCTCTACTAAAAATACAAAAATTAACCAGGCACGGTGGCAGGCACCTGCAATCCCAGCTACTCGGGAGGCTGAAGTGAAAGAATCACTTGAACCTGGGAGACAGAGGTTGCAGTGAGCAGAGATCGCACCACTGCACTCCAGCCTGGGCGACAGAGCAAGACTGTGCCTCAAAACAAAACAAAACGAAACAAAAAATGAAGAACATGGACACCGGCGTCAACACGTCCTGCCTCTGTTGCTAATCAGCTATACCTCCTTAGTCAATCAGAGCCACAGTTTACTCACATTGAATATTTTTGGCACACCTACCATGTGTGAGGTACGTTCCCCGCCCTGGGACATAGCAAGGAGTAGAGCAGACATCAATCCCCACCGTCATTGAGTAATGATTCTAAAACTCAGTGAGTGCCAGAATGGCAAGAGGCTCCAAGGTGGCCCAGGGAAGCAGGGAAGGTGTCTGAAGGAAGTGACTCTTCCACCGAGACATGAAGGATGTATAAGAATCGGTTAAGTGACAGGTAGAGGGGAAAGAGTCCCAGGCAGAAAAAATAGTGTGCACAGAGGTCTTGAGGCAAGAGCAATTATGGCACGTTTGAAAAGCTGGAGGATATTGAATACAGCAGCAGCACTGTGTGTAAAGGGGAGGAAAGGCTGTATGAATGGGTGTACATATGTGTCCATGCATGTGTGTGTGTGTGACTCAGTATGAGTGTGTCTCTGTATGTGTTTCCAGGCATGTGATTATGAGTGTGTATCTGAATAAGTGTGTGCATGTGTGTCTCGGTATGTATGTACATGTGTGGTATGTGTGTCTGAGTGTGTCTGTGTTTTTAAGCATAGTGCGAGTGTGTGTGTCTCCATGTATGTGAGTCTGTGTGTGCATGTGTTCCCATGCAAGTGTGTGCAAGACTGAATGGCTGTCTGTGTGCATGTGTGTCTAAGCATGTGTTTATGCATGTGTCTGAATGAGTGTGTGAGTTTGTGTGTGTGTGTGTGTCCAGGCATATGAGTGTGGGTGAGTACACATCCTTACAAAGAAGTTTGCAGATACTACGACCAGAAAGCCACAGATAAAGGAATAAGACTTCCTATGGGAGTTCTGTAACCACAGAGCAAAATCAATATTCTAACCGAATTGCTTTTATAGATAATGTATTATGTGAGAAAAGTTTTAATTAAAGTGTGGCCTCTAAGAAGGTTGCTCCAAGACTCACAGATTTCACTGTTCTGCTCAGACAGAGCTCAGGGCAGGTGGGGAGCAAGCTGGGTATTATCCAACAGGCAGCCCTCCCATTCCTTGTCCTCCTCTGTGGCTGCCATTTTCACCTGCCTTGTTATAAATTCATTAAAAAAAAAAAAAAACGGCCATGCACGATGGCTCATGCCTGTAATCCTAGCACTTTGGGAGGTCGAGGGGGGTGGATCACTTGAGGTCAGGAGTTCAAGACCAGCCTGGCCAACATGGTGAAACCTCGTCTCTACTAAAAATACAAAAATTAACTGAGTGTGGTGGCGGGTGCCTGTAATCCCAGCTACTCAGGAGGCTGAGGCAGGAGAACTGCTTGAACCTGGGAGGTGGAGGTTGCAGTGAGCCAAGATCACACCATTGCACTCCAGCCTGGGCGACAGATACAGACTCTGTATAAAAAAAAAAAAAAAAAAAAAAAAAAAGCATATTTAGGAAATGCTGTTCATTAATGTTCCAGAAAACTATGCTAACATATTGATAGTCAAAGAAATGCAGACGAAAACAAATCATATTCTTTGCATAAAAGAGAAAAAAATAGAATTTAAAATAATAATATTTGCTTGCAGTAAGGGTACAGTATACCAGGTACGTTTGTGATAGGAGTGTAGATCGGTTCATATTTTCTGAAGGATATTTGAACCATAGTATCTGAAACTTTAAACTAGACATACCTTTGGATTCAGCATTTCTGCTTCTAGGAATTTAGCCAAAGAAAATAATCACTCAAATGGGGCAGATTAAGTGTAAAAAGTTGCTCATCAAAGCATCATGAAGATGCAACTCTTGTTATGATGGTGTGATCTTTCCCATAATTGGCCTCTAAAGGCTGAGAACAAAAGGTCATAAACATTCCACATTTTAAGTATAGTAACCACCAATATTTGGCCAGCTTTCTCCCTGAAAGTTTAGGTTTCAGGTAGTGGTGTGCTGGTAAATGTTTAACAAACAGCTATGGAGTGGAGGTGGAGATGGGGGGTTGTCAGATGATACAAATTTCCATGGTGTAAATACTCCCACCAGGGCTGATTCTGCGCTTCCAATGCGTGCTTGCTGAATGCAGAGTTTTGAAGAGATACTAACAATTGGCCCTCACGAGCCAATATGAGCACCTTCAGCATACGATGGGATAGAGGAGCCACTTCTGCTGAAGCAATGCTGATTCCTTGCAATGCATGCTCCACAGCACATATAAGTCAGGGAGGGAGAGTGAAGTTATCCTTTGGAGAGGCGCAGCGTTGGTGCAGAGAGATTCTCCCTACTTCCGCTTACTTCCCCAGAGGTTCTACTCCTCGTTGCAAAATGAGGGATGCACAAAGCAAATAGCTCACTAAGTTGGGAGGCATTTATAAGAAGGGGCTGCCAGACTCTCTCTCTCTGCTTGCTGACCAGTTTAGTGCTTCCTGAGCTAATTAAGAAGGCATTGGGACACAATAATGGTGCAGACTGACCACAAGGCTGATAGGAGACAAGGACCACTTTCTTTCAAGTCCCAGCTTTGCAAGTGGAATGGAAGATGGATGAGGGGAAAGGGCACTCTAAATAGCGTGTGAAATTGACATTGTCCAATGATCAAGACTGAATCTTCAGAACCAAGCTCAAACAGAGACTTTTAATACTAGGATGTATCTGTCTGAACCACACTAGTGATTTCCTTGAGGAAGCCTGCTAGGTAACAGGATAGGAAAAATTTGAAAGGGCAGAGTTAACAGCAGCTATTGGAAAAGAATACATTTTTCTGGTTTTACCTCAATGACTTGAGGCTTGTCAATCAAATTGGTCACACTTTTGAAATAACCTAAGTATCCATCAAGCAGGAATTCAGTATAATACAGCACATCCATTTATTCAAACAGCATGCAGATATTCAAAGATGTTAATACCCATTGTGTGTGTGTGTGTGTGTGTGTGTGTGTGTGTGTGTGTTATCTGTATCTTAATTCAAGTACCACCAAATAATCACTGATATATGCTTCTTTGAGGTTTTTAAAACTTAAATTTTATAGTCTCATTTTTAACTAGACAGTTAATAACTCTGTGAATTAAAAACATCTCTTTTCCTTGGGTCTACTCTGATATAGTCAACACTGGAGAATTCAAAATCACAGTATAGTCTTTCTACCATAGTTGCTACCAAGAAAAGATGACTGCAATAAATGAAAAGATGACCACAATAAATAGGTGAGTGGGAATAAAAAGTGATTTACAAATAATTATGTACAATATGACCTTGCTTTTGTAAAAGAATAAAAAAGTGTATAACCATATATATAGGAAAACATCTGGAAATGTACACACTAAAATGTCAAGAGTAGTTGCTCTGGGTGGGGTATGGTATATAGACCTTTATTTAATCATTTGCTCAACTTGCCATTCTTTGGTTAATACTTATTAAGTTCTCACTGTGTATCAGAGACACTGCTAGCCACCCATACTTCCCTGTTTTATCTAGTATTTTACAGATCTTTTGCCTTATAATTAACATGCATCAAAAAAATCAGGACAGGAAAAGAGAGAGCTTTTATTTTGCTGAAAAAACGAAGTACTCAGCCCACAGTACTTAGAACTCAAAGGGTACTTAGTAATGGTGGCCATGATTGTATCATTCTGTGAATCTTGGCTCTTCCTCTGCTATAGCTTCTAGAACAATCGTTGTAACAACAACAGTGATAGGCGGTTCCAAGATGGCTGAATAGGAACAGCTCCAGTCTACAGCTCCCATCACGAGCGACGCAGAAGATGGGTGATTTCTGCATTTCCAACTGAGGTACTGGGTTCATCTCACAGGAGAGTGTCGGACAGTGGGTGCAGGACAGCGGGTGCAGCGCACCGAGCGTGAGCAGAAGCAGGGTGAGGCATCGCCTCACGTGGGAAGTGCAAGGGGTCAGGGAATTCCCTTTCCTAGCCAAGCAAAGCTGTGACAGATGGCACCTGGAAAATTGGGTCACTCGCACCATAATACTGTGCTTTTCCAATGGTCTTAGCAAACGGCACACCAGGAGATTATAGCCCGTGCCTGGCTCGGAGGGTCCTAAGCCCACGGAGCCCTGCTCACTGCTAGCACAGCAGTCTGAGATCGAACTGCAAGGCAGCAGTGAGGCTGGGGTAGGGGCACCCACCATTGCTGAGGCTTGAGTAGGTAAACAAAGCAGCCAGGAAGCTCAAACTGGGTGGAGCCCACCGCAGCTCAAGGAAGCCTGCCTGCCTCTGTAGACTCCTCTGGGGGCAGGGCATAGCCAAACAAAAGGCAGCAGAAACCTCTGCAGACTTAAATGTCCCTGTCTGACAGCTTTGAAGAGAGTAGTGGTTCTCCCAGCACGGAGTTTGAGATCTGAGAACGGACAGACTGCCTCCTCAAGTGGGTCCCTGACCCCCGAGTAGCCTAACTGGGAGGCACCCCCCAGTAGGGGCAGACTGACACCTCACACGGCCGGGTACCCCTCTGAGACGAAACTTCCAGAGGAACGATCAGGCAGCAACATTTGCTGTTCAGCAATATTCGCTGTTCTGCAGCCTCCGCTGCTGATACCCATGCAAACAGGGTGTGGAGTGGACTTCCAGCAAACTCCAACAGACCTGCAGCTGAGGGTCCTGACTGTTAGAAGGAAAACTAACAAACAGAAAGGACATCCACACCAAAACCCCATCTGTACGTCACCATCATCAAAGACCAAAGGTAGATAAAACCGCAAAGATGGGGAAAAAACAGAGCAGAAAAGCTGAAAATTCTAAAAATCAGAGCGCCTCTCCTCCTCCAAAGGAATGCAGCTCCTCACCAGCAACGGAACAAAGCTGGTGTTTTGTTTTGCATGACTTTGATGAGCTGAGAGAAGAAGGCTTCAGATGATCAAACTTCTCCCAGCTAAGGAGGAAGTTTGAACCCATGGCAAAGAAGTTAAAAACCTTGAAAAAAGATTAGACAAATCGCTAACTAGAATAACCAATGCAGAGAAGTCCTTAAAGGACCTGATGGAGCTGAAAACTATGGCATGAGAACTACGTGACAAATGCACAAGCTTCAGTAGCCAATTCAATCAACTGGAAGAAAGGGTATCAGTGATGGAAGATCAAATGAATGAAATGAAGTGAGAAGAGAAGTTTAGAGAAAAAAGAATGAAAAGAAACGAACGAAGCCTCCAAGAAATATGGGACTATGTGAAAAGACCAAATCTACGTCTGATTGGTGTACCTGAAAGTGACGGGGAGAATGGAACCAAGTTGGAAAACACTCTGCAGGATATCATCCAGGAGAACTTCCCCAACCTAACAAGGCAGGCCAACATTTAAATTCAGGAAATACAGGGAACGCCACAAAGATACTCCTTGAGAAGAGCAACTCCAAGACACATAATTGTCAGATTCACCAAAGTTGAAATGAAGGAAAAAATGTTAAGGGCAGCCAGAGAGAAAGGTCAGGTTACCCACAAAGGGAAGCCCATCACACTAACAGCTGATCTCTCGGCAGAAACTCTACAAGCCAGAAGAGAGTGGGGGCCAATATTCAACATTCTTAAAGAAAAGAATTTTCAACCCAGAATTTCATATCCAGCCAAACTAAGCTTCATAAGTGAAGGAGAAGTAAAATACTTTACAGACAAGCAACTGCTGAGAGATTTTGTCACCACCTGGCCTGCCCTAAAAGAGCTCCTGAAGGAAGCACTAAACATGGAAAGGAATAACCAGTACCAGCCATGGCAAAAACATGCCCAAATTGTAAAGACCATCGAGGCTAGGAAGAAACTGCATCAACTAACGAGCAAAATAACCAGCTAACATCATAACGACAGGATCAAATTCACACATAACAATATTAACCTTAAATGTAAATGGGCTAAATCCTCCAATTAAAAGACTCAGACTGGCAAATTGGATAAAGAGTCAAGACCCATCAGTGTGCTGTATTCAGAAACCCATCTCACATGCAGAGACACACATAGGCTCAAAATAAAGGGATGGAGGAAGATCTACCAAGCAAATGGAAAACAAAAAAAGGCAGGGGTTGCAATCCTAGTCTCTGGTAAAATGGACTTTAAACCAACAAAGATCAAAGGAGACAAAGAAGGCCATTACATAATGGTAAAGGGATCAATTCAACAAGAAGAGCTAACTATCCTAAATATATATGCATCCAATACAGGAGCACCCAGATTCATAAAGCAAGTCCTTAGAGACCTACAAAGAGACTTAGACTCCCACACAATAATAATGGGAGACTTTAACACCCCACTGTCAACATTAGACAGATCAATGAGACAGAAAATTAACAAGGATATCCAGGAATTGAACTCAGCTCTGCACCAAGTGGACCTAATAGACATCTACAGAACTCTCCACCCCAAATCAACAGAATATACCTTCTTCTCAGCACCACATCACACTTATTCCAAAATTGACCACATAGTTGGAAGTAAAGCACTCCTCAGCAAATGTAAAACACCAAAAATTATAACAAACTGTCTCTCAGACCACAGTGCAATCAAACTAGAACTCAGGATTAAGAAACTCACTCAAAACCGCTCAACTACATGGAAACTGAACAACCTGCTCCTGAACGACTGCTGGGTACATAACAAAATGAAGTCAGAAATAAAGATGTTCTTTGAAACCAACGAGAACAAAGACACAACATACCAGAATCTCTGGGACACATTCAAAGCAGTGTGTAGAGGGAAATTTATAGCACTTAATGCCCACAGGAGAAAGCAGGAAAGATCTAAAATTGACACCCTAACATCACAATTAAAAGAACTAGAGAAGCAAGAGCAAACGCATTCAAAAGCTAGCAGAAGGCAAGAAATTACTAAGATCAGAACAGAACTGAAGGAGACAGAGACACAAAAAACCCTTCAAAAAATCAATGAATCCAGGAGCTGGTTTTTTGAAAAGATCAACAAAATTGGTAGACCACTAGCAAGACTAATAAAGAAAAGAGAGAAGAATCAAATAGATGCAATAAAAAATGATAAAGGGGATATCACCAGCGATCCCACAGAAATACAAACTACCATCAGAGAATACTATAAACACCTCTATGCAAATAAACTAGAAAATCTAAAAGACATGAATAAATTCCTTGACACATACACCCTCCCAAGACTAAACCAGGAAGAAGTTGAATCTCTGAATAGACCAATAACAGGCTCTGAAATTGAGGCAATAATTAATAGCCTACCAACCAAAAAAAGTCCAGGACCAGACGGATTCACAGCCGAATTCTACCAGAGGTACAAGGAGGAGCTGGTACCATTCCTTCTGAAACTATTCCAATCAATAGAAAAGGAGAGATTCCTCCCTAACTCATTTTATGGGACCAGCATCATCCTGATACCAAAGCCTGGCAAAGACACAACAAAAAAAGAGAATTTTAGACCAATATCCCTGATGAACATCGATGCAAAAATCCTCAATAAAATACTGGCAAACTGAATCCAGCAGCACATCAAAAAGCTTATCCACCATGATCAAGTGGGTTTCATCCCTGGGATGCAAAGCTGGTTCAACATACAAAAATCAATAAACGTAATCCAGCATGTAAACAGAACCAAAGACAAAAACCACACGATTATCTCAATAGATGCAGGAAAGGCCTTTAACAAAATTCAACAGCCCTTCATGCTAAAAACTCTCAATAAATTAGGCATTGATGGGACGTATCTCAAAATAATAAGAGCTATTTATGAAAAACCCACAGCCAATATCATACTGAATGGGCAAAACCTGGAAGTATTCCCTTTGAAAACTGGCACAAGACAGGGACGCCCTCTCTCACCACTCCTATTCAACATAGTGTTGGAAGTTCTGGCCAGGGCAATCAGGCAGGAGAAAGAAATAAAGGGTATTCAATTAGGAAAAGAGGAAGTCAAATTGTCCCTGTTTGCAGATGACATGATTGTATATCTAGAAAACCCCATCGTCTCAGCCCAAAATCTCTTTAAGCTGATAAGCAACTTCAGCAAAGTCTCAGGATACAAAATCAATGTGCAAAAATCACAAGCATTCTTATACACCAATAACAGACAAACAGAGAGCCAAATCATGAGTGAACTCCCATTCACAGTGGCTTCAAAGAGAATAAAATACCTAGGAATCCAACTTACAAGGGACGTGAAGGACCTCTTCAAGGAGAACTACAAACCACTGCTCAACAAAATAAAAGAGGATACAAACAAATGGAAGAAATTCCATGCTCATGGATAGGAAGAATCAATAATGTGAAAATGGCCATACTGCCCAAGGTAATTTATAGATTCAGTGCCATCCCCATCAAGCTACCAATGACTTTCTTCACAGAATTGGAAAAAACTACTTTAAAGTTCATATGGAACCAAAAAAGAGCCTGCATTGCCAAGTCAATCCTAAGCCAAAAGAACAAAGCTGGAGGCATCACACTACTGACTTCAAATTATACTACAAGGCTACAGTAACCAAAACAGCATGGTACTGGTACCAAAACAGAAATATAGACAAATGGAACAGAATGGAGCCCTCAGAAACAATACCACACATCTACAACCATCTGCTCTTTGACAAACCTGACAAAAACAAGAAATGGGGAAAGGATTCCCTATTTAATAAATGGTCCTGGGAAAACTGGCTAGCCATATGTAGAAAGCTGAAACTGGATCCCTTCCTTACACCTTATACAAAAATTAATTTGAGATGGATTAAAGACTTAAATGTTAGACCTAAAACCATAAAAACCCTAGAAGAAAACCTAGGCATTACCATTCAGGACACAGGCATGGGCAAGGACTTCATGTCTAAAACACCAAAAGCAATGGCAACAAAAGGCAAAATTGACAAATGGGATCTAATTAAACTGAAGAGCTTCTGCACAGCAAAAGAAACTACCATCAGAGTGAACAGGCAACCTACAGAATGGGAGAAAATTTTTGCAATCTACTCATCTGACAAAGGGCTAATATCCAGAATCTACAACGAACTCAAACACATTTACAAGACAAAAACAAACAACCCCATCAAAAAGTGGGTGAAGGACATGAACAGACACTTCTCAAAAGAAGACATTTATGTGCCAACAGACACATGAAAAAATGCTCATCTTCACTGGCCATCAGAGAAATGCAAATCAAAACCACAATGAGATACCATCTCACACCAGTTAGAATGGCAATCAGTAAAATGTCAGGAAACAACAGGTGCTGGAGAGGATGTGGAGAAATAGGAACACTTTTACACAGTTGGTGGGACTGTAAACTAGTTCAACCATTGTGGAAGACAGTGTGGCGATTCCTCAGGGATCTAGAACTAGAAATACCTTTTGACCCAGCCATCCCATTACTGGGTATATACCCAAAGGATTACAAATCATGCTGCTATAAAGACACATGCACACATATGTTTGTTGTGGCACTATTCACGATAGCAAAGACTTGGAACCAACCCAAATGTCTGTCAATGATAGACTGGATTAAGAAAATGTGACACATATATACACACCATGGAATACTATGCAGCCATAAAAAAGGATGAGTTCATGTCCTTAGTAGGGACATGGATGAAGCTGGAAACCATCATTCTCAGCAAACTATCGCAAGGACAAAAACCAAACACCGCATGTTGTCTCTCACAGGTGGGAATTGAACAATGAGAACACTTGGACACAGGAAGGGGAGCATCACACACTGGGGCCTGTCGTGGGGTGGGGGGATGGGGGAGGGATAGCATTAGGAGATACACCGAATGTAAATGACGAGTTAATGGGTGCAGCACACCAACATGGCACATGTATACATATGTAACAAACCTGCATGTTGTGCACATGTACCCTAGAACTTAAAGTATAATAAAAAATATTTAAGAAAAAAACAACAGTGATGATAGCCTGTATTGATATAGTATTTGTTACATGCCAGGGCGGGGTTCTGAATACTGATTTGGCTCAAAATAACTCTATGAGGTAACTATCATTCCCATTTTACACATCAGGAAACTGGAGGCAGAAATATTGTTCCTGCAATAACAGGTCTCCTCCCTCCATAAGTGCAACCTGGCCTGAGACTTGGGGCACTGTCTTCACCCCACCCCATCCCTGAAACTGCTCTGATAGGAACAATAGACCTATACACACAGGCACACACCCAGAAATAGATTGGGATGGTTCTGGCCTGGGTTATTGTGGGTGACTCAGACGGTCAGAGAAAAAGGTAATGTAACGCAGACAAATGTGAGATAATAAGTCTGAAGCCAATGAAACAAAGGAGAGGGAGAGCACATACTAAATAAAAAGTCATGAGTCCCTGCAGCCTGGAAAGGGATTTAGAGTTTACTGTTAAAAAAAAACAAAAAAAAACAAAAAAAACAAAAAAAAAACAACAACAACAAAAAGAAAACCCTCCTTGAAATTGTCAGCACTTTGTACTATCAGAGTACACTTGGGAATCGAGGGGCTCCTGTGTCCATGCCTGTGGCATCTTTATCCACTGATGGAGGCCAGGAAGGAGGGGGTCTGGTCATTCCATCCTGCTGGGGTCAGGCTGGGAGCAGGAGAGCTGTTTCTGAGCCTCGGTGTGTCCACGGTGGATCCATGCTTATTCTGGGTCCCAAGGAAGAGGCTGGGCTGAAACAACAGGAATGTGTCCCTGTAGACAGCCCAGCAAGAAGTGGTGTAGGGTGGGGCAGAAGATGAGTTCCAGGATCTCAGAGTAAGGATTTGCATGGAGGCTGGAAAATCTGGAAGAAAGGCAAAGTACACGCGGATTGCAGATGGTCGGGGTGAATGGGAAGGCTTCAGCCAAACAGGATAGATGGCAGCCAGAAAGGAAGTGTACTGGGGGCTTGAATGGTCTAGAAAAGCCTGCTAGAAGATGGGGCAAAAAAGGTCAGATAATGCAAATATCCAGGGACAAAGCCCTCTGGGGGAGGAGGAGAGGTTTTGAGCATGGAGTGATGGGGATGGTTTAAACCAGGCCAGGAGCCTTTTTTTTTTTTTATTTCTAATTTTAATTTTTAGAGTCAGGGTCTCACTTTTTTTGCCCAGGCTGGAGTGCAGTGGTAAGATCATGGCTCACTGCATCCTTGCTCTCCTTAAGCAATCCTCCCACCTCAGCCTCCTGAGTAGCCAAGACCACAGGTGTGAGCCACAGCACCCAGCTAAATTTTTTATTTTTAGTAGAGATAGGGTCTCATTATGCTGCCCAGGCTGGGCTTGAACTCCCAGGCTCAGGCGATCCTCCTGCCTTGGCCTCCCAAAGTGCTGGGATTATGGACATGAGCCACTGCATTTGGCTCCTGGGGGCATTTTTGTATCCAAAGAACACAAACAGATGATATTAACAAAAGCAAAACCAACTAATTCAGTCTTCATACTTATAAGGTCAATATTATTATCCCTGATTTAAAGAGGAAGAAACTGAAGCACAGAGGGTTTGGGTAACTTAACCTCAGGTCACCCAACCAGCTAGTGACAGAGCTAGAATTCAAACCGAGGTCACCTGGCTGCATTGCATGTGCTCTTGACAAAGATTCTCAACTTGATCTGACTGTAGTCAGGCTTCTCAGAGACCTCTGTCCGAACAGGTCCTGACCTTGGTCTTTGTCCTTATTCCAGGCCCACTTTTAGCAAGAATCCTGTTGAGTCAGTTTATTGAAAATCTCCCACCCTCAGTATCTTATCACCCTGGTCCACCTTCAAAAGAAACCCTGTTAGGTCAGCTTAGTAAAGAATTACCCTATTTCTTAGTGAGCTTCCACCCACCAACCTCCACCCCACATCCCACTCCTTGCCTGTAAATTGCCTGTTTTCTGATTTTATTTGGAGTGGGACTCAGTATTTCTCCCCTACTTCAAAACCCCGTTGTAGTAGCTTCCCTTGAATAGTCTTTCTTGAAAGTCTAAAGACATCTTTAGCAGATGTCATTAATAATTTGTTTTTAATATTCTTTTTTTTTCAGCTCACTGTAGCTTCAACCTCTCGAGCTCAAGGGATCCTCCTGCCTCAGCCTTCTGAGTAGCTGGGATTACAGGCTTGCGCCACCATGCCCAACTAATTTTTTTATTTTTAGTAGAGACAGGGTCTCACTATGTTGCCTAGGCTGGTCTCCAACTCCTGGGCTCAAGTGATCCTCCCACCTCGGCCTCCCAAAGTGATTGGATTACAGATGCGAGCCACAGTGCCTAGCCTGTTTTTAATATTCTTTTTTTTTTTTTTTTTTTTTTTTGAGATGGAGTTTTTCCCTTTTGCTGCCCAGGCTGGAGCGCAATGGCGTGATTTCGGCTCACTGCAACCTCCGCCTCCCGGGTTCAAGCGATTCTCCTGCCTCAGCCTCCTGAGTAGCTGGGATTACAGGCACCCCCCCATCATGCCCAGCTAATTTTGTATTTTTAGTAGAGACTGGGTTTCTCCATGTTGTTCGGGCTGGTCTCCAACTCCTGACATGAGATGATCCATCCGCCTCAGCCTCCCAAAGTGCTGGGATTACAGGCGTGAGCCACTGTGCCCAGACCTGTTTTTAATATTCTTAACCACTACACATACTCCTCTAATGTTAGACAAAAATAAAACTCATAAGAAGGACTCCAGTAAATGCCATAAGTCATTAGGGCCAAGCAGCATTGCCCTGGATCATTTCTAATTGGGTATCAAAATAAGGCAAGAAGGGGAGAGAACAATTCTCTGTTTTGTCCTACACCATAGAGTAGCTTGGGCTTACAATGGCAACCATCAAAGCTAGAGGGATTCTTTGGAGCCCAGGCTGGGGGCAGAGCCACCAGCAGAAGAGAGCTCTATGGCAGGAATGACTAGTGCCTAGAAGAGTAGCTCAGGGATGCCTGAAAGCTAAAGGAGAGAACTCATTCTTGAGAAACCCTGGAAGAACCACTGAGACCCCAGCTGCCTGCAGAGACATTTGCACGAGGCCAAGACTACTGATGGGAGCAGGTGGGGCCAGCAGATGCTGGGGTATTCCGATTGCCCAGCCTGGTGAGCTTGCAAGAAATTGTAAATATTTCCCTCTTTTTCGTGACTCGTTACAGAGAGGCGAGATACAATTTTCTTGGAGTGGGGGAGCAGAGTTGAACAAGTCCAGTTTACTCCGATTTCAAGAATGTTTCTATTAGGCTAAAGAAGATTCAGGATGCTTCGAGGAGGGAAACGATTTCAAGGTGACCTTGTGGAAGGAGCCGGCACTATGAAATGTTTTTGATCGAGTGGAACAAGATAAGCTGTTCATGTTGCGGAAGGGTTCAAAGCCCTGGACACCAGCTGAAATAAGAAAATTCAATTTCTGGCATAAGATTGTGTTTTTTCTGCCTTCTAGAAGAATGTACACATCTGCCCCTCTTCTCTCCCTAATGAAAGCATCGTGTTCCTCTGCAGTCGTTCCGACACAAACGGGGTCGTAAAGGCAGGTTTGCATGGCATAGGTGATACCACTGGCAGGTACTCAGACACAGAGATGGCTGTTTCAGTCCAGAGGCTTCTAGGAAACTTCACACATGGCCAGGGCTGGGACCAGGGAGCGACCCAGGGCTATTTTGATATCATTGTGTTTTCTTTTGTTCTCCCACAAAAGACTCCTCCATGTTTATCGAAAACATTGCTGTCCAGTAGAACTTTCTGCATTCATGGAAATGTTCTATGTCTGTAATATTCAGTAGGGCATCTCCAACCACATGTGACTCCTGAGTACTTGAAATGTGGCCAGTGTGACAAAGAGATTCAATTTTTAATTTTATTTCATTTTAATTAATTTAAATAGCCTCGGGTGGCCAGCAGCTATCTCATTGGATAGCACAGTGCTGAAAGACTCAGTGGAAAGGGCATGATCCTCACGCCCACCTAGATTGGGCTTGAATTCTGCCTCTATCATTTGCTAGCTGTGTGACCTTGGGCAGGTTTCTTAACCTCTCTGACCCTCTCTCTCATCCTCACCTGAAAAATGGGGATGATGATATCAGTGTTGCAGGATTTTGGTGGAAATGAGTTGCATGCACAGAATACACAGCAGGCCATGTGCAAGTAGTAAATCTTAGCTGTAGTTATTAATTCATAAGTATGTCTGTGGCTTCACAATTGACTTGGGATTTCTCAGTTGTGGACACGAACTCTTGCTAACAATGACGGGGCAAAGTGGAGGTAAGGAATGAGGGGTCTTCTGTGTTGGAGGCAATGGGGATCCTGCAGGGCTCAACCAGCAGGATGAGCTCAGACTCAGGGCCCCCCAACAGGCAGAAGGTGGACTTGAGGCATTGTTGGGCGAGCAGGACCAGCCAGCTGCCCTTCCCCGCCCCCACCAGCCGGGCCTCCCTGATTACCGCCAAGGTGAGAGGAGGCCCCTCTCCTAAGAGGGCAAGGATGAGGAGAAGCAGACAGGGAGGGAGGGAGAGGAGAGCAAAGATGTGAGTTCATTGCAAACTCAGGAAAGACTGAGGACAGAGAGACAGGGACCAAGAAGGAAACAGATGGAAGCAGGGACAACAGAAAGCAAAGGAGCAGACAGGAGGCCATGCACAGAGCCAGGGGCAGGGAACCGCAAGGGTGAGGCGGGCAGAGACACACAGGAAGCCAGGGACACAGACACAGAGACCAAGACACAGAGACAGAGACACAGAGAAGACACAGAGACAGAGATATGGACATGGAGACATAGAGACTGAGACATGGAGACAGAGACATAGATAGACGGAGACACAGAAACACAGACTGAGATAAAGGGACAGAGACACAAAGATATAGAGATGGAGACACAGAGACAGAGACACAGACATGGAGATATAGAGACAGGAAGCTAGAGACACAGAGAGACAGAGACACAGAGACAGAAACAGAGGGAGAGAGACACGGGAACATAGACACATGAAAATAGAGATACAGAGAGACAGAGGCAGAGACATGGAGACAGACACAGAAATACAGAGGCAGGAAGACAGAGACACAGAGAGATAGAGACACAGACAGAGACACAGGAACACAGAGACATGAAGACAGAGACAAAGAGACAGAAAGACACAGAGATAAACACGGAGAGATGGAAACACAGAGACAGAAGACAGAGATAGAAATGCAGGAACATGAAGACAGAGACAGAGAGATACAGAGAAAGAGACAGAGACACAGAGACAGAAATGGAAAGAGACACCGAGATGCAGAGATAGAGAGACTGATACAGAGAGAGAGATGCAGAGAGTCAGAGACAGAGAGACAAGCAAAAAGAATAAGTGGGATGGGGGACAGGGCAAGACAGAGCAAGAAACATAAGTCACACACACGCACGCACGCACACACACGGACAGAGATGGGAAGACAGGCTGAGAGAGACAAAGCAAAACATAGACAGGGAAATAAAAAGATGAGAGAAGAGTGAGTTAGGAGGAGGCAGGGAGGAAAAGCTGGAGAAGGCATGGATGGAGTGGCACAGGGGGACCGCAGAGACCCACAGCAAGACGGAAATACATTTCAAAAAAGAAAAGCAAGAAATGGAGGGGCATAGATGTGGCTGAGTGCCAAAGGGAGACTGGTTGGCAGGGGCGGGGCTGGGAGGGAGGGGCTGGGTGGGCCCGCAGCAGCGGGGCAGAAGCAGCTCCACCTAGGCTGGGGGCTTGCATGGTGTATCCCCGTGAGGTTTCCCACCGAGCCCTCTTTGTTCCTCCACCTCCTCCTCACCATCAGGCAGAGGGCTTGGGAACTTGGGGGCAGCCAAGGATTCCAGAGCCCCCCTCGCCCGCGCTCCTTCCCTCTAACTCGGGAGTCGTTAATCTTGGAGGGCAGGTTGGTCTTTTATTAGCTATCTCCAAGGGTCAGCTTAGAAGTATCTGAGAAGATACTGGTTCAGAATGTCATTTGTCATCTGGAGGCCTGACGGGTGGCCGCATCGACTCAGCCCCCTCCTGTCCTCCCTGGAATTTAGGAAAGCGAAAGCTGCTCTTAACCTTTCCCTTAAATGGAGCTTTAATTCCTCTCTCCTTCTCTGTTTGCTCATCAGGGCAGCGCTATGGGAACAATAGGAAGCCACAGGCAGGAAGGGGGGATTGCTCCTCCCAGGGAAAGGTGGGGTGTCCCTGCTCCTTGCAATGCCTCCCTCCCCACTTCCCAGCCCCCCACATCAGCTGTTCTCAAGCTTGGTTGTATGTGGGACTCTCCTAGGAAGCTAAAAAAATGGCTGAGGGGGCCGGGCACAGTGGCTCATGCCTGTAATCCCAGCGCTTTGGGAGGCCGAGGCAGGTGGATCACAAGGTCAGGAGTTCCAGACCAGCCTGACCAAGATGGTGAAACCCCATCTTTACTAAAAATACAAAAATTAGCAGAGTGTGGTGGCCGGCGCCTGTAATCCCATCTACTGGGGAGGCTGAGGCAGGGAATTGCTTGAACCCGGAGGGCAGAGGGTGCAGTGAGCTGAGATCATGCCACTGCACCCCAGCCTGGGTGACAGAGCGAGACTCTCTCAAAAACAAACAAAAAAAGATGCTGAGGCCTGGGCTCACCCACAGAGGTTGAAATTTCATTGCTCTGGGCTGAAGTTCAGACATTGCAGCGTTCAAACCTGTCCTCAGGTGATAGTAATGAGCAGCTAAGACGAAGGTCTGCTGAGCTAGATGATCCCCTACCTGCCTTTTCATCATCATCCAGTCTCAAACCAGGCAACACCTCCTCTGAGAGGCCTTCCCTAGTAACCTTCCCTTGAAACAATGCCTGATCACAATCCCCCATTCATCTGCTGCCAAGCATTAGCAGCCATCTAAACAGTGATTAAGAGCCTGGCCTCTCAAGCCAGCACATGTGGGTTCCGATCCCCAAGCCACTCCTCCATAGCTAGGAGATCTCGGGCCAGTCACTTATTCTCTGTGCCCCCAATTCCCCCTTCTGTAAACTGGGAATGATAACGCTTTCAAGGATTCTAGTGTGGATTCAAGGAGCCAACAAAGGCAACGTGCATGGGAGAGTGCCTGGCACAGAGTGAGCCCTATATTAGTGTTTGCAACTGTTATTACCTTGCTTTTTATCTCCTCTTGTTTAGCTCTTCCTGCAAGCTTCCTTATGGACTAGGCCATGATTATCATCTTCATCGTCCCCATTTTACAGATGAGAACACTGAGGCATGAGAGAGTAAGAAACTTGGGCAAGGGGCTAGGTTTCACCATGACTGTTTGACTGTGGCCCTCCAGAGCTAGTAAGGGTAGAAGCCTGTGCAAGCTGGTAAGAGGCTGGGCAGTTGGCCTGTTTTACCCTGGCCTGTAGGGCTTGAGCTTTCGTGGACATCAGCACAGAGAAAGAGGTGTTCCAGTTGGAGGAAGCAGCTTGTTCAGCCATAGGAAGCAGCCTGGGGCTTCTGGGAAAGGTACTGGCTCTGGGTGGTGTTGGGAGTGGGAAGAAGTTGGGGGGAGTGGAGGCAGGGCTGGCACCAAGAGCTCTGGAGGGAATGTCAAAGATGGAGAGTTGTGTTGAGGTTTTGGTTCTGCGTCCACATGGAGATGGAGAATGACTGGAACGCAGGTCCCCTAACTTCCGGTCCTTGGGTCTTGCCCATGGACCCTGGTCTAGCGCTTCGAAATCGTAGACAATTGGGATCCGTGTCTGAAGTTGGTTGGGTGAGATAGTTCTGGGGTCAAACCCCTCTAATCTGGGCTGCAAACTCAACACCTCCACTCTCCAGCTGCATGGCCTTGGGTAAGGTCCATGACCTGTGTCTGCCTTGGTTTCCTCTCCTGTAAATGGAGGTGAGGAACCTCCCTCAGAGGATGTGGTGAGGACTGACTGAGACGAGGCATGAAAAGCATGGAGCACCCTGCCCGCCTGAGTAAACAAAATACTCACCATTGCTGACACTGACAACCATCTCCTGGGTGGGAAGGATGAGGAGAAAAATAGAACAGCTGGAAATGATTATGATTGGGATGTGGCACAACAAAGGAAGGAAGGAAGAGAGGAAGGAAGGAGGGGAGGGAGGGGGGAGGAAAGGAAGAAAGGAAAGGAAGGACGGATGGTGGGAGGCAGGAAGGATGAAAGGAGGGAGGGAGGGAGGAAGGGAGGGAGGATGGAAGTGAGGGAGGAAGGAGAGGGAAAGGGAGGGAGGCAGGGACGGAGGGAGGAAAGAAAAAAAGGAAAGAAAGGAAGGAGGGGGAAAGGGAGGGAGGGAAGGAAGGAAGGAAAAAGGAAGGAAGGAAGGAAGGATGGAAGGAAGGAAGGCTGGCTGAGAGGTTTTCACAGATGAATGATTTTCAGTGGTAAAACCAGGGAAGTCCTAGGCAAATAGAGATGAGTTAGTTGCTCTAAGGAAAGGTCTAAAGCAGTACACTTTAATTCTTCAAGCGCAAAGTAAGTCAAAAGAAAAGCAAGGAAATTGAGTCAAGCTACAGCACAACCAATTGAGGTTAGATCTCATACAGGACTTCCTGGCTACTGAACAACAGGCACGGGTGGGCGCGCCCTTTAGCAACTGGGAAGAAAGCTCAGAGTTCAGGAGGCAACTAGGAGAAACGGCGAAGCGCCTCTCTGGGGATGGAAGGTCCGTGTTGGCTGCTGGTTGCCCTCTGTGACCGGGTCAGCTCTCCTGTGACCCATCGTCCTCGGCAGAGCCAGCAGTACATTTCCAAATGCCAGACATCAGAGGCTCAGGAAAGATGCTCAGCCCGATTCCGACAGAGCAGGTTAGGGGCAGGCATATGCTTGGTGGCACGCAGCCTAATCTCAGAGAAAGTGTTCTGATAGAAAGATTCATGATAGCCATCCGGGCTGCAGACACCAGGCCTTAACTTCCAATTCCAAGAGCCCTGCGGTGCACGCCTCTTACCCGGCGGCTGGCATTGCAGCAGGTCTCAGGCCAGGCAGATTTACAGCATATTATCAGCAAATGAATGTCACAGCTGGTCTTTGTGCTTCAGAGGAAAGGAAAAGAAAGGAGGACAGTTCAGAAAAAAAGGAGGCTTCAGGATCCAGATGATTCTGAATCCCTTTCTAACCTTCTGTGTAGACAGGCTGGAGCTACAGGGTGGGGTGGGCATAAGAACCCTGCAGCCATTGTCTACAGAAGGCACTGAAGTCTGCAGGGGTGGGTGAGCGCAATGCAGCAAACCAGGGTGTTTCCATAACAAAGGGGAGCATGCTGGCCTCCCCACTCCAGCAGAAAGGGCTGGGAGGAGAGAACAGTATCTCAACTCTGCAGCTCAAACACACTTCCTCATCTGTTGGAGCACGGTGGTCCAATGTGTCTCTGACGCATGGCCTCCTGGGGACCACAAGGGGGTAAAGGAGGTGACTTTAGGGTAGGGACTCCCAGGATCACAGCCTCTTCTCTAATTCCAGGCAGGAGGACAGGGCCATAAAAAAACACAAGTTCTGTTTTACTTTTCTCCAACTGGCTATAATGAAAAGGTTCAAATATTCAGAAAAGTTGTAAAAGTAATGCAATAAATAGCACCTAGATTCAATGGCTAATATTTCGTTAGCAATGCTCTATCATACCTGTTTGATGTATGTGTGTATATTCTTTCTGCACTATGTGAAGTTGCAGTCATCGTGATTCATTACCCCTAAATACTTCTGTCTTCTAGGAAAAAGGCATTCTCCCTTCTACAACCACAACACCAATTATCACACCTAAGAAAATGAAAATTCTATATCATCTAATATCCAAATTCAAATTTCCTCATTTGTCCCAAGAATGCATTTAACACATTTTCAAAAATGCATTCTTGTGACACTTCGATCAAGATCCATGCACTATATATTTACTATGTCGTTGTAGCATCTTTTAATCTGGACCCGCCACAACCCCCTCTACATTTTTATTACACTGATTTTATGTAGAGTCCAGTTGTCTTGCAGAATGTCCCACATTCTGGATTTGCCAGATTGCTTTCCCATGTTGTCGTTTCACTTTTTTCTCTGTCTCACATATTTTCTGTGAACTGGAATTTGAGCCTCGATATGATCGAGGTTCGATTCTAGTTAATTTCGTGAATTAGATTTATGCTTTACCTTTTCAGCAAGGAACCTTTTTAGAGGGCACTCTGCACTTCATATGGCATTACATTACTACATTCAGTGGTAAATAACATAAGGGTGTCACGCTATCAATGAAGAAAAGTGTGTCACTTGGTTAAGGCGGTGACAGCTGGTCACCTATTGTGAAGACACACTTTACCCTCCTTTACTTTACAAAGATAGCCATGATTGAGGTTGGAACTAGGCAACACCTCTTTTCTCCACCAATCTTTCTCCAAATGGTTATAGCATCTATTGCTAACACCTGCCTGAAATACTTATTAAACTGCAAGTTTAAAAATGATACTTTTCACCACTGATAGGTGTATATATTCACAAGAAAGGAAATCAGCATATCAAAGAGATAGCCCCACTCCCATGTTGGTTGGAGCTGTTCACAATAGACAAGATTTGGAAGCAACCTAAGTGTTCATCAACAGATGAATTGTTGAAGAAAATGTGCTACATATTTACAATGGAGTACTACGCAGCCATAAAAAAGAATGAGATCCTGTCATTTGCAACAACATGGATGGAACTGGAGGACATTATGTTAAGTGAAATACACTAGGCACAGAAAGACAAACTTTGCATGTTTCCACCCATTTCTGGGTGCTAAACATTAAAACAATTGAACTCATGAAGACAGAGGAGAAGAATAGTTACCACAGGCTGGGAAGGGTAGTGGCAGAGGGTGGGGATGATTAATAGGTATAAAAATATAGTTAAATAAAATGAGTAAGACTTAGTATTTGATGGCACAACCGGGTGATTACAGTAATTTATTATACATTAAAACTTTTAAAAATAACTAAAAGGGTCTAATTGGAATGTTTGTAACATAGAGAAATGACAAATGCTTGAGGTGATGGATACCCCATTTACCCTGATGTGATTATTACACATTGTATGCCTGTATCAAAATACATTAGGTACCCCATAAATATATACACTACTATGTACACACAAAAACTAAAAATTAAAAAATGATACTTTTTCTGTCTTTCCTTCTGTTTCTCCTTCTGTATTAGCTGGTATAAGAATTCTTGGCTGGGCACGGTGGCTCACACCTGTAATCCCAGCACTTTGGGAAGCCGAGGAGGGCAGATCACGAGGTCAGGAGTTCGTGACCAGTCTGGCCAACATGGTGAAACCCCGTCTCTACTAAACATACAAAAAAAAAATTAGCCGGGCATGGTGGCATGCATCTGTAATCCCAGCTACTCGGGAGGCTGAGGCAGGGGAATTGCTTGAACCAGGGAGGTGGAGGTTGCAGTGAGCCGATATCGAGCCACTGCACTCCAGCCTGGGTGACAGAGTGAGACTCCGTCTCAAAAAAAAAAAAAAAAGAATTCTTAAATAAGTTCTTTCGTTTTCTTTCCCTCTTCTTTCTAAAAGTCCCTATAGGCTTAGAAATTTTAGCCATTCAACATATAACAGACAACTTCTGTCATTTCTCAAACTAAAATTCTCCCAAATTTGGCTATTGCGAGCCCCACAAACCTGGATTTGGGGCTCTTTTGACACATTTCCATCATTTTTGACACATCTTTGCTTTCTGAAACAATTGGATGACCCAAGCTCACTTCATACATCTCTACCACAGACCCGGAGTAAATCATTCCTCCAAAGAATGAGGCTCCTTTCAGCAGGGGGTGGCATTTTTAAACCAAAATCTGGGCTTCAGATGTGATAAGCACAGATTCTGCTGCCAGATAACATGGGTTTAAATCTTAATCCAAGTAGGGCATGGTGGCTCACGGCTGTAATCCCAGCACTTTGGGAGGCTGAGGCAGCAGAATCGATTGAGCCCAGGAGTTCAAAACCAGCCTGGGCAGCACAGTGAGACTCTATTAAAAAAAAAAAAATAGCCAGGTATAGTGGCACATGCCTGTAGTCCCAGTTACTCAGGAGGCTGAGGCATGATAATTGCTTGAGCCTGGGAGGCCAAGGCGCGCGGATCACCTGAGGTCAGGAGTTCAGAACCATCCTGGCCAATATGGTGAAACCCCATCTCTACTAAAAATACAAAAATTAGCCAGGCGTGGTGGCACATGCCTGTAGTCCCAGCTACTCAGGAGGCTGAGGCAGGAGAATCACTTGAACCTGGGAGGGAGAGGTTGCAGTGAGCTGAGATTGCACCACTGCATTCCAGCCTGGGCAACAGAGTGAGACTTTGTCTCAAAAAAAAAAAAAAAAAATGTCTAATTCAGCCACCTACTAGCTGTGTGGTCTCATGTAAATCACCTCACAGTTCTGTATGTCAATTTTCTCATCTGTAGAATGGGGGTAGTAACAATAATATATTCCACTTTGTTACATTGTTAAAAGGATTAACTATGTTCCTCTTTGTGAAGCCATTCAAACAGTACTTGGCACCCAGTGAGTGCTATACAGATGTTTGTTAAATATATATGTGGCCTTACAACTTATGAAGACGGGGGAGAGGGTGGAAAAGACCCTCAGGCATCCTGAGACAGAGACAGAAAATTCTTTTTAAAGATCTTATTCAACTTGGATGAACATAAGTGAAAATATCATTATGTTTATTTTTACTCTCTTTCCATCTATTAATGGCAAGTCACACTGACATGGGAACTGATTTGACATGTGGAGTCTTGAATCAAAATTTCCTTCCTAATAATGAAAGTAAATTTTTATTCAAGTAAAATAGAGATGCACAACAAAGCTTCCTTTTAAAATAAGCGTATTTTTTAAAAAATCAAATGAGATGATTTTTAAAAAATGACTAATTCCTAACAGCTATGAAATGCAATATGTCAAAAATGAATGATGATGGAATGACAGCAATCAAGGTTTGGGCAATACTCTAATAAAGATGCCTGGGAGGGAATCCTTATTCCTATTGTTTGGAAAGATGTTTCATTTTTTAAATTAAAATAATTATTTTAATAAGCTCTGGATGCATGTGTTATAAGGTCCACCACCATCTGAGTCCTTCAAGGCTGAAGATCCAATAGGAGAGCGCAGGAGATCTCCATGAGACAACAGAAATGAAGTTGAAAATTCACCTTAATCATATTTTCCCCACCTGCCTTTCAGTGAGGAGATGTGGGTGGAGGAAGGGCTGAAATTTCCAGGAGGGCTGCTCCTGGGAGAAGATCGTATAGCCCTATGTGGGGTGCTATACATGCCCCCACATATATTTCTATATGCCTTGGTCATAAATGCTTATCCCTTGGATTTTGCATAAATGCAAAAATAAATAAGTGAAGAATTAAAAAATAAATGCTCATCTTAAACACAGCATCGGAAGCCATAGACCGTCTGCATTGCGGGTTCTCTATATATAGAATGAGAATTCCCTTTCCATCCACAATCACCTTTGACTTCTTCGTATTAAAACCTGGACCCCAAAGAGCAGCAACTACAAAATGGGATTCATTGACCAGCAGTTCACAGAGGTCCAAAAACAAACTTAGTTAAGAGCCGAGGGTAGGAAGAGGCAAGAATCAAGGATGGCCATGCTCAAGCAGAGAGAGGCAAAGGAAAGCAAGGATGGAGTCTGTGTGTGGTGTTTGCTGTATTGACGGACGTTCAGTTTTATGCTTTGACCTCCAGTCAACTCATCAGCCCTTTCATGAGTATCTATCACGTGCCAAAACCCAGAGGAACTCAAAAGAAACATCCTACAGCATTACCTAATGATTCCAACCATTACATGTGCTCTTTTCACTGATAGCCCTGGCTGGAAACTGAGGTTTTAATCAGGTGGCAATTTCAGGGTCTTTAGAGAACCATCCTATGAGAAGTCACTGCAGGGTGACTATTTCTTGGAATTTGTAGATCATGAAAATGGGAGTAGTGCCCTAGCCTAGGCTCTCCCCTCCTCCCCTTATTCTTTCCTTCAGTCACTTATTCTCATGCAGCTTCAGAAGATGGAAGTTCTCACACCGCCGTGAAAATGATCAGCTGGAACGGGACCCTCTCCAGAGTACATTTGAGGGTACGGTAGATGTAAAGTGGTAGTGTTTTCTCAACCAAAAATTGAGACATGCGATCTGCCAAAAATAAGTCCCTGTGGGGACAGAGAGACAGGCTATTTTTAAGGTGGGACTCCCTCCGAAAATCCGGGGTGGAAGCTGATGACAATTGTAGTGGGGTGTTCCCTCTAGTGAGTTTTGCACAAGTGCCATTTAGCGTCTGTCTCTGTGCTTTTCTCACATACCCAAAGCATCTGCCAGCAGTTGTGTCTGCATGTGCTTTGCAATAGACAGGGAAGGGAGATGCGAGCCCAGAACTCTTTCCTGTATGTGGAATATAGAACTCCCAGGCATAAACAAGCCCCATGAAGACAGAATACGATAAGGAGGTTGGCAGTTGCAGTGGGATGTCCTGATTTTTCTCTCCTCTGGATCCCTGCCCTGAAATAATCAGAAGAAAGCTTCTCAAGTTGATGTCTTTATAGAGTAATACCTGGAGAAATTTTTTAATTTTAAATTTTCTTAAAATGCCAAAATAATTAAGGATAATAGAGTCCCTGCTGTGGAATAAGAACCATTCAATTAGTTGAAGTACACTCCTGTCAATCTTGTAAACAACCGGGGATATAAAATTAAGGACAGCCACAAGAGAATGAAAACTGTGAAGTCAGGATCTGAGGGTGCTGTTTCTGCAAGTGGGCATTCAACAAACATTAGTTCATAAATGAATGAATGAATGAACTCTACCTAAGTTGCAAATTAAGAGCCTACATATTTTCTTTATGTCTTTTACATTAGATTTGTGAAGAACAAATCTGACTGATTCAGTCCAGACTATGCAGTAATTCATCTTGGATCACATGACTCACTCCATCCATTCAGCTGTGGCCACAAGGATGGATTCTACAGTAGAAATAGCACTCTAGGATCAGGGATGGGTAGGGAACTTCCAAAGAAGGAAATATGGATAGAGCAGGCACCCCAAAACTTGATCTCAGCCTTCAGTTCTTTGCTAAGGGCATGACAAGGATTATTCGTTCAGTGTGGCTAAGGGAATTATCCTGGTCTGGTTTGCGTGATCTTCGGTGGCTCCCATATGGTTTTAGTATATGTTGGAATGGTTATGTTTTGCTTCTGTTCTAAAGCCCTAAGTTTGCTTCTGAATTACCCATAATAGTGCAGATGCTTGCTTTCTTCCAATGCATTTTGTTGCAAGATTTGAGCTCACTCTCTCGCAACCCCTTCTCCTCCCCTTCTCCCTTTCCCTTTCCCTCTTGCTTCCTCTCTTTGGTTCTCCTCCCTGCCACCCAAGTACTTTGCTGCCGCACCTCTGTACTGTTTCTCATTAGAGTCTTTCCTGCAGAATTAATATTCTTCTGTGGAACTCAGGGAGGGCTGGTTATTGTGTTTGGGTGAGAAGGGTTCGTTATTCTTCTTTGAAATCTGAGCTATAAACAGGCTCCCTGTTGCATAGGGAAATGTAGCCATGATACTTTTTGTATAACTATAATGCTATTACGTATTCCCCCAGCCCTAGAAAATGCAATGAATGGGCATTATGGTTTAATCACTCTTTTCCCAGTGTTATGTGTCCTGCACTTATACATAGGACACTTAATATAAGGTTGGTTATCTATACACCATCTAGTCATGACAATGAGAAATAGGTCTGAGTCTCATGTTTACAACAGTATAACAGGTTAGTAAGGTAGTACTCTATCAAATGATGTTGGATCCTCCTAAGGGCACATACAGAATTGTACTTCTTCACTCTTTTGATGTTAGACATGAGCATGTGACTTGTTTTGTCCAGTGAAGCATGAGCAGAAATAGAACATATCACTTACAAATGGAAATGTTACCAGCCAATGTGTGATTTTTTTTTCCATCTACTTTTTACCTCTACCACGCTGGCAACACTCCAAAGTAGACATTCCATAGGCCTGGATCTTGGAGCTAGGAGAACCTTCAGTAACTTCTGATAGACCTTCCTCTAAGCCACAGCAATATGGGTTGTTTGTTACTGCAGCAAAACTTAGCCTATCCTGACTGATATATATATATTTATATATAATATATATATTTTTATATATGTAATATATATACTTTTATATATGTAATATATATATTTTATATATTATATATTATATACATATAATAAAAATATCTCACACATAAAAAAATTTCTTTCATGAATTTATATATCTACCATCCATCTGTTCAAATACATATTGTGCACTTTCTATGCAAAAGGTGTTTGAATAAAAGAGAATTGATTGTAGGAAGTGATATCAAATAGGACATGTGAGATATATATATATATATATATATATATATATACACACACACACACACACACCTATACATATATATACACACATGTATATGTATATACCTGTAATATATACCTGTAATAGGATTGACTATGCGTAAGGCACAGTGCTAAGTATTTTGAATGAATTAGTTTATGAGATTTTTTTAATTAAAATACTTTTTTTGAGACAGAGTCTCACTCTGTGGCCCAGGCTGGGCTGGAGTGCAGTGGCACAATCATGGTTCACTGGACCTTCCAGGCTCAAGTGGTCCTCCCACCTCAGCCTTTCAAGTAGTTGGGACCACAGGCATGCACCACCATGCCTGGCTATTTTTTTTAAAATGTTTTATAGAATCAGGGTCTAACTATATCACCCCGGATGGTCTCAAACTCCTGGGCTCAAATGATCTTTCGGCCTTGGCCTCCCAAAGTGCCCAGATTACAGGCATGAGTCACTAACCCAGCCTTAACTTTTTTTTTTTTTAATCATAAGAACCATTTTATGGTTTAGGAAAAGAAACAAAAAACTAAGAAAAAACAAAACCCGAGCCTCATAGAGTTTCTGTCTCTCACCCAGCATTGCATAGCTAATAAGTCACAGATTTGGGTTTCAAACCAGGTGTGTCTGCCTCCAAACTACTTAATCACTATGCTATATTGCCTCTTTCCAAACACTAAGATAGTTTTGTGTTTCCTCAGAAAACCATGAGAAAGCAAAGAAAAATAAAAACTCTGCCCTTTCAGATCCTTGCAGCCAGCCAGGCTCTCCGGGTTTGGTTTGACAGGTTGTCTTCCCTTCAAAATGAAAAGAGAGGCACATGGACAGAAATAAAGGCCAGCTGTTCAGTGGAGCGAGATACCTGTGTGCACGCCAGCAGAGCCAGGCGATTATTTCAGGAGCCGCTGGAGTTGGCGGCTCCGTTCTCGCCTCCATCCACCCTGGATGCGTAGGCCAGGGCTGACATTACCCAAATAAGGGAGAATCTCCCCAGATTGCATGTTTGTATACAGACTTAGGAAAATGTGAGAGATTCTGGTTAGAACACACTGATACCATCATTAATCAACAACCAGGGAGAGAAATTGAAGGGATGAAAAGGTAGGTTCTTGTACAAGAAAAAGATTTGTGGGAAGAGATTAGAAATATTGAGAAACCAGAGAATATTTTTGCAAACGTTTTTCCATTCTTAAAGTTTCAAAAGTTAACCAATAAAGGCAGCCCCCAAAGAACTCATGTATTTATTCATTCATTTGAAAAATTACTTTCTGAATGTTTGCTGTGTAGGTGACTGAGATGTGAAGATAGAAACAACATTTTATGGAACAAACACTTAGATAAAACCTACTATGTATCAGGCATGATTCCAAATGCTTTACATGTGTTCATTCATTCCATACTCATTTAAAAAATTCCAGAGAGGTAGCTATGCATTATCTCCATTTTGCAGAAGAGGAAACTGAGGCACAGAGAGTTATGTGTTATCTTGCTCAAAATCATGCAACCTTTGGGATTTTTTTTTTTAAATGGAGTCTTGCTCTGTTGCCTAGGCTGGAGTACGGTGGTGCAATCTTGGCTCACTGCAACCTCCACCTCTTGGGTTCAAGCAATTCTCCTGCCTCAGCCTCCCGAGCAGCTGGGACTACAGGTGCGTGCCACCACGCCTAGCTAATTTTTTGTATTTTTAGTAGAGACGGGGTTTCACTGTGTTAGCCAGGATGGTCTTGATCTCCTGACCTCGTGACCCGCTGCCTCGCCCTCCCAAAGCGCTGGGATTACAAGCATGAGCCACCTCGCCTGGCCAGCCTTTGGGATTTGATCCCTGGTGGGTCTGGCTTCCACACTGTGCTGATAGCATACTACCTCACAGGGTCTTGGTCTTCAAGCTCGCATGTCAGTAGAGAAGAGAGAAAGAAATAATCTTTTTTTTTTAAATTTTATTATTATTATACTTTAAGTTTTAGGGTACATGTGCACAACGTGCAGGTTTGTTACATATGCATACATGTGCCATGTTGGTGTGCTGCACCCATGAAATCATCTTTTTTTAGAGTGTGAAGCCTGTTTTGATGGAGAGATCTGAGGAGAAAGAATTCAGTTCTACTTGAGGACTTCAGGGAGACTCTTAAATGCTTACATGCATTTGTTAGCCTGGTGGGCAAGTGGAGAAAAGGGCCCCTTAGGTGGAAGGAGTGGTTTGAGCAAATGCAGAGGCAGGAGACAGCCTAGGCTCCTCAGGAAAGTGCTGAGGCATGGAATGTGCAAAGGAGGACAGCAGGAGATAAAGCAAAAAAGGGTACCAGGTCAGAGGAAGGAGGTGCGCCTCTTCCAACTAGGCACTGCAGGGGTTGAGCGTCTGCCTTCTGCAATGCTGATGCACCAGTGGAAAAGCATCCGCTGCTTTGTAGATCTCTCCCAGCTGTGCTGTTGGAAAGGCACCCGGCAGCTGAGTGCAGGGCTGGCTGGGAGGGTAGGTAGCAGAGCTATTGAGAGAGGGCCCTTTAAAATCAGACCCCTCTGAGCTTGAATCTCAGCTCTCAGTTACCACCTGAGTGGTCTCAGGCAACTGACCAAACCTTCCAGAGCCTCAGCTGCCAAATGGGTTGCTGCAAGGGCTACATATAAAAAGTGGTTATTACTAGATCTGGATGTCGATGTTCCACTTAAGAGGATGTTACTATACAGTAGGTGAAGGTAGACACATGGCAGTACTGCCCTGCCATGAACAGGGTTGTTTCTCCCATCTCACAGTGAAAAGGAATTTGTTTGCCCTGATTTATCCATGTTAACACACAGAGCTTCCTGAAAGACCAAATGCAAGGTGAAGTTGATGTGCAGTCAGCAGAGCCAATCAAATTGGCTGATGTGGGAAACCAGCTCACACTCTCCATCTCAATCAAGCGCTCTAATCCAGAGATGTTCCAGCTTTAAAGCACACACAAATCACTGTGATCTTGTTAAAAGGCAGACTCTGACTCAATAGGACTGGGGAGGAGCCTGGGATTCTGCATTTCCCACCATCTCCCCATGCTGCTATTCCATTGACCGCCATTGGCATAGTCTGGCCCCAATCCGCAAGATCACTTTCATCATCCTAAGACCTAAGTTATCAAGCCCAAGAGTGAAAATGCAACCCAATGCCTCTCATTAATTGGCTTATTCTCTCATCCTTCCGTTAAATATTTTCTAAGCATCTACTATGTTCCAGGTCCTGGGAAAATACAGATATATACAACATAGGCCCTGTACTCAATCAGCTTGCCCACCCTATGCACATGGAGAAGGAAAAGAGAAGGGGACTGGCCATTTGGGGGGTACTCACTTCACATATGACATCTCAGTGAATTCTCCCAACATTCTATGAAATTGCAACCATTCAACCCACATTAGAGACTAGGCAACTACAGCCTGCCGAGTAAGGATAGCTCAGGGCTGGGGCGCGGTGGCTCACACCTATAATCCCAGCACTTTGGGAGGCCGAGGTGGGTGGATCACCTGAGGTCAGGAGTTCAAGACCAGCCTGGCCAACATGGCGAAACCCCAACTCTACTAAAAATACGAAAATTAGCCGGATGTGGTGGCACACACCTGTAATCCCAGCTACTCAGGAGGCTGAGGCAGGAGAATCGCTTGAACCCAGGAGGCGGAGGTTCCAGCGAGCCAAGATCACACCACTGCACTCCAGCCTGGGCAATAGCCATTGTTGGCATTGGGATTTGAAGCCACATCTTTTGATTCTGAGATCACTGCCTCGTTTATACTTAACTGTAAGTTGTTGATTGTGTTCTCTTTTTATTTACTTTGAGCTTGGCTGTGTCTCTTTAGTTTTAGAGAGTGAACTTTTTTCCCTCATAAATTTAAATGCTGACATAAGGAGGAAAAATCCTGCTGTAATTGAACAAAAGGATGTTTACAACCTTCTTTGAGTCATAGAGCTCCTGGCACATGAAATTTATGACTGCAAGGAAAGGGGAAATAAAAAGAAGGGGGAAGACCAAGACAGATGTAACTGTGGAAATGGTGTGCTAATGTATGGGTTGACATTCTGACACTTGCACATTCAGTTGGGTAACTTTTTGGAGGCCATTTCACCAGCTAATGAAGATTTACTTAATAAACTCTCAAACTTGCCAGAGCTAGACTCTTTAAAACAACCCTATAAATTACAAAGATGGTGGCATGTTCAAGAGACCTTGCAGTTGTTAAAGGATGGAATGCAGTTGCCAGAGTTACAAAGGTCATTGTCTAGGAATCTTGTGCCCGTCTCTGGAGGGCTGAGGGACCTTTCAAAGGACTGGCTCCGATGTGTGCACCCTATCCAGATAAATGCATACAGATGTTCTTTGAACTTGATCAACTCGCTTCTCAGCATGAATGCAAAATTGATTGGGCCAAATCAGAGCTCGTGCCAGTGAAGGCTGGCTGCATACAGAAATAAAATCAGCCACCTCCCATTTACTTAGAAGTCTCTGGCTTAAAATACATTGGAGGAAAATGTGCGCTTCACGTTAGAGCAGGAGCCAAATTGCACAGCGACAAAATTATTCCCATCATCATGACAGCCTCAGCCAATCGTTTCCTTTTTTAATGTGCTGAAAGGAGGCAAGTTGGCATCATTAAAAGTATTTTTTTCTCAAAAATACATCATGAAATATGGAGAAACTAGAAACAGAAGAAGGGGGCCCACGCATAAATCTAATTCTGAGACCGGACTATGGAGATTTTCTGTTCTGGTTGCACTACGAAGGTTCTAAGGAAAGAGGTTGTATTTTTTGCCTCCCGCCTCTCTTGATGGCCTGAGGTTGATGTGGATGTAGATTTTTTTTCCTTTAATTCAGCTCCCGTTTTTCAAGCAGTGCCCCTTTCACTGAATGATTATCCCCAGTAACCTTTGATCTTCACTCTTCCTTGATGAAAAACTGCAACTATATCATGTCTTTTTGATGTGGTCTTTCTTAAGTACTGAGTCAAGGTGATCATTGATCCTGCACGCCTTCATTTCCTCTTCCCAAATGAGTCCAGTGTTCCCTTCACCCTTCCTTCTGTCTTTTATTACCTAACGAAGTTCTAGAAGCCAAGCCAGGATGCTCTGATGTGAAAACTGCCTAAAAGGGAAAGGTTAACCCTGAAGCCAGTGCTCAGCCAGCCTGTCTGAGAGATCCCTGTTCCTGAGCCATAAAGCGATGCTTCTTCATACCCATTTTTGTCCTTCAGCTTCTTTCTGTGGAGAAAAAAATTTTTTCTCTAATTCAGACCCAGCAAATTGGTGTGCTCCTAACTTAGTCTCAGAAATTCTGATTTCCAGATGTCTTATGCCCTTTAATATCTGTTTCAGATTACCAACCTCACCACTGAGAACTGAAAGCATGTGTTTCTTCTTCTGTGCTAAGTTGCATTTTGTTCTTTTTTCAAACCTCATCCTTAGAAATTAGACTTTGCTGTCTTTGGTTGTTTCTAGTACACAACTGAGATTTCCTTTCCAGCACCGTGACTTAATATCCCTTTCTGGAATATTACTTACGGAGAGAAGGAGTAAATTCTTCAAGATTTTGAATATTCTATAAGACTATGTCCCCATTTTTACTTCAGAGGAAATCGGTCACCATTGATTTTAAGGATGAAAGTTGCACAGATGAAGAGGGAGCATATTATTCAAATCAAAGCCCAGTAATTCAGGGATGATCAAAGGTTTCATCTCACATGTCAAGTCAAATAAATGGGTAGTGTTGTCTGGCACGCTGTGGTGAGAAAATTCTGAGGCTGGGTTCAGACAGGATGAGAAAATGTGGTGAAAAAGTTCAGTAATGTCCGCCATGGGTGATACGTTAGGACATCTATTCACTTTTTAAAATGCTAACTCTTGCATAAGAAAATCCACAGTTTTTCTGATATACCTACCAGATATATTTTAAAGAAGTTTCAAGAAAAAGTCAAAATTTCCAGGGCAAACTATCAAGTGGTCTTCCCCTAAAGCAGACACTTCTGTCAAAAGGTTTTATTACACACGCCAACTCTGATTGATAAATGATTGTCAGGACGGCTGGGTTAATCTCCATAACTGATTAGTAATGTCTACCACAGATGAAGGCATGGACGTGGTGCTACATGTACCCAGTATTTTCTCTCCTGGTTTAGCTCAATATGCCATTTACTCTGTCTTAGGAAACTAATAAAGCAATGAAGTTTTTGAAGGCATCCCACAGAGTCAGGGCATGGGTTAATCTCTCCTCTGTTAGAGGAGAAGCAGAAATAAACTGAATCAAGCAAAATGTTAACAACCCTGCACCCAAGATTTAGAACACATACTTTCTCCCATCGCATATGGAATATTTACAAAATTTGACCATATATTGGCCATAAAGCAAGTATCAATAGAATTTGGGCCACATTCTAAAACCATATAGGAAAATAAAAGTAAAACCCCTTCTATGGTTTGAATGTTTGGGTCCCCTCTAAAATTCATAAGTTGAAACGTAATCCTCAATGTGATCATGTTGGGAGGTGAGGCCTTTAGGAAATAATTAAGTCATGAGAGCAGAGCCCTGATGAGTGGATTAAAGCCATAATAAATGGCCAAGTTCAGCTCCCTTTGCCTCTGCGCTCTTCTGCCACATGAGGAATAATATTTTCCCCCTCCAGAGAATGCAGGATTTCAGGTGTCATCTTGAGCAGAAAGACCAGACACCAAACTTGCCAGCGCCTTGATCCTGGACTTCCCAGCCTCCAGAACTGTGAGAAGTAAGTCTCTGTTCTTTACGAATTACACAGTCTCAGGTATTCTGTTATGGCAGCACAAAATGAACTAAGACAACTCCTTTTAAACAATTTGATAGCTATGTGAAAAACTCACTATATATTTGCAGTTTTAAAAACATGCTTCTGAATAATTCATATACTATCTGACGTAATTTATTTGTGCGTTTTTTGCCTTTCCTCATATGAATGCAAGCTTCATGAAGTCGAGGAGCTATGTTCATTGTACTACCCACAGCATATATACAGATCTAACCTTGTTTCAGTAGGGGCATGCTGAATAAATGAATGAATGAATGTCAACACTTAAGATATTCTATTTATGAAGTACTTGAAGGGAAATGTGTAACCTTAAGTAGATATATTAGCCAGGAATAAAGATACAATATGATTTAAACATTTACCTTGGGATATTAAAAAATAAACAGTAAATTGAAAAAAAGAAGAGTCTTTTAAATGAGCACAGTTTAGTGGAACGTAAATAACAGGAATAAGAAGAGAACAAAACAATTATCAGGGCCATTTGGTATTTTTTTTGGCAAAATCTATAAATTTTCAAGGAACAAATAATCCTATTTCTTATAAAACATTTTTAAAAGAATAGAAAAAGAAGAATGGAGGAGTTGATTTTGTAATAAAATATAGCCTTTATATCAAAGACAGGCAAGAAAAGTTATGTCAATCTCATTTATAGATTTATGTGCAAAAGTTTTAAACAAAATATTGGTAAACAAAAATCTAGCAGTGTGAATAGAAACAAACAGATAACCATAACCAAATAGAGTTTGTTCTAGGAATGTACAGACAGTATAACATTAGAAAATCTATTAATGTAAGTTATTATGTACCAGATTCAAGTTGAAAAATAACCATCTTCATGTAGACAGAAAAAACATTCAGTAAAATTTCACATTCATTCATGTGTTAAAAGAAAAATGTTAGCAAACTAGGAATAGTAGGAGAAATTCTTAACATTTGAAGCAAATTTGCACTTGATATGACTGTCTATATGTGAAAATCAAGACTATCTAGGGCAAACTATCATTTTTTAAAAAAAACATTATGAATACAAAGTCAAATAAAATTAGCATATTTGAACACTATCAACAATAAGTTAGAAAACATCATTTTAATGTCTTATTCATAATAGCAAACAGAAAATAAGCTTTTATAGGATAAATGTATTGAAAGACCTGTCGTTATAGGGACAAATATAACATTTAATTAAAGGATAGAAATGAAGATCATTTGGAGAGGAACACCAGGTTCATGGAAAAAAGCACTATGATAAAGATGGAAATGCTCCAGATTGATCTATACAACCAATACTTCAATCAAAATTCAAGCAGATCATTTTTCATAACACTTGACAAGCAGACCCGAAAATTCACAAAGACATGTTGAAGCCAAGAACAGCCAAAACAATTTTGAATAAGAAGAACAAAGATGAAACACCTGTAAGATGTTAAGACTGGTTATAAAACTTAAATAAAAGAGTGTGGATCTGGTGTTGAGAGAGACTATTAGAACAATGTTAAAAATATCCACGAAAACAATCCAGAATAAAGATGATGTTTGCAGTAAACAAAACTGAATATACAACAAATTCCTAAAGTCAGTAAGGAAAAAGACAAAACTGAGTAGAAAAATGGGCAACGCTTGTGAATAGCAATTCATACCTGAAGGAACACAAATCTTCCATAAACATTTTGAAAAGGTGCTTAGGGAAATGCAGTTTTTAAAATCATCTCATAGCCATTGAATTATCAAAGTTTCTTCATAAGGATGTGGAAAATTCATGTTTTGATACAGCTGGTGGGAGTAGAAATTTATACAACCATTTTGTAAAGGAATGTGGAGTTATCTGCTTTGTTACGTTGGTTCTAAGACGTTCCTCCTCCACCTCCACACGTACTGTCCCCCACTGCCACATTTTAACATTGCCTAAATCCAAATCCATCTTACAGTTGCTGCTTTCTTAATATTTTAAACAACATTTTGGGTGCAACTTACATTAGATGGCCTGTTAGGTTTCATAAAATAAGTAGTAAATTTGAAGATGTTCACCCTTTTGGATCCAGCCATTTGATTCCTAGATGGGTTTCTAGAAAAACTCACATCTATACACAAAGACATATACAATGCTATTCATTGTAAAATTTGATTTTCTTTTAAAAGTTTTGCTCTAAGAAGCTAAAAAATTGGTTTCTTTCATGCTTATTTCAGTAAGAATACTGTTGCCTACACACAGAGAAAAATGTATTACTTCCCATAAGAGGTCGAGAAGAGTTGTTTAATTTCCTGACTCAATAATGATCTCAAGATCTCAGATTTATCCTATTTCTCTGCTTTGCCACAGTTGGCTTTTAGACCCATTTATTTATATTTGCTCACTTCCTGATCACAACTTCCCTACCTTAACAAGTGCAGGGGCTTCAAATGATCTCATTATTGCTGCTATTGTTTTATTTTAATTTTGAAATAATTGTAGGTTCCCAGGAAGTTGCAAAGATAGTACAAAGAGGTCTTGTATACCAATCACCCAGTTTCTCTCAATGGTTGCACCTTCCACAACTTTGAAACAATGTCAGAACCAGGAAACTGACATTGCTACAATGTGCATGTATATAATTTTAGGTCATTTGATCACATGTTCAGATTCATGAAACCGCCACCACAATTATTTAAAACCAAGATGGGGAGCTATTCCAGCACCACGGAGATTTCTCTCATGGCATCCCTGTACAGTCTCAATCATCTCCCTAATTCCGAACATCACCTAATTCCTGGAATTTTTGTTTTCCATCTCTAACATTACATTTGATAGTAAGACATAGCAACTTACTTTGCAAAGCAGCAAAAAATAAGATGGATGGATGGATAAATGGACAAAAGGATGGAGATATATGGAGTAATAAGGCACATATAGCAAAATGTTAAAGAATCTGGGTTGAGGGTATATGGTTGTTCAGTGTACAACTCTTGACATTTGTCTATATACTTGCAAATTTTCATCAATATAATATGGGAACCAAATTGATCTAAATGTCCACCAGTAGGGAAATGAATAAGTAAATTATAGTATACACTGTAAGTATACTATATGTCTATAACAGATGATTCTATAGCATTTAACAAGAAGGAACTAGATCTTCATTTAACAATATGGCTAAATATCAAAAACAGTATACTGAGTAATGAAAAGGTATGTTTCAGAATAATGTACATGGTGCAACTGAAGCTAACACCTACAAAATATCAGAAAGGTAACCACCCCTTTGAAGTTTTTGTTGCTTGTTTTCATAAATGATTATACAACAACATCATGGGTGACACCTGGATATTGTCGAGAACATGGGTGCATGCTATATTCTTTTTACTTTTCATATTTGAGATGCATTACTATTAATGAAAATTTAAATCAAAAAAGAAACGCCACATAGGTCCACATACGGTGGAAGATACTGGCTCAAAATTAGACTTCAGAGAAGTGTGAGTCACCTTCTACACATTCCTTTTATAGTCGCTCAAATTATGGGACACATTTGCCAATTACTTTACTTTAAAGAACAAGGTACTTTGGGAGAAAACACATTATTCTGAAACGACCTCAATCAATGCTAGCTTTGGATGTTTATAGAGGTCCCACGACAGAATCAGTAAACAAAGAAGCAGGTAAATTTAACACATTTAGTAATTATTCCTGGGAGTATGGCCTTACCACTGCAAGTGTTGGTTACCATGATAAATGAAACCTGTAAAGCTACTTGAAAATGAAACAGACTAAGAGCTTGTATTTTGTAGTCAATAAGCAGATGTACACAGAACAGATGTTTTTTTAAAAAGCTGTTCATCATATGAAAAAAAGCTCATCATCACTGGTCATTAGAGAAATGCAAATCAAAACCACAATGAAATACCACCTCATGCCAGTTAGAATGGTGATCATTAAAAAGTCAGAAAACAACAGATGCTGGAGAGGATGTGGAGAAATAGGAATGCTTTTACACAGTTGGTGGGAGTGTAAATTAGTTCAACCATTGTGGAAGACAGTGTGGCTATTCCTCAAAGATCTAGAACCAGTAATACCATTTGCCCCAGCAATCCCATTACTGGGTATATGCCCAAATGATTATAAATCATTCTACTATAAAGGCACATGCACACATATGTTTACTGCAGCACTGTTCACAATAGCAAAGACTTGGAACCAACCCAAATGCCCATCAATGATAGACTGGAAAAAGAAAATGTGGCACATATACACCATGAAATACTATGCAGCCATAAAAAAGGATGAGTTCATGTCCTTTTCAGGGACATGGATGAAGCTGGAAACCATCATTCTCAGCAAACTAACACAGGAACAGAAAACCAAATACCACATATTCTCACTCGTAAGTGAGAGTTGAACAATGAGAACACATGGACACAAGGAGGGGAATATCATACACCAGGGCCTGTCAGGGGGTGGGGGGCTAGAGGAGGGATAACATTAGGAGAAATACGTAATGTAGATGACGTGTTGATGGGTGCAGCAAACCACCATGGCACGTGTATACCTATATAACAAACCTGCACTTTCTGCACATGTATCCCAGAACTTAAATAATTTTAAAAAAAAGCTGTTCATACTTTTCTTATCACAAAATTTAAGATAATGTTTCCTCCAGGGAAAAGAATGAGTTTTGATCTTTTGAGGACCTGGAAATATGCTATTTCTTTTTCTGGGTGGTTATGACAGTTGTGTTTGCTTTATAATTATACATTGAGCCATTCACATGTGTTGTGGATATCTTTGTATTTTATTATTATTATTATTATTATTGAGTCGGAGTCTCACTCTGTGACCTAGGCTGGGGTGCAGTGGCACGATCTCAGCTCACTGAAACCTCTGCCTCCTGGGTTCAAACAATTTTCATGCCTCAGTCACCAAGTAGCTGGGACTAGAGTTGTGTGCCACCATGCACAGCTAATTTTTGTATTTTTAGTAGAGACGGGGTTTCATCATGTTGGCCAGGCTGGTCTTGAACTCCTGACCTCAAGTGCTCCACCTGCCTCAGCCTCCCCAAAGTGCTGGGATTACAGGCATGAGCCACCATGCCCAGCTATTTCGTTATGTTTTACAATAAAAGAAAAGGTGTCCTAAAGTTGTGCAAATTAGTACTTGCGGGTTGGAATACAATTTCTTGTGAACTCAAAAATTGCTAGTTCTCATGTACTTCGGATGAAAGTGAAATTAGCATGCTCAGGAAAATTGTGGGAGGAATTGTACCAATGTCAGTTTCCTGGTTTTGAGTCAGGAAAATGACTCAAAAGTGTCCCCCTGTTATGCCAGAGAAAATCATATAGAAAATGCATGGAAAAATTTGAATGATTTACTGAAATGCAAGAAAAGAAGCCTTATATATACATTATAATTCTGTATATAATTTCAAATGTATGTGTAACTAAACAACAAACTTACTATGATCACTAGATATGAAGCAATGTTATCAATGTCTCACAACTGTAAAAATGTACATTGGTTAAAAATTTTTAAAGGGTGAAGAATCTTCTAGTAGAGAAAATGATGATCACCATGCATTTGGGGCCACCTTATTTGTGGACATACACAGCTTTCCACAATTATGATAGCTAACACAGGATTTTTCTCTTTTAGATTGTGTATTGCAAAGACTTGTAAAAAAAAAAAAAAGTCATATCTTGAAAGATCTTTACAAATCACGTTTTTCCTTTTCTCCCAGGTAGAGCAAGAGAAGGAGGGGAGAGTTTGATCCTCCTGAAGGAAAGATTGCCCCCCTAAAAACTTGGAGATAAAGAAAAATAATGGAGTTGTCAAAAAGATTTCACTCTCCCCATGGTCCTGATAGATATTTGTCAACTCTTGTCAGAATGGCTTGTCATTCTAATGCTTTGCTCTTCCCTGAAAAACAAGAAGCTACCAGCACGAAGGCAGAAGAGCAATGACTAAGACAGAATCTGCACATTCCTAAATCATTATGCAGGAGGGTGATATGCCAAGATAAATCAGGGTTGAATGGGAAAGAGCTAATGTTTGGTGAGGAAATATTTATTATGGGTCACTATTGCATCATTTCAGAATAATGAGGCAAGGACAGGGAGAGGGGATAAGTAAATTCATGTGATGGAAAATGAAATTTTAAAAACATATTTACAATTCATGGAAGGCCAAAATATTTTAAGTCCTGGGACAGTTAGAAACTTCCTTATTTCACACAATGCCTTTGAAAACCAATAAGAACAACAACAAAAAAATCAAGGGGTCCACAAAACAATTTTTAGACAGAAGTGTTGTTTATTTGATAGTACTAAACAAATATAAATTGAGCATCCTGAGAGCATATTTGCATAGCCTATTGTTAGGCTACTCTTTGGTGATATCCAGAAAAAAGTTCTTTCTGGTATTGATTACATGAAACTGGCACCTTCCTATAGGACAACCAATCACAAGGTGTGAAAGTGATGTAAAATCTTTTTGACGCACCTGCAAGGTTCACCGTGGGTGTTTGTGGAAACTCCTTGTCAAAACTCTGTTTTACATGCTATTAGTATACATAGTCAAACACAACACTGAAAGAATCATGGGTGGCCCAGATCTAGGAGACACATCTGACAGTAGGGAGCTTGGGACTTCAAAAAGTCAAAAGACTAGATTGATAGGAGGCAGTGCTTAATGCATAGTAGGCAGTCCATAAATACTTGTTGAATGAATGAAGTAGACTAGATGGAGGTCTAGGAGTGGGCCACTTAAGGTCATAGATACATATGAAACCAAGTATGCAGGGACTCAACTGGCTTCTGGGGATTGGAAAAATTCCAGGGGTCTTTCCACTCACTCCAGAGAGGGGGAAGAAGACTAGCTCAGCAAAAACAATGATGCAATTAATCTATGACTAGTACTAAGGGGTGGAGTTTTCCAATATAAGCATTTTATCTCTTGGATTAAAAACACTGAATGGGCTGGGCACAGTGGCTCACGCCTGTAATTCCAACACTTTGGGAGGCCAAGGCAGGTGGATTGCAAGGTCAGGAGATCGAGACCAGCCTGGCCAATATGGTAAAATCCCATCTCTACTAAAAATACAAAAATTAGCTGGGTGTGGTGGCACGTGCCTGTAATCCCAGCTACTCAGGAGGCTGAGGCAGAAGAATCGCTTAAACCCGGGAGGTAGAGGTTGCAGTGAGCCAAGATTGCGCCACTGCACTCCAGCCTGGGCAACAGAGTGAGACTCCATCTCAAAACAACAACAACAACAAACACACACACACACACACAAAAACCACTCAGTGGTTTCCCGCTTTTCGTAGAAGAAAGTCCAACTCTTTACTATGATTGTGCTTGGTCAACTTCTCCCTGAAGCAGATCTTGAGGATGGGGAGAGGTGATAAGTAAATTCATGTGATGGAAAATGAAATTTTAAAAACATATTTACAATCCATGGAAGGTCAGCATATTTTAAGTCCTGAGACAGTTAGAAACTACCTTATTTCACACAATGCCTCTGAAAACCAGTAAGAACACAAAAGCATCATTGAGTCCACAAAATAATTTTTAGACAAAGGTGTTGTAAATTCGACAGTACAAAACAAATATAAATTGAGCATCCTGATGGTATATTTGCATAGCCTAGTGTTAGGCTACCATTTGGTGATATCCAGAGAAAAGTTCCTTCTCCTTTTGGTTATGTGAAACTGGTAACTTCCTATAGGACAGGTAGGAAAGACTTTGGTGCATGTGATTGATGAAGGAAGTGCTTCCAAGAGATCTGGTTAGAGAAGGAGAAGGTAAGGAAGAATGTGACTTCAGGCCATGTTCTACCCTCAGCCTGACCCCAGAGGGAGCGGTGGAGCATAAATTGCACCTGAGTTTGTTCTGCCTCAAGACAAGGAAACTAGGGACTTGTGCTCCCCACCAGCAGGTTAACTGCTATGGGATATTCCAGGGGGTGCCAACTCAGTTCTCAGGATAGGTGAGGTGGTTCCAATAGACCCAGAGCGATCTTCTGTAGAAGGTCACATGTGCCAGCCATTAGCAGCAAAGCTGGCGGAGGTATGCACAGAGCTATTAAAAGGGATTGGAGGAGATTTGGAAGGGGCAAAATATATGTCTGCTACAACAGTCATTTACAAGCCTACATGATGTTGTTCCACCAAGCTCTCTATCCTCTGTCCCCAAGGTCTTATATTAGCCAAGGTTCTCCAGAAAAGCAGAACCAGTAAGTTACGTCTATCTTTCTTTCTTTCTTTTTCTTTCTTTCTTTCCTTCTTTCTTTCTTTCATTCTTTCTTTCTTTTCTTTCTTTCCTTCCTTTCTTCTTTCTTTCTCTCTCTCTCTCCTCTCTCTCTCTCTCTTTCTTTCTTTCTTGTGGGAGATTTACAATAAGGAACTGGCACACATGATTATAAAGGTTGAGAAGTTCCACAATCTGCCACTGGGAAGCTAGAGACCCCAGAGAGCTGGTGGTGTAAGTTCCAGTTCAGGCACAGGAGAAGACAGATATCGCAGCTCAAAAACAGGCAGAGAGAGAGAATTCTTTTTCTTCCTTTTTGTCCTATTCAGGCCTCCAACTGATTGGATAGGGCCCATCCACAATGGGCAGGGCTTTATCTAATTTACTCAGTCTACCAATTGCAATGTTAATCTCATCCAGAAACACCTTCATAGACATAGAATATCTAGCTACATATCTGGGTACCCCATGGCACAGTCAAGGTCACACATAAAATTAACCTTCACACTCTCATTAGTTTCTGCACTCAAGCCACAAAGATTCTGTGCCTGGAGTATGAATGCATAGATTGAGCTCGCTCAAGACAAAAGAAGGTAATGCTAGCCAGGAGAGTTTAGATGCTGAATTCTGAAAATAACGTCATAAAAAGGCTACAGTGACCTCATTCCAAAGAAGTTAGTTTTTGATTCTTTGTTTATTTGTTTATTTACTTTTTTCTTCAGTGAGTCTTGTCCTTTAAAGCACAGGCTACAGACTGGCTTTTTATTTTACTGAGCTCCAGAAGTCAGAGGAAAAGATAGAGGCCTTTTTCCTGCAACATGAATTCTCCAAAGAGCTTATCTTGCCCCCAAGGGGGTGAAAATTGGCTCTTTTGGGGACAGGGTGAAAAACAATCTTATTCTTTTTATGTATAAAGCACAGATATACATACAGCGCATTAACAGATACACCCAGTGTATCTCTGGTTTTAAAAATTTCATGGGGAGGCCAGGCACAGTGGCTCATGCCTCTAATCCTAGCACTTTGGGAGGCTGAGGTGGGTGGATTGCCCGAGCTCAGGAGTTTGAGACCAGCCTGGGCAACACGATGAAACCCCGTCTCTACTAAAACACATACACACACACACACACACACACACACACACACACACACAAATTAACCGGGCATGGTGGCACATGCCTGTAGTCCCAGCAACTAGGGAGGCTGAGGCATGAGAATTGCTTGAGTCTGGGAGGCAGAGGTTGCAGTGAGCCAGGATTGGGCCATTGTACTCCAGCCTGGGTAGCAAAGTGAGACTCTCTCAAAAAAAAAAACTTTTTTTTCTCATTGGGGGATGATTAGGAATAAATGTTTAAATTGACTCTGGGAGAAGGGAAACAATAATAATGATTTGAAGAAATTAAGAAAGACAATTCTAAAACCATAGGTATCTAAAGCTAAAAGGAAGCACCTCCTTTATCTAAGACCTTCCAACGGGCACCTCAAGGACCCGGATGCTCCAAACTTCCTGAAGTTCACACAGGGATTTGGTGAGAGAGCCTGGCATAGACCAGGATTTTTTCTGTCCTAGACCAATGCACATTCCACGTGTTTCATGCAAAACTTCATGTATCTGTGAGCAGGGTCCAAGTCTGTGCATCTCATTAACCCACATCCCCACAAAGGTGACGCTTTGGAAAGGAAGTAAATTATCTACGTGGTCAAATTACACACCTTTGTAATCCTTCAGAAGAGATATGTTGTCTTGCTCTCTGAATGGTGAGACAAGGAACAGTCAGAGCAGAGAGAGAATACCTAGAGAGCTGCAACATCGGGGCAAAAATGTATCAGGAATCAGAAGCAACGCAGAGCTCAGAGAAGTGGGAGAGAATTAGTGCAGCGTAGGAAATTAGCCTTCTTCCTGACTCCTCATACACTCTTCATGTCTAAAGTTGACTTCTTCTATTGCTGCTTTTTTTTTTTTTTTTTTTTTTTTTTGAGACGGAGTCTCGTTCTGTCGCCCGGGCTGGAGTGCAGTGGCGCAATCTTGGCTCACTGCAAGCTCCGCCTCCTGGGTTCACGCCATTCTCCTGCCTCAGCCTCCCTAGTAGCTGGGACTACAGGCGCCCGCCACTGCGCCCTGCTAATTTTTTTTATTTTTATTTTATAGTAGAGACGGGGTTTCACCGTGTTAGCCAGGATGGTCTTGATCTCCTGACCTCATGATCCGCCGCCTCGGCCTCCCAAAGTGCTGGGATTACAGGCCTGAGCCACCGCCTGTAATTTGCTGCTTAAAATCCATCCAGAAGCTGAGGGGGTAGGGGGTGAAAACATGGAAAAAGATAAATGAAAATCTAGTGAATGATAATGAAGGTTTTATTTATCATCCAATAAATCATTGTCATTAGACTCACCTATGTGAGTCTAGTTTTACAATTCTCTGACTGTTCCCTGTCTCACCACTCAGAGAGCAAGATAACATATCTCTTCTGAAGGATCCCAAAAGTGTGTAATTTGACCACATTGATCATTTACTTCCTTTCCAAAGTGTCACCTCTGTGGGGGATGTAGGTTAATGAGATGCGGAGACTTGGACTCTGCTCACAGGTACATGAATTTTTGCGTGAAACACATGGAATGTGCATGGGTTTAGGGTTGAAAAAATCCTGGTCAATGCCAGGCTCTCTCACCAAATCCCTGTGTGAACTTTAGGCAGTTTGAGCCTCTGGGTCCTTGAGGTGCCATGGAAAGATCTTAGGTAAAGGAGGTGCTTATTTTTCACTTTAGATACCTATGGTTTTAGAACTATCTTTCTTAAAGACAAGCTCACCTATGTGAGTTAGCTTTACCATTCTCCCCAGCGTCTGTTTCATTCATGCATTTATTTGTTCAAGCATTTATTGAGCACCTGCTATGTGCCAGGCATTGTCCTCCACGCTAACATTGGTGGCAGGAAAGCACTAAGATACAGTAATAAAAATCAGATTTGGTCCTAACTCCAGGCAAATTTTAAATTTCACAGTGGAGCTAAGTAAAATAGGTAGACAAGCCTACATTTTAATTAAATTACCTTCCGTTCCATGGCTGGCACGTGACGAGCATATTTTCTGACTGTGCAGGGGGAAATGGGCTGTGTCATATGTGCGAGTTCCACTCTCCTCTGGCAGGCTTCTTAATCCATGTTTGAGGGCAGTCAGGATTAAATGAAATTATGGGAACAAAAAACGAAAAATGCAAAAAAAAAAAAGTTTTAATTGGCTTACTCTGATCTTCCTGCTGTGATTGTATCAACGAGTTGGCAGCTTGTCAGTTGCAGTTGCCAGGCAACTCTGAGCGGTAAGGCGAACGTGTCAGCCTGTGTTTCCCATCTTGTTTGAGTCTCCCAGTGTCTGGGACTGACGTCTGGTTCTACCTGACCCTCCACAGGGGTCTGGGATGCTCCACGCAGCCCCATGAATAAGCCTCTGACCTGCTGCTCAAAGCTGCCTCATGGGGAAGTAATTGATAAAACTTCAGCCCTTATTCAACAACTTAGCTCTCTAACTGTGACCTTGCTGGAATGGCCCCAGGGACCCTGTCTGAGTCTTCCCAGCCCCTCAGGTACATCAGCAGAACAGGTGTGAAGGCAGAGACAGGAGAAACAGAATGCCTGCATCCTCCTCCCCTGGTGAGCTACACATACTTGGAAGCCCCATTCTGATGTCGTCTTTCCTATTCACACTCATCGAGCCCACAGAGAATGGGCTTTGCAGTCAGACCTAGCTGGGTCCATCTGTTACATACAAGCCATGCAACTTTAAAGCATATTCTTAGCCCCGCTGTGCCTCTGTTTTCTCATCTCTAAAGTGGAGCTGAGGTGGAAAGGTCCTTGAGCCTAGGCGTTTGAGACCAGCCTGGGCAACACAGCAAGATCCTGTCTCTACAAAAAAATAAAATAAAACAAAAATTAGCTGGGTATAGTGGTGTGCACCTGTAATCCCAGATACTGGGGAGGCTAAGGCAGGAGGATCACCTGAGCCCAGGATTTCAAGACTGAGGTGAGCTATGATCACCCTCTTCACTCCAGCCTTGGCAACAGAGTGAGATCTCATCTCAAAACAAAACAAAACAAAACAAATGAAAAAAAATAAATAAAGTGGAGCTAACACTACTTCTATCCCAGGGTGTTGATGAAGTTTTACTGAATAAAAACAAATGTAAAATGCTTAGTTCAATGCTAGCATATAGTTAATGCTCCACATTTTAGCAACTGTTATCCAGGCATCCATGAAGAACTTTGAGGCATTTGTAGAATCCCGGAGCTGAAAAGGAAGTTAGCTAGTGATTGCTGAGTCTCCTCATACCTTAAGTCAGGAATCTGAGACCCAGAGAATCAAGAGTGTTGTACCCAAAGCCATGTCATGGGGATTGAAACTCAGGGCTCAGTTGCCACCACAAAACTTTGCCAGGATTGGGTACAAAAAAGAATCCTCCTGTATTAAACATATCTTGCAGGCAATGGGTAATAGTATTTGTGTTGAGTAATCAGAGAGGCATTCAACGGACACAGCTACCCAGAAGACAGCCTGTTTGGTCTGAGAAAGTATCATGTGCTTCAGACAGGGCCGTGTCTCACAGAAGATGTCTGGTTATTTCCCTGCTGGCTGAGAGAAGATGATCCACCCACTTTACCATGGCATCCAAGATGTTTCTTGACCTGGCTATGGCTCCCACTGCCGTCCAATTCCCCTCCTCCCCATTCATCTTCCTGTTGATCCTCAGACGTGCCAGGGAGGGTCCTGCCTCAGGGCCTTTGCATGAGCTGTTCCCCTTGTTTCGAACACAGATATCCATACGGCTCCCTCCTTCACGTGCTTCAAGTTGTTGCTCAAAGATCATGCCCTCATGGAGGCCTTTCATGAGTTTCTTATTTAATACTGCCACCCTCTCAAGCACTTTCTCTCCTCTTTCCCTGATTTTCCTTAAAGGACTTGTCACCACCTGCCTCACTGCCTATGTGTTTGCTTGTCGGTCATGCCTGATTGTAGAGGCAGGCCCCACCTTTACACTCTAAGCTCCATGAGGGCACAGATTTTTTGCATTTGGTTCATTGCCGTATTCCCAGTGCCTAGAACTGCACCTGGCACACATTAGGTGCTCAATAAACATTTCTGGAATACATAGAAACCTCTCTCTGTGAGGTTTCCTCTGCCCTGCACCTGCCCCATGTTCATTGTCCTTACCCCTACTCACCCTTCATGAGGCAGCAACAAGCGTACCCTCCTTTGAGAAGACGTCTGTCCTCACCTCCTCCAACTGGAATGGAGACCTTGCCATGTGCCTCCATAGAATCCTGCACCTCCTTCCAGAAGGGCAGCCATCAAATTGTTGCAATAACTAATTTGCCTGGTATCCCACCAGAAGCTTGGCCTGTTCTACAATTAGAGGGGCAGTGAAAGAAAAAGAAGTCTTCCTCTGATTAACTTCTCTGGCTGGTTGTCAGAGACCAAGCTTCCTGCCTCCCATTCCCTGCCCCAATCCCAAAGCATTTCCCTCTAGACTGAGCCACTTCAGGGCAGGGCTTCATGTCATCCATCTTTATATTCCCAGCATACAGTGCAGCTCCTGACATGGCATAAGGGCACAGCGCTGTTGCTCAAATAACAATAGTCAGGGCTCACCTTGAGCCATGAAATTGGCCTATAAGGGCTTTCCAACCTTGGCACTTGAGACGTTTGAAATGGGAATTCTTTGTTGTAGGGGGTTGTCCTGTGCCTTGGAAAATGTTTAGCAGCATCGACCTCAACCCATATGCCGAAAATACACACACCAATTTTGCAACCAAAACATCTGCAGACATTAGCAAATGTCCCTTGGGGGCCACACTTGTCTTCAGTTTACTGTGAATTAATTCATTAAATCCTCACAGCAATGCTATAAGGGGGTACTGTTATGAAATCTAGATTACAAATAAGTGAGGCTCAGAGAGGTTAGGCAACTCACTGAACATCACACAGCTAGGAACTGGCTGAATCAGGATATGAACTGGGCAGTCTGACTCCAAAGTTTAGGCAATTAACCTAATGAATTAATGTCAGGAGTCGGGTGAGGAATGGGGATGGTGTGTTTATTACATGCAGGCACTATTTTTAGTTTTTAAATGGATTGCCTCATTTAATTGTGTCTAGCCTTTAACACAGTCATTGTTATTTCTAACATTGTACAGAGGAGGGAATTGAGGCACAGAAAGCACCTGCCAACTGGAGGCAGAGCGGCCAGAATTCAAGCCCACGCAGTATGACTCTAAAGCTTACGGTGGTGGGAGGTGGGGGGCTGTTTCCACTCTGCTCCAATTCTGCACAAAGTCATGCTGCCCTTTACTCAGCTTTCCCTGCCAGGACAGCCTGGCACAGTCCCTGTGTTCCCTCTGAAATAGCTTCACTGCTACTCACTCTCAGTGGGCCTGACTCCCGGGGCACCGAGCCCTGAGGGTCACGATGAGTGCTTTCAAGTTCCAAAGCGGTCTTATACACAAAGCCAACCGCACCGGGGGAAACTGCCAGAGGCTTCCCCAGGGTTGGGACTTCCAAAGTGGGGGCAGTCTTTGTCTTCAACCAAACCAGGCTTCACAGAAAAGCACGAGGAGAGCCCAGAGGGGAGATCTTAGGGGTGTTTTCAGAATATCATGAAAGTCTTCTCTGACAAAAAAAAAAAAGAGAGAACTATGAGCACCTTCCCCAATCCCCTCCCTTTCAGTAGTTACCGAAGCAGAGATGGTGTGTGTTTCAGAGGCATCTCCTGACATGATTGCCCTGATGTTTACAATAATGATCAGATCATTTTCCCACAGCCATTTCATCCAATGAGCCCAAATAGGATTACTGAGAAATTGCAAGGTCTTGCAGGAAATTTCTCTTCTGACCTTGGGCATTGTTAGGATGACTCACAGGAAGCAAGATCCCCTTTCATTGTTAGGGAGGACAATTCTGCAGCCTCTTCTCCAAACAGGGTGATCCCAAAGTGGTAAGGAAGAGACATTCTGAATGGCAATCATTTATCACCTGTGCACCCAGACACAACCACCCACTGTGCCCACATGATGGGGAGACATGGCGTGTGACTGTTTCTGTGAGTCTCCACTGTGAAGCAATGTCAGCTTCTCTTATGCAATACCCTCAGCTTCAGCGAGATGCAGAGAAAAAGGTTATACTAGAGCACAATCAGTTCTCCTTCAAAGACTTTTTTCTTTTTCTTTTTCTTTTTTTTTTTAATTTTTTAAGACGGAGTTTCGCTCTTGTTGCCCAGGCTGGAGTGCAATGGTGTGATCTCGGCTCACTGCAACCTTTGCCTCCTGGGTTCAAGCAATTCTCCTGCCTCAGCCTCCTGAGTAGCTGGGATTACAGGTGCACACCACCAAGCCTGGCTAATTTTTGTATTTTTAGTAGAGATGGGGTTTCACCATGTTGGCCAGGCTGGTCTCTAACTCCTTACCTCAAGTGATCTGCCCGCCTCAGCCTCCCAAAGTGCTGGGATTACAGGTGTGAGCCACCATGCTTGGTCTTAAGACTTTTCTTCTTAAAAACACAGCTTGATAAGTAGATGAGGATAGTGAAGACCATATGAGAAAAGAAGGATGAGGGCAGATTTGTACTGTCAGATACCGAAATGCACACTTTAGGTACAATAATTGTAATGATAAATATGTATGGGCAAGAATTGGCAAAAGGATCAATGAACTAACATATATAGCTCCAAAACAAATAGTACACATTCTTTCTTTCTATCCCTTCTTTCTTCTACACCTGCACGCACATACATGGGCACACACATGTACACAATAAGTTCAGCACTGTAAATCAATAGGAAGAGGAAGATTCATCCATCAGATCAATTAATGTACCCTTGGGAAAACATAAATCACTCTAGGTATTTCAAACAGTAGGGACTTTAATACAGGGAATTGATTACAAATGTGTAGAAAAATAAGAGGAGCAAAGTAGAGATTGCCCAGGGATTAACACCTGTAGGAAGCCAGTACATTCTCTAGAGCTGGATGATGAAAAGAGGTATTATCAAGAAGTCAAGAGTTTACAATACTGCTGATGCTGTCGCCAGAAGCAGAAAAACAGTTTCTACACTTTTCCCATTTGTGAATCTCATGTGATCGACCCCACTGGTCACCATCGACCCATACCCAGCCGCCAAGGAACTCTGGAAATATAGTTTTCAGGTTCCCCGCTGTGGTGTAGAGTGGAATAGACATAAGGACAGGCATAGGGCTGAGATTTGACAGACCATGTTTGGCAAAGAGGATTTATTTGATAATGCTACAGAAGGCAGTGAGCTGGTAACTGAGCAAAAACAAACATTTTCGCTTCTTGCTGTAAAGCAAAATCAATCCCAAGTTGTGCAAAGGGTTAAACATACACACCAATATTCAAAGACAGAAAGGAAAAGAACAGCAAAACAGAAAAATATGAGGAAAATGTTATGATTTAAGGGTGACCAATAACTTTCTAAATATTGAGGCAATGAAAAAGTTATGAAAGAAAAAATTATATATTAGAATAAAAATAATTTCTAATGGTAAGAGAGATGATTACGAATCAAGTAATCTGGAAGGCAGATTTACAATATATATTAAAATGAGCTTAAAACCCAATGTATTACCAAATAAAGATGAAACTGTAAACACCAGTAATTCTACTGGAGAAACATGTGCATACAATGGAATACTATGAAGCAGGGAACAGGATAAATTTTAGTATAAACATTAACATGCACGAATCTTAATAACAATTTTGGGTGAAGTAAATCACAGAAGAATACTTATAGCACTGTGCCATTTATGTAAGTTCACAAACATACAAGATAAACTTCGTTGCTTACAGATGCATGAATATGTATTAAAACTAAAAAATCAAGAAAACAATGACCACAAATGTCAGAACTGTAGCTACACCAGAAGGCGGGAGGAAAATAGTTAAGAGAGATATCCAGGAGATTTCTAAGGTACAGAAGTGCTCTATTTCCTTAGCTGAGTGGTACATAGATTAATATTTACTAATTATTATTTAAATTATACGTACACATATTTATTTTGATATGTGTCAAAATAAAACTGAAAAACAAAAAATACAGACATAAAGAAAAATTTAAACCATGAGGTAATTTGAATCAATAATCAACAATATTTTGGATCAAAGAACCGTAAATTTAAATAATGAGATGAAAATTGATTAATAATCAAATTAACAAAGATTCTAGATCTCATAATTCTCATTGTTAGCATGAGTGCGATGAAAAATCCTATTCTCTTGGTGGGGGTATAACTCGGTTAAACATTTTGGGAAAGCAATTTGGCAGTGCCTATCAGAAGAATTTTTAAATGTCCATGCCTTAGGGAAATGGCTTGAAATTCGAATAAAGTTTTTATGGCTAAAATCATGGTCATTTTAGTGTTTCTATAATAGTGAGAAATTTAGAAACATTATGGAAGTAAGTAAATCATGATAGATATAATGAAACATTACCCAGCATTTAATGATGATTACAAAGAGATTGTCATTATCACAGGGAAATGCTTATGTCACATTATTTAGTGAGAAGAGCAAACTGCAAAACTTTATACCCAATATGATCTCATCTATTAAAGAAAAACAAGCATACTGGAAGGGTATTTTCTTTCCACACAGTCATGTTACATTGCATTTCAGCTTTTAGCTTGGCATTATTCCAAGAACATTCTCTCATGGCGAGGAGATGGGAGGTTAGGTCATTTCCAACGACCATTCTTCATTTCTCTCCTGACTTACATAGTGATAGAGAAAGAGGAACTAACAGTTATTTCGTGTTGTCTTGGGCACCATGTTACTCCTACATATTATCCGTGTGAGATAGAAAATATCACTCCCATATGAACGTTGGAGAAACGGAGTGGGCTTAAGGCACCTGCTTAAGAGCACACAGCTAGTAAATGGCAAGGTGGTACGTCTGATTCCTAAACTGTTTCTGTAAACTCCCTTCCTTCCCATACGGTAGAACCCCTGAGGCAAGCCTCTGGGATATCACAGCCTTAATAACTTGGCTCAGAAATCAGTCTGCCTGGGCTGAGATACTGCCTCTACTTACTAGCTATGAGACTTCAGGTAAATTTTATTTAATTTCTCTGGGCCTCAGTTTCTGCATCAGTAGAATGAGAATAATAATGCCTTCCTTATAAGATAAGATGCATGTAAAATGCTTAGGAAAGTTCCAGGCACTCAGTAGAAGTTAGCCAACATTGCTGTCTCTAATAGGGTCTGAGTAAATAATGACTTGTTTGAGGTTATTTACACTCTCACTTGCCCAGAGTCTCCTGGGGAATACCATCAGCGATGTTCTGGTCCAAGACATAATTTCACAGATGGGGACACCGAAGACCAGAAAGGTGAAGTGAGTAAGCCAGTCCACCCAGTGGTAAGTGATCGGGGGTGGTCCTGACTATTACTGCATATTCTTTCCATCAATGTACAGCATTTCCCTGACTGTCACCCCCTGTGACCAGATGCCAGGAGGACCAGACCACAACCTTGAAAAACACAGCCATCTCTTCATGCACACACTATTATTTATGTATATATTATCATTTGCTTTCTCAACAACCCTGGGAGGTGAGCAAGGTGTTTCTCCTTGGTCCCATAAGGAACTGAGGCAGGAACCTCAGAGTTCTTTGCACAACATCATGGAACCTCCAAGAGTTTTGTGTCTTGGCTGCATTAGATGACCAAATTCAGATCTGTTTCTTATAGGCAGGAAAGAAGTTGGGCTGGTGAATTTTCCTGATTTCTCTCTCTCTCTCTCTCCCTCTCTTTTTTTTTTTTTTTTAACAGGGTCTCACTCTGTCATCCAGACTGGAGAGCAGTGGTGTAATCTTGGCTCACTGCAACCTCCGCCTCCTGGGTTCAAGCGATTCTCCTGCCTCGGCCTTCCGAGTAGCTGGGATTACAGGTGCCTGCCACCACACCCAGCTAATTTTTGTATTTTTAGTAGAGACGAGGTTTCACCATGTTGGCCAGGCTGGTCTCAAATTCCTGATCTCAAGTGATCTGCCCACCTCGGCCTCCCAAAGTGCTGGGATTACAGGCATGAGCCACTGCGCCCAGCCTGATTTCTCTCTTAAACCCCATGGTACTAGCTGTTATTCACCAACATCTGTTATTCATCAACATGGACAGGGAAGCAGCTTCCTCCAGCTCTTCACTTGTGGGGCTAGCCCATTAAGCTCTCCCCAGAGCTCAGGTGGCCAAATATGGGGACTGTGACAGAGGTTAGGCCAGTGGGACAGAAGTGATGCCATCCTTCTTCTTCCCAACATCACCCCTGCTGTCTACAGCCTTGAGGTTACAATTCCTGCCTTACTTATGCATGATGTTAGCCTGTGATGCTTTCTGATGCCTGACAGCAACCAAAACTCCCATGAGCTTGTGGTGGGGGTATAAATTGGGAAAAAATCCTTGCAATGTCTCCTAAGGCTAAGCGTACACCTCCCTATGATCTAGCAGTTCCACTCCTAGGCATATACTCAAGTGAAAGAAGTGTTTATGTTCATCCAAAGATATTGATGAATGTGTTTATGACTGCTTTATTAACACAGGCAAAATTGCAAGAAACCTAAATGTTCAACAATAGGAAAATGGATAAATAAATTAAGGCAATATTTATTCAATAGAATTTTGTGCAGCAGTAAAAAAAAGTGAAGTACAGCTTCATGCAACAGTGTGGATGAATCTTGCAAATATAATGATGAGAAAAATAAGGCAGAAACAAAAGAACACATACTGTAGAATTCCATTTATATAAAGTTCAAGAACAGGTAAAACCATTCTATTGTGCTAGAAGTTGAATAGTGTTTACTGTTGTGGGCAAGGCTCTACTGATTATTAAGGGAGGAAAACTTCTGGGGTGATAGAAGTGTTCTGTTTCTTGACCTTGAATGGAGGTTCTATGGATGTAACATGTGAAAATTCATTATGCTTTACATTTTAAAAATGTGCACTTTGCTCTATGTATATACAATCTTTAAAAAAACAAATCCTGCCAGCTGGATCACTAAGGATTCATTCACCAAGAACTCAGAATAATCCCTAAGCAAAAACCCCTAAGATAAGCTTATCTTTTAAGTCAATCAGTGGATTCTGTATATACCAAGTGAATTTTTCTTTCTCTAAGACCCAACCTAGCCTGGGATACATCTCTCTTCTCAGAGGTGTTGCTGTCATTGTACTCCCTGAGCTGCTGCTGTGTGTGTCTGTCTGCCCCTCAGACCACATGCCCCAAGAGCAGAGACTATGCACCATTCATTGCCTTTCCCCAGTATGTAGCACAGCGCCTGGCTTAGACATGCAGTAACTATTGATGGGGTGTATGAAGGAGTGAATGCACAAAAGAATGAATGAACATGGCACACACAAATATGATCTATGACCACAATCTAGAAAGCTCCTGCGGGGCTGTGAGCTGTGGAATCATTCTTTAGGCAGCATGATATGAGCCAGTGGTTCTCACCCTGGGGAAATTTTGTACCACAGGGGTCATTTGGCAATGTCCAGAGTTAATTTTGGTGACCACAACTGGGGATGGGAGGTGATGGTATTCTACCTGGAATAATGCTAAATAGCCTACAATGCACAGGAAAGCACACCTCTTACACACACACACACACACACACACACACACACACGAGTCATCCAGCTCAAAATGTCAGTAGTGCAAAGATTGAGAAAACCCTGATATAGAGGAACAGGAGCTAAACGCAGGAAGAAAGCCTTGAGTTCAAATGTTAATTGCCTACTTATTAGCTGTGTGACCCTGGGTAAGTTGCAAAACCTCTCAGATCTTTCTCCTTTGCACTAATAGGGCTGATCCCTACCTTAAAAGTAGATGAGAGGATTAAATGAGCTAAACTATGTGAAGTGCCTGGCTCAAAACAGGAGCCCAGTGAGACTTAGAGACCTTCTCCCAGGAGCCCAAGAGACTTTCTCTTCTCCACTCTGTTTCTGATCCCCCTTCCCCAGAGCCATAAATGGGCAATTTTTAGTAAGAAAAACAGCTGTCAAGCATTGCTGCTTCTTCCTCTGCTTAAGAAACTATTGAAGAGCAAGGCTGCCTGTGAAGAATGCATTTTATTTGCCAGGTACATCAATAGCCCCTGTTCCTAATGAAATGCGTTATTAATAGATAAAGTCAACATATTCAGAACTCAGGCCCACGTTGCATCCCAATGTAATCTGCCATTCTCCCTGCCTTGCAGGTGTCCTCTAAGCCTGCCTCTGAAAAACCGATTCTGATTTTCCCCACTTTCCCTCGCTTTTCTCTAAGCCCCAACAAACACAATGAGTTCCCAAGAGATACAGAGAAACGTCACACACAATACTAGCACTGTGTGCAGGTGGCAGAGACATCGTGAAGAAAGAACCCAGCCTTGTTCTTTGCAAATGGGAAGTAGAATTTCCCGCAGGGCTCAATCTAAGGCTTGCTACATTTGTTCCTTCCTCCCCTTTATGTATTTATGAGAGCGGCCGGCCCCTAGGCAATCCTAAGGTGGATGCTTATGGGTGCTGATTACGATGACGTTTTGCTGTCCTTGGTGCTGAAAAAGTCTTCAAGTGCTAAGGATTATGCTTTTCCATTACTCATATTGGCCAGGGACTATAAAATGGGCATTAATATACATGTTAACATTATTTAGCAAATGCTTAGTATAGAACATTTGGGAAACACACAGAATGAAAACAACAAAAATAATTAGTATTTACTGAGAGCATGCTACTTTTCAGGCATCATTATTGACTTCATCTTGTGAGCTATGTATTACATATTCCCTATTTTTCAGATGAGGAAAACTGAGGCAAGAACAGTCCCATTCACATGAACTTTCAGTGACAGCCACATCAACAACATAAGAACACCTGGGCTCCTACAAAGACCAATTGCACTACCGGCTCTGGCTCCAGTCTTTCTTCATCTTCTCCACAACTTGGTTTGTCTTGGCCCCCACAGGTACCTTTCCCTCTCCTGAACCATCATCTCCAGTCTTTCTACTATGCCATTTTCTCACTGGCACACAAATATGCCTCAGGATTTCTCATCTTACAGAGAAGACACAAGACTCTTGGCCATCACATCCAAACCTCGAATAACTTTCTCATTCATTTCCTCCTTTTCAAGGAGAAGTTCCTTGAATGAGTGGTTTTTAGTCCTTTTTTCTAGGTTTACACCTTCCATTTTATATTATTTCCTCAAATCACCACCACCCCCCGAAATGGACCAAGTCAAAATCAACAGTGATCATCCCATTAACAAATCCTATGGTTGCTTCTTTGAGCACTTGTTTTAGTTCCCAGCAAATCTGACATCAATAACTACTCCCTTCTTCTTAAACTACTTACTTTTTTTCTCTTTACCATTGTGTCACCACAAAATCCTAGTTTTCCTCCTAACTTCATGGCCCAGATTCTCAGTCCTTTTCCTGGACCTTTCTCTTCCACTCCCCTTAAAATACTTTGTCCCAGGGCTCAGTTTTGGGAAGCCTTCACTTTTCCAACTCTACTCCTCTTCCAGTGAGCAATCTCATCCATTCCCATGGCTTTAAAAACCATCCATATGTTGATGCTTGCTAAGTTTTTATCTCCAGGTTGAGGCAATTGTATATATCTCCAGGCAATCATTCAATTGTCTCTCCAGTCACTACTTGGATGTCTTATAATCTCAAACATCACAAAATTAAAAAGTACTTTTGACGTTCCCCCCAAAATCACCTCCTACCCTAGTCTTCCCCAACTCAGAAAATGCCACAACTTAGTTTCTCAAACCAAAATCCTAGGAATCATCTTTTATTTCCCCTCATGGTTCACAACCAATCCTCCAATCAAGTTCCACAGACTTAACCTACAAAATATACCCCAATGTCATCCACTTCTTTCCATCTCCCATGCCACTACCCTAGCATCTCCACCCTCTCTTCCCAGGATTTTTAGGAAGCCTCGTTTTTCCAATTTGAGCTTTGATTGAGTAGGTAGTACACATATTCAAAAATTTAACCATATTGGCCGGGAACGGTGGCTCACGCCTGTAATCCCAGCACTTTGGGAGTCCGTGGCAGGTGGATCACTTGAGGTCAGGAGATCGAGACCATCCTGGCTAACATGGTGAAACCCCATCTCTACTAAAAATACAAAAAAAAATAGCTGGATGGGGTGGCATGCACCTGTAGTCCCAACTACTTGGGAGGCTGAGGCAGGAGAATCTCTTGAACCTGGGAGGCGGAGGTTGCAGTGAGCTGAGGTCGCGCCACTGCACTCCAGCCTGGGTGACAGAGCAAGACCCTGCCTCAAAAAAAAAAAAAAATCTAACCACATCAAAATATATACACCTCCATCCCCCATTGCTCTGGTCCCACCTTTACACTTCACAGGTAACCAAATTTTCACTTCATTTTTAAAGACTCCTTCAAGAGTCTTTATGGAAATACAAAATGTCCATTCCTCCTGTGTTTTTACAGAATTGTTAAAACATCACGCATTCTATTCTGTTTCTTGCTCCTTTCACTTTGCCCTACATCTTGGAGATCTTCCCACATAGATGTTGAAGAGAACATTCTCTTTAGTTGCTTAGCATTCCATCATGTGGCTGTGACAACATTTATTTCACTGGTAATCTATCCTTTGACAATTGGGTTGTTTCCAATATTTTTCTATTTCAAATGATACTGCAATGCTCTTGTATATACTATTCTCATACATGCCATTATATCTGCATTATAAATTACCAGAAGATTATGGAATCAAAGGAAACATGCAAAAACCACTTAACTGATTTCTCTGTTTCCACTCTTGACTTCTACATTACATTTCCAAGGGCATCTACAGTGGTGTTTTTCAAAATATAAATCACATTAGTCTGCTCCCCAGCTCAAAGCCCTCCAGTGGCTTTCTGCTGCATGTATATGGATTTAAATGCCTGATTTTAGTCTCCAATATCTACTTTTTTTGCACTTTACCTACTTGGCCACTCATCAGGCTCCAGCAATTTGTTATATTTCTAGAGCACACCTAACTCTCCTTGCCTTGACACTTGCTCATCCCTCTACCTGGCACACTCTTCAACCAGATCTTTACATTTTCCCTTTCTATCAACCAGATCTTTACATTTCCCCCCCGCCCCCCATCTTCGGATCAGCTTAAATATCACCTCCTCAGGAAGGCTTCCATGATACATCATCTGAAGCCCTCCACCCTCACCCTCACTGCTGATTCTATTCCAGTATATCATTGTGTTTTATTTTCTTTATTGCTCTTCCTCTTTCTATCCCAAGCCCTTAAAACAGTGTCTGATAACAAATGTTTGTTGAATTAGTGACTTAACATCTCAGTAAATTTACTTCCAGCATCTTTCCAAAAAGATATTTTTTACATAGGTGAGATGAAATAATGCAAATAATTTTCTTTCCTTTTATCATCTAGTGTTATATTTAAGCATTTCTCCAGGAAATTAAAACTTCTTTGCAAACATTCTGTTTTATGAATTCAGGACAACTTATCATAGGGAGAGATTACAACTTTTTATTTTTTTATTTTTTTTTATTTTTCATTTTTAATTTTTTGAGACAGAGTCTCGCTCTATCGCCCAGGCTGGAGTGCAGTGGTGCAGTCTCAGCTCACTGCAAGCTCCGCCTCCCGGGTTCAAGCGATTCTCTTGCCTCAGCCTCCTGAGTAGCTAGGACTACAGGCACACGCCACCACGCCCAGCTAATTTTTGTATTTTTAGTAGAGATGCAGTTTCACCATGTTGGTCAGGATGGTCTGGATCTCCTGACCTCAAGATGTTCCCACTTTGGCCTCCCAAAGTGCTGGGATTAGAGGCATGAGCCACTGCACCCAGCTGATTATAACTATTTTAATCATTCACTTTGTTAGGTAGATAGGTTTCTACAATTTTTGTTATTTGAATTAACACAACAATAAGCATATTTAAGCAAAAATATTTGTCTATAACTTTGAACTGGATTTACTAGGTTCAAAGGGTAAAATCTGTTTCAGCAACCAGATACTTTTTATCAAATAGCTTCTCAGAAGATTGCAATAACTTACAACCTTCTAGCAGTAAATCACCCAATCTTCAGCAGCTTTCATATTTTCTTCAGTATTTACTAATTTCATAGGTAAAGTGGTTCATTTCTTAAATTGTCCCTTCTTATAACTAATGAAGCTGAATATTTATTTAGTTCGTCTTTGACTGATTTATAACAACATTATATCAACACCCATTTCCACAGGCTTACAAAGAGTTTGGCTGTATTAAAACCCAAGACATCAAGTAATATGGCTGTGAATTTTCTGCCATGGGAAAAAAAGTAGTAAACCACCTATGGGATTACAGCATAAGTACAACTTGCTTTTCTCTTACTTTGGGAAAGATGAACCTCCTTTATAGTACAATTTTCAGGAAATGCATTGCACTTCCCTTGTTTTCCACATAGGATGTAATTTCCAGCACCACTGCAACATCTTCCAAGGGAGGCATTTTTAAATCACTGACAGATATTGTGAAGGTTCCATCATGGAGGTTCCATATAGCGACTTTTGTTTTGCATTTTCCTGGCCATACTTCTGTTTAGAACCTACCATTAACTTTGATAATTTAATTTTACCCCTTTCCTAAGAATAAAATCCATGCACATGTCAGTATCAGCAAAATAACATCACTTCTCTCTTCTATAGCTTCAGCTAACCTTTAAGTGAATCTTAAAATTTTCTATAACCATCTTCCAAAACTAGGCATTTTATCCAATAATATAAAATTAGCATGTTATAGAGGGTGCTGCACAAATAGCCTACACTGATTCACAGATGACTTTAAAAATTCAGTGAGCCAAGAATCCCACATTATTGATTCATGCTAACAAAACGATGAAGTACAGCTAATCTTTAAAACACATGCTGGGCAGAATGACATTTATAAATGCAGACAGACCGAAACCAATTGGACATAATTCTTTACGGATTAAACTGATGGCTGCAATTAGACCTAAGAAGGTGAGCAGTCTCTCTGCTGGGAACTGAGACTCAGCCTCCTGGGTCCAACTCCAATTTTCTCTCATCCTTGGCTAAACATGGTATTCCACTGTTCCACTGACCGGCTAGTTGAGTAGAGTTCCCCATGACTACTCAGGTTAACTAAATTGGTTTGTAAAATATGACATGTTACCACTTTGGCTTGCCTCTTTGACTTTTAATAACAACTGCCCCGAAGGGGGCTATGATTAGGATCATCATAGCATGATGCTATCAGTGTAGAATACCAGATGAGCCCAGCAAAGAGCCTGTAGGGACAGAATATGGATATATCCCTTTGTATCTGCCCTGTCCCTCTCCCTCTCCCTCTCTCTCTCCCTCCCCCTCCCTCCCGCCCTCCCTTCTTCCTTCCTTCCTTCCTTGTCTCCCTCCCTGTCTCTCTCTCTCTCTCTCTTTTGACATAGTCTTGCTCTGTTGCCCAGGCTGGAGTGCAGTGGTGCAATCTCAGCTCACTACAACCTCCACCTCCCAGGTTCAAGCAATTCTCCTGCCTCAGCCTCCTGAGTAGTGGGATTACAAGCGCCTGCCACCACAACTTGCTTTTTGTATTTTTAGTAGAGATGGGGTTTCACCATGTTGGCCAGGCTGGTCTCAAACTCCGGACCTCATGTGATCCTCCCGTCTCGGTCTCCCAAAGTTCTGGGATTACAGGTGTGAGCCACCACACCCAGCCTAACTATGTTTTTCTGTTTAAAGAAATATCTGGGCTTGACTCATAGCTCCCAGTCCTAGGGAACAATTCTGTCTGCCATTTCAGAGTAGTTTCAAGATTAGGCTGATAAACATCACCCAAAGAACAGAAATTCTTATAGTCACCCAAACAACAGATAACTCTTATAGTCTTAAAATTCATAATGATTCTGCTTATTAGAAAAGCTTATTAGAACAGTGATAGGGTGAGAAATATTTTGCAGCCATGCAGTGTGACAGAAAGCACCTACGCTGGGAAATCAAATTCTGTCCCTGTCACTTAGTTACACAGTGAGGGCTCCATACATGTTATTATGTCCTAGTTTCCCCACTCTACCTACAACCAGCAGGGTTATTTTGAGACTCTCTTGAGATGGCTCAGGGAAGCTCTTAAAAGAGCCTAAAGCACATAGTCTTAAAAGAACTGCCATCCACATTTGATGGTCTCTTGGCTCGCTCTCTCTTCTTCATCTTCTCACCGCATTCTTTTCCTTCTTTACTCTTTACTATGCGCTTAACATTTTGGGAACCAGCAAGAATACACCCAAAGAGAAACTCCAGGAGCGGGGCAATTTCAGGGACATGGAATTAGCATTTCTATAATCGTTAGGACTCTCTTGTTAAAAATGAGTAACAAACAAACAAAAACCTTGAATTACTCTGAGAAATGGAGGTAAAGTTCTGGTCACATAGAACACAAGTTTTGTCCCAAGGGCATAAAATCTCCTTGACAGGCTCAAACTCAGTTTGAAAATTCATAATTATTCAGTTTAACAGAGGGAGAAGGGAGACTGATGGATGGAGGATGATGGCATGTTTACTTGTTGCAGCAGTGGGGTAGAACACAAATTCCAACTTTTCAAATAAGACCTTCATGGAGTAAGTCTCTTCTACTAACGGGCTGTGGAATTTGGGGCAACTAACTGTATTAGTCCTTTTTCATGCTGCTGATAAAGACATATCCAAGGCTGGGTAATTTATATTTTAAAAAAAAGAGGTTTAATGGAATCACAGTTCCACGTGCCTGGGGAGGCCTCAGAATCATGGTGGAAGGCAAAAGGCACATCTTACACGGCAGCAGGCAAGAGAGAATGAGAACCAAGTGAAAGGGGTTTCCCCTTATAAAATCATCAGATTGTGAGGCTCATTCACTGCCATGAGAACAATACGAGGAAAACCACCTCCCATGATTCAATTATCTCCCACTGGGTCCCTTCCACAACATGTCGGAATTATGGGAGCCACAATTCAAGATGACATTTGGGTGGGGACACAGCCAAATCACATCACTAACCTAACCTCATTGAGCCTCAGTTATCTCATCTGTAAAATGGAGATAAAGATGACCATAGTAAATAGAACTAAATTCATGACTCAAATGATGTCATGAAGATTCACTTTCTTTTTTAAAATATCAATAATTATTTTATGTGGTATACATTTAAGGGGTACAAGTGCAATTTTGTTACACACACATATTGTCTAGTAGTGAACTCTTGGTTTTTAGCATGTCCATCACCCAAATACTGTACATTGTACCCATGAGGTAATTGATCGTCACCCTCCCCACTTCCACTCTCTCACCTTTCCAAGTCTCCAATGTCTATTGTTCCATACTCTACGTCCATGTGTACACATTATTTAGCTCTCACTTACTTCTGCATCTTTTAACCCTATCTTTTGCCATGCAAGCTTTGTTCTTAGGATCCTAGGTGCTCCCAGCTTCTCCAGCCTTCCCCTAGGTTAAAGTCCAGCTAAAATGCAGGCGCTTCACCCAAAGTCCTGAGGCTATTTGATTGGCCTGGGGAATGCGGGTGCTGATTGAAGCCTGAGAGTCCTTTTCCATCCAGAATCCTGGAGTCAACCCTTCCCAAACTGTGTGGGATAGAAAATGGAAATGGGCTAGGCGCGATGGCTCACGCCTGTAATCCCAGCACTTTGGGAGGCCGAGGTGGCGAATCACCTGAGGTCAGGAGTTCAAAACCTGCCTGGCCAACATGGCGAAACCCCACCTCTACTAAAAATGCAAAAAAAAAAAAAAAAAAAAAATTAGCCAGGCTTGGTGATGGGCACCTGTAATCCCAGCTACTCGGGAGGCTAAGGCAGGAGAACTGCTTGAACCCGGGAGGTGGAAGTTGCAGTGAGCCGAGATTATGCCATTGCACTCCAGCCTGGGCAACAGAGCGAGATTCCATCTCAAAAAACAAAGAAAATGGAAATGATAAATGTCTAGAGTGATGGATATCCCAATAACCCTGATGTCATCATTACACACTATCTGACTGTATTACAATATCACAAATACCTCATAAACATGTAAAGCTATGTACAACTATTACATATTCAAAATAATTAAAAATGAAAAAGAAAGTGGAAGTGGTGGATTCCCAAACAAACTAGGAAGCTGTAACCAGAAGATGAAAAAAATGAATGCACCAGAGGCAAAGCACAGTTGTTTGCCATGTTTGCCCAGCTGAAAATCAACGGCAATGTTTTTTGTCAGTCATTCTTAACCCTGGTTGCAGATTAAAATCACCTGGGAGCTAAAAAAAAAAAAAAAAGGATGGCTGCTATCTGGGCTTCAACTTCAGAAAGGTTAAATCAAACTCCCTGAATGTGGGAACTGGACAGTGGTGGTTTAAAAGCACCCAGATGATCCTAACATTCAGCCACGGTTGAGAACGGTGTCTATGTAGACTTGTGTACACATCCAGAAGGGATGTTTAGGTGGGGGATTTTCTTCTGAAACTTCTATACAAAATTAGAATTCCCATCTAAGAAGTTGGAAAGACTGCAAATTTAGAAGACACTAGGATCTTGTCAGTGTTGCTACTTCTCAAGTAATTACAGACCCTCAGAGTCTGAAAGATTCGGGCTAACAATGAGTTACAGCCTCCATTCAAAATATGAATCAACTCCAGGGCAGTCTGATGTCCAGTTTTTTCTTGTACGTCTCTAATAATTGTGAACTCATGACTTTATGGGGTAACATAGTCTATTTTGTTTTTTGTTTTTGTCATAGCTGTGACTTCCTAAGACCTACATACGAGAATTCTGACCCAAAGCTCTAAAAAATCACCTCTCTCTATAATCAATATGACTTAAAATGTACTCTTTGTTATCTGGCACACATCCACAGCTAGTTAGCAATAGAGCTGGAAGTTGATCCAGGTTTACTTTGAACTACATATACATATATATATATATATATATATTTTAGATGGAGTTTTGCTCTTGTTTTGTTGCCCAGGCTGGAGTGTAATGGCGTGATCTTGGCTCTCCACAATCTCTGCGTTCTGGGTTCAAGCGATTCTCCTGCCTCAGCCTCCCAAGTAGCTGGGATTACAGGCATATGCCACCACGCCCAGCTAATTTTGTATTTTTAGCACAGATGGGGCTTCTCCATGTTGGTCAGGCTGGTCTTGAACTCCCGACCTCAGGTGATCCACCCGCCTCAGCCTCCCAAAGTGCTGGGATTACAGGCATGAGCCATTGTGCCTGGCCTAAACTACTTCAATATTACACCATCTATAGTAAAAAAAAAAAAAAAAAAAATGGGGAGGAAGGGGTGTTAATAAAACTGAAAAAGCTGGAAAACAAAATGATGTAAGTAAACCCAAACAAATGTGTTATGGCAATAAATGTAAATCTTTTAAGCTCCCACTTGAAAGTCAGAGACTCTGAGATTGGATCAAAAGTTAAATTCCCACCTTATACTGTTTGCATTAGCTAAGCCTAAAACAAAATCACATATTTGGGTTAAATGCAAAAGAAGAGGCAAACAGGTGCCAGTCCAGTACAAACAAAAGTCAAGCCAGAGGCAGCAATTGAATGTCAGGCACTGTAGAATTCAAGCAAAATACCTTAAAATAGAACAACAGGATTGTTTTATACTGATAAATATCCAATTCACAAGGCAAATCAACAGTCATAAATGTTTACTTGCTGAAATCATTAAACACCTAGAGCTAAAATTACTAGCAATACAAGAGACAAATGACATAAACACAATCAATGGTGTGAGATTTTAACACTCAAGAGTTTTTGACAGATTAAGTAGACAAAAATAAATAAGGATGCAGTGGATCTGCATAATATAATTAATGCTGACTGAATAGATTTTTAAACATTATATCAAGAAAATAATTGAACTTCTTGTAAGAGATAAACTAATACAATTTCCAAAATATATATCATTTTAGGTCACACACACCCAAAACAACAAAGTTTGGTAAGTGGTAGTTCAGGTCACGTTCTCTGGGCATATATAGAAAATACTAATGTATAAGGATATATAGGAAATGTATATAAAATGGTATTCTGTGGGCATCCATATTAGAAAACACTTCAAAATCTAAAAAGTAAATAAATCAAAAACCCATCCAAAATTTCAAAAAGCTAAAAATAATTTCCAGATCTTTCAAATTGAAAATCTGTCTCCTAAATAACATGGTAGTCAAAGAGAAAATTAAAATATTGGTTATAGATTACTTAGAAATTAATGATCTGAGAAAAACAATATACAAAAATGTGATAATCCACAATTTCAGCCTTTATTAAACAAGAAAAAATGAAATTCACTGAGGAAAGCACAGCAATGAATTTTCTTCAAAGGGAGCAAGTAAAAACTAAGAAAAGCATAAGGAATAAATAAAGGGCGGATTTTAAAATCCCAATAATTAGAAAAGCAAATAATCTGTATAGTTAATATATAAATCTAAATGGTGTTTTGTTTGTAAACAGAAATATTAACAATTTAGAAGTTAGAATAATAGCTAATGTTTATTGAGCACTTAGTATGTGCCTCACAGTGATTAAGTATGTTATTAACAATACCACAGGCTGGGCGTAGTGGCTCTCACCTGTAATCCCAGCACTTTGGGAGGCTGAGGCGGGAGGATCACTTGAGGTCAGGAATTTGAGACTAGCCTGGTTAACACAGGGAGATCCCGTGTCTACAAAAAATTTAAAACATTAGCCAGATGTGGTGGTGTACATCTGTAATCCCAGCTACTCAGGAGGGTGAGGCAGGAGAATCCCTTGAGCTAGGAGGTAGAGGATACAGTGAGCCATGATCAGGCCCCTGCACTCCAGCCTGGGTGACTGAGCAAGACCCTGTTTCCAAATAAACTAACAAACAAACAAACAAGGAGGGCCCTATTATTGTCTTGATTTTACAAGTAAAGAAATTGAGGAAGACAGAGAGGACCACAATGGGCCCAAGAGCACCCAAGCGGTGAGTAACAGAATGACCTAAGCTCCTAACCAACACTTTATATAACCTCTCAATATGAAGAATGAGGGTAAAAGCCAGAAATTAGTAATTACAAGGTAATTGAATATATATACTAAACATATAATTTCATGCTAAATAACTCTGAAAATCTTAAGGATATTTATGGCTTTCTTAAAAAATAAATTATAAATATTGACTCAGTTGGAATTTGAGTATATCAAAAGTTTAGGAGAAATTGAATAAGTCATATAAAAATCATCTCTGAAGGAAGTACTAGGCCTAAATTATTCTAAATGTTCAATATTTCAAAATTTGGAAAAATAAATAATTCCCATGCTAGGTAACAATTTAGGAAGAAAAAAAATGTGTCCTGATTTCTCTAATGAGGTTGGCATGAGTCTGTTGCTGCGACCTAACAAAATCCAAAGAAGGAAGAAGCTCTGATCCAATCTTACATATTGATATAGCTATAAACACACTAGATAAAATACAAGCAAACCTAATTCGGCTATGCTTTTGAAGGATAATTCACCACAACCAAGTAGATTTTATTCCAAGAAACCAAGGATGATTTAATACTAGAAATAATTTAGTATTCAGAAATCTATTCACATCATTTATCACACCAATGGGTCAAAGGAGAAACATCATAGTCAAATAGTACAAGGTCTTTGACAAAATGCAATACCATCTCTTATTTAGTCTTTAAAATGCAGAAATCTTGGAATAGAGGAGTATTTCGCTAACATTGTAAAGAATAGTTCTCATGTATCAACAGCTGACACTTTACTGAACTGTAAAATACCAGAAATGCTCCTGTTAAAGTCATGGACAAAACAGAGGTCTTGCTTTTCAACAGTTTTAGATACTGAAGAAGACAAGGAGGAAAACTAAACTTTAGTTTACCACCAGCTTGGAAGCACAGGCATTGCCATTTGACCTGGGCTTGGATTTTGGCTGCCTCCCTCTCCAGTAGTTGAGCCCTATTTTGGTAAATCAGTAAGTCAGTTTCTTCTGCATGAGGAATGGTAAAAGGACAGTGAGGATTAAATAAGCAGACACAGGCTGGGCACGGTGGCTCACGCCTGTAATCCCAGCACTTTGGGAGGCCGAGGTGGGCGGATCACGAGGTCAGGAGATCAAGACCATCCTGGCTTACATGGTGAAACCCCATCTCTATTAAAAATACAAAAAATTAGCCGGGCGTGGTGGTGGGTGCCTGTAGTCCCAGCTACTCAGGAGGCTGAGGCAGGAGAATGGCGTGAACCCGGGAGGCGGAGGTTGCAGTGAACAGAGTTCGCGTCACTGCACTCCAGCCTGGGCGACAGAGCGAGACTCCATCCCAAAAATAAAAAATAAAAAATAAAAATAAAAATAAAAATAAAAATAAGCAGACACAGAGAGACCCCTTGGCACAATGCCTGATGCAGGGCAGCGTCTGAATTCACAACTGCTTCCAGGCTCAGAAATATCAGTTGTTTCTTTACTAGAAAACATGGTAAGGTCAACTGATAAATGATTAGAAGTACCCAAGAGTTTAATAAAATATCCAGAGGCCATCTAAATACATACAAATAGCAGTGAAAATTGGTTAGAAGTTAGAAGTGTCTCAACAGGCCTCTTGCTGACAATTGGATTTTGTAGACTGTTGTCTTTACTGCAAGGCCCTCCCCATCCCATTGTTGCCTCATCCCCAACCAGCCATTATCTTATAATTATTGTTTAGGTTTCAAATCATTCATCACTCCTTGTGGAAGCTTTTTCTGACCCCCAAGCCAAACCCCCTACCAAGTGTACTTTTAACTGGATCATCTTCTTTGACACACTTGCCATAGCAGAAGTTTTATATTTTTGTAGAATTATTGGATTAATATTTGTTTTCTACTCAAGGCTTAAGTTCTGAGTACACTATGCAGCTATTAAAATTATGTTTATGTAAAAGAATTTAATGTCTACATATGAATTTATTTTTCAATGCATCATATAAATCAGTATATAAGCACTCAATCTTCATTTCTAAAAATTACACATTAGTATATGCATAAAAGATAAAAAGATACTCATCAATATATTAACAGTAATACTAGATTTTTATTATTTAAATTTTCTTTCTCATATTCATTAATGCTTTTAAATATTTAACATAAACAAACAGTATTTCTTCTTTAAATGATAGGGATTTGCCAAATATCTAAATTTTTAAAACACTTAAAATAGATACTTTTCAATTTTTTTTTAACATCAGGTGACAGGTGTTTAGGTGGCTGGTCATTGATGCTGACCACATATAAATATATATATATATATTACCTAGAATTGTCTTCTTTCAAAAATTTATCTTTCTGACTGGTAAAATGTTATTCCTACCGAAGAGAGCAAAGAATTGAGCACATTAAAAAAGAATCAGCAATGATGGTAAAATCTGGAGAAATATTTTACTCTCATTAATATAAGAACAAGCCCATATCTCAGCCCCCACACAATTAAACATCTAGCACCCCTTCACTTACACACACACACACACACACACACACGACAATAGCAATTGGTCACCAAATGCACACTGAGCATCTACTACGTAGCTCAGCCCAGAGCTAGCTGTTCAGAGGGCTTAGTCCCTGCCCTTGATGAGGTCATTGGCCACCGAGACCAACACATTGAGAAAAGAAAACCAACAGCACAAAATGGAATCTGAACACTGACAAACAAGTGTTAGACAGTAGTTTTGCACATTTTCAGAGTTACACCTTCCCACCCATCACGGGCTGCCAGCAGAACTCCCGGTGGTGGTGTGAATCAACTCTATTTCCATCGTAGCAGTATAAATAGAGGAATGACTTGAGGAACTCCCCGTGCTAACCAAATACATTCAAACACCTTTATTGGGGTCTGTTCTTTTGCCACCCCCTAGCTGGGGTGTTGTCTTCTAGTCTGCAACCACAGAGCAGTGCACCTGCCAAAACTTCTTCAAATGGTCTTCTTCCATTTGGGGCATCTGATTCTGCTCTCTCCTCTCCCACAGGAAGCCTGGGTCAAATGCCCATCCTCCTTTTTCTCACAGTCTCCTAAGGTCCTTTTGTTACTGTTCTTGACACCCTATATTCTACTTTCTTCTTGCCCTCTCTGATTCACCGACCAGACCAAAGCTCTTCGTAGTCATTTTTTATGTATCTCAGTAGGTCCAATTCCTAGCTCTGTGTTCTAGACATACTTTGTGCTTGGCAAATATATACCACTTTCAATCAATGAAGAATGAATAAATGAAATTCATCTCTGGACACCTTTACAACCTTGCATTCCTTGCCTTTGCTTAAGCTGTTCCATGCATCTGAGATGCCCTTTTCTCAACTCATTTCCATATGTTCAAATCCTAACCTCCATCCTTAAAGTTCTAGAATGAATGCCTTCTACTCCAGGAAAACTCCCCTGGCCTCTCGGCCATCAGTGACTTCCCCCTCTTCCAACTACTACAGTTCTTTATCAATTTCCCACATTCTACCCAGACTTAGTGTTATTCATGGACATATTTTTACATGCCCCTCCCCATTAATTGATATACTCTGTGATGTCAGAGACTATGTGTCTCCTCTATCCTGGTCCTCCTCCCAGTGACCACATTATAGACAATAAATTAATAATAGACTTATTATGGACACATGCAGGATTAGTGCCTTGGAGATGTCAGCCCTTTGTTCATTTCTTCCATGGCTGGATTTGGCAAATTTGAACAGAAGGAGATATGGTAAAGACAAGCTCTTGGATCTTATTAGGAACTCAAATATTTCCATTCCTGCCATTTTTTATGGGATGTGTTTTAACTTGGCCTACCAGGAAATGTGTGTGATTTACTATAAGTATCCGAATGAACTTAAAGTGTCAGGAGAAACATGAGACCATCATCTGAGTGGGGGGGGAGGGTAGAAATTGATGAATGAAATTCTTCCTGGAAATACATTCTTCCAGGAGGGGGATGCAATGACATCTCCACCTTGTCTCATCAAAGCATACTTCTGAAGAGAGAAGACTTGGTGGACACAGGTCAGGAGAGCTGGCTGACCTTGCTCTCCTCTAATTTTTGAGCTTTCCCAAACACACTATTTTTCTTCTCCTGCCTGGGCTTGATCTTGGCGGCTCATGCAGCAATAAGGGGAGTTATTTTGGGGAGACAGTTGATGCTTGGCGAGTCCTCCTACAGATCAGCAATAGCTGTTTGAAATGTTAAATGCCTCCCAGATGGAGATACTTAGCATTTGTAGGAGGAATAATTTGGAGGAGAAAAATGCATTTGTCTTTTTGGCATCCTGTGGATTGCGTTACAGAAGACAGAGAACACTGTGAATCCTGCCATCCACATGTCAGTGTTTTCCTGGAATTTTGCTAGTCCCAGGTGACTGTGCTGCTGCTGCTGCTGCTTCTGGGGACATCAAGGTTTGGATATGCCAATGCTCAAGGGAAAAGTATATGGGACTGAGTCTCAGAGGTCAGAGAGCTTCCAGAGTGCCCAGGAACCATCAGGGCTTAGCCTCCCGGCTACCATTGGCAAATGCTTCAATCATGTAGACCAGATGGTTTTTACTTTTGGGTGTGGTCTTTTATACACAGGGAGGCTGAAAAATGTAGTGCAGACTAGCAGAGAGAACCAGGGATTGAGAGGCATGAGTTCTGGCCTTGCTTTTGCCACTAACTTTCTTTGTGGCTTCAGGCAAACCACCTTGTCTCACAAAGCCTGTTTCCCCACCTTTGAGGTGAAAAGATTGGATTAGATCATCTTTAAATTCTTCCCTAACTAAAGAACAATGCTATGGTACTTGTTGTCATGGCTTATGAAGAAGGTGACATTATGGCAGAAGGGTAACTTTGAGTTTTCCTTCAATATGAGCTTCCAGGTGCTAAGGAAGAGAAGACTTCATTCAATTGTTCATCATGCCCCATTATTCATGGCAAGGATAGAGTGGGTCATTCACAAAAAATACTGAATCAATGACCCTTTTATTTATTTCTTGGCACCCATGAGAGCTCTGTGGCCCATCAGTAAGCTTCATCAAAAAGTTATGCCTTTGAGTAAGCAGCCACTTTTAGCACCAGAGTGAATTTGAGCTGGATAGAAAGCTCAGTTCTGAAAAATTGTAACTGGATAATTGTAGTGTAAGTGTTCTCACACCACACTGAGATGTGCAAAGAAAAGTGTGCCTCCTTTATCTTCTATGCTAGCCTCACACACATTTTAGAAATCCCCTCATCCCCTCAGGTAGGTGGGTGGGTGGATCAGGGGTGCTACATTTAGTTAAATCCAGTCAGCTTTGTCCTATGCAATGATGAAAATAATCTCTATAGGAAATTCATGCTCTTTTGGATAATGCTGTCTTTCCAATTTCTCTCTTCTCCTCCTGATCATTCCTGAGATAGATTCTGGGTACTGGGGAGAGCGGAAGAAGGCAGCCTTGGGTTCTTACATGTTTTAGGCTCCCCTGTGCCCTGCAGCAATGCACTGTGCCCCTCTGGTCATTGGTCATTTTATCAGGATCTGATGGAAAAGCTGGGGCTGCTAACTTATGGGCTATTTTCCTACTTTGTCTGGACACAGATTCTGACTTGACCTCACAATGGCTGTTTGGAGGGCTGGACATACCTGATTCCAGTGTGCCCTGCTCTGGGAACCATATAACATAGCCCTCAGTTGCAGAGTAATGTATCCCACCCTGGTAAACCCCCTAGATGGAATCTCAGCTACCTTTCTCCTCTTCCATCATGAGGCATGGGTAAATAGTTTGATTCATTCTACCATACAAGATTTTAGTGTCACTTGGGAATAATAATGCAACCCCTTTCCCTCTCTACCCTTCTCTTTCTCTGCATCTCCGTATCTCTAACTTTGTGTTTCTCTTCCCTCCATTGTTATGCTACTATCACTTTGCTATGGAAGTCTCAATGTTGGTTGAAGCAGCTTGGGAGGTGTCTATTTCCCGAATCTCAACCTACATCCAAGGCTTGAGCCTCAGAAGAGATAGGAAGGACCCATGCACACCTCCCAGCATGAGAGCATCCTCTTTTCCTTATCTCAATCCATTCTGAGCCAGAAAAACACGTGATTTCCACTTTTTCCTATCCTGTGATGGTTTTGCCTATATTTTATCCTCCTGTTTTCTGAGGTAAATTTCTTTTCCTCTTGCTTTTCCTGGGGAAAATGGTACAATGGTTGCCTGGAAATGCAATGTTTGTGGTATAAGATAAAAACAAATAAATAATATTTTAAAATATTATTTCCATTACAAAATCATTTCTTAAATTGCTGAAAGAGATTTGCTTGACTGAGGTTGATACACTTTCTTCTCTGTGAGCCTTCCACCTATAAAACAACATGGTTAGACCTCACATTCATTAAAATCCTTTCCAGTTCTTGTGTCTTAGTCTCACTTAACAATGAGATGCTATAAGAGGCTCACAATGCTCTCCAGATAATTTTCCAAATGAGTCATTCTATTCCCAAACCAGTTAGAGTATATTTGTTTGGCATCTTACCAATAAAAAAAAAAAATTGAGCTTATCAATCTTTTGCCCAGCTAAACCCTACTATGAGTCCTGAGACTTAATCATTTACTACTAAGTAGCTACGGATACAGTTTATCCAACAAGACTAGAAACCACAGAATAACCCATGAAGAATCCAGTTAACACAGGAAGTGACTTTCAAGTCAGAAAAAGGAGGAGAAGCAAACCAAAATGGCAGCTGACAAGAGGAATTAAGTTCTCCTCTAACTGGCTAAAGCTTGAGACTGGTGGCTTCTCATAAGGTGAAATGGGAAAGCCCAGATTCCAGACATATCAACACAGAGGTCCTGGTATATCCTATTGTAACAAGGAATTAACTAAAATGGAGCAGGGAAACTTCCTGGCGGATTCCAAGATTCTGAAAGTGAAAAGGCTGAAACATGATATCTACACACAAAGTGCTCTAAGGAAAAGAATCCAGGGGCAGTGGTTGAAGGCTTGATGATTGATCTCCAAGTTGAAGTTGTCTCAGTTGCTCTAACATATGCACATAATCTCCCCCACTTTATACACAATCCATACATTGTCTAGGATTTTGTTTGTTTGTTTGTTTTTTGAGATGGAGTCTCACTCTGTTGCCCAGGCTGGAGTGCAGTGGCACCATCTTAACTCACTGCAACTTCCGCCTCCCATGTTCAAACGATTCTCCCCCCTCAGCCTCCCAAGTAGCTGGGATTACAGGCACTGGCCACCACGTCCGGCTAATTTTTGTATTTTTAGTGGAGACGGGGTTTCACCATATTGGCAAGGCTGGTAGGATTTTTTTAAACAAAAAAAAATTGTAGTAATTATGAATGGCACATTTTAGCTATTCTAAGTAGGGATGAGAAAGTGAACTCTGCCATTCAGAAAAATAGAATAAAAACATCTTTCTGGGAGGATGTATTGTTGAATTGTTATGTTCCATTCTTTTTGCCTATCAGGAAATATTTATTATGGCTGCTGTATGTAGTGTGCCAGGCACAATGGGATACTGTATTATGCAGCACAGGTTCAGTCCCTAACCTTGCTGCTAAAAATCAAGTAGAAGAGGTGAGAAAATAAACCAAACATTCCACTAACTGTACTAAGTGCTAACATAGGCGATGTAGATAGGTGTCTGGATTCGGATTTCTATGGAAGCTCTAACTTATCCAGTGGTGAGGAAGGTGAGAAGTCAAGAAAGTTTCCAAGAGGAAATAAATTTCAATGGACAGAACTAGTAATCCCAATTGGCCTCCATAAAGACACTTTCCAGCAAAAGGAGATAATAGCCTCCCACATTTGGATTCCCAGATTTCAGCCCCAATGGCACTTGAGTTGTCAGACTCAAAGAAGTAAGACATAGTGTGTTTTCCTCAACCTCTCTCCACCTCCTACTTGAGCCCATTCCTAATCTATCGGTCTCTACTTATAAATATCTACTAAACTTCCAGCAGCTCTGCATGGCTGCCTTTAATGTTGACACAGAGAACAAGAGGGTGATGTTTCTTGGAGCTTCCCAAACTACAAAAAACCTGCTAACACTTGAAAACCACAACCCTGACAAACACATCATAGTCTGGGAGTTCCAGCACTGAGCCAATTTTATGCATGCATTTATTTGTTTGTCTAAAGGGAAGGACTTTCTTCAACCACTAAAAGAGTTCCTCAAAATTCCCTAGTTCCCAATGCAGGCAGACATGAATAATGTATTTAAGGCTGCTTTTTTTTTCATTCCTTGTCTTCCAGCAGCCCTCAGGGGCTGCCATATTGAGTTTCAGCACTCACAATCCTGGTCGCAAGGAAGAACATGCCTAGAATCATGCATTGAGTGGCCAAACGCACCCCAGGGCCTCCAGTTTTATCCCCTTAACAAGGGACTTGAAGAGTCTGCTGAACAACCAGCTGACGCTAACTGACCTCACAGGAGGCTCATAACAGGAATGTTATCTGTCAGGAACTGGTTTTCTTAAAACTGATTTTACCTAGCAAGCAAAGAATCACTCATTTTTAAAAAAAGGGAACATCCTGAGGTTGTAAGAAAGACAGTTATGGCTTCAGATTCAGCTCTTGGATTTGCTTGCTATGTGATATTGGGTAAGTCACTTAACCTTTCCGAGCCTCAGTTTACTCATCTGTTCAATGGGAAACATTGCTTTCTTGTAAGCGTATTATTTTAAAAATAAGTCTTATATTTGCCAAAACAATGTGTACACATTGCTTTATTAAAAAATCAAAGAGTGTTGAAAGTCTTAATAAAAGTCTTTTAATAAAAAAAAAAAATTCAACTCTCATCACCCCTGAATCTTACTCCCTGGGGTAGCTGCTCCCAACTCCTCTGGCTGATTATTTTAATATTCTACAGATTTAAATACTGCAGATTTCTCCATTCTTAGATCCCTCCACCACCTTTTTTTTTTTTTTTTTTTTTTTTTTTTTTTTTTTTTTTAGGTTGCTTGTTTGGGTCTCTCTCTTCTGCATTGGAAATCCTCCCCATGGTCTGGTCAGCTTGAAGATCAGGACTCTAAGAAGCCATTTGTGAGTTCCATGCACATGGGGTCTGGACTGTTGACTGATGAAATTCCTTGTAGGATGATGAGGCAGTGAGTCAGCCTATTCATTGGGAGCTACCATATTTCAGGATCTTGACGTCTTTTCTCAGGGATATGTCAGTTTCTCCAGATAAAAATCCTCTAAACATTTGGATGAGAAGAGAGAAGGGCTGAAAGGCTCAAGTCTTGACTCATTTCTCTTCCCACTGTCTACTGTCTCTGTTGACCCCTTAAGTCCTGAGTCTTTTTGGTTTATTACCCACAGAAATCCCATTTCTGTGTGGTGGGGGTGAGAGGAGAGAAGGGAGGTAGTTGTCTGACTGTGTCAGGGGAGGGATAGGCCCCTGGGAGCCACGAGCTCTGCACACGTTGCTAGATCCCACCTGCTCTCATCTTGCGTATACCTGGGTGCCTTAACATGCCTGGAATCTAACTCTTTATTCTGTGACGTCACTTGTCACTACTTCTCTCCTTTCCACTTTCCTCTCTCCCCTTCTTGCTTTATTCCTTTCTTTCTTCCCTTCTCCCTCACTTCCTTCCCTTGCTCCTTTCTTCCTTTCTTCCTGCTACCTTTTCAATGGAGGGAAATGAGATAAACTCAACATGACTCTCAGCTTTTCACCCCTTACTTTATAAACAGAAGTTCTGTTGGAAGGCCTAATTGAGAGGAAGGATGAGGAATCTCTTGCTGAACATCTGGCATAATATTTATATGCTCAGTTACACTTATTTCTGCATCATGCCTCTCAGCATCACCTTGGACATTCCCTGACATGCCCAAAGGAAAGAACGTGTGGCCTGAGACATAAGATTTTTAGGAAATTCCTAGAGCTCAGGGTGCATCCTCCAAGAGAGGGTGGGAGGGAGGGAGGGCTCTGAAATGCCCTCTTTCTCCAGGTCAGTCAATTAATTCAATTAATCCTCAAGACAACTTCATTAGGCAGTTGCTATGATGATCATTTCCATTTTATGCCCTTGGTCTTCATATCTATGCACTGTATTACCATGGCCTAGGACAGTCACTCATTTGGGGAAGAAAAAGGTGAGAAATAGCCCTTGACCTTCTGCCTGTCAACAGAGTTTAAAAAATACAACCATCTTTCCCTGTGGAAGCCTTCCCACCAGAACCTACACATACATAGAATTATCCTAGCGTGATCTCAGACACAGACACACACACACGCCTGCGTGCTCCAGAAAGTGGTAACTAATAAGTGAAACCAAGGTTCCGAGGTCTCCTGGTGCCTGAGCTCCCCTGCAGGGCTCCCAATCAATACAAGGTTTGCTGTCTGCAACTTGGCTGATTTACTAAGATTACAAATGAAAACCAGCCCCCAGAGGGTGCAGCGTTGCTGTAGCACAGAAGGAAAGCGTAATTCTTGCTTACACTCGGCTTTGTGATCGGTTTCTCCCCTGGTAGCTAGTCTTGTAACTTCTTTTTAGAGATGTCAATCTTATAAAAAACACACACACACAGCCCCAGACTTCTGCAGATCAAGACTTTCTCATCTCACTGGGGTGTTCTCTCCCCGCTAACCACAGGATACTCTGTTTCTCTGTGGCTGTTTCAAATGGAACAGCTCTTTTGGTAGTTTAAAAAATGTATATTGAATAGTGATAATAATAACTATCATTATTATTGTGCTTATTGTTATCATTTCTAGTTCCTGTGTCTAATTCTGTGTCAGATGTTGTGCAAGACACCATGTAGCCAATATCTCTACACCTTCCCCAACCCACACAGTTTATGTATAAGTATCATTTCCTGACAAATAAGGAAACTGGGGCTCAGAGATGGTAAACAACATCCTCAAGGTCACACAGCCAGTTAAGAGGGATTCAAACCCAGTTACCCTATTGACTGTGGTAGCTCTAGAACCTTCATTCCTAACACTAAGAAAGGATTTCAAATACAGGGTGACTGCCTTAAAAACCAGGCTGTCGGCCGGTTGCGGTGGCTCATACCTGCAATCTCATCACTTTGGGAGGCCGAGGCAGGCAGATCACGAGGTCAGGAGTTGGAGACCATCCTGACCAACATGGTGAAACCCTGTCTCTACTAAAAATACAAAAATTAGCTGGGCGTGGTGGCGGGTGCCTGTAATCCCAACTACTCCAGAGACTGAGGCAGGAGAATTGCTTGAACCTGGGAAGTGGAGGCTGCGGTGAACCGAGATGAGGCCATCACACTCCAGCCTGGGCAACAACTCTATCTCAAAAAAAAAAAAAAACCACAAACACACACACACACACACACACACACAAAAAAACAAACAAACAAAAAAAAAAAACCAGGCTGTCTTTCTGGGTTCTGTTGATGAATCTGCCTCAGAGACAATACCTGGATTCCAACATATTCCTCGGTTTCTGGATCCATCATCTTCATAGCTAAAAGAAAAAAAAAAGCCAACTGCCTTCCTCCTGGGAAATTTACATCTCTTAAAAGGGTAACAAATATCTCACATTTTCCATCTATAATATGAGCCATTGTCAGAGTTCTCCTTCCATGGGTCCACTTTATGCTCCAATGACCTCATAGCTCCCCAGATGTACAATGTAGGGGGCAAGAAAGCCTGGCTCTCTCCTTAAACTAAGGTTCGTTAGAAGATCCAAAAATAAAACTTTTAGGCCAGCTCAGGAGGTGAGGACTAGGCTATCTTGTCCCCCGCCCCACTAGAGGGAACACACTGGTGATCTACTTTGAAAATCAGGCAACTGGCTCCTGTAAGTGGCAGGTTTTGTAAGACATGCCTCAGCAAATCCATCTAATTCATCTGAGAATGCTCTTAGCTTCAAGTAATGGAATGGCCAACAAATACGTCCCTCCTTCCTCATAACCAGAAGGCTGCTGACCTTAGTTCAGTGGTCTAATGGCCTGAGGCCAGCATCTCTGTGATTCTCATGGCTTTCTCCTCATGGTCTGCTCTCGTTCCAGGCATCATGTCCAGAACCTGGGTAACATAAAACAGGAAATACATATGTGTGTGCCTGTGTGGATGTGTGTGATAATATATAGAGTGATGAATTCAGGGAGTATACCAGATATAGCTGTCCTTTTTTGTTTAACCAAGAAACCAAAAACTTCTGGAAACCTCTCCCAGCAAACTGTTATCATATTCTTGGCCATATCTATGTCATATAACTACTCTTAGCTCCCAAGAAATCTGGGAAATCAGGAGTTATAGTTAGGTACATTTCTACCCTGAATAAAATGGGATTTTTTTAATAAAAAAGAAGAGTAAATCAATGTCAGGTAAACATCCTCTGAATGATCAGTGCAAATCTGTTTGGGCACCCTGAATTCCAGTTGTCTCCAAGCATCTCAGGTGCTCCATAAGGACTTCTTCCTATCAGGATAAACCCCCAATTTTCCCTCAGGAGTTCTCAAATATCAATAATGGTGAAGGATAGCTGAGGTACGCATGAATTATTCATCAAGGTTTTTACTCTTTGATTTTTCTATAGGAGTTGATATACAATGTATCTTTGTTAATAACTAGAATCTGATTTGTGCATCTGATGGTTTAAATATTCTGCCTTAGGACATACCAATCACCCAGCATGTAAATGGAGTTCAGCCATATCCTAGTGGGATTAGAGGTAGAGAAACAGCCACATCTCAAGGAGCCCCTCACATACATGTTGATTCTAATTCAGTGTCTGCCTTTCACTCTTTGTCCGCCTGGACCCGTGTAACAGGTCTGCTGGAAATCCTTCATCCCAAATACTCAGCCAGTGTTGAACCCAGAACTCTTGCTAAAGTAAACAAGGAAAATATGGAAGGGGATTTTTTAAATAATCTTGGCATCCAACAGGCTGGGGTTGGAATCTTGGCTCTGTTGCTTAATTACTTTTTGACACTAGTCAGTTTATCTGACCTCTCAAGACCTCAGTTTCCCCAAATGAGCAGTAAGAACATCAATATTTACTTCAAAGAGTGATTTTCCAAGTTAGATAACATTTTTAACATATCTAGCATGGTCCCTGGCACATGATAGACATTAACGAAACATTATTCCTATTAGCATCCTTTTAAGAAAGCAGAGTTGAAATATAATTGAAATGCCAGGGGTTCAGTCTAGGTCCTGCTGCTCATAGCACAGAGAGCTAATCACTGAGACGATGAGTATTGCCAGGGAAGAAGGCTTTATTTGAGTGCTGCAGCCAAGGAAACAGGAGATTAGTCTCAAATCCATCTTCCCAACCAGGTAAAATAGGGCTTTATATAGCAGGGAAGAAATGTGGGGAAAATAGGAATTAGGGAGGAGCTAGAAAGAGGTCAATAGGAAGCAGGTGGTCATTAGGCACTCATGACAGGTGAGGGGTGTGGCATCTTATTGTCCAGATGTGGTGATCTGGTGAGTTTCCGTTCCTTGATACTATCTGGGAAGCCTGATGGTCAGTTTCCTGAGAAAGAAACTCAGTTAAGATAAATGTAAGTTTCAAGCTTTAAGACTGTGAGGGACAGACAAGGTGGCTCACGCCTGTAATCTAAACAATTTGGGAGGCCGAGGTGGGTGGATCACCTGAGGTCAGGAGTTTGAGACCAGACTGACCAACATGGAGAAACCTCATCTTTACTAAAAACACAGTATTAGCCAGATGTGGTGGTGCATGCCTGTATAATCCTAGCTACTCGGGAGGCTGAGGCAGGAGAATCGCTTGAACCTGAGAGGCGGAGGTTGCAGTGAGCCAAGATCATGCCATTGTACTCCAGTCTGGGGAACAAGAGCAAAACTCCATCTCAAAAAAAATTTTAAAAATAAAAAATAAAAATAAACAAAACAAAACAAAAAAGATTGTGAGGGTCAATTTCTATGTTTATTCAAGAAAAACCAATAACATAAATTCTGCGGGACCATTGGGCTGGTTTCAGTCTCTGCTTTCTATTTATCAGTTCCTTAATTATGGGGAATCTGGTCATTGATCTTTCTGTCTGCTTTATGCTGAGAAGGGGTGATGAGAATTTAGAAGGGGCTAAGAGCCGACCTACTGACTTACTTCTGGGGGCTATTTGTATGTTCAGCAGGGCAAGAGGCAAGACCTTTTCCCAGGTAAGATTTGTCTCTTGGCAAATTTTAGAAAGAAGTTTACAAAACTGCTTATGACTCAAAGGAATTTCCTTTGCCATTTAAGAGATCACACTCTAGCCTGGGAGTCCCAGCTTCCAAGGCTCCGAAGCTGAGCTGCATCTTCAGCACTGGCCTAAATGGGTGATCTCTTTTGAAGATCTGTGTAAGGACACCTACAACCACCAAAAAATAACATTATAACTAATCTTAGCCCTTAAAAATCAGTCCTTACATTCTGATGTGCCCACCTCTTCTGCAATTGTCTCTAGGCCTGGAGGGATTGAATAGTTTTTATTTCTGGCCCTGTGTCTCATGAAATCAGTTCATTTTGACGGTCACCTTCTCCTGGTCTGAAAATGGGGCTTTGATTGGTATCAATGTTCAAGATTTAGCAGTAGTCAGTGCCTTTTTCAGGAGTCAAAGTCCTGTAACTTAATGGCCCAAGGACTTTAAAAGCAACACAGAGGCCGGGTGCAGGGGCTCATGCCTATAATCCCAGCACTTTGGGAGGCCAAGGCAGGTAGATCACTTGAGGTCAGGAGTTCGAGAGAAGCCTGGTCAATATGGCAAAATCCCATCTCTGTCAAAAATACAAAAATTAGCTGGGCATGGTGGCACGTGCCTGTGGTCCCAGCTACTCGGGAGGCTGAGGCACAAAAACTGCTTGAACTCAGGAGACAGGTTGCAGTGAGCCAAGATCACACCACTGCACTCCAGCCCGGGTGACAGAGCAAGACTCTGTCTCAGAAAAAAAAAAAAAAAAAAGAAGTAATTTAGAAAGTTACATGGATACAAAACCTTAAATCTTAGTTTTTTTAAGCAATTTGAAAAAAACAAAACTAAGAATGATGACATAGGAATTATCTAGGTAAAACATAAAAACTGGCCTAACCAGTTACCAAAAGGCAAAGAAAGACCTTCTGCAGTGTGATTGCTTCTCCTTATGAAAAGCCTACTTAGATAACCTGAAAGTCAAATCCAATGAACACTTTAGACATATCAAGAAAATCCAAATGTACAGAATCAAATTATACTGGGGGAAAACATTATGGTTCTAGACCCTCAAGATAAACATTTCAGCGTCAGGCAGTTAGACAGCAGCAGGTAGAACCAGAGGTAAAAAGTTACAGTAGCTGACAAAAAAGTTGAAGGAGAAAGTTATCATCTCAGTCCTTTTCAAGTGGAGGAAAAAATTGAAAGCCACTAGTAAGACATAATGAAATTACACTTCTGAGGTGGGAATGTGAGAAGTTTTCAAAAAGAAACAGATTATAGAATCAAAATCAAAATCTCTTGTCAAATCAGTCTCTTGTCAAATCCCCTTGTTCTAACATAGAGGACCAATCTTAACTTTTTCATATCTCTCTCCTCTATGTACTGGTTCCTTTCTACCTTGTTTATAAATAACCTTTCTAAGTCCATGATTTTAATGAAACTTTAGGTAACTTCTGAATTTTCGACAAAACTATTCTTTTTTCTCAATAAGAGCACATCTTCTTTGGCACATTTTACAGACAGAATTATTATCTATTAACTAGAGTTCTTATTCTTAGTAACCTTGAATTCCAGTAAAAACCTGAAAAACAAAAAAATTCTGAACTATCAGATATTAGCATTTTCTAGATGAGAACATATCACAATTTTTAAAAACATATTTTCCCATATCATAACCCTTTCTTAATCAATCAGAAATGCCTCCCAACCCATGAGCATCATTTTTTTTTTTTAATTTTAAGTTCTGGGATACATGTGCTGAAAGTACAGTTTTGTTACATGGGTATACATGTGCCATGGTGGTTTGCTGCACCTATCAACCCGTCATCTAGATTTTAAGCCCCACATGCATTAAGTATTTGTCTTAATGCTCTCCCTCCCCTTTTCCCCCACCCCCGACAGGCTCCGGTGTGTGATGTTCCCCTCCCTGTGTCCATGTGTTCTCATTGCTCAACTCCCACTTATGAGTGAGAACATGTGGTGTTGGTTTTCTGTTCCTGTGTTAGTTTGCTGAGAATGATGGTTTCCAGCTTCATCCATGTTCCTGCAAAGGACATGAACTCATTCTTTTTTATGGCTGCATAGTATTCCATAGTGTATATGTGCCACATTTTCTTTGTCCAGTCTATCACTGATATTTGCTGGAATGTGTGAAGCCATTCCTGCTGTCTGGTACCCACGGAAGACATTCACTCATCCACACCCAGATGTCAAATTTCAAAGGCTCTTCTTCCTTAGCGATTAGTAACACAGTTGGAGCAGGCAGTGGTGGAGCCAAAGAGAGAGACTAAAACCCACCTCTGACCAAAAATGGTCAAGCAGCTGCTTAGAAGTGCTTCCAAAACACTTCTAGCCCCTGCAGCTGAGCCACAAACAACACGTTCCCAGTTGGGCAACCAAAATCTGTTACCAAAATGCCAGGAGTACCATCTAGGTTCTGTTGCTCACCGTACAGAAAGTCAATTACTGAGACAACAGATATTGCCAAGGAAGAAGGCTTTAATTGGGTGCTACAGCCAAGAAATAAGAGGTAAGTCTCAAATCCATCTCCCCAACCAACTAAAATTACAGGTTTATATAGCAGGGAAGAAATGTAACTACATGTGGGAAAATAGGAATTAGGGAGTGGTAAGGAAGAGAAGCTGGTTAACAGGCAGCAGGGGTTCGGTTAGGAAAACAAGAATTGGGGAGGGGTAAAAAAGCAATCATTGGCTGGGTGAGGTGGCTCATGTCTGTAATCCCAGCACTTTGGGAGGCCAAGGCAGGCAGATTACTTGAGGCCAGGAGTTCAAGATCACCTTGGCCAACATGGTGAAAACCCGTCTCTACTACAAATACAAAAATTAGCCAGATGTTGTGCCTCAGCTACTCAGGAGGCTGAGGCACGAGAATTGCTTGAACCTAGGAGGCAGAGATTGCAGTGAGCTAAGATCACGCCACTGTACTCCAGCCTGGGAAACATAACTAGACTCTGTCTCAAAAAAAAAAAAAAAAAAAAAAAAAGAAAGCAATCATGATGAAGAGTCTAGCATCTCATTGTCCATATATAGTGATCTGGTAAGCCTCAGTTCCTTGATACTATCTGTGAGGGATGACAGCTGGTTTCCTGAGAAACGAACTCAGATAGGACAAATGTAAGTTTCAAGCTTTAAGACTGGGAGGGTCAATGTCCATGTTTATATATTAAAAAAAAAACTATAACATCAATTCTCTAAGACAAATTGGTCAGGTTTCAGAGGGAGATTAAGACATTGAACTCTATTTTTTTCTTTTTCTTTTTTATAGAAAATCTGGCAAACCCAAGACTCAAATTTCAGGGAAATAAAAAGGTCTTCGGAATTCACTATAACTCAAGTTCAAATCCCTTCTCTTCCATTTGGTAGCTGTGGTAACCTTGGCTAATTTATTTAAACTCTTTGAGTTTCTGTCTCTTTGTATGTAAAACAGGGGGAAATAATACCTGCCTTATTTAGTTGACTATTCATTCCACAAACACACACAAGTGCCTACTATGTGATAGACACAGGGATACAAATATTAACAAGACAGACATAGTTTTTTGTTTTTTTTTTTTCTTTGCTTTTGAAATTTAAAGTCTAGTGGATGAATGTTCGGAGTAACTTTAAGCACTTCCAATTTACAGAAAGTCTACTAGGTGCCGGATCCTTTATTTCGATATTCACAGCTTCCCTAAAGGTATGTGGAACATCATCCATTTCACAGGTGAAGAAACTGAGTTTGGAGAATTTAAAGAAATCACCCAAGAGCACACAATGAATGGCCATGTCAAAATTTGCACTGGGGACCACGGGACAACAAAGCCTTTGATAATGCTGATCTGGATGAAGCACTGGGCACAATAATGGGTGCATGGAAAACGCAATCTAATTAAATGTGCTTCAGAGAATTGATACTGCATTATCACTGGAATCTTTGGCTAAACTTGCTAAACTTTGGCAAGTTTAGCCAAAGACTCCAACAATATCATGACAATAGCACTCACCTCCTCCTGCCTTACAGACATAGGTGCACACAGAGATTTGCTTTCATCGGTCTTACAGATGAGTTGCAGAATAGTCATGTAACAGAATCAGGCATTATGTAATAGCAGAACAAACACAAATAGCCCATGAGACCAGCAGCTTGGCATAAATTACTAGGAGCCATGAAAGGCACAGCTGTATCTAAAGCATATGATTACACAGATGCACCCATACACAGAGAACCTATCAGGAATGCATGATGACTGTCTTTAGAGTTCCTTAAATTAGGCACACAAGAAAAATGAGTCTACACCCTGCCAAGACAATGAATGATGGTAATAATAACAATTACATTTATTGAACAATTAATATATATCAGACATGTTGCTAAGCAATTTACATTCATTGCCTCAGTTTCACTTTCAATAATCCTTTGGGTTGGATACTATAATTATTTGTATTTTACAGTTGAAGAAACTGAGGCTCAGCTGTCCAAGTGATACATTTGATAATTGACAGAGCTGGGGTTTAAAAGAAGGTCCACCTGAGCACTATACTTTTAATGATATGTCATTACAAGCTTGAGCTTCACTTTTATGTGTGAGGACAGACAAGCCTCAATATTCCCCAAACCTGTCATCATTCAATTCCCATCTCCCTACTATGCATCTTTTGCTCAGTTCTTTTCTCTGTCTCTGTCATCAATGGACATATCCCCGAAAAAGAGCAACATTCCTGTAATGTGACCCTTGATCACGTGTTCCCAAAACATCTTCAAACTGTGCCTGGCCTTGTCCACATCTCTACACCTTTGAAGTCATTCCCTTACAGAGGAATCAGAGGCATAGAGGGCTTCTAAAGACAAGACAAGACAAGACAAAACAAAAAACAGAAAAAACCCACCTTGGTTCAAATCTAGGCTTCCCTTCTCCCTGCTATGTAAATTGGAGCAAGTCACTTAACCTCTCTGAGCCCTAGTGTCTTTATCTGTACAATGAGGATACTAGTACATATTTCCTAGGAACTCTCATTAGAAATAAGTGAAAAATTTTATGCATGAAAATTTGAAAGATATGGATGTGCCTAACACACAATAAGCAAAATAACTGCTATTTTCCTTCTCTTAGTTTTGTATGGAGAACACATACTTATCTTTGAAAACTCAGATCAAAGCCTCCTCCTTTTCTCACACGTGGGTTTTGTCACTCCATCCTCTGTGCTCTGGGAACTCTGTGTCTCTAATCAGCACTTTTTACATTGATTTTTATCTGTTTACCAGACTATCTTTACTATTAGAAAGCGAGCTCCTCCAGGGAAAAGGCTTTGTCTTATTTCTCTGTGTATCCACAGAGTCTACTGCTGTCCTACCACTGTGTAGAATAAACCATCGTTTGTCAATTGCTGCATTAAATTGCATTAACACTCACCCATAAAACCACCTGGAGGGGGTGTGTCTTGGAGAGCAGAGCTCACTGTTCTTTTGCTTGTGTTTTGTGTATTGTCTCACATCCAGCATAACAACATACAGTAAATCTGAGAGAAACCAAGAATAATTGAGCAATATAGCTTCCTTCTTTTGAGCTTCTACCCTATGCTATGCACTAGCTGTTTTACGTATATCATCTCTAATTCTCATAGTGATCTTGCAAGGTCATTGTGACTTGAATAAGAGGATGAGATATTAAATTATGTTTACAGTCAGTCTCCTCCCTACTCCCTGCCTGTAAAAGGGAAAAGATCTTGGTCCAGCTCATGAGATCTTCCTTACTAGAAAGTATAAGCCAATTTGACTGGGCCACGGGGTACCCAGACATTCGGTCAAAGATTATTCTGGGTGTGCCTGTGAGGATGTTTGTGAAGGAGATTGATATTTGAGTTGGTGGATTGAGTGAAGTATCTGCCCTCTCTAGGGTATACAGGCTTCATCCAATCCACTGAAGACTTAAATAGAACCAAGAAACTGACCCTCTTTTAAGTAGAAGGGAACTCCTCTTGCCTGGCTGTTTAGAGCTGAAACACTGGCCTTTTCCGGTCTTCAGGCTCAAGTGGAAACATCAGCTCTTCTTGGGTCTCAAGCCTGCCAGCTTTCAGGCTACAGTTTATACCATGGGCTCTCCTGGATCTCCAGTTTGCTGACTACAGACCATAGGACTTGACAGTCTCCAAAATCACATGAGCCAAGTCCTTATAGTGGATACATAGGTAGGTAGGTAGGTAGATAGAGAGACATAGAGACAGATGACAGAGAGGCAGACAGATGGATAGAAACACACACACACACACACACACACACACACACACACACACACACACACACCTGTTTCTTTTTCTCTGGAGAATGCTGACTAATACAAGCAGAATCCAAATAGTGCTAAAATGGAGGTGAAAATGAAGAAATAGAAATGTATTTGATCTATACGTAACAATTTTAAAAATGCAAAAGCAGGAAGAAAAGTGGGAAAACAGAAGAGCCTACCAGATTATATATGAAGCAGCATTTGGGGGCAGTACAGAGAAAGAGGCGAGAGTTTGCAAGGAAGCATTCCTAAGAATGTAAGAGACTGGAAGCAGGGAAATAGAGAAACTTTTCAAGAGATACATAGGACATCAGAAATGATTCTTTCCTTTGTCATTTTCTCAAGAGTTTGAAGAAAGCTTTGATTTGTTTTTAACATTTTCTGATGAAAATGAGACATTATATAAGACAGGGCCACATAGGGTCCTAGTTATGTGCAGATTACAGTTATACAGATTCTCATACATAAGTTACATGTGGGTTACAGTTATAGAGATTCTCATGTATAAGTTCAACATTTGGGGTGGGTTATTGGTTTATGAAAATCTCTCTCTCTCTTTCCCTCTTTCCCCTTCCCTCCTCATTTCTGTCTCCATCTCTCTTTCTCCCTCCCTCCTCCCCGATATAACCAATTTATTTAGCTAAGGATACAGAAACCTATTGAATGCGAGGTGGCCATATAAAACAAAGGCCACTGCAATGTGTCTCATTTTAGCTTCCCTTGGCCCCCAGTGTCTCTGAAAGGTACACATTTACATAAATGCAACAAATTTAGAGAGTCACATTTTTACCAGTATTCTTGATTTTTGCTTTTTTAATTAATTTTTTTAATTTTTGATTTTTGTATACTCAAGGTATGCATTAGAATTGCACAAAGACTTTCGCTGACAAGCTATGTATTTCTATTTAAAATAAGTTCTCCTGGTTCTCAAACCCATATTCGGTATTCACAAGACCCATGTTCTTAACAGATGTAATGGGGGAAAAAGCACGTTCCATTCTTAAGTCAGTTCTTAGATGTCCCTGAAAAAAATATCTGCCCCTAGCACTCCAGAAAACTCATTTCCCTGCCAACAAAGCTTGCAACGTTATTATTAACCATCAAGATGTTATCAAAATGCCAGGGGTTCAGTCTAGGTCCTGCTACTTGCCACACAGATAGCCAATCAATGAGATAACAAGTATTACCAGGGAAGAAGGCTTTAACTGGGTGCTGCAGCTGAGGAGATGGGTGATCAGTCTCAAATCCATGTCCCCAGCTGACCAGAAGTGGGGGTTTATATAGCAGGGAAGGAATGTAGCTACGTATAAGAAAACAGGAATTAGGAATTAAGTAGCGGTAAGGAAGAGGAGTTTGTCAACAGGAAGCAGGTGGTTGATTAGGAAAACAGAAATTAGGGAGGGGTAAGGAAGCAATCATGATGAATGAAGTGTTTGGCCTCTCATTGTCCAGATACAGTGATCTGTTAATTTTCAATTCCTTGATACTATCTGGGAGACCTGATGGTCAGTTTCCTGAGAAAGGAACTCAGATAAGATAAATGTAAATTTTTCAAGTTTTAAGACTAGAGGGTCAATTTTTATAGTTATTCGAAAAACTGTAAACATTAGTTCTATGGGATGATTGGGCCAGTTTCAAAGATAACTTAACTTATAAATATCAGAGACAAAATATGAATCCGGATCTATCTGACTCTAAAGTTCATGATTTTATACTCTTATCTCTGCAGAGCGAGTTCTTAGAAAATAGGCATCAAATTATGCCAATACAACTTCTATAGAAGAGTGAGTCTGCAAGCCAGTTCAGCACTCAGGAGTTTTTTTGTGCCGTAAACAGCCACGGCCCTCCTCTAAGGGCTCCAAACGGAGCACCTGGTATACCTGTATGGCTAGTCCCTAGGGCAGTCAGATCTTTTGAAATATGGACCTAATTTAAGCTTGGTCTTTTATCAAATAACTCACCCGACAAATTCTCAGTTGGCAACCAGGAGGCATGATATGAGCTTCGGAAATTTATTATGAAGAAAACAATAGATCAGGTAATTCACTGTCTTTGGAGGTTTCATGTCAGAGGTTTTTCATCCCAAATTTTACTTTATTTTGCTCTGAATAGAAGCAGGCAATTAAAGATGTCCAGTCAAATTTGTTTTTGAGATAAAAAAGTGCTAAGGCAGTATGGGAATGTTCCAAAGCACTCCAAATGTCAAATAGGAATGGTCATAAAAAGGCAAGTTGAATGTTAAAGATAAGTTGCTGCAATTGGAATGCCATAAAATATGATAGCCTCTTTCAAAATTTTAACATTCAGACGGGATTAGAACAGCACAGAGCCCTTGAGATTTTTTCCAACATCCTCATCTCCAGATCTTTCAAATTGTTGAAACTAATGCACAACCCAGGGCCTGAGACCAAATTTCTCAACTCTCAGGCCAGTGAACTCATTCATTAACTTGGAAAGTAAGAGCTAAATATTTATGATGGATGACTTCATTTCTACCCTTATGTCAAATTTCACTGACACCACTAAATATTTCAGAACACATGCTCATCAGAAAACTTCCCAGCACCACGCACAGGGAAGAGTTTAGGAAGGGTCACAATATCTAGGCATATTGTCTACATCTATGTTTTACCTAGAGTGTGTTCACTGATGGGACAGAGTTAAGTAACATTGCATACTTGCATTGCATTTCATTTCCTTCTTGAAGATTCTCGATTCTCCTCAGCTAATTAAAAGTTCTTAGAAGTTCACCTATAAAGAGAATATTTAGCATTCTCTAAGTCATTCACCCTAGTGATCTGGTAGTACTTTACAAACTAATCCTGTCAAAACAACTCCTGAACCCCTCCAAATTCCCAAGCCTATATCTAAATTTCTTTTTTTTTTCTGATAAAAATAAAATTCTTTGGCACCTAGAATATAACATTATTTCCTCCATCCCAGATAACAGGATGCTGCTGGGTCAAAGTGGGTGAGCTTCATAGTTTCATTCTTGCAAGAGAACTGGTCTTGTAAATGCATATGGGGTTAGGGAGAGCATTGCATTCCAAGGAGTTTCAACTGTTTTTTGAAGCGAAGAATGCAGAACTAGTGGGGGGAACTAAGAAAATGCAAATATAGGGTTAGAAGTAGAGGAATAAAGGAGTTTCTGAATATGTGCTTAGCATTCTGCATGATTGACTGGATCAAAGTTTCTCAGATGCCAATGTGCATCGAAATCACATGGAGGTTTTATTAACACAGAGTTTGGGGCCCCACTCCCAGGGTTTTCAACTAGAAAGGTTTGTGTGGGGCCCAGGAATATGCACTTCTAACAACTTTCCAGGTTATGCTGATGCTGCTGATTCAGGGGCCACACTTTAAGAACCGCTCTTCTAGACCATTGGTTAGCCTTAAATATCTGGCATAACTACTCAGACCAGCAGTCTTCAGGTTTCTTCTTAGCATAAAATCTTTTTGTGCATGACATCATTGTTGTTGTCCGGGTGGTCTTCCGTCCTCACCCGACATCCATGGCTACACCAGGAAACCACTCCTCCCACACTGTCTTGGTGGGAAACTCAGTCAAGTTATTTCCACTCTCACCTGGACAGAGTGGATACCTGACAAAAGCCATGGAGGGGCCCAGCTATAATCTAATACCAGCAGTGAGTATGGGGGTGGGAGTAAGAAGAAGAGGTGAGGTAGAGATTTCATTGTTGCTAGAAAATGAGCACCAAAAAATAAGCTATGATAATTGGCTCCTTTTCCATGCATCTCAAGGTCCCATTTTTTTTCAGCAGCTTTCAATACAGTCTCATCACAGACATCAATATATTACTTAATTTTAAAACGCATTATTTTAAGAATGAGCCCACTTACCCAACCCAGTCATACTTCTAAGCCAATCAGACTCCTATGCCTGGGAATTTGAATTCCTAAACAAATTCCTAACACAAAGTCCCTAAACCACTGGAGCCCAACCCTGGCACCATGAAATTTTGGTCTATTAGTTGCTGCTACGTGGATCCAGGTGCTGTCCCCAGTCCTATCTTCCAGTATTGTCCAGCTTCCCCTTTACTTCTCTGTGTCTCCTCATTTCTCTTTACTAAGTTCCTTTTTCGCCTAAGTAAGCTAATCTGTTTCTGTGGCTTAAACCTAAGATTCTCCCAACAAAAGAAATAAGGAACTCCATATTTAACGCATAAAAATAGTATCTCTGAATAAAGAGGGGAGTGGGGACCTATGACTGAGACAACTGGAACCTGTCACACGTGCTCTTCCTTCCCAAAGAACACCTCCAATGAGTTTCTAAATAGCCTAAAAGTTTTGGGAGACACAAATGGGAGATCTTGGCTTATAACATCTACTTGTGTTTTGGGCTCACTTTGGCAACCAGCTAAAGATAAGGGTTTGGGTGGATCTGGTCATCTTAAAGGCCAGTGGATAAAAATATAGCCCACTTCCCTGCGAGTTTTAATTATAAATCCTTGTATTAGCTCATTCCCAAAAGGCCTTGGAAAAGTGTATTTGTGTATAACACGATCCTCCGGCACACCGGGTTGTATTACTCATTTCATCAGCATAGATGGAATCCGATATTTGGCTCCACTATCATAACATACATCCAAGGGCTTATTTCCTCCAAAAGAAGTACAATTGGAAATAGCATCGATTGAGCCAAAACATGTTAATTTCAGCATATATCGTTAAAGAGCAGGCATCAGCAAAGATGCAGCGTTGAGGAGGCCCACACAACAGAACCATGAGAGTCCTTACAACACAGCCCCAAATAGAAGCTGCCTCCTGGAGGTCTCAAACAAGAAAAGAAATCCACATGAATAAGCTTTGTCTTAAAAAAAGAGTTTTCCATCCTACAACTTTCTTTAAAGGATAGCTCAACTGAAAGAAGTCACTGTCTTTGGAAAACAAAGCCCCTTCACCAAATTTAGTACAATTTTACTTCTAGAGATGGATGCTTCATGATAGAGCATAAGGGCCCCAGGAAATCCAAATCCCACAAGTTGAGGGGCAAACTGTTCTATTCAGGAGACTAGACGTTCTGACTTTGAGAGTGCTAGACAAGCCTGTTCTCTGTGATCATTTTGAATAGGACCCTCCGCTCAAAGGGTGCGGGGTGGGGTCTTAGTCTGATTGCTACATCAGTCCAATCAAGAAGCTGGGAGGCCAGGCACGGTGACTCATACTTTTAATCCCAGAACTTTGGGAGGCTGAGGCAGGCAGATCACTCGAAGTCAGGAGTTCAAGACCAGCCTGGCTAACATGGTGAAACCCCGCCTCTAATAATAACACAAAAATTAGCTGAGCATGGTGGCAAATGCCTGTAATCCCAGCTACTCGGGAGGCTGAGGCAGGAGAATCGCTTGAACCAGGGAGTTGGAGGTTGCAGTGAACTGAGATCACACAACTGCACTCCACCCTGAGCGACAGAGTGAGACTGTGTCTCAAAAGCAAAAAACGAAGAAGAAGAAGAAAGATGAAAAAAGAAAGAAGAAGAAGAAGTTGGAACATAGACCCTCTGAAGGCTAACCACTTCATTTACAGAGGGAGGACTCCAAAGGCCATATGAAGTCCACTTAGAGATCAGAATCTCAGAACTAGAAGGCCAGATAAGTCTATCTGAGAGATACAGCCATTAAACAGAGAAAGAGCTAGACAAGCTCATGAAGGGACTCAGATACTCAGGGGGCTTATCAGTCTTTTCTAGGAATGGGGAGCTGAGACCAACTGGAGAAGTTCAATTATGGTTCAAAAGAAAATATTCTCTGCTGAAAAGTTCTCAGCTAGGGTCATTAATCTAAGAAGGAAAGTTAAGGCTGAAAGGAATTATTAAGCATGCATTGCATGCTTATTTCTAGATGGGAAAACCATTTCCAGCCCAGGCTGAAGACAAAAACAGAAGACGATATTTGAGTCATATTGAGAAGAAGAGTAGGAATATGGATACCCAAGAAGTTTGACACCCTAAGAAAAAAAGACACTGAACTACCCACCTTTGTCAGCATAACACCACTGCTTCTTCTGACTTTATCTTAGCCTTTGTCCACTCAATTCTCAAATAATCACTGAACATACGTATCCCGAGATGCCCCCACATTTTCCTATAAACTGCCCTTTTTGCTTAGCCTTGGTTTCTGTTGCTTACAGCCAAAAACCTTTAACAGACACAATTTCAAGATCCTAAAAATAATCCCCTAGCTTTCATTATCTCATCCTCTTCCTCGTTGCTTTAAAATGCCTACAAACATGTGCAGCTCCATTTGAAGAAATAAAAATTCTCTAATTGCATTTTTGCACCCAGACATCTGCATGGTATTTCACAGTTCGCACAGTATTTTCATAGCTTCACTAATTGGTGATCCTTAAATACTTGTGAGGTTAAAAATAAGGAGGTTTGTTGGTGTCATTATCTCAATTTTACAGATAAAACAGAAAGTCTGTGAGATTAATTAGCTTGTTCCAGGATCTCATGGCTCACGTGCTGTGCAACCATATTTAGAGCAAGGTGTATCTGAGTTTGCTCCAAGAGTCCTAGATTCGCCATTCTTCTTTGGAACCTCTTACTTTGGTGTCTCAAAACCTTAATTTTCCCCCCAACATTGTATATCCAGGAATCCAACTAACTGGATTCTGGCCCATGAAAGTACTTGGACTTGAGTTGTGTGTGATCTTAAATAAGTTATTATTTCTGTTCTGAATTAGATTCTGAACATATTTTTTTAAGAAGCTTCACAGAACAGACTTTTTGTTGTTGCCTTTTTTTTTTTTTTTTTGAGATGAAGTCTCGCTATGTCGCCCAGGCTGGAGTGCAATGGCGTGATCTCAGCTCACTGCAACCTCTGCCTCCCGGGTTCAAGTGGTTCTCCTGCCTCAGCCTCCCGAGTAGCTGGGATTATAGGTGCTCACCACCACACCCGGCTAATTTTTGTACTTTTAGTAGAGACAGGGCTTCACCATGTTGGACAGGCTGATCTCGAACTCCTGACCTCAGGTGATCCACTCGCCTCAGCCTCCCAGAGTGCTGGGATTACAGGCGTGAGCCACCATGCCTGGCCACAGAACAGGTTTTTTATGCAGTCCAAACACAATTATATGCAAGGATTCGTACTGCACAACAAAGCAGTCCACAATGGAAGGTCATTCATTGACCACCATCCCTCCAATGGGCCAAGTAGATTGAGTTTTCATAAAAGGACATGCTCACTGCTTAAATGTCCATTTTTTGTGCATCCTTTCCCTTAAAAGAGCAAAGTGAAAGATTCTGATATTCCTGATGTGGCTTAGAGAATTCTTAATCAAATTCTCTAACCCAGATCTGTACTGGACGTACTCTCAAGACCATCTTCCTCCTTGAGTAAGAATAAAACTTAATACCTGGAGTCACTTAGGTTTGAAGGATGAGCAAATGTCATTATAAAAATGTTATCTACAGAAGGTAATGAGTGCATGGAACCATGGTCGGCTTATCTTCATTGAATTAACACATTAACAAATTCAAAAAAGATTCTTAGAGAATGGGACATAGGATACACAAGCTTTGATGGAAACTAGGTAAAAGAATACTGTCTGTGTTTTACTCCCTGAGAGAGAGGAGAATTCCTTACAATGGAATTCCTTACACTGGACCATTGATTAAAACCCATGTATGTCTAGTGTTCCATTACTGGAACGCTAAGCATGTGGGAGTTATTTATATCCTACTGCTCAAGGTCATCGCTGAGGTCTGATTTCTCACACGTCTGCAATTCAAAAAAATTGCAATCTCTGGCATAAATGGGTTAAACATATCTGACACCTAAATACTGACAGTCACTCATTATCGGTGTGGTTATGGGTGAGTTCCTGAGTTTCTTCCATTCCAAAAAGGAAATAAAAATCTTGCTTCACCTGCATCTCAAGGCTTTTGTGGGGACCTGGGAAGACAGAGTAACCACGAGGTCCCAGAAAGATTTATTGGGCACAAAGTAAGAGAAGTCAGAGATAAAGAAGAAAACAAATTTCTCATTCAAGATGGTATACTGGGGAAAACACTGGACCATTGATATAAAAATACTGAAAGTCATTCATTATCAGTATGGTTATGGGTGAGTCCCTTAGTTTCTTCCATTGAAAAAAGGAAATAAAAATTCTGCTTCTCCTGCATCTCAAAGCTTTTGTGGGGACCTGGTGAGCTAATGGAAGAGGGAATGCTTTGAAAAGAATTGTGATTATTTGGATGTAGAAGGCAAGATGCAGGAGGTGTCACTGGGTGACCCCCAAGTTCCTGACTTGACAAAACAGGTAGATAAGAAAAGATACCCTGGAAGAAAAACACATTTGAGAAGAGAGTTTGGTGGGAGTTGAGTATCCTGTGTTAGTGGAATACCCAAATGGAGATGTACAATAGGCAGCTGGATATTCAGAACACTTGGGCCAGGTGTTCTCCAGAACTGGTCCAATAACCAGAAATTCCATCCTTCTCTCAGCTGGAGTTACTCTGACTGTGACAGCTGCTGCTCCAGTTACTCTATTTATTGTTACTAATCCCCCAGGGCCGCAAGACCCTTCCACAGAACTCTCTCTCATTCCTTTCCACATAAATCAGCAGAAGAACTACACTAAGTCCCAGGTGATAAATGAACCCCTTCCCCAAAGAGTTTGGCTTAAGCCCAAATCAGCAGCTTGCCTGTCGATTTATTGTTCATTTAAATCATTCTTGCCTCTTATGACAAAATGTTAATGACAAAATATAGGTGATCCTCCAATGGAGGGAAAAGCTGTATCTTTGCAACTGGAAATTAGAAATGTATTATTAACAATGAGCATTAATTATATATTTTAATGCTCACAGGAGAGATGTGATTGGGGGATAATTTGCAGAGAGGCATAGGGGGCTCTGAAACCTAGCGCGATCATTTTATTAGACAGATCCTATTTTCTGCAACCATGAATATTTCATTCGGAATATTTACTCCATCTTATTATTCAGCCATTCTTCCTCGGCTAAGCCCCAGATTTAGACAAGTCTTCTCTCTTTCCTGATCTTGTTCTTGAGAGACCGACAGTTATCCAGAGATGATGTATGATTCTGAGAAAGAGTATCCTGAAAACCAAATTATAATTTGCTCTGTCCCCAGGAAAATCCGTATTAGCAATGGAGGCCCTGTGATTACTTAGGGCTGTGCACACTCTATGGGAAAAGGATATGAGGTATCTTAAGTGTTGATATCTCTTGCTCTGGAAAGTCTTCCTAATCCTAATAATCTAATTCTCCAGTCCAAGACCAGATCCAGAGTGCATTGTCCTGCCCCATCAAAGACCCCCACTAGGTTGTCCTAATTACCTGTGACCAAGACACACATCCCTCTGCAAATGTGCCAAGCCTAGATTTCAAGAAGTATTCAGCTCATCAGAACTGAACATTTTAACAAATATTCAGATACATAAACACCCACAACCTACACCCTTGCAAATATGATCAACTTCATGGGAGTAGATGTACTTGCCCAGCATGCAAGTAAGTTTACCCCTACTTCAATGTATTTCATTAAATGAAGTATCTTTCCACCTTTTACTGAGTATTATCTTATTCCTTCCTCACAACCTCACAGCAACATACTCTTCATTCTGTGTACTTTGGGTAGAAGTCAACTGAGCTTCAGAGAGAACATAGAAGCTTAAGAAATAAACTCTTAGCTGGGCACAGGGGCTCCTGCCTATAATCCCAGGACTTTGGGAGGCTGAGGCAGATGGATCACCTGAGGTCAGGAGTTCAAGACCAGCCTGGCCAATATGGTGAAACCCTGTCTCTACTAAAAATACAAAAATTAGCAGGGTGTGGTGGCACACACCTGTAATCCCAGCTACTCGGGAGGCTGAGGCTGAGGCAGGGAGAATCGCTTGAACTCGGGAGGCATAGATTGCAGTGAGCCTAGATTACGCCTTCCAGCCTGGGTGACAGAGTGAGACTCTGTCTCAAAATAAATAAATAAATAAATAAATAAATAAATAAATAAATAAAATGAGCCCTTAAGGGCACATGCTGGTACATGCTAGAACTGAGTTTAAACTAAAGACCAATTCTGAAGTTTATGTATGTAAGATCATCCAACCCACCATTGGGTGAATTTGAGAAAGTTCAAGAAAAAAAAACAAATAAAAAATAATGATAACCCTAATTGTAAACAACAGCAAGTGCCATTTATTTATGACATATTAAAAGCTTTGCACACATTATTTCATTTAGTTCTCCCAACAATCATATCAAGTAGGTACAGTTATCTGCCTTATTTTATTGATGAAAAAAGAATCTCAGAAGGTTAAGCAACTTGACCAGGCACACACAGCTTCTAAGTGTGGGATCAGAAGTCACATCTCTCTGACTCCAAAGCAGGCAAATTTTCACCTTGGCATTGAAGCAGTTTTACAGACCTATGTTGACTTTTCTTTTCACCAATTGACCAGGGAACTTCTAACTACTCAGCATTAAACTTCCTAAATTATTCCATTCCTCCTCTGTCAGACTACGAGCTCAAAGCCTTAGTCCTGGAATCCAGTTTTCTGCCCCAGGCTCCCTGGGCCTATGGGTCCAGAGGAGCTACCTCTTCTCCAGTCCAAAAGAGTTCCCTGACTTCGGAGTCCAGTTCTGTCTGGGTAAAACACTCTGCTGAAGAAGGGTCCATAAGGGATTTTACTATGGCTATCTTTTTGGACATATTAAGGGGCAAGTTCTCTAATGACTCATAAAGGCCATTAACATGGGTTTTGCAGTGAGTACTAAGACCTTCCCATATGAGTATAACTGAAACCCTACACAAATAATGTAATGTTTAATTGCATGTGCAAATAAAATTGTGCAAAACTCTCTAAGAGTATAAAGTTCGAAAGACTGTATTTTATAAAGAATTTTTTAATGATATAGGAACAACCTTAGGCAAGTATGTTAAGGAAAAAACAGCAGGGTGTGAAACTGTACATAGTGTATCATCATCATTATGTAAATTATCTAAAAGCGAGAGGTGGGAGCAGGGGAAGTACTTGCAGATAAATACACAAAAGTGCTAACAATGGTTGCTGATAGATGGTATGATGGAGACTTTTAATTTTCTTTTTTTATATACTGCGAAATTTTCCAAATTCTCCTCGGCGAAAATATTTGTCTTTGGCCTAGGGGGAAATAAACATTTATGAACAACAACATGTTAGGTTATAATATTCAAATTTACATAGAGGTCTAATATTGTAGATTTGATAGCAAACTTCGTGAAAGGAGAATAAAGCTTTCAGGTTTTGCTTCTGTATCTATTCACCCCATTAGACGACATTTTGTTGACATAATATTTTCTGTTTGTTCCTTTCCTTCACCGCTGATGCAGTTAGAATATCTGTGTTAAACAAGCCTACCTGAGGCCAATTACAGCTCTCCTTCCAACCCTAGAAGACAGGAGAAGAGAAGCATCTCATTTCTCTCTCACCCCATCTGATACATATATTCAGGCTGGGCGCAGATGACATCTGTCCAGACAACGGATAATATTGCAATCACTTCTGATTAGTTTCCTGTTACCACCACGCTGTTCACCTGTGTTACAGGAGTGGCTACTGGGGTGTGCTGGAAGGAGGGAAGAGTAGGCGATGAAGGCAGTTACTGTAATTTGAGAATCTGTGCTATTGTTACCAAAGCCGTTTCTTCAGAATCCAGATCCATGCATCCTCCTTTCCTCACATACAGACATTCTGCATGTGGGATATGCTAGGCAACCAGTCAAATTTCCTATGTTTCAGTGGGATGGACTGTTTGTCTTAATTTACATTGCTCCAGGACCTTAGGAGCCATCATATTGGTGAAGAATAAATAGGTCTCAGCGATTGTAACATGATGCATATAATTTGCCACTGACAGTTTTTCCCCTGAAAATAGCAATGAGGAAAAAAACCTAGTTACTTCTTTCAAGCCAGTGGTGAACTTTCTATTCGTTTTCTGAGCAACTCAGTTTTTTGAGAGTCACTCTTAATTTTGTATTAATAAAAACTTGATTTAAAAAATCAGGAAGATGTGTTATGAAGGCTGTCAATCCATTTTCTAATGATCCACATTTCCTTTTTCAAGGCCAAAGCTATAACTTTAATATTAAAATACATGTTCACTCTAGGCCTTACCAATGTTGATTAAGCCAGGGATAAGGCAAGAAGCAGAAAAGATCGACAGTATATTTTCATTCACTCTCTCTTAAAATAATGATGCATGCAACTTCATGTCATTACTTTTTAATGATCTTAGCCTAGTTAATAGCACAGTAATATTCCAAAAAGGAGCAGGAAATTATTTCCACATTTAATTTTCATTGCAAAAGTGAGAGGAACTCTTGATTTTTTTTTCTGCCAGAGAAGCTGTCTGCTGCCTATGACTGCATTAGCTCTGCTACATTACAGCTGAGCTAATGGATCAAAGCCAAGTGATTACTTTCCTAGTCTTTTGAGCATTTCCAAGTACCAACTGACTGGCTCTCAAAGACTTGGACATGGCTTTTCAATGTCGCCATGAAGTTTGCTTGATTTCCCATCAAGGCAGGGCCTTTTGACCTTGCAACTGACCTGAGATGGGATTCATTATATGTGTCCCTTTGGATATCTTGGTTGCACAGAATAATTAGAAAAGGGGGCTCTAGGAAGTGTAATAGAATATTATACATTATGATCCTAGGCCTTTGGTATGGAGCAGTTAACATCACAGAGATGGTTCCTTATGTTGGAGCTCATGGCAGCAAGATTTAAGATATTACATTTTCTCAATTCCATAATGTTCTTCATTATAGGAAACACAATTGATATATTGTATATATCAATTCTTCTTTTTGGGGGAAAGGAGAAAAATAAAAAACAACAAACTAACTTAAATCTTGACATAAATTGTAAAATGCATCTGAGATAACATCAAATGTGAAAAAAAATAAAAGTATGTCTTTGAACCACAATAAGAGGCCACCATATATCCAACAGAATGGCTAAAATTAAAAAGACTGACAACACCAAACATTGGCAAGGACACAGAGCAAACGTAATTCACATACATTGCTGATGGCAGGGTAAAATTGGCCGACCACTCTGGAAAAAGTTCTGACAGTTTCTCATAAAATGAAACCCACAACTATCCTATGACTCAGCAGTTCCAATCTTAGGTACTTATCCAAGAGAAATGAAAGCATGTGTTCACAGAAGACTTGTACCTAAGGAAAAGTTGTCAGTAGCAACTATATTCATAATAACCAAAGGCTAAAACAGTTGTGCATCAACTGAGGAACAATAAACAAACTGCAACATCTTCATTCAATGAAGCACCTTTTTTTTTTTTTTTTTTTTTGAGACGGAGTCTTGCTCTGTCACCTAGGCTGGAGTGCAGTGGCACGATCTCAGCTCACTGCAATCTCCGGCTTCTGAGTTCAAGTGATTATCCTGCCTCAGCCTCCCAGGTAGCTAGGATTATAGGAGCTTGCCACAATGTCCAGCTAATTTTTTATTTTTAGTAGAGATGGGGTTTCACCGTGTTGGCCAGGCTGCTCTCGGACTCCTGATCTCAGGTGATCCACCTGCCTCGGCCCGCCAAAGTGCTGGGATTACAGGCGTGAGCCACTGTGCCTGGCCTAATGAAGCACTATTCTGTAAGCTAAAGGAACAAACTACTGACAGACACAGCATATAGATGGATCTCAGAGACATTATGCTAAGTGAAAGAATTCAAACACAAGAGTGCATATTGTATGATTCCATTTATAGAAAACTACAACAGGCAAAACTAACCTCTGGTGGAAAAAAAGAACAGTTGTTGGTTCTGGAGGACAAAGGATCAGGGCTTGACAAGGAAGGGTTTCAAGGAAACTTTAGTTAATAACATACATGTTGATGCCTGCAACTTACTTTGAAATACGTCAAAAATATAAGCTGGACGGATGGATGGATGGATGAGTGGATGGATGGAGATAGATGGGTGGATATGTGATAAAACAAGTACAGTAAAATATAATTATAGAAACTAGATGGTTGGTATATAGGTGTTCACTGTAAAAGTCAACCTTTCTGCATGGTGATAATTATGATAATAAAGTGCTGGGAAAGTATATCTTTGAATCAAGTAAGTATGGTAGATGAAATGTTTCACCCACATCCTTCCCTGTCCCCGTTGTATGGACTTAAAGAATCCGTAATCCCTATGGTGTGCCTTCTGAAAGCTCACGATTCTTCTATCTTGTTCCATTCAAAAATCTGAAAAATCAGCATGTGAACTTGTTCCGGTTTTATAGTAGGTAGATGTGCGTGACCAATCTCACTTTGGGATATTTGTATTTTAATCCAATAATGCATTTAACACTCACTAAGGGTTTTGTTTGTTTGGTTGGTTGGTTTTGTTTTTTGAGATGGAGTCTTGCTGTGTCACCCAGGCTGGAGTGCAGTGGTGCCATCTCGGCTCACTGCAACCTCTGCCTCCCAGGTTCAAGTGATTCTTCTGCCTCAGCCTCCTGAGTAGCTAGGACTACAGGTGCCCGCCACCATGCCTGGATAACTTTTGTATTTTTAGTGGAGATGGGGTTTTACTATGTTGGCCAGGCTGGTCTCAAACTCCTGACCTTGTGATCCATCCACCTTGGCCTCCCAAAGTGCTGGGATTACAGGCGTGAGCCACTGTGCCCAGCATTAAGTATTTTTTTTTAAGAGACAGGGTCTCACTATGTTGCCCAGGCTAGGGTACAGTGGCTATTCAGAGGCACCATCATAGCATACTACAGTCTTGAACTCCTAGACTTAACTCATGCTCCCACCTCCGCCTCCTGAGTAGCTGGGGAAGTGTCTATTTAATTCCTCCAGTGCCTTATCTATTTCCTCACCTTTAAATATAGTAACAACCATGTTTTGTGCAACTTCTGTGTGCCAGATACTACGCTAAGTACTTTCATAAATTATTGTTATTATTGTAAACTGTCTTGCGGTTTAGGAGTCATTACCACTGCTTTACAGATGAGAAAACTAAGGTCCAGGCAGTTTGGAAAATTTTCCTAAGGTTAGACAGCTATTCTGTGGCAAAGTCAGCATTCAAAATCTGGTGTGTCTGATTTTGAAGCCCATGTCCTTCAACATACAATAAAATGAGGACTTGGACTACGGTCCTTTTTGGTTCTAAAATCTCTAATTCTGGGAGAGGAGGAAAATCACTGTATTAGACACTGTTGAGAGCAATCATTAAATTTAAGGGTCTTCGTATAATTTTATGTCAATAAATAAATGAATATATACCAACCGATTTATAGCATTACCTCCAGCGACTCCTGCAGGCTGGTTAGTTTCTTGTTCCCCCAACATCCCTTGTGTTTTTAAACATAACAAAATGCAAAGAGAAAAGACAATCAGAGATCAGTCTGGAAAAGAGCACACTGCTGTCACCAGCTACCTAACATCAACTGATTGCTATAGCTCAGGGTTGAATTTGTTGTTTCCTGGAAGCCACAGTGAAGGGCAAACATCTTGTATTCTATAGCATTTGCTTTCATATACAAGATAGCATACAAATACTACTGCAGGGGTGAACTTTTTTTCTTTCTTGGACAACTTGGTAGGAATCTACATTCTTATTCAAAAAATGTTAGTTAACAGGGAACAGTATCTTTGGCTTTCTTTTTTTAAAACAGAAATATAAGAAAGCATTCTTCAAATGGACAAACCTTCTGGGATACTCCCTAAAGGCAGCATATGCCCTTAAATAGAAACTCGGCTAAGGCCCTGCTGTGTGGCCGAGAATTAGTTTCACATGCTTGGTTTTGTGAGAATCTCATAAAATATTGATTTAGAACTTGGAGACTCAAGATAAATGACTAAGTTAACTGGTCTTTTGGTTAGATATTGGGCTGCAATTGATTCATGACTGGTTTCTCTAACATAAATTCATGGGACAGAAATTGAGTTTTGGGTTATAGTTCATACATTTCTTCCTTTGCCATTAAATGTTGTGCATGTTTTCACCTAAATGATCAATTACATTGTAACAGTAACCCCTTATTTTATACAGCATTATGTAGTTATCAAAGACCTGTAACTCTTTTGATAACTTCTGTCTCTCTCTTTCTCTCTCCAAACTCCCTCATCTCTGTAGGATAGATACTATGCCCTCCTATTTTATTTTATAGATTAGTAAATAGAAGAAAAGAGATAATAGTCACTATTATTTCATTTTACAGACAAGAAAGTTGAAGGAAAGAAATCTGGCAAAAATTACATACTTGATAGTTGCGGCAGCCAGGACTGACCCTGCCTTACCTCTGTTTGAACAGCAATAGCAATAACGATAGTCATAAAACATCACAGCTTTTATGTAGCAAGATGCTTTGCATGCATACGTCAGTGATTCTCCAGTCCACTAAGAGATTGGAAGACTCCCTAGCTGAGCAGGTCCCTCTGCTGGAGGATTCAGGGAACCAAAGCCTATCCCAAATTGGCTGCCATCTTGACAATTTCTCCCCATCGCCCACTGCCATCATGGCAGCACGCACTAAACCAGAGAAGCTTCTACATGGATTGGTTAAATTCTGGGCTTCCTAAAATGTTCCAGAGGCTGCTTGCAATGGGGAAGTCACAGAGGAGTAACTGAGCCTATCATTCTTGGCCAAGTCCTGCAATTATGGCTCACAATTATTTAGGCTCACCTCTTTCTGATATCTGCTTGGTCCTTCCTTATTTAAGATGCACAGGTGGGGTTTCCAGATGGTCTGGGGGACACTCATTCTTTATTTATCCTCTTCGTTTGCCTTATAAGTAAAGGAAACTTGAGATTATAATAAATGCTCAATAAACATTATACCCGTTCTGGGTTATCAGAAAAACAATGCTAATATGCCCCATATTAGGGTTTATGAGCTGTAGACATGTTCTCACCAAAACCAAATGAGACCTGGTTCACTGTAATGCTCCCATCCAGCAAAAGCCACCACACACACCCGAGCTCCCTAATCCAGCTTGGAGAGTCTCCCAACTGGCTACAAACTAATCAGAAAATATAATGACTTTGTACGTAATCAAACAGTACAAGAACACTTCTTTTGTTGAATGGCACATAATTCCACAGACTTCCATGTGCTCATATATGACCGAGGGCTAAATATCTACAGGCTACCAAAGGTGTAATTAAGGATAATAGACACTGGTACTCATGAACTAAAATCACTGCATTCCTAAAGATTACTGAAGATTCTAATTCAATGTTTTTCAAAGAATGATTGGACTATGCAGGATCCCTTATGCTCCTTCTCAAATGCAGTTTAGGAGTCTGTAGTGCTGAGAGGGTCATGCTCAAAAATATTTAAGATACCACAAATGAGCCAAACAAAAAAAAAGAACAAAATAGGATGTTGAGACTGACCATCCGAAGCTTCACCTTGCCCATTATCACATGACCTGCTTCTCTCCTCCTGAGCTCTTTATTTTCTGATTGTTACCAACTAACCTTTCTAGTAGACAGGTAAAAATAATACCCTTCCAAAGATGTTGCAGTATAGTTCTTGGTCTCTTTACCGGAGTGTTGTTAATTACACATTAACCACATGAAGACTTGGGATGGAGGAGGGAGGAGTTCTTGCAGCCTGTGGAAGGGGAGCCTACAGCACATCAATTACCAACCTTAAGGACTGTTCATTAAGTGAGATGATTTATATAAAACAACTATCACATAATAAATGCTCAATAAACATTATACCCATTCAGTACCTCTTCCTGGGGAATATAATCCATTTTCTACCTGCTGATTAATTAGCGAGAGTCCTGCATATCTGAGTGATGCGCCATACAGAGCATGGACAGTTGATTCATCATGAATAATGTAATGTCACAATCTGGACTATTTATATTCAGGTGAATTGTACATAATATGCCATACATGCTAAAGAGGAACATTAATATTTAGCATTCCAAGCTAAGCCAGGATGATTAATTTGGTTTTAACTTAGTATCTTCTTTGCAGAATTTTCAATCCTCTTTCTCTTTTTAAAGGGACATTATAAGAAATATTTTCTACAACATAATTGGTTCTTGCTTATACACTGCTTAAAAGAGTTGTGTGGGATGTTTCGAGAGCCTTAAAAAATCTCCAGCTAGCTTTTTATCCAGATGTTTTAGTTCTGAGACTTTATGCTAAGGAGACATTTGAAAGTATATGAGGAAAAAGACTATGCAAGAATGTATAAGAACAGGTAATTGCTTCAGTAAATTCATTCATTATATGGAACATTATGCAGTCATTAAAAAATGACTTACACAAAGCATTATCAACAACACAGGAAAAGGAATATACTTAGGTTATAGATTTCAGTAAAAATAATTAGCATACAGTAAGGAACTGAAGAAAATACAGCAAAATGTTTACAGTGGTCATTTTTGAAGAAGTGAGTCTACTGATAATACCTTTTGCTACTTCAAAAAAATTTCCCCATTTGCTTTTTTAATTGGAAAAATTCCTTTACATGTAAGTTAAATATTACTGGCTCCAAGCTCCATGAGGCCAGAGTCTTTGTTCCTCATTCACTATTATGGTTCCAAGTCTTAACATAGGGCTTGTAGTAATTTTTATCAACCTTATTTTCTGCAATAATAATTTCTCTGTTTTTTTTTAAAATTTTTGCTGAGTTCCTGAAGCCAAGGAAATTAATGATGTGGAAGAGAGGGATAATGGTCACCAGTCACCATTTATTGACCACCTACTATGTGCCCGCCCCTGTGCTATCCTCTCTACACATGTTATTTCTAATCCTTGTCACAGCCTTGTAAGTAAATATGATCTGTATGTTTCAGATATGGAAACAGAGGCACACAGAGAAAGCTAAGGAACTTCTCCAAGTTCTACTTAGTATGAATAAAACTCAACTGTGTGATTCTAGTGTTTTCACTGTTTCTACTAGAGCTCACCTGGCCTTTAGATCTTTCTAGAATTCCATAAGCAGATGCTGTCTCAACACAAAGATAATGACCTTTTCAGTTTTCATTGCAGATGTTCCTGAGTGATTACTGCTTCTATTGGTTTACACACGGCATGCGTCTATGCATTTAAAATTGTGCACCTAATGACCCAGGATGCCTTCCTATCATCCATCCTGCTCTCCAGCTCCACTTGGATTCCTTTACTGAAGCCCCAGCACTTGGTCTTCTTGAGTCCCTTGACCTCTCAGCAAGGTGAGAGTGGGTAGCCATGTGCTTGACCGTCTGGGCACACGAACGCAGCACCAAGAAGGCAGATGTTGATGTTTACTACAGAATCTGTGATGAGCATTGCTGGGCCTTTGGATTTGCGGAGTGCGCAGTTTAAAATCACACTCACCTTCAAGGAGCCTTCCTTCTTTCTGCAAATAACTTGTGGAGGGCTCACTCTGCACAGCATAGTGCTGAGTGCTAGAGTCTAAGATGGATAAAAATATTTAAGATCCCTGTCTGTCTGGGGCTCGCACCCCACTGGGAGAGGTAGAGTCACACATGCAAGTACATAAATGGCTATGTGCTATAATAAGGAAGCTGGGTGTTGTGATGGGGCCCCTTCCGTGGTCTGAAGGCCATTTAGGATGTACCAGTGCTCTGAAATATAAAGAATGGGTAGAGATGAACTTAGACAAGAGGGTGGGGAGGGAAGCAACACGACTCATTTCAAAAATAAAAATGGTTAGAATTTCCCAGAGCACATAAGAGCTAGTGAGAGAAAAGACCCAAGAAAGGAGAAGCCTGATGCAGAATCCTAAAGACTGTGCTAAGAATGTTCACATTTATGGCAAATGCCATGGGAGGCTATTAAGACTCTAAGGAGGCTCAAATTACATTTTTAAAAGATCCCTCTGATGGTGTGGGAGATGAGCTGGAGAGGGACGAGAGTGGATGTAAGCTCCTCCTTTCTTCCCTGGTCCAAAGCAGCATCTCTCGATTCATCACACCTACCTTGGATACAGCCTCTGTGACGGAGTCTTCTCTGCACCTCTGCAAATCTATCTTAGGTACCCCTCATATGCTCCATGGCACTGTGTACTTTCTCCATCTTCACACATGTCACAGTATATTGGAATTGCCTGTTTACTTCTCTGTAACATCACTAGTCTGAAAGCTTTGAAGGCAAGGATCACATTTATCTTGTTTACACTTACATCCCCAATGCCACCAACCATGTTGGTTCACAGTAGGCATTCAACAAATATTTACACAATCACCATTTCATTGAGCACCTACTGTGTGCAAGGTACCCTTCTAGTCCTTTCATACGCATGAACTCACCCAATTCTGCCAATACTCCTTTGCAGCATGTTCTATGATTGTCCCCAAGGTAACCGATGAGTAAACTGAGGCACAGAGGAGGCTAGGCAATGTGTCCAAGGTTACAGGCTAGTATGCTGCACCACTGGGGTTCATAGTGCATGCTTACAACCACACACTCTAATGATTAACAAAAGAATGGAATTCTCATCTGTTAGAGCCAGCATTTAATTATCTGTGTTAATGGTTCAAGGCAGTGTCCTGCATCATCCAAAACAGTGAGTAACTTCCAAATAATCCCCAGCGGACTCTATGATACATATGGGCTTTTTTTCAGTAGATTGACCTTCATAAATTACCACTTAAAATAGCCAATAACAAAACCTATTCCTGTTCCCTAAGTAGCAATCAAACTAATGGACAGGAAGTAACTAAGAACTAAACTGGCTAAGCCAAAAAAAGCACTCAATCAACAAATTTAATTAAGCACTTACTTGTTCTTCTTCAGGATCCTGCCATGGTTCCTGTTTCTTATCGCTGCCAAGTCTCTTAAAAGCATATGCTACACCCACCATCTCTATCTACTTCCTTACCTCTTCTTTCTGCATCCTTAAATCAGGTCTTTGTTTGCACAACTGCACTGAAGTGGCTCTGGCAAAAGTCACCGATAGCCACTGTGTTGCCACATTCAATGGGTCCCTTCATCTCCACAGCTGTCCATGGCATTTAGTCTTCTGTGACATCTTTCACTCCTTGAAATTTTTTCTTTAGCACCTTGGATACCACTGCCCATCCCAGGAGAAACAGACGAAAGGACAGGGATCCAGAGCACCCTATTTTATTTCTCATCTCTCTGTGACCGGGAAAAATCACAAACTCTTCCTCTGCCCTGAGTTTTAACCCATTGTGTGCTGCTATGAGATTAAGACATCCAGGCTCTGTGGCTTTCTTTTTTCTCCCCTAATCTTACAGGACAGCACAAAGAATTTTCATAAGGCAGTATTTCACATCAATTAGAAAATATTTGAATCAACAAAACCTCCATAATACAGTATACTGAATATATGAATCCACCAAGGAAATTGAGTTTGTTTTGTTTTGTGTTCTAGCAAGGGATTTCATTTAAGGACATGAGAGGTACAGAGTTTCAAAGAAGAGGGCAGTCCCAGGATCATCCAGGCTAGGAGGGCCCTATAACTACATTTAAACATTGTGCAAAGGTACAAAGGGCTTGGGCTTTGAGATCAGCAACTTGGGCTAGAACTCCAGGTCAGCAAATTCCTAAGAGTATAAATTTCTGCACTTACACTTAAGCTCTTGAGACTCGATGTCTTTATGTGGAAAATAAGAATGATAGAAGAGATAGTGAAGAACAAATGGAACATATAAGCTCTTAGTAAGTGCTCATTTTCTCTCTTTCCCTGGTAGAGATGTAGCTTCCCCACATTTGCCAGCTCCTTTCAAGGTGAGTAGGGCTGTGTGACTGGTACCATCCAATCAATTGCGAGTATATAGGAAGCTCTTAGTAAGTGCTCACTTTCTCTCTTTCCCTGGTAGAGTTGTACCTTCCCCACATTTCCCAGCTCTTTTCAAGGTTGGGTGGGGCCGTGTGACTAGTACCGCCCAATCAATTGTGAGTAGAAGTCTTCCGTGTCACTTCTGGCTAATGCGTTCATGAGCCACTGCAAGACCCTCCAACAGTCCCTTTTGTTGTGGCAGCAACCTGGAAGCCATGTGATCAAAGCAGCTTACATTTCTGAGTCATCACCTAAAAGACGGTCCTATAGAGTTGCCTAACCAGCTTTGGAATTTGCGTGAGTGATACGTAAGCCTTTGTCATGCTAAACCACTAACATTTCTGGGTTAGTCTGTTCTTACAGCACAGCCTAGATTACCCTGATTAAACGCATCACCCACTGGGGAGTCCTTGTGTTCCCAGGGGTGGAAGCAAGGATGAATCAGCTTCATCTCTTTTTTTAGCCAAGGTCTTTACTGATAGCATCTCCTGTTTTCTTCCTTCTCTTCCCTTCACACACCAGAATCGGATCTCTTTATTTTACCCCCAAAGAAACTGAAGTCCAGAGAGGCCAAGTGACTTGTCCAAGCTCACACAGCACATAAGTGGCACAGCCAGGCCAAGAACCCAGGGCCTCCGACTCCCCTCCAGCCCTCGTAGTGTCCACACTACACTACCTCCCAGCAGCTTCCAGCTTCAAATGTTAATAATGTTCTGAGCTTGCCATACCTTTCAATCACTGTAAGCGATACAATCTATGCTACCTTAATGCACTAATTACCAAAGGAGCACATTACCATGCCCTAATTACTAACAAGAAGTGTTGTCAATTCACCATCCTGTTTGCCAGTACATGCAAAATGTTTCCAGACTTGTTCTCAAGGTTTGGCTGGAGGAGGGAAGACAAAATACAAAGAACAATTGATTCATTTCATATTGACAACCAGTCAGGTGGCCCTTCTATTATTATTCTTTGTTACCTAAACACAATCCAACAAAGCCCCAGAAGAAAGGTAGCTGATAGAATGAGATGGGTGGGACAGGCAGTGTAATGAGCTCCAGAAAGAGATTTGCCCACCTGGTTTAGATGCCCATCTTTCCCTTTTTGCCTCTAGGGTTTTTCAAAGCCTCTGTTTTTTCAGTCATAAAATGGGTATAAAAGTAGTGCCAACCTCATGGGGCTGCCCTGGGAATTCAGTAGCATCACGCACACAAAGTCCTATGCAAAATGGCAAGAAGATAATAAGATGCTTAACTGTTATTGCCTATGATGATGATTGCTATTTAGGGGTAGTTTCTTAATCACTGATTTTTCCAAGAAGATTAAAACCAGGCAACGAGGCCAGGCACAGTGGCTCATGCCTGTAATCCCAGCACTTTGGAAGGCCAAAGTGAGCAGATCACTTGAGGTCAGGAGTTCGAGACCAGCCTGACCAACATGGTGAAACCCCATCTCTACTAAAAATATAAAAATTAGCCAGGCATACTGCTGGGCACCTGTAATCCCAGCTACTTGGGAGGCTGAGGCAGGAGAATCTCCTGAACCCGGGAGGCAGAGGTTGCGTGAGCCAAGATCACGCCACTGCACTCCAGCCTGGGCAACAAAGTGAGACTCTGCCTCAAAAAGAAAACAAACAAACTGGGCAACGAAGTAAGGATAAGGGACCCTGATTTATCTTTTATTAAGCACTTGCCCATTCTATGATGTGACTTCTTGGTAGGTACATTGCTAACATTCTGTCTTTTAATCTTTATTCCCGTCCTATAAATTAGATATGATTGTCAGTTTTACAGATGAGGAAACTCTGGCTCAGAGATGTTCAGTAACTTGTCTGAGGCCACACAGCTAGTAAGTAGTAGACGCAGGATTTCAATCCAGGGCTACGTGCCTTTTTTTTTTTTTTTTTCATTTCACAACAATACTGTAATTCAATTTCACTTTTCGTGGACTGTCTGCCTCCACGCATCTTTATGGAACTATATTTTGGAAACTTTAAAGGGACTATGACTTGAGGGCAAAGGAATGAGCACATCTTCTGGGACCGCCATTTGGGACATAATCATATGCATTTATAGAGCCTTTGCTGTGTACCTAGCACAGTGTTTAGTGCTGGGGTCATAGGGATCAATAAGATGTAGCCCTGGCTTTCAAGGCGTTCAAGGTTTAACAAGAAAACTCGTACAAATTTGAGTCAATTACAATAACCTGTGGCCGATATGCAACAAAACTATAAGAGCACAGAGGAGAGATGGAACTCAGGAGGGACTTAGAAGAAGCAAAATCTAAAGCAGGTTTTGAAAAATTAAACACCACTTGCGTGCGGTTTCAGGGAGAAAGGGCATTGCAGGTGCAAAGCAGCAGTGTGCAAAGGCATGAGGTGTGAACAAGCAGGCTGTCCTCAAGAAAGACAAGCAGCCATTCTGCTGGACTATACAAAGCATGAGAAGGAAGAGGAGCAATGGGGCTCCAGAGGCCAGCTAGTGTCAGGTCACTAGGGACCTTGCACTCCACGCTGAAGGCACCCAGAAGCAGTCTTGGTTTCTAAGCCGGGGATGGCACAGTCAGGCGGGCTTTATCATAGACCCTGCTGTTTGCTACGCAAAGCCAGTGCTGGCTGCCAACTCTGGCTGCGCAGGAGACTCACCAGGGAGCAATTTTTAAAAATCCAGTGCCAGGACCTCACCCTGGACCAATTGAATCAGGCACTCTGGAAGCGCAGTCTGGACACCGGTATATTTTAAAAGCTCATCGGACAATCCTAATATACTGCCAGGAATCACGCTACTGGTGTAGGGGCAGAAATAGCATCCAGGAGGCTAGTGCTGGGGAAATGAATTCTGGATGAAGAGAAAGGACAAGATTCAAAACAACAATATTTTAGGAGCTAAAATTGACAATTGTGTTTGATGAGATGTGGGAGCTGAGAAAGAAGAGGAGGGAGGGTGGGTAGGAAGTGACGCTCCATTTTTTTAATCTTGATACATAAATATATTATGTGTTATACACCTCACATAATATTAGTGCCAGAGAGTCTAACAAGCCCATCAGCAATTATTGATGTCTCCTCATCCCCGTACTGGTTGTCTATGAGAGTTCAAAAATACTACAATGATTGAAGAATGCGTATCACATCCTACAAGCACCATCTTCCATACTCAGGGGTCCACATTCATTCCAGTCACCCTGCACGGTCCAGAGGGATTTGCCTTGAACCCATCCTGGCCTCTTGAAGGAGAAATGCCTGGGGAATTCCACAGGAGGAATGAAATTGCTGTCTCGTTAGTGCATTATTTACTTTGATGCACAATTCTAGCAGTTGCAGTTCAGGCTCTATTGTTCACATGGTTGGGCAGGAAGTGTAATGGGAATACCATTAATCTGATGGTTTTAAAGGAGGTGATTTCCAATTAGAATTATTCTCAAGTTGTGAAATGAGTCTGAGCCGGTTTGTAAAACAGCGAGTAATCAATGCACTGTATAACCTTGATTTTTTAGAGTCCCAACGCTATGCAGAAAAAAGTGTCCTCCGAACCCATTATAAGAGGGTAAAAAAAAAATGCCATCATCCTCCCACCCCCCAGACAAATTAGCAAGAAAAATGTTAGCAAAAAGCTCTGCAGACGCACCATTATTTACAAAAGGGAGAGAGAAGAAGATGCTATGAAATAAATCATGCTGACAGTTCAATCAAAAAAAATCAGAATATATTATTCATGCTGTGTTTCATGAGTTGGAAAGGAACTGGACAGGGAGAGCCAAATATGTAGTTGTGTGCTTTATTTATGCATAATAATTTGAATTCCTAAGTTACCTCTGTTTAATGAAATCTGCGTGCTAACTGACCTGACAGGCTCATTCAACATGTATTTTTTGAACTTCGACTCTTAACTAGTGCTGGTCTAGATACTGGGGATGCACAGGTGAGCAAACCAGGTGAGATCTCTGTTCCTGGGAAGGTTAGTTCTGCTTGTGAGTGGGGTGGATGGGCAGACAATAAACACGCAAACAAGAGGACAGAGGTTCATAATCGGTGCCCAAGAAAAAAGCAAGCAGGTGGTGCAATAGAGACCTGCCACGGGCTACTTTGTACTGGTGATTGGGTGAGGCCTCTCTGCAGAGATGATATTTAATTCTGTGACATGCAGGAGCCATTAAAAGAGAATCGAGAGAAAACGTACTCTGGGGACGGATCCTACCAAGGCCAAGATGTGGGAGTAAGAACAGGTTGGGTGTGTCCAGTCAACACGCAGTAGGTGCATGGACTGCGATACAGTGAGCTAGCAGGGGCAGGTAGGAGATGAGGTCCGAGAAGTAGGCAGAGCTTTGCCCAGGCAAGACTTTGTAGGCTGCAGGAAGGAGTTTGGATTTTATTCTAACTGCAATGGAAGCCAACCAGAGCGTTTTTTTTTTGTTTTGTTTTGTTTTTTGAGACGGAGTCTTGCTCTGTCGCCCAGGCTGGAGTGCAGTGGCGCGATCTAGGCTCACTGCAAGCCTCGCCTCCTGGGTTCACCCGCCATTCTCCTGCCTCAGCCTCCTGAGTAGCTGGGACTACAGGCGCCCACCACCATACCCGGCTAATTTTTGTATTTTTAGTAGAGACAGGGTTTCACCGTGTTAATCAGGATGGTCTTGATCTCCTGATCTCGTGATCCGCCTGCCTTGGCCTCCCAAAGTGCTGGGATTACAGGCATGACCCACCGCGCCTGGCCGCCAACCAAAGTGGTTTAAGGGGAGGGGTGATAGGATCTGACTACAAGACTCCTGTGGCTAGGTTGATGATTCAGCACTGTGCTGGACTCCATGAGGGATGACAGGGAGAGAGCAGTAGTAACCAGTGGGTGGGGAGGCATGGAAACTTGAGTGGGCTTGGGAGTGACAGTAGGGTTATCAGCTAAATAATCGAATTGAAGATAAGGAAATCTTCCAGAAGGATGAGCTATTTGAAGACATCCATGGTGAGAGGCAGGAGCAAACAGTGGGAAGTTTGCTGAGTATATTTAAGTCATCAACACTAACACATTTGAAGAAAGATGGTATTATGTGGGTTGCCTTGCCCAGAGAGCAGGATGTGGAAGGGCAAATGTGGGCAGGAGAGGGTGTGATAAATCTCAGAACCATGAGAAACCTAGTTACTAGAGATGAGACAGAAGAGGGATGGTGGGCCCAATTCTGGAGTGATGATTCTCAACTGGGGGCAATTCTGCATCTCAGGGGACATTAAGAAGCACCTGGAGACATTTCTGGTTGTCACAACTTGAGAGGCAGCGCTACTGGTATTTAGTGGATAAAGGCCAGGGATGTTGCTAAACACCCTACAAGGCTTAGGACCCCCCTCACAACAGAGAATTCTCTAGCTCAAAATGTCCGTAGTGCCAAGGCTGAGAAACTGTGGATGGACAGCAGAGTAGAACAATCCTGGATTTCAGTCCCCAGTGTGTGAACTTGAGTCAAGTTTTTAACCTCCCTGAGCCTCACTGACTCCATCTGTAAAACGGAGGTGGCAATCATACCTGCCACCCGTGGGGGTGTGCATAGAGCTGAGGCAATTGAGGTAATAACCACACTTGCAGGTGCAGCGGGACTGGGAAGAAGGCAGAGGCTATGCCATATGCCTGGTAAGTGTGAGAGGTGGGGCCATTCTCTGAATTGGGCATCAGAGGATTGGGGTTTGAGTTCTCTTGCACACAGTGGGTGGACTTTTGGGAAGTGACTCAGCCTTCCTATGCCCTCCCTATTCTGGTGACAGATATAGTTATAAATATAGATATAGATATGGATATACAGACATACCTGCTCTCAATACAGAAGCATAAAAATCATGTTTATGTGGCCCATCCCGTAGAGGATAGTCTAGTCTGTTCAGGCTGTTATAACAAAATACCACAGACCAGATAATTTATAAAAAACAGATGGCCAGGTGTGGTGGCTCATGACTGTGGTCACAACAATTTGAGAGGCTGAAACAAGAGGAGTGCTTGAGCCTAGGAATTCAAGACCAGCCTGGGCAACACAACGAGACCCCATCTCTTCAAAAAAATTTAAAAAAAAATTAGCTGGGCACGGTGGTGTATGTCTGTGGTTCCAGGTACTCTGGAGGCTAAGGCAGGAGAACAACTTGAGCCTGGGAGATTGAGGCCCAGGTTCTTTGGAGGCTAAGGCAGGAGAATCACTTGAGCCCAGGAGATCGAGGCTGTGGTGAGCCATGATTGCACCCCTGCACTCCAGCCTGGGCGAAAGAGTGAGGGACCATGTCTCAAAAACAAATACATAAACAACAGAAATGTAGTTCTCACCATTCTGGATGCTGGGAAGTACAAGATCAAGTCACCAGCAGATTTGGTCTCAGCTGGGCGGTCCAGCTTCTAGGTCATAGACGGCCACCTTCTTGATGTTTTTTTTCACATGGTGGAAGGAGCAAGGGAGCTCTCTGGGTCCTCTTTTATAAGGGCACCAATATGATTCATGGAGGCTCCACCCTCATGACCTCATCACCTCCTCAAAGCCCTTCCAATACTATCACACTGGGGATTAGGTTTCAACAAATGAATTTCAGGGGGACACACATGTAATCCCAGCACTTTCGGAGGCAGAGGTGGATGGACCACTTGAAGTCAGGAGTTAGAGAACAGCCTGACCAACATGGAGAAACCCCCATCTCTACTAAAAATACAAAAATTAGCTCGATGTGGTGGTGGTTGCCTATAATCCCAGCTACTCGGGAGGCTGAGGCAGGAGAATTGCTTCAACCTGGGAGACAGAGGTTGCAGTGAGCCAAGATCACGCCACTCCACTCCAACCTGGGTGACAGAGCAAGACTCTGTCTTAAAAAAAAAAGAATGTCAGGGGCACATAAGCTTTCAGACCACAGCACACCCTTTTCCAGGTTCCATCCTGTAAGGTGGGACAGGGCAGAGTGCAGGCACAACAAACAGCATGCCCAGTCTCAGCAGAACTGCCTTTCTCGCACACAGCATGTGGGCCCACTTGTCCCAGATGGCTCTCCTTAGTACCACCTGAACGCAGCTTTATTTAACTCAACACTAGAGAGATGGTCAAAAAGAATCAGCCGTGAGTGTCTCACCTAGCACGAAGTCTCCCAGCCTCAGCATGGTCGACTCTTTGGACTGGATAATTACCTGTTGCAGGGGTCTGTCCTCTGCATTTCAGGATACGTAGCATCCCTGGCCTCTACCCACTACATTTAAGTAATGCCAAGTTGAGAACCACTGAACTAGCATGGTGTAGTAATAACTCATCATCATCATCATCATCATCATCATCACCTGTGTAGATGGACAGAAGTCAGACTCAAATCCCACCGCTTCCCCTTACTAGCTGTATGGCCTTAAGTAAGCCACAGCATTGCTCTAGGATTCTGTTTTCTCATCTGTAATATGGGTATAACACTTTCCTATGCCGAGAATGAAGTAATGTATAAAATTCTTAGCACAGTGTCTAGCACACAATTGTTCTCCAAAAAGTCCTTATCCTTCTTTATTGTACATGATTGAGAGTTACACAGAGTTAGGTCGGGCTCGGCGGCTCACACCTATAATCCCAGCACTTTGGGAGGCCAAGGTGGGTGGGCCACTTGAGGCCAAGATTTCAAGACCAGCCTGGCCAACAGAGTGAAACCCCATCTCTCCTAAAAATACAAAAATTAGCTGGGCGTGGTGGCATGTACCTGTAGTCCCAGCTACTTGGGAGGCAGAGGTGGATGGACCACTTGAGGTCAGGAGTTCGAGAACAGCCTGACCAACACGGAGAAACCCCCATCTCTACTAAAAATACAAAAGTTAGTTCGATGTGGCGGTGGGCGCCTGTAATCCCAGCTACTTGGGAGGCTGAAGCATGAGAATTGCTTGAACCTGGGAGGCAGAGGTTGCAGTGAGCTGAAATTGTGCCACTGCACTCCAGCCGGGGTGACAGAGTGAGACTCCATCTCAAAAAAATAAAAAAATAAAAAATAAAGAGTTACACAGAGTCAAGACAGATCTCTGTGGCTGGGTCCCCAGAACAAAGTCCTCCTATCCCCTTAAACAGGGCCACAGATGGACAGTGAGTATATGGTCCAAGGCTTCTTTAAACCTGCCCCGTGAACACTTGCTCCCTCATCTATCTACAGAGTGGCTGTTATTATTTATGAACACCACCGTCATCATCATTAGCAAAATAAGAAACTGTTGGATTTTCCCCCATATCTAGAGGCTGTCTTGACCCTATCCAGACTCAAGGACCCCCGAACTTTCTGATCTTCCCCCTCAGAGGGAGGAAAGCCACTAAAATGAAGTTCTTATAAGGTCGACCGATGCACACCAAGAAAAATCAGCATTGCAGCAGGCCGGGGTAGGGCGTGGGTGGTCTCCCTGACAGCTTGTTTTTAAATACTTCCAAACGAAAATGAGTTTGCCTCCAAGGAACTGCCTGTGTGCTGGCAGATCCGAAAGCGGAAGCAAAGCCCTCATGGCTGGCTGCATGCAGGCATCCTGATGCGGAAGTGCTGCTAATTTAAACCCATTTTCCAAGGTGCCCACAGCCTCCATGGGGAATCACCAACACTCTCTGGAGAAGACGCTTAATCACCTGAAGAAGTCATGGGAACAGAGAAAACAAGAGCTGAAAACCCTCTCCGAAAGGGAGGCCCCCAAGTGACATTTTCAGCAGAATATTATTCTCTAAGCATTGTCTTTTCATCCTGTGCTCTCTTGAACCAAATAGATGATTAGGATTTAAGATGCATTTGATGATATTTTCCTGGTAGGGAGCCAGTTGTGCCCCCAGTTCTGTCCCACCTTTTAATCTTCTTGGTGGAGTTCCCGAAGGAAATGGAAGTGAAGAACTTCAGCCAAATGCAAGCAAACACCGCTTCGTTATTAGCTGGGCCAATGCCCAATAGCCCGATGTTGGACGATTTGGAAAAAGCTGGTCTATGCAGCAGACACTTGATAGGTACCTTCTTCTTAACCTAGATCAGAATCTTGAGTGGGTGCAGCGATAAAGGAACTCTGGATGAAAGAGGCGCAGCTGATACAACTCAGGAGATAGATCACCACGTGCATAACGGGGAAGGAGGACAGGGAGGGAGGGAGAGGATATGGCTGGTCCAGCTCACCTCATGCACTGTCACAGGTGCATGGACAGAACACGACAGAGGGAGATTAGCTTGGTACACGTCTCTTAGAACACAGCGACCCTGGCCCCAATCAGTGTGGCCCAATCCAGGGTTTATACTCTGACTAATCACATTAGCCTCTTCTTCTCCCTTGGACGTGGGAGCTAGGGTGAGGATGCACTGAGCACGCTTGCACACATGGGACACCAAGGCCAATGAGAGACTGAAAATGAGTGTACCTCCAAGGAACTGCCTGTGTGCTGGCAGATCCAAAAGCGGAAGCAAAGCCCTCGTGGCTGGCTGCATGCAGGCATCCTGATGCAGAAGTGCTGCTAATTTAAACCCATTTTCCAAGGTGCCCACAGCCTCCACAGGGAATCACCACCACTCTCTGGAGAAGACGCTTAATCACCCTGCTATACATGGAGCTCTATTTTTTTTTTTTTTGTTTTTGAGATAGAGTCTTGCTCTGTCACCCAGGCTGGAGTGCAGTGGCGCGATCTCAGATCACTGCAACCTCCATCTCCCGGGTTCAAGCGATTCTCCTACCTCAGACTCCTGAGTAGCTGGGACCAAAGGTGTGCACCACCATGCCTGGCTAATTTTTGTATTTTCAGTAAAGACAGAGTTTCACCATGTTGGCCAGGATGGTCTCAAACTCCTGACCTCGGGTGATCCACCCACCTTGGCCTCTCAAAGTGCTGGGATTACAGGCGAGAGCTACCACACCTGGCTCATGGAGCTCTATTTATCAAGGATTTTTCCTTGTGATACAAAATAAAATTGGTCTTCGTATCCCCACTGCCAAACACTGGGAATGGGTACAGAGGAAGTAAGTTCCTGACCTAGCAAATATTTCTTCATTCCCTTGTCCTTTTATCCACTGTAGCACAAAATAGCTTCCTTGGCCACCCGTGTGAGTCAACTCTTGTCCTAGGACCAGGTATGTGTATGAACTAAGGTCAGATCTGGATGGGCAAAAACCATCCCAGCCTCCTTCCCTCCTGCCCAGTGACCTTTCTCCAGCCTTTTCTGGCAGGCTCCGTCAATTGTTGATTCATCTCCTGTCATCTTCTCCATGCAACTTAGCAAAATATTCATTCATTCAGTGAATATTTATTATATGCCTTCATCTTAGGTTGGATTTCTCCAAGCAGTGGCTGAGAGGGTGATGTGGGGGCAGGTGATCTATCAAGAAACAGTGGGCCAGGCACGGTGGCCCATGCCTGTAATCCCAACACTTTGGGAGGCCAAGGTGAGCAGATCACTGAGGTCAGAAGCTCCAGACAAGCCTGGCCAACATGATGAAACCCTGTTTCTAATAAAAATACAAAAATTAGCTGGCATAGTGGCACATGCCGGTAATCTCAGCTACTCGAGAGGCTGAGGCAGGAGAATTGCTTGCACCTGAGAGGCAGAGGCTGCAGTAAGCCGAGATTGGAATTGACCCTTGCACCTGAAATTGATCGCTTGCAGCTGAAACGCAGAGGATGCAGTGAGCCAACATTGAAATTGACCCTCTCATTCTTAAAGCTTGAAACTTATGTTTGTCTTATCTGACTTCCTTTGTTAGGAAACAACCTTCAGGCCCTCAGGATAATATCAAGAGACCGCAACTGGGAGGCCAAGGCAGGAGGATTGTTTGAGGCCAGAAGTTTGAGGACAGCCCTGGTAACATGGTAAGACCCCTATCCCTACCAAAAAATAAAAAAAAATTAGAAAATTAGCTGGGCTTGATGGTGCACACCTATAGTCCCAGCCACTCAAGAGGATAAGGCAAGGATCTCTTGAGCCTAGGAGTTTGAGGGTGCAGTAAGCTATGATTACATCACTGCACTCCAGCCTGGGTGACAAAGTGAGACCCTGCTTCGAAGAACCTGGAATTCCACTTCTTTACCCCTTCCTAAGTTCTGTTTTCCTGCGTGTAGCTGCATTCCTTCCCAGCTATATAAACCCCCAATTTTAGTCAGATGGGGAGACAGATTTGAGACTTATCTCCCATCTCCTCAGCTGCACACCTGAATAAGGCCTTTTTTCTTGGCAATACTTGCTGTCTGAGTGACTGGCTTTCTGTGCAGCGAGCCGTGCGACCTACACCTAACCCTTGGCATTTCAGTAACAAAAGCTCTTCAAGAAAAACCTCTCAAGGAAGGACAGTGGAATAAGGCGAAGGAAAGACCAGAGAGCAAGAACATGGTCCAGGTAGAGTCTAGCCTTCGCCAGATCCCCATGGGCAGGTCTCTAGCACAGGGGTTGACAGGTTTTTTTCTGTAAAGGGATAAATAATAACTAATTGAGCATTTGCAGTCATATGATCTCTGCCACAACCACTCAACTCTGCCACTGCAGTGCTAAAGCAGCCACAGATGATACATAAGTGAGTGAGCATGGCCATGAGGCTAAGGAACTTGTCTGTCTCGCCCATCAATGTGCCCCATGTCTGGAACACGGTAGGCAGGAATAAATGATGTTACTGCACATCCAGGCCCCTCTACTGGGCTGCTGCATCCATGATCCAGCTGCCATAAATGTTGGCTGATATGGCTTGGAGATGCCCTTCTGATACAGAAAATTGCCCACAGCTGACAGAAACCACCTTGCAAAAAAGACTACGCTCCACCCTCCAACCTTCCCAGAAGCAGCCCACAGCCAATGGCTGATGGATATATAAGGGCACAAGAGACCAACCCTCCTGCTTCATGGAGGGACACTTCAGTAGTATGATACCTTCTCTAAAGTTGAGGTCAGCAAATTATGGACTGTAGGCCAAATAGGACCCACTGGCCATTCAACTCTGAATTCGCTCTACTGAGCACAGACCCTGGAAGAGAGCAGTCAGAGAGTAAATGTTTATCGAATACAATGGAATAAAATTGAACCTTGAAAGACGGGTCCAATTTGGGCAGGGTGGGGAGAGAAAAGCATTCTTTCAGGTCCTCGAACATGTTATACACGCTGTTCCATCTGCCACCAGCACTAGCCTACCTCCCCCACACCACTTTGCCTAGCCAACCAGCATTGTCTCTCATCTTTCAAGTCTCAAGTTAGATAGATCTGCCCCCAGCATGAGTCCATTGCTCCCCATCTGTTCTCCTACAGTACCTTTGCTTGCTACTCATGGAATAATTCTCCCATCGTGTATGAGGTCCTTAAGTTAATTTCTCTGTCTCCCGCACTAGAATGTTGGCTTCTTGGAGTCAGAGACCTCACCTGTCTCAGACTCTTCCATGGTCTTAGCATCTCACACAGTGCCTGGCACGTGGTAAGCCTTCAATATAATATTTCAGCAATTCCACTACTGAGTATATAGCCAAGAGAAATAAAATCAGTATGTTGAACAGATATCTGTACCCCCATGTTCACTGAAACGTTATTCACAGTAACCAAAATATATAATTAACCTAAGTGTCCCCTAAAGGATGAATGAATAAAGACAGCATGGTAGATACACAAAATGAAATACTATTCGCCTTAAAAAGAAGGAAATGTTGTCATTTATGACATGGATGTACTTAGAGGAAATTATGTTAAATGAAATAACCCAAGTGCAGAAAGACAGATATCTCACGATCCCACTTATATGTGGAATCTAAAAAAGTTGACCTTGTAGAAGCAGAGGGTAGGAGACTGTTTACCAGGAGCTGTGAAGGGGGTGGTATGGGATTGGGGAAATGTTGGTTAAAGATATAAAATTTCAGTTAGACAGGATGAATACATTCAGGAGATCTACTGTGCAGCAAGGTGACTATATTTAATGACAATGTACTGAATACTTGAAAATTGCTAAGAGAGTTGATTTTAAGTGTTATCACCGTAAAAAATATATGAGGTGATACATTTAATTAGCTTGATTTAGCCATTCCTCAATGTATTCATATATATAAACATCCTGTTGTATACCATAAATATATACACTTTTTATTTGTCAACTAAAAACAGAAATTATTTTGACTCTAGATTTCTTTTCATCCAAGTTTTATTACAAAATTTTCCAAACGTGCAAAAAAGTTGAAAGGTTTAGTACAGTGAACACCACTTAGATTCAATAACTGTTCATATCTTACAGCCTATATATTTTAAATAATAGCCATCATTCTTGGGCATTTACTGTATGTCAAGCACCTGCTAGGTGATTTGCAAATATCATTTTTAAAATCCTGAAAAATAGCATAGAAGATAAGCACTATTATTCTCCCCCATTTTGCTGCTGAGTAAACTGAGACTTAGAGAAGTTACATCACTAAAATCAAACAGGTACTAAGTGTTAGATTTAAACCGGATCTGGAGTACTGTAGCTGAATTCCGGACTACTGCGTTATAGCACAGTGTGTAACCCCACAACGATATGATGTGCTAGGGGATCCTAGAATTGTGGGGCTGGGTTATTTCTGAAGAGTCTGAGGCAGCTCCTGCGGGGAGATGACTCCAGAGAGCAACTGAAAGGGAGATGGAGCTGAGACAAGAAATCCACTGCTGAAGTTTGGTGGCCGATCATCAAAGAGATTAACTCCAACAGCATCTACCCCAACCCCTTTCTTCCTTGCCATACATCTCTGACACTACCATTATTAGTGACTGGGCTCAGAAGCTTGCCACCTTGTATGATCTGAATTGATCCAGTAAAGAATTCTCTGAAAAGCACCATTAAGATGATTTATAGTCTAATTTTGGTTGCTATAGATTCCAAGTCAGACTTATGACTCGGAAGAGAGGGGGGAAAAATCCCCGCCTCGCTTAGAATTCAGGCAAAGGTTTCAGTATTGATAGAGAAGCATGACTGGCTGGGGGAAAAAAAAAGTCATATTTTTTTAAAGTTTACAGCTACCACTCCTGGTTTGGGGTTGCTATAGCAACGAAGGGCCTTGGAGGGGGGCACAGTGTCTGCGGATCTCACTCTACGGAGAGCTGATTGATAGGTCGCCTGAATACTGTTTAGACACTTCTGTGCTAGGAACCAGATAACATTAGTTTATTAAAATACACGTTAAAACACCAGTCATCTCTCTTGCCCCAGCATTTTATTTTAATCATTGTTGTTAAGGAATTGTTAACAGGCTACTGATAGGAATGGAAGGCAAATCCCGTTAGGGAGCTAAACGCCATCTTGCTGGGGCTCGCATGCACAGGCCGGGCGGCAGGCCCATGCAGGGTGCATAATTACGATAATTTGGCATGACTGATTGTCTCCCTCTCCCCCCAGCCCAACCCACCCTGGCTTTCCAGGGAGTTAGAGGCATGGCTAATCCTCGTAAAGACTTCTGTTCCTGGCTGTGGAGGGGCTCCGGCTGGGACTGTGCCTAGCTAAGGTCTCCAAATTTCTGTCTTCTCTGTCACTGTGTGACAGCCTGCATGAGTGGCAGTTTGTGCCCCAAGAAGAGTGTCATCAGGGCCAATGTATATGGCCTGTCCAATGTATCACTGCTTGGGAGATGTGGTCAAGACAAGCTGGGCATGAACCCTGGTCCTGCTACTTGCTAGATTTGTGACTGAGGAAACCTCTTAAGCCTCTGTTTACCCACCTGGAAATGGGGGTGCTGATATTACTTCCATTTTTTTGGAGCATAAATAAGACATTCCCTTTAGCCTTCTACCTGGAAGAGCTCATTCCTCACAAACCTGATAAGACAGATACTTCAACTCCATTTTGCAGATGAGGAAATTGAGGGTTAGGGAAGCTCGAGAGCTTGAGGAGCTGCCTAACTCCTACAGTTTGGGGAAGATTCAAGGATGCATGTAAACTGCTTAGCACACTACTTAGTACAGGGTTGGTACTCCATCAAAGTTCTTAGGTACATACTATTGACGTTAGTATCATTATCAGTGGTAGAAGGTGAAACGGCTACTCTCATCATCCAAAGCTCCTGCTGGTAACACATGTCTAAGAGCATGAATAATCTTCAAGCACTTGGTGGGCTCTTGTCACTTTTCATGATTGCATTAATCCTCACACCAACCCCATGAGATGAGGAGCATCGTTAATGCAGTTCTACAGGTTAAGACCTTGAGGTTCTCAGAGACAAAAATCACTAGCTTGGGGCCCCCCAGCTGGTAGCAGGCATCACTGGGATTTGAACCCATGTCTTCATCATTCCAAACCCTGTTTGTACCCTTATGTTCTACTGTCAGTGTACCTATATAAAGCCACAGACTGTGCATTCACGTAGGTCTCCTATTGTCTTTTATTCAACCCACATGTGATGTGTGAATTTTCTCTGTGTTAATACTGAGCAAGACATTCTCCAGGCTTGGCTTGAATACCTTAAGAGAGTTCACTGTAAAATGGAGGCCAACTTCATAGTTAGAAAGTTCTCCCCAGCCGGGTGTGGTGGCTCACGCCTGTAATCCCAGCACTTTGGGAGGCTGAGGGCAGCAGATAACCTGAGGTCAGAAGTTTGAGACCAGTCTGGCCAACATGGTGAAACCTCCATCTCTACTAAAAATACAAAAATTAGCTGGGCAAGCTGGGCATGGTGGCACATGCCTGTAATCCCAGCTACTCAGGAGGCTGAGGCAGGAGAATTGCTTGAACCTGTGAGGCAGACATTGTAGTGAGCCAAGATTATGCCACTGCACTCCAGCCTGGGTGATAAAGTGACTCCATCTCCAAAAAAAAAAAAAAAAAAAAAAAGATCTTTCTTATGCTAAGCCCGAAGCCCAGCCTGCCCACACTAGTTCAAATCTCCAGAGCCACAGAGATACAGTATCTTTTCAAGTGCTAGCCCATTGCATATGGGAGAATCATCATCAGGCCCACCTTTTATAAGTTCCCTTTTGGTTCATCTCTTCATTCTTCCATTCACCTATCCGCTGTTATCTAGTCATCCTACAAACATTTATTGAGCTTCTACTGTATGCCAGATACTCATCAGGAACAGGGCTGTAGTGCTGAAGGGCACAGGCACAGTTCTGCCTCCAGGTTGTTCACATTTTAGTTGGGGAGAAAGGTACTCAAAACTATTTTTTAATTCATTTGATTATAACTCTTAAGAATTATAAAGGGGAACAATAGGATTCTAAAGAAGAAATGTAAGGTTCTATGGGAGCCCATCACCAGGACAAGTAGGAATTGATTTGGCAAGGAAGAATGTTGGAAGGCAACTCAGTCAAGATATACCAGAGGGAAAAGCATTCCAGGGAAAGTGAGCAGCATGTGCAAAGGTCCTGTGGTAAGAAAGAACTCAGCATGTTTGAGGAACTAAAGAGCAGTGTGTCTGTGGAGAGTGAGTGTGAGAGAGAGGGAGATTCCACTGGAGAATGATGAGGTCAGAAAACTCCATTCCTTGCCTCTCACTTTGCTTCTCGAACACAGACAGGAGAGTAGGAACTGGATCCTGGATGGAGCCTGAAGGTTGGAAAAGAAGTCAGGCTCTCTCATATTTCACCTGGACCTCAATCTCTGAATATGTTTGTGACAGAATATGTTTGTGCCATTGTCACCTTATTAAGCTGACAACTATGTTTCCCAGAAACTCCCTCCCTGTAGGGTTTCAGCAGAAAACTGTCCCACAGAGGAACTTGTGGGGAATTTTAAAAGCAGAAGTGAAGCTCAGCCATAGCCCTCAGAACGCCATTGTGTCTGACTGGTAGAATGGTGGCAGGTGTTCCCAGGAGGCTCTGGCTGGTCCTCACCCTGCTGCATGCCGTGTTTCTAGCTTGCCTTCCTAAACCCTGGCCCTGCGAACCAAGGAAGCTCCAGGCCACCACCAGATGCTTGGCTGCAGACTCGCAGAAGCGCAGCCACACGCTCTGGATGGTTCTCTGCAGAAATATCCGCGAGCTCCCCTTTCTGGTCTCACTTCGGCTGGATGTGCTTAGACTCTCCTATTTCCCACTTGGGCCAGTGCTTCAGGCAGGTGGGCTAGTGACTTTTTCCGAAGCTCCAGCTCCCCCTCCAGACCCCCACTTCCCAGCTCCTTGCACAGGTAGATGCGGTCTAATTCCTGTAACAAATCCTTGCTCTCATAATAATCATTATGGCTTTGTTTCCCTGACTGAAGCTTGACCAACATGCTGGATAACATCATCAATGGGAGAGGAAAAGAGAGGAGGGGAGGGAAGAAGACGGGAGAGGGAAAAGGAAGGGAAAGGAAGGAAGGGAAGGAGATGGAAGATGAGGGAGGGAGGGGGGAACTTCCTATTGAACTTTGAACTATTTTTTTTTAAATTTTAGATTCAGGGGGTACATGTGCTTGTTTGTAACATGGGTATTACATGCATACTGGTGAGGGCAGGGCCTTCTAGCGCACCCATCACTCAAATATTAGGCACGGTACCCAATAGGTAATTTTTCAACGCTCACTCCCTCCTACCCTCTCCCTTTTTAAAGTTCCTCCCTAGAGTCTGTTTTCTCCATCTTTATGTTCATGTATGCCCTTCGTTTAGTAGCCAATTGTGAGTGACAACATGTGATATTCGATTTTCTGCTTCTGTGTTAGTTTACTTAGGATAATGTCCCACAGCTCCATCCATCTTGCTGCAAAGGACGTGATTTCATTATTTTTTATGGCTGTATAGTATTCCATGATGTATGTATGTATGTATGTATGTATGTACAATATATATATCACTTTTTTATTTGAGACAGGGTCTCACTCTATCACCAGGGTGGAGTGCAGTGGCGCAGTCTTGGCTCACTGAAAACTCCACCTCTCGGGTTCAAGCCATTCTCCTGCCTCAGCCTCCCGAGTAGCTGGGACTACAGGCACGTGCCACCATGCCCAGCTAATTTTTGTATTTTTAGTAGAGATGGGGTTTCACCATGTTGGCCAGGCCGGTCTCAATCCCTTGACCTAGTGATCCGCCCGCCTTGGCCTCCCAAAGTGCTGGGATTACAGGTGTGAGCCACCACACCCGGCCTATATATCACTTTTTTAATACAATCAACTATTGGTGGACACTTACGTTGGCTCCATGACATCGCTATTGTAAATAGCGCTGCAATAAACATATAAGTGTAGGTGTCTCTTTATATAATGCTTTATTTTCCTTTGGGTAAACAGTAGTGAGGTTTCTGGGTTAAATGGTATGAACTTTCAACTGGTCTACTGAGGTTATCTTCAATTTTCAATTGTCTTGAGGGACACAAGACAGTTTGTCTTGGGAGCAAGTCACCCTTGCTGGCGGATGGCCTTCATTTGATAATTGAGGTAAACAAGTTTCCACAATGAGAGGTGAGATGAGAACAGAATTCCAGTTCTTCTTGTTCTTACTTCTGCATTTTCATTCCACACAAGTCCACCCTGTTGGGACAGCCCATTCCATGGCTCTACCCCATCATTCAAGGATCAAGACCTAGTATGGTACCTGGGTTCAACTACCGGCTCTGCTACTTTCTCAGTGTGAACCTTGGTCAAGTTACCTCACCTCTTATTTCCTCCTATGAAAACAGAAATCATAATCATGGTACCTGGAAATGTTCAATGATACTGTAGATAGAAAGTTCTCAGCATGGCTGGGTGTGGTGGCTCATGCCTGTAATCCCAGCACTTTGGGAGGCCAAGGTGGGTGGATCACTTGAGGCCAGCAGTTCAAGACCAGCCTGGCCAACATGGTGAAACCCCATCTCTACTAAAAATACAAAAATAAGCTGGGCATGGTAGCACATGCCTATAATCTTAGCTACTCAGAAGGCTGAGGCAGGAGAATTGCTTGAACCCAGGAGGCAGAGGTTGCAGTGAGCCAAGTTCACACCATTGCACACCAGCCTGGGTGCAACACAGCAAGACTCTGTCTCAAAAAAAAAAAAAAAAAAAGAAAAGAAAAGAAAAGGAAAGACAATTCTCAGCACAGTGCTTGGCATTTAGTAAGTGTTAGTGTTATTCTTATTGTTGTTACAGTAAGTCCAAATTTCTCTACCTGGCTTTTTATCTCTGAGTCAAGTAAAATATGCAAATGTTAGTCATGGATTTTTTTTTTTTTTTTGAGATGGAGTTTCACTCTTGTTGCCCAAGTTGGAGTACAATGGCATGATCTCGGCTTACTGCAACTTCTGCCTCCCAGGTTCAAGCAATTCTTCTGCCTCGGCTTCCTGAATAGCTGGGATTACAGGTGCCCAACACCATGGCTGGCTAATTTTTGTATTTTTAATAGAAACGGGGTTTCACTATGTTAGCCAGGCTGGTCTCGAACTCCTGACCTCAGGTGATCTGCCCACCTTGGCCTCCAAAAGTGTTGGGATTACAGTCGTGAGCCACCGCACCCAGCCTAATCATGGTTTTGTCCAACGTTTCCCCAGAGCAGCATGTCCTGGCTGCTTTCTATGAGTGCTTCACTGCTCTTTTACTTGCATCTTTTTCCTGGATCCTTAAACTGCCAGTGAGGTAGGCACGGCCAGTGCTCTTGTTTGGCTATCCCAAAAGCCATTCTCAACCTGTTTTCCTCTACTTACCTCCTACTATGGAGAGAATAAAGTCAGGCTAGATAGCTGCAGATAGATAGATTCTCCCTGCAGCTCAGAGTCAACATGAGACCCAGCTTTGTTCCATGAAATAAAAGGGGAGAAATTCCTAAAGAAGAGTGTTTGGGAAGGCGTTAGTTAGTTTCCTGATAAAAAGGACAAGTTGTGTTAGCACTTCCCATACTCCTCCTTTCTGCCTTGGAATGTGATTGCAATGGCTGGTTCTGTGGCAGCCATCTTTCACACATAAGGATGAGGAGTTAACAGCTGGGCATGGGAGACCGCATGTACAAAAAGAGCCTGAGTTCTTGATAACACCACTGAATTACTCAACAAACCCTGAGATGCATATGTGTCCTTATGTTTTACACCATTTTTCAACATGTCTTTTACTTGCATATGAAAGCATTCTTAACTGATACCAGAGGTCTTACTATGCCTATTTACATATGGTGGTGGAGAGGCTCAAAAGGTTGGGCAAATTGCAAAAGTTCTCACAGCTTTAAAATAGCAGGTTTGAATTCAGTGCCAGATTCTGCCAGTTTCAAAACCCAATCTCTTTACCAAGACCAATGTTCTGTACTCAATGAACGTAAGTTTCTCTACTTTACCTTCTCTTCTCCATATATTTAAATTCCATTCTGATTTTAGTTCAAGTTCTGGACCCGCCATGAATCTTTCCTTGATTAATCCAGTACACAGGGAGCTCCTGCTTCGTTGATCCCTGTTTCTCCATGAAGGCACCACCCTACCGTCTGACACTTAATGGTTTTCCAGCATTTCAAATGCATTGTACTTTTGACACCACTCCACCGAACCCCCATTATATCACATGTTTCTTAAGGTCAGAGAAGCAAACTCCTATAGGGTAATAGATCAGAGGATTTGGAGACTGGTTCAACTCCCGGTTCTTCCTCTTGCCTGTTGTGTGTCTTTGGGGAAAAGTCAGTTCATCTACTATGGTCTCAGTCTGATCTATGAAATGAAGGTCATAGCTGCTGCGACGTATTCAGGTGAAACCCATTTGTAAAGCAATTAGCAGAGTACCTGACTTGGAATAGATATTCAAAAATGATAGCAACCACTGTTATTACATGTTATATTTCTTGTATACAGTCTTAGTGTGTGGCAGAGTGACAACAAATAGTATGAGTTCGATAGGCAACTGTTAACAGAATGGTCCATTGACTATTTCATTAAGACCTTACTGAGATGTCATTCTATTCCAGACAATGTGCTAAGTATTTGACTTTAATGATTTTTTTAAAGTCAAATAAAATACCCTTGTCTTTGACGCATGAACAGATAACTGTAATACAATGTGACAAATTCAATAATAAAGAAATTCATAGGGTTTTATGGGGACACAGGGGAAGGGTACTTCTCAAATCCAGGAGGACTTCCAGGAGGAGGTCCCAAGTTGAATCCTAAAGAAGAGAAGAATCTGGATGATGAGTCCTTTTCCAGTCCCCAGAACTCTGTTATCCTTGCCAGGAGTAAGTTACAGAAACAGCAGACGAAGAAGTGGCATTTGTGCATCTGTGAGTAGGGACACAGATTCATGTATATGATAATTGCTTTTGCATCTTAGGACTTCTATCTAGAGGCTGGATTAGTTAGAAACAAGCTTCCTTTTCAACTTTGCTTTCATTTCAGCTTTTCCTCCTGCGTGGTAAACATAAAACCCATTCTGTAAGGGCTCTCCTATTTCCTTTTAGGCACGAAGCATATTCTTAGAAGCAGCCTGCCGGGAAACAAAGGTTAATTCTGCAGGGAATGAATTGCTAAAGCTGCGTTCTTATTTGAAGTTTTGATTTATGGAAGCAACCGTGGGTTTTTCTTTGCTTTGCAAAATTCTTTAATGTCTCCATTTCAGGCAGATCCGTCGGCGTCACTCCACGCGTGGGCCAAAGTCACTGGCAAGATTTTATTTGACTCTGCTATTCTTAAAAGGCAGGAGACAGGCTTTGTCAGGACTCACAGGACCTCTAGCAAGGGATGCTCAGTTGGAAGGCTTCCGTCCCACTAGCCCAGCCATGTACAGGGGGCTGTAAAGTCAGTAGGCAAGAACAAGGCTAACAGGAGTACTTAAATAAGAGTTCCTGCGGCTGGTGCATTTATGAAATATCAGAAGGTCACAGAAGTCAGCCTCAATTGGTTACTGTGCTATTGAAGTGCTGTTGTGTTCCAGCTGTGAGCCTCTGACTGGCTCTAGCTGGTCTGTAAGGGAATCAAGGTTGGTCTCAAAGGCCTTCCAAGGTTTTTTATTGTTGTTGTTCCTATATAAGATATTGCTGTATAACATGGATTGTTTGGTAGGTCTAAGAGGGTATTATGGTCTCCTCTTATTCAATTACGGTATCATATTGATTCATTCACTATGTGCCAGGGGTGATCCCAAATAGCACTAGACAAGCAGGGCTGCAACATATATTTCTGAAGTTCTTGTACGACATGCCGAAGAAAAGCGAGGGGTTGAAATCCACTCGTCAAAGCTATGAACCCATGCAACCGGCATCTACCAAGAAGATGTGACTTTTTCTAACCCACCTTTTTGGAGAGGGTGTTTTTTTCTAATTCACGCAGAGGTGCACAGGAATCTAGTTTAGGCTAGCCTCTACCCTGTCTACAAGATAATCGTAGTTCTTGCACTCATGAAGCTTTTATTCTAGAAGAGAATGAGGAACAAGCCACAGGTAAAGAGGCAAACTTAAAATATTGAAGATGACTTCATATTAAGTGCAAAAAAATAAATTATTAGTGTGGTGTTAGCACAGTGATGGCGGAAGGATGTTACCTTAAATAGTCAATGAAGACATCCTTAATTATTAGCCTATGAGCTCAGACTGAAGGTACAAAAGACCAAGCTAGTGAAAAGCTAAAGGTCCAAGAGTATTCAAAGAGTCCAACAGTCTAACTACAGGAAGTTGAATGTAGATTTCCCAGGACATTTATTTGAGAGAAGGGGAGCTTCCCAGTAATAGCAATCGCACTGCATTTCCCTCTAGCTTCTGACATTGTTTTTGTGCTCAGAATCAATCGATTCCTTGCTATTCTTGGTGGGCAGAAAGTCTTTGCAAAACTTGACCTTTCCCAAGTGTTATCAATACAGCTAATAGTGATGCTGTCAGAAATGTCCAACAATCATCACACATCAAGGGGCTTTCTGAGTTCAGCGCTCTTGGTTCAGAGTTTCTGCTGTCCTTGGAATGTGTCAATGTTTGTTGAAGATTATTTCTTTACTGAAGTTCAATTATGGTGTCATATTGATTCATTTTATGTCTTATATTTTTACATGTTTATGTGTCTGTTTTCACCAATAGGCTGTGGGTTCCCAAGGGGCAGGGGTTCTGTGTCATTTCATTTTGTGCCCCCCCACAATAAAACAGTGTAGAGTTCAAACAGTTAGTCAAGGCAGTCAATACTTTCATGTCCTATGATGGTCACATAGTCACATGGGGTGTTATTTCAATACTTTGCTTAACTGATTGGCAGACTGATAGATGACTAGGAATTTCAAAGTCGCCATCCTAGGGTGATGACCTTCACCTACATATTATAAACAACTTGAGAATGAGTCCACGCATTTTTCCCCTACTTGGGTAGTTTGTATATGTGCTGCCCTAACCTGTCTTCTTAAAGGGCCCCCCAAAAATTGACTCTGATAAATCAGTGAATAATGTAATATTTACTGAAGATTCCATGGGGTAAATATGAGTTTACATTGTGCACCAAAGTTAACAACCTAAAATCTCTTTGATATTTCTTTTAAGGAAAGCCTTCTCTTCCGTACTGTCTAGAGACTGTGTTTTTCTCTCCCTAATGTCCTAAACAGCCCCCCAACTTCACTGACATCTCTTTTTCCTGACTACATGGAGCCTTTTTTTGTTCCCAAATCATTTGTCAGAGCTTATCTTCTAAACAACCATTGCACTCTGTTCAAGTGGAGTTTGCATAACAGCTTCTTAGAGAATAGTCCCCATGTTGATTGGCCTATAGACCCCAAAGTGTTTTGAGCATAATAGATGTTCAATTAACAGCTAACTGAATCAACTATAGCCCAGTGCCATTATGATATACTGTGCTATAAAACAAAAAGGGAGAGAGATTCTAATCTTTCTCAGATTCCTCAAGATCTGCTTCATACTTCTGTTGTAAGGGGAGGTATTGCTGAGCCCTGTCATGCTGAGCCCTGTCATCAGCCAAAAGGCAAACAGAGTTTCTTTAGTCCTAGTCTTGCCAGAATGGGGGTCACTCCGGAATGTTAACCGGTTAATAATTCTAAAGGTGCACAACTGTATGTACGTGGGATAAACCACTTCCTACTCAGCCACTTTATGGTTTAGGAACTTGTCTAGTGCCAAAAAGCTAATGCCATTGGGACCCCAGTTAGTGACTCTCCCTCAATTCCTTCTTCCTTACATGGTTTTTAAAATATTGACCTTGCTGGAGTTTGAGGCCAGCCTGGCCAACATGGTGAAACCCCATCTCTACTAAAACTACAAAAATCAGCTGGGCGTGGTGGTGCGAGCCTGTAATCCCAGCTACTCTGGAGGCCGAGGTAGGAGTATCACTTGAACCTGGGAAGAGGAAGTCGCAGTGAGTTGAGATTGTGCCACTGCACTCCAGCCTGGGCGAAAGAGTAAAACTCCGTCTCAAAAATAAAATAAAATAAAATAAATAATAAAAATTAAAAAAATAAAAAAACCTTGCCAAAAGGCTACAGTACCTGTGTTATGACACTTCTCCCAGGCCTCAGATGATTGATCCAGAGTGGTGCGTGACTCTAGTTAAGAGTCAATCACATTCTCTTTCTCTCTGTCGGATATCTGGAATTGAGGCATGGAGACAGAATTAGGTGCTGAACTGGAAGGTTCTGTAGACCTCTGTATCAGCAGATGATGGAGCAGAGTTGGACTAAAGAGAAAGGACATGACATGGGCAGAGACATAGTAAGAGTTCCTGATGATTTTACAGTTCCCATGATGTCTCCCACATTTGCATTTGTTTCAATGAAATTCCCCCTGAATCTTTTTTTTTTTTTTTTTTTTTTTTGAGACAGAGTCTCACTGTGTCACCCAGGCTGAAGTGCAATGGCACGATCTCGGTTCACCTCAACCTCTGCCTCCTGGGTTCAAGTGATTCTCCTGCCTCAGCCTCCCGAGTAGCTGGGATTACAGGCATGCATCACCATGACCGGCTAATTTTGTATTTTTAGTAGAGACAGGGTTTCTCACGTTGGTCAGGCTGGTCTCGAACTCCTGATCTCAGGTGATCCACCTGCCTCGGCCTCTCAAAGTGCTGGGATTATAGGTGTGAGCCACTGCACCTGGCCCCCTCTGAATCTTTATAACTGCTTCACTTTTCATTTGTCCTCCTTTGCATGTGTCTCTGGCACATAAACCAAACTATCCTGAACTAACCACACCTTGTCACCAAAACAGAGGCAACCAACCCTCCCATGCACCTTGCACCAGGGGCACCTCTTAACACATTGAATTGGAATTCATGATTTACAGATTTCTCTCTTACCAGGCTGTGAGCAAATTGAAGTCAAGGTCTATGATTTTGTCCCTATATCCCTACTATCTAACTCAGCACCAGGGACATAGTAAATGCCTAATAAATGTTTGTTGAATCAAATTAAAAACAATGTCATCTGCAGAATAAAATTAGGTTCCTATCGATTTGTTCTAAGCCCTATTTACCGCAGGAGACCAGGATTCTACAATTAGCTTACAGCCATGCATTTACATCTTGCACCAATCACAAGCCACTTTGGGGACTCTTTTCTAAAAATAATCCCATTCCTTTAATTATATCACTGCCTCTGGCAGAACCAGATTGCCCTCTGTGGGGGCTTTTGAATGCAAATGTATGTGTAAGCCTGCGTGTGCAATACTGAACGTCGGTACTAGAGCCATTTTCATTATTCAATAAGCCCTTGACCCACCTCTTCAGACTAATGGAATTACACTATTAGTTGTGCTGTCTACTCCTTTCTTTTGTTTTCTTCTGATTACAAGGGTAATGCAATTAGAGATAATTCTACAATGATGTCACAGGTAGCCTTGGTGTCCACCTCCCCGCCACTGAGAATCAAAATCCATTTACCTACAATATCGTAATCTTGCTCTGCCCCAATTGGTCTTCAGCATCCTTTTAGCCAACGCTGGTAGGAAGTTCTACAGGAAATATAGCGAAGCCTGCCAGGGTTGCCTCTTCTGCCATTATAAAATGTTACTTGCGGCAAAAGCAAGGGATTATTTTTCTTATATGCTGTGTAGTTCACCAAAATGGTGCTGATGGTATTTAAAAAACAAAAACAAAAAAACATGAAGGCAGGGCATGGTATCTTACGCCTGTAATCCCAGCACTTTGGGAGGCCATGGTGGGAGGACTGCTTGAGACCAGCCTGCATGATATAGCAACACTCTGTCTCTAGAAAAGAAAAACAAATTGATAGGGTTAATAAATAACAAAAATCCATATTCTAAAACAATAAAGAAACAGTTATGCAAAAGTATGATTTAAAAAGCTTTGACTAGAACTGAATTAACTCTGTAAATAATTAGAAGCAATACTGAAAGGTGATCATTTATGTCCACTTACCGTCAATTTTGCCTGGGTATTTCAAAATGAGCTAATAAAAAAATAGTAAAGCATGTTTTACACTGTAGTTCTTCTTTGTCGTTCTCTCCAAAACCTTAATCTTTATACATTGTAAGATCAAATATCTAAAACACTACATGTATATTATTTTTACAAAAATACATAGAAGTTTGATTCTATCTTAAATTGGATAATTCAGAATTAGATACCGTACCTACTATGCCATTTGATCTACATGTACCTTTTCCTAGAATGGTAGTTCTCAAACCCCTATTCGTGTTAGAATATCCAGTGAAGCTTTTTAAGTGTTTGCCCTACTCAATTCAATTAAATGTGAATCTCTAGGTATGAGATTCTAATGGCATTTCTTAAAGTTTCTCAGATGATTCCAATACACAACCCAGACAGAGAGCCACTGTCCTCAGAAATGTTTGGGAGTGCATGGCTGGGTGCAGTGACTCAGGCCAGGTGTGGCTGCTCACGCCTGTAATCCCAGCACTTTAAGAGGCCGAGGCAGGTGGATCACTTGAGGTCAGGAGTTTGAGACCAGCCTGGCCAACATGGTGAAACATCATCTCTACTAAAAATACAACAACAACAAAAAAAATTAGCGGGGCATGGTGGCAGGCACCTGTAATCCCAGCTACTCAGGAGGCTGAGGCAGGAGAATCGCTTGAACCCAGGAGGCGGAGGGTGCAATGAGCCCAGATCGTGCCATGGCACTCCAGCCTGGGTGACAGAGTGAGACTCCATCTCAAAAATAAATAAATAAATAATTAAATAAAAATAAAAATAAACATTTGGGAGTGCAAATCACCTGTCTGTCTTAAATAGCAAACTTCTCACTTTCCAAAACATACCTCAAACCACTGGATTCAGACAAGCAGAACATAGGCATAATAATGAGGACCAGGTTTGGGGAAAGGGCTGTGTAGTATAGATGGGTAAGCATCTCTGTGGAAGTAATTTGGGTCGTATCTATAGAAGTTAGATACCTCAGCCAGCACATCTTCTATTGCAAATTTGCAGAGCACACTTCCAATCAGCCAATGTTAATTTGGTTAATTTGGTTGGGGGTCAGAATACAGAGTACAGCCTTCCTATGGGGAAGCCTCATTAGTCATCATTAGGAGTATCCATTCTGCCTGGTTGTCTTAGAGTCTTTGCCTTTCTTATTACAAAGTATTAGATAGAACATGAGAGGATGCCAACAGCCCTGCAGATTGAACAAGCAAGATGTCTTAGAGGTGTGGATAGCACTTTACACTCTCCCAATATAAAACATTTAAATTAAATATTAAATCATTATTATTCAGTTGGTCAACAGTTATGATATGGTCACTATAAAGAAAAATAAGTACAGTCCAACCAGAGTAAAGGAAATGTATCCTCAGAACTCTGAATTTTCAGGTTTGGGAGGTATTGGGAGGTACTTTAGAAGTCAAGCAATCCAACTTCTACATTTTATGTATGGAAATTCTGAGGCCAAAAGAGGACTGCAACTGGGGTTTCTAATTCTCGACTGCCAATCTTTCTTCCTAATCCTGGAAGTCTGTTTTCTTGATCTTATCAGCAGTTGACTTTTTAAAGGCACTGCCTCCTCATCCCATAGAATGGATTACTATTATAGCATTGCAGGATGAACATGGTGGCAGGGGAGTACGTGGTTTCCATGGTTAAACTGGGGTATAACCAGGACAGGAACACTGGCCTCCTCCCTGCAAGTCTAGAATGACCACACGACTGTGGGCCCCAGACAAACCGACCATATTCTAATCTGAACCTCCAGCTCAGAAAGTGTTAAGTGTATCATCTTGGACAAGATAATTCACCTCCATGAATATCAGTTTTCTCATAAGTAAAACGGATGTAATTTTTTAAAAAAAATCTGTCTTGCAGGATAGTTGTATAGATACAGTGAGATCTTTAGAGGTCAGCAGACTTTTTCTGTAAAGGACCAGGTAGTAAATATTTTAGGCTCTGCAGGCTACATGAGGTCTCTGCTGCGTATTTTTTCTCTCTCTCTCTGTCTTACACACACACACTTTAAACATGTTTAAAAATAAAATAAACATTCTGAGCTTATGGACCATACAGAAGCAGGCATAGGTCACAGTTTTCCACAGCTGATCAAGACCACACGCTGCAAGCATGCAGCAACCAGGCATGTCTTTGTGTTGTTATTCAGCACCCAGCACCCACCACAGTATCAGATGCTTGGGTATTTACTCAACAAAACTCTGAATAAATAATATGTAAAGAGGCTGGGCGCGGTGGCTCATGCCTGTAATCCCAGTACTTTGGGAGGCCGAGACAGGTGGATCACCTAAGGTCAGAAGTTCAAGACCAGCCTGGCCAACATGGTGAAACCCTGTCTCTACTAAAAATACAAAAAAAAAAAAAAAATAGCTGGGTGTGGTGGCGGGCGCCTGTAATTCCCAGCTACTCAGGAGGCTGAGGCAGGAGAATCTCTTGAACCCGGGAGGCAGAGGTTCCAGTGAGCCGAGATCGTGCCACTGCACTCCAGCCTGGGTGACAAGAGTGAAATTCTGTCTCTAAATAAATAAATAAATAAATAAAATGTAAAGAGCCTGATCCAAAGTCTAAGATGGAAAAGGCACTGTGTGTTTATTTAGCATTGTTACTGCCCTTGTGGCTTATAAGCTCCAGAACTATGATTTAATATGAAAGACAGGATGAGTTCACTCATTAAAGTATTTGGAGGAAAAGGAGATGAGTAGAAGTGTTGCAGAGGAGGAGGCACTGGCCTGAGCTTGGAAGGATGGGTAAGTTTTTGGATAAATGGATAAATGAAGAAGGTACCAGTGTATTAAAAGGAAAATAAGGAGGTTATGCATCTGCCACTGTACCACGGTGTATATATGCTATCAGGACAAGGTTATGGCTTCACAAAGACCACCTCCTTATGTGATTTCTTGGAATGTGGAACTCAGTGGCTGCTGAAGTGAGATACAGGTAAATTCCCATAGGGAGAACTGACCTCTGATCATTTTGAGTTTCAATGAGAGTAGAATATCTCTGAGACAAATATAGACCTATTAACCAGTGAACATTAAAAGATACTGAAGGCCTCCCATGACTCACCTTGAAATAGAGAGGAAATGCGCCCAGCTATCTTGGTACAATGCCAATATCTCAACACTTACAGAAGCTGATTCTGCACACAAATTGTGCTTGAGCCTGGAAACTTCAGGGGACCCAGACACCTGAGCAGTATAGTCATATTCTGAGTTACTGACTTTGCATATGAATGTAAATTGAAGACCTTTAATTGAGAACCTGGACCTAGATGGCTGGGCAAAGTGGCTCACACCTGTAATTCCACTACTTTGGAAGGCCGTGGAAGGTGGATCACTTGAGCTTAGGAGTTCGACACTATCCTGGACAACATGGTGAAACTCCGTCTCTACACAAAATGCAAAAACTACCCAGGTGTGGTGGTACGTACCTGTAGTTCCATCTACTTGGGGGGCTGAGGTGGGAGGATTGTTTGAGCCTGGGAAGTGGAGGTTGCAGTGAGCTGAGATTGTGCCACTGCATTCCAGCCTGGGTGAGAGAGCAAGATCCTGTCTCAAAAAAATAAAAAATAAGAAAGAGAAACTGGGGCTAGGATAATAGCAATTGTGGTTGAGTATCGTTACGGATAAACACTTTCTCCTTCTTCCCTCTCCCGCTATATATTCCCTCCAACACACATGCTCAGAGGAGTTTTTGCCAGGCCAGCATTAAGGCTTAGGGTTGTGTTAATCTAATCACTAAAGGAAATGTGACTTAATTAATACCTCCAAGCTTGTGAATGGCAACATACCACTGTGTAAACATAATCACACTATTCCTTCCATCTTCATTAACAGATGAGAAAATAGTCTCAAAAGGTGAACCAGCTTGCTCAAGGTCACAAGCTAAGCAGGGGAGTAGGTCTTTCTGTCTTTTCACTAAACCCTGTGGCTTACCTAAAGAATGAATTATAAATGCCTAGCATCAGGTCATCTCTCAGAAATGGGTTTTGGAGGGCAGAAGACTTTCTCTGAGCAAGAATTTGAAAGACAGACAGGGGAGGCAGAAAGAGTGAAGATAAACATCAAAGTTGTTTTCCTTGGGTAGAGAAACACCAGATTCCATCAATCAAGTTAGCAGGGTTCTCTGGTCTTCTTTGAGTACTGGAGCTTGGATTATGATGACACCCAGCTGACTGTCAGGCCACTGTTGCAGTCAAAATTTACACAAAGATCGGGCCCAGGGTTGCAACGCAGGCTACACAAAGCTGCTGGTACGAGGAGTCAAGAAGAAACAGACATTGGCCAAGAAGACAAATCATGTGCCGCTTCCTCATTCGGAATAACTGGCCATGTCTAGTAAATGCAACCTCTAGATTCATCATGCCAGATGGGTTATTTCAAGTACAGATGCTAGTATTTGTTCTATTTCATTCAACTCTTTGAGATTGATCAATAAAAAGATGTATATGGTGCCTGTGTGTCTGGCATTAAAAGAGGAAAGAAATGACCTCAGTGAATAAGAACAGTACTTGGATTTCTTAGCGTGCCTAGGAAACCCCGAGTAAACTGGGCAGATTCAAGCATGTGATGAATTTCTGCTGTCTGATTTAATATTTAATATTTTAATATTTAATCCTAAAGTTGTGCATTCCACTTCTTTGGTTACAGAATATTAAGAAGTGAAGCTATTAAAAACACTAAGTGTTTTAGTTCAGGAAGAGAGCACAACCTTCCCTAAGTGACAGGTGATGCTGGGTGTCTTCGTTTATTTGTTTTTGAAAACGTGGGCTTTATTTCTTAAATATTTATTATTAATGCAACAATCAGGCTACCCAGGATTTATATAGAACCTTGTCTTCCAAGGAATACTCTGGTTGAATAACATCATCTGTCTTTATGAACTTCACCGTCAGGAAGAAGGCGAGACTAACTTTTGATTTCTTACAGATGGGAAAACAGAGACCCTGAGAGATCAAACAAGTTTTCCCAAGTTACAGAATAAATCTATTGAATTCCCTCACACTTAATGCTGCTCAAACCAGCTTGTGTTGTCTATGACAGGAAAATCTCTGCTACAGACTTTCAGAGAAATGTCCCTTCCACTTTTCATTTGATGACCACTCATAAACCTTGACTTACAAGAAGATATACGTGAAACGGAGACACAAACATTGCACTGCAAATGGCTCAAATATTCATTTGTGGAAGAAACACTTAAGTTCCTACTGTGTGCCTAGCTCTATCTAAGCACTAGAGCTGTGTTTTCACTTCTTATTGCTGCTGTAACAAATTACAACAAAGGTCAGAAGTCCTAAAATCAAGTTGTCAGCAGGGCTACCTTCCTTCTGCATGTCTTGGGCAGAATCCATATCCCTGCCTTTTCCAGGTTCTAATATATATATTATAATATATATTATATATATAGTATTATATATAGTATAATATATAGTATTATATATACTATATATAGTATAATATATAGTATTATATATACTATATATAGTATTATATATAGTATTATATATACTATATATAGTATAATATATAGTATTATATATACTATATATAGTATTATATATACTATATATAGTATAATATATAGTATTATATATACTATATATAGTATTATATATAGTATTATATATACTATATATAGTATTATATATAGTATAATATAATACTATATATAATATATAGTACATATTATATAACTATTATATAATATATATTATATATTTTATATATTATAACATATCATACATAATATATAATGTAATACACATATAATATATAACAATACATCACACGTAATATATAATGTAATACATTATATATGTATTACATTATATATATACCCCCAAAAAGTAAATTTTTAAAAAAATGTGCTTCCCTCAAAGCATTGATCAGAAGATTAAATGTATAATGTAATACATCCTATATTATATATGATATATATAATATATATGATATAATATATATCATGTATATGATTATATATTTTATATATATATATATAGTTGATTGATTAAGTTTTGAGACAGGGTCTTGAAATATTGCCCAGGCTGGAATACAGCATTGCTGTCAAGCCTCACTGCAGCCTCGACCTCCTCAGCTCAAGCCATCCTCCCACCTCAGCCTCCCTTGTAGCTGGGACCATAGGCATGCACTACTACATCCACCTAATTTTTCTTTCTTGGTAGAGACAGAGTATATCTAAGTTTCCCAGGCTGGTCTCGAACTCCTGGGCTCAAGCAATCCTCCCAGCTGAGCCTTCCAAAACACTGAGATCACAGGTCCCAGCCTTTCCAGCTTTTAGAGGCCATCTGCATTCTTTGACTCACGGAACCTTCCTCCATCTTTAAAGTGCATCGCTCCGACCTTTGTTTTCATCCTCTCATCTCCTTTTTCTGACTTTGACTCTCCTGCCTTCCTTTTATGAGGACCCTTGTGATTCTATCAGGCCCATCTGGATAATCCAGGATAATCTCCTCATCTCAAATCCTTAACCAAATCACATCTACAAAGTGGCTTTTGCCGTCAGGTAACATAGTCACAGGTTGAGTGGATTGGGATGTGAATATATCTGGGAGGAGAGACATTATTCAGCCTGGCACAGACTGTCAAGAGGTTTTCTAGCCCTTGCAGCAATCTTCATTTCGTGGGAAAGAGGTGCACAAACAATTGATGACAAACACCATGGTAAGTGACAAGCAGTGATGGGTAAAATGATGGGCCTCCATCCCAGGCTAATGGGGGTGAGGAAGACTTCCAGACAGAATGATGTCTAAAGCTAGTCTTCAAGGATGAATGAGGAATGCTCATGCAAGAGAGCAAGGTAGCATGTTGGAAGTTGGGTCGTCCAGGAAATGAGGACACAGCAGGCAAACAGCACACCAGAGGCCGAGGAGAGTCCAGTTGTACAGTTCATCTGCCTATAGTGTTTGCTTCGCATTGGTCAGCTTTGTTTTAGAGCTACCTTGGGTGGCAGACAGACAAAAAACTAGGCTGTATAGCAAAAAAATTAAGAGTAAGAGCAGGCCAGTCGCAGTGGCTCATGCCTGTAATCCCAACACTTTGGGAGGCCGAGTCAGGCAGATCACGAAGTCAGGAGTTCAAGACCAGCCTGACCAAAATGGTGAAACCCCGTCTCTACTAAAAATACAAAAATTAGCCAGGCCTGGTGGCAGGTGTCTGTAATCCCAGCTACTCAGGAGGCTGAGGCAGGAGAATCCCTTAAACCCAGGAGGCAGAGGTTGCAGTGAGCCGAGATCACACCATTGCTCTCCAGCCTGGGTGACAGAGCAAGACTCCATCTCAAAAAAAAAAACAAAACAACAATAAAAACAGTAAGAGCAGGAGGCTGGGCATGGTGGCTCATGCCTGTAATCCCACCACTTTAAAAGGCTAAGGCAGGTGGATCACTTGAGTTCAAGAGCTCTAGACCAGTCTGGGCAACATAGTGAGAACTCATCCCTACTAAAAAAAACATAAATAAATAAAAAATTAAAAGTTGCCCAGGCATGATTGTGCCATTGCCCTCCCACCTGGGTGACAGAGCGTGACCCTGTCTCAAAAGGAAAAAAAAGAGTAAGAGAAGGTAATGTGCCCTTCATTCAAGCCCTGATCCTTCTTAAAAGTTTGTTTAACTTCTCTGCTCCTCAGTTTTCTCATCTGTCAAATGGGAGTAATAAGAGTACTAATCTTAATTGTTCCAAACATAAAATAATTAATATAAAGTCCTTAGCACAATTTCTGGCACATAGTGGGTGTTCAATAAACGTTAGATTTTTCTCTTTTAGTTCCCTCCCTTTCAGCCTCTTTGGCACCAGGACACTGTCACACAGTATCTTAGTCTGTTCAGGCTGCTATAATAAAATACCACAGACTGGGTAATTTATAAACAATAGAAATGTATCACTCACAGTTCTGGAGGCTGAGAAGTCCAATATCAAGGTGCCAGCAGATCTGTTGTCTGGTGAGATCTCACTTTCTGCTTCAAAGATGACACCTTCTAGTTGTGTCCTCACATGAAAGAAGGGGAGAAAAAGCTCCCTCTGGCCTCTTTCACAAGGTCACTAATCCCATTTATGGAGGCTCTGTTCTCATAACCTAATCATCCCCCAAAGACTCTACCTCTTAATACTATTGCACTGGAGATGAGGTTTCAACATATGAATCTAGGGAGATGCAAACATTCTGACAACAGCACACAGTTCGTGTTTTCACCCATGCCGGGAAACTCCTACAGGAAGAGCAGGTGACTTTCCCTCGAGAGCCTAGTTCCCAGGGAGCCATCAACACATGTCCCATCACAGAGATGACAAGGACTTTTATAGGATGTGATGTGCTACGTTAAATACGGTTCAGACCAAACAAGACCATGCCGGGCACACCCATACCGTCAGGTCCTCTCGATTTTCCGTGGTTGGAATTTCACTTTTCTCTGTCTTAAAACAGCCAGATGGGCGGTTATTCTTGGGGATAAACAAATAGCTGTGATTTCTGTTTATGGGAGGAGCCCTAACTTTCTGGGTTTTTCCCCACAACACTGACAGTGTCAGGCAGATTAAAAGATGTGGGGCCTGGCGCGGTGGCTCACCCCTGTAATCCCAGCATTTTGGGAGGCCGAGGCGGGCGGATCACGAGGTCAGGAGATGGAGACCATCCTCGCTAACGCGGTGAAACCCCGTCTCTACTAAAAATACAAAAAATTAGCCGGGCGTAGTGGCAGGCGCCTGTAATTCCCGCTACTCGGGAGGCTGAGGCGGGAGAATGGCGTGAACCTGGGAGGCGGAGCTTGCAGTGAGCCGAGGTTGCACCACTGCACTCCGGCCTGGGCGACAGAGCAAGACTGTCTCCAAAAAACAAAAAAACAAACAAAAAAAAAAGATGTGGAGCTCGAGCCAGATCAGCTGCTAGGAACCACACCCCTTTAGTCAAGTGCTATAATCTCAGTTTACTCACCAACAAAATGAAAACTTTGAATGAGAAGATTTGTAAGAGCCCCTCCTAGATCTAAAATTATCTTCTTCTATGGCAAGTTTAGAGCATAAATAGACCCCAACTACAAGAAGTCAACCTGAACTGATGGGAAAAACAAAATTCTGGGGTCAGACAAATATGTGCTGAAATCCTTGTGAGATTCACCCACAGAGCTACTTAACTTCCCTGAGTCTTGGCCTCTATAAAATGAGGATAAAAGTTCTTGCCTCAAATGGATACTCCATTTACCCTGACATGATTATTACATATACTTTGTATGCCTGTATTAAAATATCCCATATATCCCATAAACATATACACGTACTGATATGGTTTGGCTGTGACCCCACCCAAATCTCATCTCGAATCGTAGCTCCCACAATTCCCGTATGTCATGGGAGGAACCTGGTGAGAGGTAATTGAATTATGGGGTGTGGTGGGGATTATCCCATACTGCTCCCGTGGCAGTGAATAAGTCTCACAAGATCTGACGGTTTTATAAGGGATTTCCCTTTTCACTTGGCCCTCATTCTCTTTTCCTGCCTCCACGTAAAGCCCTTTGTTCTTCCTTTGTCTTCCGCCACGATTGTGGGGCCTCCTCAGCCATGTGGAGCTGAGTCTATTAAACCTTTTTCCTTTATAAATTACCCTGTTTCTGGTATGTCTTTATCAGCAACGTGAAAACGAACTAATACACCTAAGATATACCCACAAAAAGTAAATTTTTTAAAAAATGTGCTTCCCTCAAAGTGTTGATCAGAAGATTAAATGAGATGTCATAGGTAATGGAAAGTCAGGCACAAAATCAGCATTGAATGATTATTGAATACAAAAGTGGAAAGGGGCTATGTCTCACCAAAGTTCTGTCTTCACATTCCAGCGGCCAGCCCCTGTTCTGAGAGGTTTTCTCTTTAAAATGTTAATTTTTTTTCAAAACAATAAAAACATCAGTCCTCTTCCCCACCCCTCTCTACCATTAATTACTGCTCTTAAGGGGAAATAACTTTTAATTTTCAGGCCTTTTTCATGGTAGTTTCCCTCCATATACCTAAATAACATGGTTATGCAGCTATTTCTCAATTGATCAATTTTAACTTCTTGTTAATGGTATTGAAAGACTTAGTGCCTCCTCCTGCTCCTGCCTCTCCCCATGCACTCACATCCTAGTTTAGTGATATCCCGTTGTTTTTGTTAAATCAGTAATCAGTATATATGTTACTACAGCTATTATCACATCCTGCTAATTTAGTGATATCCCATTGCTTTTGTTAAATTAATAATCAGTATATGTGTTACTATGGCTATTAATCCAAGTAGAATACAATGATTAAGTTTCTTCTTCATATAGATTTAGTTTTTCCTGATGTTAATGCTTTTTTTTTCTGCCCTTTGACTTATTTTTTATGTACCCAACATGAATTCTTCCCAGAAATCTCCAACAGAACACTAAACAAATTTTAATGGAATAAAACTCCCCGGCGCGGTGGCTCACGCCTGTAATCCCAGCACTTTGGGAGGCCGAGGCGGGCGGATCACGAGGTCAGGAAATCGAGATCATCCTGGCTAACACGATGAAACCCGTCTCTACTATCAGTACAAAAAATTAGCCAGGTGTGGTGGCGGGCGCCTGTAGTCCCAGCTACTCGGGAGGCTGAGGCAGGAGAATGGCGTGAACCTGGGAGGCGAAGCTTGCAGTGACGCGAGATTGCGCCACTGCAGTCCAGCTTGGGTGACAGAGCAAGACTCCATATCTAAATAAATAAATAAATAAATAAATAAATAAATAAATAAATATAATAAAACTCATCAGTAAGCTATCAGTCCTTTTATAAGAAGTACCTCTTCGAGACACCTTCCCCCGTGTGAATGTGTTCCACTCTAGACCTGCTACCTCACCTACCTCCTTCCACGCTTCATCCCTTCCCATCCTGCTGGGTTTACATTGAACTTCTCTCCTCCACTGAATCCTATTTCTCTGATTTCCTATCTTATTTCTCTTGATTTTCTTTTTTCTCTTGAGATGAAGTCTTGCTATGGCCCCTAGGCTGGAGTGCAGTGGTGCGATCATAGCTCACTGCAGCCTCGACCTCCTGGGCTCAAGCAATTCTCCCACCTCAGCCTTCCGAATAGTTGAGACTACAGGTGCATACCCCCATGCCCTGCCTTGACTTTCTTTCTTTAATTTTTGGAGAGGAATAGCCTCCCAAAGCCTTTTCAGGTACAATTTTGAGTCCTTGCATGTCTGAAAATTTTCATTATATCCTCGTACTTGATTAATCATTTGATTGGATATAGAATTCTAGGTTATAAGTTTGAGAGCATGGACCTATTACCTTCCAGCTTCTAGTATTTCTATTAAGACATTCAATATCAATTCTTATGCTTAATCCTTTTAATGTGACCTGTTATTATTCCCTTGAAGCTTTTAGGATTTTCTCTGCATCCCCAGAATTCTGTGACTTAAGAATGATGCACCTTATTACAAGTTTTTAAATTTATTTTACTGGATACTCAGTGATTCCCTGTAGTCTAGATTTTCATGTCTTTCACTTCCGGTAGTTTTGCTCCATATGTCTGAATAACATGGTTATATTGGTTGTTTCTTAATTTATCAATTTTAACTTCTTGTAAATGGTTTTGGAAGATTTAGTACCACCCCCCTCCTGTCTCCCTCACACACTCCCCAACACTTTTACGGTATTTATTCTTTGATAGTCTTCTCCCTGCAATTTTGTGTCTCCTCTCTTTGCAATTTCTGGGAGTCCCACATACAACTTCTGAATTGTTCTTCTACTTTTTTTATATCTGCTCTATGTTTTTAATCTTTGAATCATGTTTTTGCCTTCTTGCAAATTTCCTTTTTCAACTATGCTTTTAAGTGACTTACCTTTCTGATTTTTAATTTCCAAGAGTTGTTTCTTATTCTCTTACAGTTCATTTTTTAAGTAGCATCCTTCTCTTGTGGCATGGATGGAATATCTTCTTTAATCTCTGTGAGGCTCTTAATTATCATTTATTTGAAGTTTTCTTCTGCTGCCTGTATTGTCTGCTTTTCACAAGTTGCATTAGTTATATTGTTTGTATGTTTTAGTTTGTTCCTCACCCCATGTTGAAGGCTTTCCTTAAGTACCTGATTACTCTTTATTTTGTATTAATAGTTGAGTGAGATAAATCTCTCTCTCTGTCTCTCTCTCTCTCTCACACACACACACACACACACACACCTCACACTAATCAGAGGCTCTATGGATAGGATTCACCAATTCAAGAATTTTATGGACCAAGCCATTCTGTTAAGATTATCCCAAATGTCAGTATCCATATTTACTTTTTTCTTGGTCCTTTCTGTTACTTTCAGAAAAATTCTTCTAAGCCAGATACAGTGGCTCAAGCCTGTAATCTTAACACTTTTGGAAGCTGAGGCAGGAGTTCAAGATCACTTTGGGCAACATAGCCAGACCCCATTTCTACAACAATCTTAAAAAATATTTGAACCCAGGAGTTCAAGATCAGTTTGGTCAACACAGTAAGTCCCCATTTCTACAAGATGTTTAAATGCTGGCTTCCAGCATTCCAGAAGCTCAGAGAAAATGGGCTGGGTAGCCACACCATTCAGTGTACTGATTTTCATTCACTCTTCCCATTGTCGAACCTCACATGCCTATTACCCACTGTCTGATATTTGTGAATAAAGACCCTGCCCTGGTTCAATTTTTCCAAATCTTCACCTCCACTTCCCTGCCTGGGTTCACAGGGTGGGATTGGGTGTCTGGGAGTCTATCTATCAACTAGCTCTCTTGTCACGAGCACCTCCTTTGCTCATGCTATCTGAGGTACCTGAAGCCTCCAACTGCTGAAAGTTTCTGAGGTTCTGTGACCCAATTCCCCTTGATTTTGGTTTATAATCTCCCCTCAGTGGGGCCTTAGATTTCAGTTTTCTTCACTCGGTTACTTTGGTTACCATTCATCAATCCACATACTACTGCTCAAAACGCAGTTGACATCTCTTGTCCAATATTGTCTTGTCTCTTATTCTAGATTCCCCCTCTCATCCTAGTTTCTCATTCTATTCATACTGGTTTATCTCTTCTGTGCCATTTAAATGGGAGTCTCTGGGGAGGAATGGAGATAAATGGGTGTGTTCCATCTGTAATGTTTAACTGTAATGTTTAATGTTCTACTGAGGGTTTCTTTCAGTGAAAGATTTTGCATGTGGGAAACACAAGGAAAAATACAGAGAATGTGCTTCCCTGATAAAGTCTCTCCCTGGGCTGCTCATTCACAATGGCCTCATTTTCTAGAGTAACAGAAATTATCTAGGGCCACTCTGTCTCCCTAAAGAACTGGATGACATTATCTTGAATTCCAACCTCACCTCTAGTTCACCTGATTCTCATCATTCTCAAAATTTATACTTTTCCTAGGAATCTTTTTTCTCTGCTCAGATGGACTGTTTTCTTTATATCTGTCCCAGCATCATCTCAAATCTGAGACACAAGACTTTTTTTTTTTTTGTCATTTCAGTATTCCATCTCCCAATCCCCCAAACACAAAGGAAACACCCTTCTGAAAATAATCTGCCTGTAGAAGACTGAAGACTGGAAAGTAATAGTTTCTTCTCCAGACTGAATGCTGATACCAGATGGTGAGATTTTAATTTTTCTAATCCTGCTACCATGTCTGTGTATACGTTTATTTCTAAAATGAACACAAAAATCCAAATAGCATGGGCCTTCTATGTACTCTGATAGAAGAAATGAGAAAATGATGGTCTTCAATCAAAGAAGACCTGCTATTATAAGCCAAGAATCCTTATAAAAAGAAACATTTAATAGGATATCCTATATCTGCTTTTGATTTCCATATCCCAAGAAAGGAAGAAGATATTTAGAACAAGGTCAAGAGGTGACAAAGAACATCTGCCTGCGTTGCTTCATTTAATCTTCTCAATAAGTTTGTGAGATATTATTTCTTTCTATTTTCCAGATGAGGCAATAGAGGCTATGTGACTTCCCTGAAACACACAGCTAGAAAGTGACATCACCAGTAATTGTAATGGTAACCGTTTCTGCCCCACCGTGCTTGCAATACACAGTGATAGATTACATAGATATATAGATTAGCTATAGATATATAGATTAGATAGATACATAGATGAGATTAGACACATCGATTAGCTAGATTACATAGATACATAGATTAGATAGATAGATTAGATAGACTGCATAGATAGGATAGATTACATAGACTGGATTATAGTTGTGTGTATCCATATACATATACACATGTATGTGTGTGTGTGTGCGTGTGTGTGTGTGTGTGTTTTCACTCTCATGATTACAAATAGATGATATTCTTCTTTCTCATTTTTGGAAACTAAGACTCAGAGAAGTTAAGTAACATGCTCAAAGTAACAGTCACAAAGTGCCCATCTCTCCCCCTCTCTTTTCTTCCACCTCCTCACACTGTCTTTAACTAGTGTCCAGAGATAGTGCCCAGTAATCCCTCCCCATCCTGCGTGCACTTGGCACTCCTGACATAAAGAGGAGAGGTATATTTTCCCAACCCTTGAATCTTGGTTGGCTTTGTGACTAACTTTGACAAAGAGAATGTGACACAAGTGAGATTCTGAGCTTCCAAACTCAAGCCGTAAGATAACTGGCCACTCCTATTCCCTGCGTCATGGAATTCAGACACCATATTGTAAGAAACTCAAGCTGCATGGAGAAACCACGTGGAAGAGAATGGAGATGCTCTGGTCAGTAGCCTTAGGTAAACTCCTGGCTGAAAGCCAGCACCAACTACCGGCTTCATGAGGGAGCCATCTTGGTTGTTCCAGCCCTATCAAGCCCTCAGATTATTTCAGTCTCAGTCAACAGCATGTGGAGCAGAGGAATCACCCAAGTGAGCTCAGTCAACCTACAGAAACACAAGATAGAATACAAGTCATTGTTTTAAGCTACTAAGTGTTGACGTGTTTTTTGTGAAGCAAGAGACACCAAAACACTGCCTATCTTTGAAAGCATGATTGCAAAACCTGATGTCTTTCTATTAGAGCAATTTCACTGACACAGTCTCTTCCACTAAGAATAAAAATGGCACGAATCATTGAGCACCTAGAAATGACAACATTTGAAAACAAGACACTCAAGGATAACTTAGAGATGGCAAATTAAAAGCTCATATAGCTTTGGTAAGAGTGTAGAGAAACAGGAACTGTTACTCATTTACTGTTTGTGGTAGTATAAAATAATGAAGTGTTCCTGGAGGGTATTTTGGCAATGTCTTATAAATACTCAGACCCCTTGACCCAGATTTGTCACTTGCAAGACATTTATCCTTGGGAACCATAAAGACATATGCAACTATTTTTTCCTGTAAAAGTGTTTACTATAATGTTTGGTATAATACTCTTTATAACAGTGCAGAGAAAGAAAGAGAAACACCTAAATATGCAACAATAAGGGATTTAAGTAAATAAAAATATTTTCACATAACGGAGAGTTACTACATTGCCACTGAGAATAAGGCAATGAAAGTTTTTAATGGCACAAATGTGCATTCAATATTCAGAAGAATATATGAGACAATGTAAGCCGTTTCCATTGGTTTTTGTAAGCAACAACCACAAAAATTATAACTAACACCAAGATAGGACTATCTGCCAAGCACTCTTGAAGGACATAACATCAAATAAATAGTGATTGTCTTTCAGTGGTCTCATTACTTCTGCTTTATGCCTTTTAATGTTCACTAGGTATTTTTTCAATAAACATATGAGAAGAATATAAAAACAACCCACTATTATGAGCTGAGATATAATTTTTGAAATAGGTTAGTAACTTTGAGATTTCTGGGATGATTTAAAAAAACAGTTCTGCCATTCTGAAATTGTCATATGTACAAGCATACATTCTCATGGGGCATTTTTGGGACAGTAGCTTCGGCCAAATTCCAGAGCTTGAAAGAGCCCCTGATCTCATGCATATTTTTAGTGCATACTTTTAGGCCAATTCTGAGCCATCTCCTGGGACTTTCTGTACCAGGCCAGTTCCCAGTTTTGTTTCTGCCATATGCATTAGGCAAGAGATTCCAAGGCATTCTTTGCAGGGGTTGGATGAGGTACACATTCAGTTTCATTGCATCCCAGAAGTTTTAAACTCCCTGGGGATTCAGAACATATTGCTACCTTACACTGTATAAGCCTGGGAAACAGGGGTCCACCTGCATTCTCAAATGACCCTCCTGCAATTAGAAATGAGATTTCTAGTAGGACTTCTATTTCAGTGTTAACACCAGACAATAGCCTTTGGCTCTCTCTAACAAGATCGGCAAGCCAGGCTCTGCAAATTGGCTAAATTTATATTGCACACTAGACCCTCTGAATAAGTAAGAAGGAAATTCTTTCGTTGGCTGGAAAAGAATCTATACAGATTCTATCTTAATCATGGTCTCTAAATAGGCCACACAAGTCCGGTGGGCAGGAGCCACATCAGAGGATGGGGACGGGATCTCGGAGTTTAGAGTGTCTGTAATGAAACGCTACACCTGCTACCTCTCAAAGTGGAATTGATTGGATAAAAACTTAGTACACAAGTGTCATCCTGTGCTTGCTTCCCAGACGTTCAAAATCTAAAGTTTAAGGTGCTATTTTCCTAGAGCCTGGAAGATGCTCTGAATTCTTAGTGAGATAAACAGTGACCTGGCATACTGGAGGTACTCTATGTGGGAAAATAAGCAAACTGGGTGGGACATTAACTCTGGTACACTCTGTCATCTAATATTCATTTGATGTAACACAAACCTACTTTCCATACTGGCCAGAGTGCAAGAGGAATTTATTTACCCACCGAGGGAAAAACTGAGGGCCTGGTTTAGCTGCAGGCATGGCTTGATCAGGGGTTAAAATGATGTTAACAAGATTTAATTCCTCTCTTCCTTTGTCTTTAAATTGTGACTTGACTTACCTCATATTGGATTATGTTGGAACCTTTTTTTTCCTTTTTGTCTTTTCTTTTTCTTTTTTTTTAATACAATTTATTCCATCATGGTCAAAAGACAGACGCAGTGTTTTCAGAACTTACATCCTCCTGGTTTCAAATTTCTTGTGAGTAGAGGGAGAATCTCTTTTCCTGAAGGTGAAGCACACAATATATTGTGCCTCCTTGTCTCTGTTTGGGCCACATACCCAATCCCTGAACTAATCAGTGAGGCAAATGCATAGATCTAAGTATAAACTCGCTTAGCCCTGGTTCACACCTCTTCCCTCATAGTTAGAGAAGTTGGGAGAAGGACATCATCTCCACCCAAAATCATGGATTGAATCCAGGGAGAACTGATTGACCCAAAGCTCATTCAAGGTGTACGTACAAGCAGGAGCATGTTTGGACCTGGTGGCAAAGAGTTCAAATTTAACACAGATATTAAAGAAAAATGTTAAATGTGCCCTTTAAGGAAACCACTTAAAATTCCTCCTGCACAGAGCATCATAAGCTGTCTTCTCTTGCTGTCTTCTCTTTCTGCAAGCATGATCTACAGGATGAAGGTACATGCACCTTCCACTTCATCTTGCAGCCCCTGCTCTTCATGGAAATATCTATCTATGCCTCCTACCTACATTCTTTGTCCCTACATCTACTCTTAAACATGCCCTGATGAAGATAGGAAAATTCCTCTTTATTATAGTAATAGCTATTACTTATTGCTCCCTTAGGATATACCTGGTATGATGCAAAATCCTTTACACACACACACAAAAAATCATTTAATCTTCACAGAAACTCTAGGAGGCCAAATCTACTGTGTATACAGTGAGAAAAATGAAAGTCAGGAGGAGGATGAAGCTCAGGCAAGAACACGGAGCTACTAAGTGGAAGAAAAGGGTTCCATTATACGATTCCTGCACCAGTGTTCACAACTCTACAATGATTCCATTCAGTTCCGTTCTTCACTCTGTTGAACCGATTCCACACGGAAGGGCTTCTCCTTGCTCACTGATATGGTTTAGCTGTGTCCCTACCCAAATCTCATCTTGAATTGTAGCCCCCATAATCCCCATGTGTCATGGAAGGGACCCAGTGGAAGGTAATGGAATCATGGGGGCAGGCTTTTCCAGTGCTGTTCTCGTGATAGTGAATAAGTCTCATGAGATATGATGGTTGTATAAAGGGCAGTTCTGCTGCACATGATTTCTTGCGTGCCTCCATGTAAGACGTGCTTTTGCTCCTCCTTCACCTTTTGCCATGATTGTGAGGCCTTCCCAGCCACATAGAACTGTGAGTCCATTAAACCTTTTTTCTTTATAAATTACCCAATCTTGGGTATGTCCTTATAACAGCGGAAGAACAGACAAACACATTCACTTTTCCTTAGATCTGAGGCTTCCCTCTCTAACCTTCATTGCTATACTCCTCCCTCACAACTGTAAGTATGCTTTAAGCTCCAGAGCACTGGCTGGGAGTCCAATGCCTTCTTTCACACCATTCCTCCTCCCTGTGATAGGAAGCTTGTCTTCTAGATATGACTATGTTTTCTACTTGAAAACTGCCACGTGCTTGGCCCCAGGGACCCTACCCACTGCTTGTGTTCTTCATCTCTCTGCCCACTGACTGGGGAATCCTACGCTGGCAGTATTGTACATTCCTTCTTATCTTCCCTGCCAATAAGAAGCTGCCTCCCACAAGATAGGTGAACCAAAAATTTGCAGAAAATAAATGTAAATGCCCCATGGCACTATGCATAGAGGCTCAACATCACTGAGAATAAAAGGGATACCAATTAAAATGACACCATGATAACCATTTACTACCTATTAGATCGGCAAATATTCACAAGCTGAACAATGTATTCCGTTGGTGAAGCTGTGGGGAAACACACTCATCCATCCTGGTGTGAATGCAAAAATGGTACCATCCTTATGAAGAGAAAATTGGCAATGCTTACCAAAAAAATCTATGTATGTATTGATCCTTCGACTCAGGATTTCCACATTAAGAACTCTATTCCAAGGAGAAGTTGTCAAAAACATGAACACACAAATGCACAAGCCTGGTCATTGTAGTACTATTTGTAATATTTGCAAAGGATGGGAGAATACCTAAATTTCCATCAATGGACCTTATTTATTTTATTAGACAGTGTCTTGCTCTGTAGCCCAGGTTGGAGTGCAGTGGTGTGATCTTGTCTCACCGTACCTCTTAGGTTCAAGTGATTCTTGTACCTCAGCCTCTCGGGTAGCTGGAATTACTGCCACCACACCTGGCTAATTTTTGTAGTTTTTTTTTTTTTTTTCTTGAAGAGATGGGGTTTCACCGTGTTGGCCCTGCTGGTCTCAAACTCCTAGCTTCAAGTGATCTGCCCACCTCAGCCTCCCAAAGTGCTGGGTACAGGCATAAGCCACCACATTAGACTAGTATAATAAACTATGGTACATCCACACAATGGAGTACTGTCCAAATATAAAAAAAGAAATGAGGAATACAATCAATCCTTGTTATTGGTGGATTCTACAGTTGCAAATTCACATACTAGCTAAAATTTATTTGCAACTCCAAATTCAATACTGAAGGCACTTTCACAGTCAATTGTGGACAGGCATGTGAACAGAATGGCAAAAATTTGAGCTGCTTATGTGCACATTTCCTGGTGAGGCCACACAAGGTGACACTCTGTCTTCTTACTTAATCTCTCGTATTATACATGTAAATATCCTTTACACAGTCTATGAACTGCCAAATTGTTTGCATTTTGTGCTTTTTGATAGTGATTTAATTGTCTCAAATGGCCCCCAAGTGAAGTACTGAAGTGCTGTCCAATGTTTGTAAGCACGAGAAGGCTGTGAAGGGGCTGAGTGCAGTGGCTCACGCCTGTAATCCCAGCACTTTGGGAGGCCGAGGCGGGTGGGTCACCTGAGTTTGGGCGTTCGAGACCAGCCTGACTAACATGGAGAAACCCCATCTCTACTAAAAATACAAAATTAGCCAGGCATGGTGGTGCGTGCCTGTAATCCCAGCTACTCGGGAGGCTGAGGCAGGAGAATTGCTTGAATCCGGGAGGCACAGGTTGCGGTGAGCTGAGATCATGCCACTGTGCTCCAGCCTGGGAAAAAACTGGGAGACTCCATCTCAAAAAAAAAAAAAAAAAAAAAAGTTGTGTGTGAAGTACCTTATGGAGAAAAAATATGTTATATAAGCTTTGTTCAGGCATGAGTTATAGTCCCTTAGTTCACTCTTAATGAATTAACATTATATATTAAATCAGGTGTCTTTAGACAGAAACACACATAAAACAAGGTTATATGTTGATTGGTGGGTGAAAATGTTGTCACACAAGGCTCACAGGAACCTAACTATGTATTTTCCCTAGGACCAATAATTCAGGATTTACTAATCTAGTATTCATGGATACTTTACAGAACAAAACTACTATGAATAACGAGAATTACCTGTACCTCTATATATCATTAAGATGTGATCACCAGGATATATTAAGTAAAAATAAGGTGCAAAATAGTGGATATAGCATGCTACTTTTTCCCTAAAAAATGAAGCAGATATGAAGAGATATTCAGTTTTGTGCATATGTGTATATAAACAATAATAGAATGCACAAAAACTAAAAAAGAAGTTACCTAATACAAATGGTATGAAATACGTGAAGGGGAGGTGGATATAAATTACATTTCTCTGAATATAATCTGTTCCAAAGATTTTACTTTTTAAGCATGTAAATATTCTACAAAATTATAAAATCAAATTATATGAAACAATCTAAAACAATTCCTTCAAACGTAAAGCCAAACGAAGTAAAATAACTAAACTATGTCAAGTTCGCGGCTTAACAGTGAGAAATTATGTTACACTACTTTAAAATACACTAATTTGCCTGTATCTCCCTGTGGGATACAGCTTAAGGTTAAAAATAACTAAAGAAATTGCAAGTTATTTTCAGTTAACATATTGTTAGTTGTGATATTGCTGCTGTTACTCTGGAACTGTTGTACGAATGTGGTAGGATAAAGAAGTGAGTAATTACATTGATGCTACTTGGGCCAAGGATTTTGTCATAAGGAAGCAAGACCCAAGTATAGAATCAGAAAACTTCAGTGTAAACCTTTTGACCTAAAATGTGAGTTGAAGGTATCAGCATGAATACCTGATGCATTCTCTCTTTTAAAAAAAAAAAGAAAAAAGTTCATTTCCTACCTTAGTCAATTTTAAAGACCTATTAGGTGGGTGCAAAAGTAACTGCAGTTTTTGCTATTACTTTATTTATTTATTTATTTTCGAGATGGAGTTTTGCTCTTGCCACCCAGGCTGTAGTACACTGGCACGATCTCGGCTCACTCCAAACTTTGCCTCCTGGATTCCAGCGATTCTCCTGCCTTGTTGGCCTTCTGAGTAGGTGGGATTACAGGCACGTGCCACCATGCCTGGCTAATTTGTGTATTTTTAGTAGAGACAGGGTTTCACCATGTTGGCCAGGCTGGTCTCGAACTCCTGACCTCAGATGATCCGCCCGCCTCAGCCTCCCAAAGTGCTGAGATTACAGGTGTGAGCCACCGGGCCCATCCACCGTTACTTTTAACAGAAACAATGACATAGCCCAGACTGCAGTTTCTAAATACTATTCGCCACTTAAAGAAACTAGGGATCCTTGGATACAAGTAGTCAATTCCTGGTCTGGGGCAGGAAATACAAAAGGTGTGCCCAGAACATCTTATTCTACCAGAAGGCAGGAGGATTATCAAAGATCACTGGGGTCACATCAAAAGAATTCAAGAGAGGTTCCCAAGAAGATATTTCTACTAGCCCAAGGTTGCTTAATGTTCGTTTCAAAAAGAATATATGCAATAAATGTAAACAACTAAATATGTTAAAAATTAATGAGTTCAAACTAACACTTTACAAAAAAAAGAAACCTCAATGGTCATCTGTGGAGGTGTTAGGATACCAACTTATTTTTCAGAAAACTGATGATAAAGGGAAAACATAAAAAGCTTAACGTGCGGGGTGCAGTGTTCACGCCTGTAATCCTAGCACTTTGGGAGGCTGAGGCAGGCAGATCACCTGATGACAGGAGTCCAAGACCAGTCTGGTCAACATGGCGAAACCCTGTCTCTACTAAACCCTGTCTCTACTAAAAATACAAAGAAAAGGCCAGATGCAGTGGCTCACGCCTATAATCCCAGCACTTTGGGAGGCCAAGGTGGGTGGATCATGAGGTCAGGAGATTGAGACCATCCTGGCTAACACGGTGAAACCCTGTCTCTACTAAAAATACAAAAAATAGCCGGGCGTGGTGGCGGGTACCTGTAATCCCAGCTGCTGGGAGGCTGAAGCAGGAGAATGGCATGAACCTGGGAGGCGGAGCTTGCAGTGAGCTGAGATGGTGCCACTGCACTCCAGCCTGGGTGACAGAGTGAGACTCCGTCTCAAAAAAAAAAAAAAAAAAGTTTAACCTGATTTTCCTATATTAACTCTACTTTGAGGTAATCAAAGAGTTGATAGTGCAGAGTTCTTCTTTTAGAAAAATCTCAGCTACTAATCAAATGATAGAGTTATACTATCACAACTTTGTACCCATAAAAAAATGGCTCCAGGAAATGGTCATCAATAGTAGCTAAAATAATTAGGCGAAAAGCTAAAGAAGAACTTTAGAATGGGTGAATCAGGCTGTTACCACTTATACCCATGGGTAAGTCTTAAAAAAGAGTTAACCAGATTTAACCTGTTAACCAGACAGGTTCTTGCTGTGTTTCCCAGGCTGATCTCAAACTTCTGGCCTCAAGTGATCCCTCCACCTTGGCCTCCCAAAGTGCTGGGATTACAGGCGTGAGTGACTGCACCCAGCCCAGAACTCTTTAAAATCAAAATTGTACAGTCAGCGTTCTCAGATGTAAACAATAGTGTAATAACCACATTTTCTGGTTTCTGTATTTAACGCTTGGACATCTTAGGGCCTTGCTGACCTCAGAAGGATAGGCCCTTTCAGGGCGAGCCAATGCTTAGAAATAGTAAATGACTCACCTGCGAGCATGCTTTTCATATGCAAACCAACCAACCAACCAACCCGAGCTCATATCCCCAGCTGTCTCCTTAACGGGACTCTCACTCTCTCTGGGCCACTGTCCATCTGCCCATATTACCCCAGGGCTGGTACCATACAACTAGAGACAGCCCCTACACCCCAGGGTTTGCTGAAATTATGCCAACTAGCCAATCCTAAAGCAGCTTATCCTGTCTAACTCATTTCTTCCAGCAGAAACCACAGTCAAGTCTCTTGCCCATGTCCTTCCTTCTCTCCCTCTACATCCTACCCACCCCTGGGGCTCCCCCTTAAAGTCCTGTGTGGCATGGAGTGCCTCCTGTTTCTAGAGAACTGTCAGTAAAAACTTCCACGTCTGTGTTTCCTTCCATACCTGATTAAGACAAATCTCACACACTCTTAAAGCAAATAGAAATCAACTCTGGCCTACTTAGGTAGCAAAAGATCATGAGAAGCTCATGCATATTAACAGCAAAGCAGGCAATCATTACTGGGGCTCAGAAAAACATTACCCCAACATGAAGGCCTCAGAAGCAGCCTGTGTTTTCTCTGACATTCTCCTGCCCTCCTGTCTGTCTGTCTCATTCTCCCCCAAGGCTAGCCATAGAAACCAGAATCCCTCTTCCCCAAGGATGGGTCAAAGAAACTAGAATCCCTTTTCCCCAAAGCCAACCTTAAAACCTAAAAATATTCTATGTAAAAACTGGCCATGCTGGGTGCACTGGCTCACGCCTGTAATCCCAGCACTTGGGAGGTCAAGACGGGTGGAACACATGAGGTCAGGAGTTGGAGACCAGCCTGGCCAACATGGTGAAATCCCATCTGTACTAAAAATACAAAAAGAAAAAAAAAAAAAAAACCAGGCATGGTGGCGTGCACCTGTAATCCCAACTACTCAGGAGGCTGAGGCAGGAGAATTGCTTGAACCCGGGAGACAGAGGGTGCAGTGAGCCGAGATTGCACCAAAAAAAAAAACTGGTCATAAACAAATTACCTCACCTACCTTGTTTGATTGTGGGTCACAGGATCCCCCACCCCGCCCCACTTCCAGAGAGGACCCTGCCCCGCATGCAGAGGAAGGAATACATGCTCAGAGAGACTATGAAGAATCTAGACAGACAGGCCTTGCTGGGTTTCCCCACTCCATCTGTCAGCATTTGATCAGACCCTTTTTGTCCCATCCTATTTCTACATGGCTGTCCATACATTGTTGGACATAAGCATGAAAATAGACAATTTCCCTTGACTCTTTGGGTCTTCATTCTTAGGGCTCCTATATACACACATTAAGTATATTTGTATGCCTTTTCTCCTATTTATCAATCTGCTTCATAGCAATGATTTTTCAGTGAACCTAGACTTAGAAAATAAGCAAAACCCAGAGAGGTCTAGCCGTGCAATGCCCGGCCAAGGCCACTTTGCAGGATATTCTGTCAAGGGTGCGATCACTGACAAAGCCACTTTGGGACGCTCAGAGCCTGCTGGGCTCTCAACACCACCAGTGCCACCAGATGCTTGATGCTTTCATGACTAAATCCTCAAGATGCAAAGTCCTAGGCATGAGCTTCCGATTGACCAAGCCTACATTATGTAACTACCCTCCAGGTGCCAGGAGGTAGCAAAAAAGGAATATTTGCTCTCTTTGGCTTCTGTCAATCAAGAAAGTACTTCCTACTAGATACACAAAGGATGCATCTCCTATATGTAAAAAGAATGTTTACACCCTAAGTAACAAAAAAAAAAAGTCAGAAGACCACAAGGGAAGCCACAGAGAAATGCAAAGAAGGTAAGTTTTACCTTGTCACTTGCAGAGCATGTGCTAACATCACCAAATATCACAGCCTAATAAATCATGAAATTTTTTAAGCCAGGAGAGATTGGTGTTAATTGATTCACGGGCCATGAAGGACTAGTTCGGGGCTGCACATCTATTCATCATGAGGCTTCCGGTGACTTTTCAGAGAAGCCCTTTAACTTCTGTGGCATCTAATTCAATTAAAGGATTGAGAGTTTCACTGAGTAGAAACTGCAGATGAAAACCCAATATTCTTTCATTTGACTCAAAATTATATTATCCATACTAAGAACATGAGAGAGGTCAAGGAGCATGAGTCATGATAAAGAGCAGCTCATCGAAATGACTCTGCAGGAACCTCTGCAGGCCAACGCCATTCAGAAGAGCCTTGACTCAGAATTGTGACTTTAAGAGAGACAGAGAGAGAGAAAAAACAACAGAGTCAAGGCCAGGTGTGTGGTTCATGCCTGTAATCTCAGCACTTTAGGAGGCTGAGGCAGGAGAACTGCTTGAGGCCAGGAATTTTTTTTTTTTTTTTTGAGACAGAGTCTCACTCTTTCACCCAGGCTAGAGTGCAGTGGTGCAATCTTGGCTCACTGCAACCTCCGCCTCCCAGGTTCAAGCAATTCTCCTGCCTCAGCCTCCCAAGTAGCTGGGATTACAGGCATGCACCACCACACGTGGCTAATTTTTTTTGTATTTAGTAGAGATGAGGTTTCACCAGGCTGGTCAGGCTGGTCTTGAACTCCTGACCTCAGGTGATCCACCCGCCTTGGCCTCCCAAGTGCTGGGATTACAGGTGTGAGCCACCACACCCGGCCAAGGCCAGGAATTTGAGACCAGCCTGGGCAACAGAGCAAGACCCTGCCTCTACAAAAATTTTCAAAATAGCCGAGTGTTGTGGCATGCACCTGTACTCCTAGCTACTCAGAAGGCTGAAGCAGGAGGATTACTTGAGCTCCAGAGTTCCAGGCTGCAGTGAGCTATGATGGCACCACTGCACTCCAGCCAGGGCTACAGAGCAAGACCCTGTCTCAAAAAAAAAAAAAAAAAGAAAAGAAAAAAAGAAAGAAAAGAAAACAATTCAGTTTTAAAGACAAACTAAAGCTATTTTTGATGAGTAAAATAAAATTGCTCATATTTAATAGTATCTCTCTTTCTACACCATGCCTTCCCCTAAAAGTTACCATTAAATTAATCAGTAAGAGAATGATAGTAAATGTCAAGTCAATATCGGTGTACAGATATGGGCTTGGGGGTGGAACCATCCAGACTAGATGGCCTTTCTTCTCCTTTGCCTTTTCTGACCTTGCACTTGCCTGAACTTCCTCATCTCTGCAGAGCCCACAGTTCCAGGTCTAAGCTGTGTCTGGGCTGAGTGGTGCATAGGATCCAGGGGATGTGAAGCCTCTGATTTTCCCCCAATGAGCTGTGCAAGGAAGCCATCTTTGCTGTGAAGTGAGAGAGACCCCTGAGAAGAAAGGGCAGGAAGACAGACCCGTGGCTGTGGATTCACTTCTTGGACTCAGCCCTATAACCAGTGACCAGATTCCCCTACAACGCTCAAGGAATTTGTCCTTCCTTCCTGTTGATCCTATTATAGCTTTGACTGCACACAAGCCCAGAGAAACAGGGGCTGGGGATCAGCAGGAGGAAGCTGCTGCTCCCTCGGCTCTGTCCACTGTAACGTACTCAAGGCCAGGAGCCACCTATCACCCAAAACACTCAGTGTCTCCCCAAATCACGTTTCTGAAATCGGTAAACCTTTCTTTATCAAAGTTATGAATCCTGCCTTGCCTTATTGTTAGATTCAATTTTTGAGTCACTTGTTATGTTCTGGGAACTATATATACATTATCTCATTTAATCATCACAAATACTCTGTGGGTGTTGATATTTACCCTCCCTCCTCCCATTTTGCAGATGACATAATTGAGCCTCAGAAACGAAGACAGGATTTGACTCCAAGCTCTGTCTGTGCATCTTGTTTTAATTTATTGTTTTAATCAGCACTGAACTAATCAGATTCTCCTCTAAATATGCCTTTTTTTATAACAGCTTTACTAAACTTTAATTCACATATTAAACAATTGTGGATTTTTTTTGTTTTGTTTGAGACAGAGTTTTGCCCCTCTTCCCCAGCCTGGAGTGCAACGGCACGATCTTGGCTCACTGCAACCTCTGACTCCTGGGTTCAAGCAATTCTCCAGCCTCAGCCTCCCACTCGTAACTGGGACTACAGGCACCTGCCACTATGCCCAACTAAGTTTTGTATTTTTAGTAGAGATGGAGTTTCACCATGTTGGCTAGACTGGTCTCGAACTCCTGATCTCAGGTAATCCACCCGCCTTGGCCTCTCAAAGTGCTGGGATTACAGGCATGAGCCACAGCGCCTGGCTCTCACTCTTTTAAAGTATGCAATTCAATGGTTTTTACTATAGTCACAGAATTATGTCATCATCCCCAATATCTAATTCCAGAATGTTGTCATCACCCCTCGAAGAAACCCTGTGTCCATTAGCAGTTACTTCCCATTCCCCTAACCCCACTTCTGGCAAGCACTAATCTGTTTTTTGTCTCTACAGAGTTCATATTCTGAGTATTTCACATGATTCCATTTATATGAAATATCTGTGTCTGGCTGCTTCTTTTTTTGTGTCTGGCTTCTTTTACTTAGCATAATGCTTTCAAGGTCCATATAAGCTGTAGCATGAATCAGTACTTAAATCCTTTTTAGGGCTAAGTAATATTCCAGTGTATGGATACACCACATTTTGTTTATTTATTCATCAATGGATAAACACTCGAGTTGCTTCCACTTTTTTTTGCTAACATGGGTAATGTGCCGTGAACATTCATGTACAAGTTTTTACATGGACATATGTTTTCAATTTTTGTGGGTATATATCTATGAGTGGAATTTCTGGGTTATATGGCAACTCTATATTTAACTTTTAAGGAACTGCCAAAGTGGTTTTTACAATATCTGCATCATTTTATGTTCTCACCAGCAACGTATGAGGGTTCTAAGTTTCCCACATCCTTTCCCACATTATCATTTTCCAACACTGTCTTGTTTATTATAGCCATCCTGGCAGGTATGAAGTGGTATCTTATTGTGATTTTGAATTGCATTTCCCCAATGACTTAAGATATTGAGCATCTTTTCATGTGCTTACTGGCCATTTGTGTATCTTCTTTGGAGAAATGTCTATTCAAATTATTTTCCCATTTTCAACTGGGTTATTTGTCTTTTACTGTTGAGTTATAGGAGTTTTTAATTCCAGACACAAATCCCTTATCAGGTATATTACTTGCAAATATATTTTTCCATCTTGTGAGCTGTCTTTTAACTTTCTTGATAGTTTAACTTTGAAACGTATACATTTTTAATTTTAATTAAGTCAAATTCATCTGGATTTTTGTTGTTGTTCATACTTTTGCTGTCATATCTAAAAAACTATTGCCTTATCCAAGGCCCTGAAGATTTATTCCCATATTTTCTTCTAAGAGTTTTGTAATTTAACTCTTAGGTTTAGGTCTATAATTTATTTTGAGTTAGTTTTTGCACATATTGTTAGGGAGGAATCTAACTTCTTTCTTTTGCATATGGATATCCAGTTGTCCCAGCACCATTTGCTGAAAAGACTTCTTTTTTTTTCTTTGAGTTATCTTGGTACCCTTGTAGAAAATGTAAGGGTTAATTTCTAGACTCTCAGTTTTCTTCCATGGATCTATATATCTATCCTTATGCCAATACCACACTGCCTTGATTACTGTAGCTTTGTAGTAAATTTTAAAAGGAGGAAGCATGAATCTTCCAAGTCTTTTTTCCTCAAGAATTTTTTGGCTATTCTGGGTCCCTTGCACTTTCCTATCAATTTTAGGAGGAGTTTGTCAAATTCTGCTGGGATTTTAGGATTGCTCAGAACATGTAGATCAGTTAGGAAATATTGTCATCTTAAGTCTCCCAGTCATTGAACATGAGATATATTTCTATTTATTTAGGTCTCTTTTATTTCAATGATGTTTGTAGTTTTCACTGTATACGTTTTGTACTTCCCTTATTAAATTTAACCCTGAGTTTTTTTTATTATTTTTGATGCTTTTGTAAATGGAATTGTTTTCTTCCTTTCCTTTTGGATTGTTCATTGCTAGTATATGGAAACACAATCGGTTTTTGTATATTGTTCTTATATCCTGCAACCTTGCTGAACTCACTGATTAGTTCTAATAGATTTTCATACGTGAATTCTTCAGGATTCCCTGTCTACATACATGAGACATTCCTGGGTGGAGACCAAAATTCCTGGATGGTCTCTTCAGATCCAAACATCCCATTATTTGTAAGCATAGCCCTCTCTTACCCTGTTCAAATGGACTTTTTTGCTTTTGTTGATGTTTTATTCATTTTTACCACCCAGTATTCATTTCCTCTCTTCTGGAAATAGTATTTTATTTTTTTCCAGGAATACACGCTCTCCTTCTCACTCTGTCCATAGTCTTCAGAGAATATAGCTCCAGGAATGGGCATGTGATATAAGCCTAGCCATCATGTCTATCTGGCTACTATTAGTTCAGGTCTGGGCACATGGTACAATTAGGACCAATGGGTTGCAATCTCAGGACTTTGAAAAGCATACCACAAGATCATATAGTTGTCTTTTCTGGCAGACTTATTAGAGCCAACACAGAGAAAAACAGAGAAGAGAGATGGAGAGAGATTGGGTCTGATTCTTCACTTCAGCCCAGAATCACATTACACTGGGAACTCAGTCTAGCCCTTGACTAGTTCAGTGTGTGAACCAATAAACTCTCTTTATGCATTAGGCAGTTATCTATCACCCACATTGATGTTATTTCAGACCATGTGCGAGGCATTGCTACTCATAAGAGACCAGTATTTTCCCTTTGCAACTCCTAAAGGCTTTATGCTTAAGTGAATTGTCTAGTGATTAAAGGATAGCAAATACTTTAAAAAAATTATGTTCTCTGTTTCCATTCTATGAAGGAAGCCCAAGTCAAGAAAACTGATTTTCATTAAGGGTGTACATATTTGAATTATTTAGCTCTACATTTGGTAATGCACTTGGCTTGAATTTCAAGTACAGTCCCTCTGATGGCTAATTTAACATAAAACACAGTCCAGGCTTCCTTTTTTTTCCAGCAGTTTTTGCTAATGGTGACTTTGCCATCAGAGGGTCTAGGACCATGCAGACTCAGCTCTATAGTATTTTTTAAATGAATCCCCTTAGATGGAAAGAGCCAGCTTATATTTACCGAGATAAACTTTTAGAGTTTTGCATTATATCCAACAGTGTTAAGCAAGAAAAAAAAAAAAACCTTCCAATAATCAGTTCCACGAGAGAGGCTGTTGACTTTTATTCGTTTCTATAGCTCATGAACCCAACCTTGAATTCCAGAGAGAGAAAGCTACCCTCAGCTTGTGATTTAACAAGTTCTGCAGTTCACGAGGAACTGAAGAGGTTTTTAGCTCTGGATACCATCCCTCTGGCTCCATTCTTTTAGCTGATAGAAAACAGGATATTACTCTAGGGAAGGAGGTTCTTTTATCTCCCAGCTGTAGCTTTCTTTAGAGAAAGGGGATTGTGGAAGTCAAAACATCGTCCTTCCCTGAATAGACGAGATTGATTTATTAGTTGGCATCTTTATAATCCTTTCCTAAGTAAAGGCAAGAAACAGTGCTTACCAGCGTGGATTTAAAGCTCCTCATATATGGACCAAAAATTTGCCACTCCCACTCACTAGAATGTGTCCATGGAAAAGGTCCTGAACCAGTCTGAGCCTTAGACTCCTTTTCTGTAAAATGCAGTTGATAATAAAGCCTACCTCATGGGACCGATTTGAGAACTGCATGTGATAATGATGTAAAATGCACTTAGCTCATGATGTCTAATAAGTGTTCCTTAAATATGTTATTTTTGTGACTGTTTAATCCTCAATAAGAAGAGTAAATATCAGATATCCCTGCCTCCCTCTAAGAAGGCACATTCCCAGTTCATTTTCAAGACTCAAGTGGCCAAGACAAGCAAACTTTCTAGATGTGACTGAGGCTGAACAAAGCTGGCATTATCTACTCCTGGTCTTTCCAGATCTGTCTGTTTTTATCCCACCAGGTCCACTCGAAGCCTCTCTTCTGAAATTTGACCAGAAATGACAAAGAATCATGAGTTGGTTCCACTGAGCATCCACCCAGAATGATGCCTCCCAAGCTAATGGCATTTTTCAACCATCACAATGGAGTGAATGATGTGGATATTAGCACCCCTACTTACAGTCATTGATGAATCTGCTCTTGGCAGTCAGAGCACCGAAGTGTGACTGCAACAATGGTGAGGGGGAGAGTTAGAAGGGAAGATAAATGAGCTCATTGTGCCTATGTATTTTGGAGGCCAAGGCTACTATCAGGTGTTCCAAGAAATGGGATACAAAAGAAATGAGTTTTGTCACCTAAAAAGAGAAAAGGATTCAACCAAGGCAAATTCTGAAAAGAAAGAACAGCCAGTGTCACCCAATTTCTACCTCTTCCAATCATGGCATTTATCTATTTTATGTCTCTAGCCAAGGAAAAATGCAATGCCTCCTTTACAGGTTTGTTCTGCTGGAGATAGTGATTATTAAAGCAATTTGTTAGAGGCAGATTTTGCGTACATATTAAAGCAAGATAATCGTATTGGAGACGCTTGCCTGAAGCAGGGATTCAGCTGGAATGGCCATTGCACACAAGTCTGTTTTTCAGAACTGGGTAATGATGAGCACATTTAGTGACTAAGATGCATGGCCTGATTTAATGGGATTTCCCCCAAAATATATATGGTAATGGAAGTAAGCCTGCTTAAATAGTGGGTACATTTGGAATCCTGCTTTAAGAGAATACAACTTACCAATTAGATCACAGCCTATTGTAGGGGAGAAAAATTAAATCTGCCCCTGAAGTTTATGTATTCATTCAACAAATATTTATCTAACACCTACTCTGCACAAGGGGCTGGAAATTAACATGTGAAGAATAAGAAAGACATAGTGTCTGGTTTTGTAAGGTTTCCGTGCTGGTGAAGGAGATCAAACATAGCATTATACAGTTAGATACTCAATTACAATCATGACAAACGCTTCAAAGGATAACTACAGGGCACTTTGCATGTGAGTGTCAGGGGAACTCACTCTAATCCAGACAATCAGAGGTTTTCTTGAGGAAGTAGCATTTAAGCTAAACACTAACAGATGAGAACCACTTAACAAATGGGGTGGAGAATGAAAATGTGTTCCAGGCAAAGACTATGGCATATGCCAAGGCTCTAAGTCAGGAGCAACAGTGTAACCTGGTGTGGTTGGAGCTAGGAGAGAAGAGGAGAAGCGAATGAAGGTGCTGGAAAGGTTGTTAGAAGCCTTTGCACATGCTGCACTGTTGCCTGGAGCACAACACAGTGCTGGGACATGCATGCAGGGCCATGGTCAGGACTTGGCTCTGGCCTAAGAACAATGGGGAGCCACTGAGGGACCCTAAGCGAGTGGCCTGGCAGTAGTTTAGCATTTTTGAAAAGTCACTCTGGACCAGGGGTGGTGGCTTACAACTGTAATCCTAGCACTTTGGAGGCTGAGGTGGGCAGATCACGAGGTCAGGAGTTCGAGACCAGCCTGGCCAACATGATGAAAGCCCATCTCTACTAAAAAAAATACAAAATTAGCTGGGTGTGGTGGCACGCAACTGTAATCCCAGCTACTTGAGAGGCTGAGACAGGAGAATTGCTTGAACCTGGGAGACGGAGGTTGCAGTGAGCCGAGATCATAACACTGCACTCTAGCCTGGGAGAGAGAGTAAGACTCCATCTCAAAAAAAAAAAAAGTACTTATATTAATTAATTCAGTTAGTCCTACAAACAACCGCTGCAATAGATACCATCATTATGGTCATTTTACAGATAAGAAAATTGAGATTCGCAGAGCCAGGACCACCCCAGCAAATAGCACAGTTGGGATTCAAAACCAAGCAGTTTGAGTGGGTATTAAAAAAAAACAAGTTTCCATTCAACTTATGAAGCAACAACAGGCAGAAATAGAAGTTGAAATTTATGTTAATCACCTTCTGTGATTCTACACTCTCAATCAATTCAGATAGAGAAATCCAAGTTGACTGCACAGAGGCACGGCTCTCTGAAAAATTTAACACTGTGCCACGCTTACGAAGAATGAAACAGGCTGGATGTCGGTTCCACAGCATCCCAAATGTTCCCACCCTTCGCCTCATGACAAAGGAACAGCAACTTCAATTTATGTGCCAACGGATCACACCCCAGCATTCCAAGGGACTTTGCTGGGGAGGAAGCGCAGTGGTTTAATGGTACAGCATGCTGTGCTGGGCTAAGGATAGAAAGTAGACACAGCAGTGTGGCCTCCAGCTTGCATTTACAGAAGGGAGTTCAGCTGGGTGTCTGGTCAAGCTGGCCCAGCCCAGACTGGGAAAGGCTGAATGTCTGAAAGTCTCTTTTGGAGAAGTACAATGGAATGCTACCAACCTGCAAACTTTCAAGTTCCATGGAAACCAACTGTCTCATGCAGGATGTTTTTCTCACAATCACTGCAAGGATGACAATGGGTTGTGTAAGGTGGCACTTGGAGAATTAAACTTTTCATGCCATTGTTTGGTACAAAGATTATTGGATATTGACATGTAATGATGCTGTGTGCTGTCACTCATTTAACACCTGCTTCCCCAGTGGACTCCATGAGGGCAAGAGTTCAGTCTGTCTGACTCAATGCTACAGCACTTAGCATGATGCCTAGAATAATAATAATAATGAAGAGGAGAAGGAGAAAGATGCTGAAGAGGAAGAAGAGGAAAAAGAAAAAGGAGAAAGGAAGATAACAGTTGACATATATTACGTAATTATGATAAGCCCATTATAGTCTAAAAGCCTTCCATGAATTGTCATTGAATTCTCACAAGAATCCTACAAGATGGATTTTATTACTGTTACAGTTTACAAATGAGGAAACTGAGGCATAGGGAACTGCAGTAACAGGCTGACTCTGCTACTAAGTGGTAGAGACAGGATTCGAACCCATACACTGACATCAGAGTCTGTGCTCCTAACCTTATACAGTGGTGCCCATTGTAAAGAGAGGAGATAGGTCAGTACTTGTGGAATAAATAAATAAGTGTTTCAGAAACGCTCACAGTAGTAGGGGACGTGGTCAGGAAGTAAATGAGTACCTTCCTAGAAGGATATATTGGAATCCCTAGGGAGTTTTTTTTTCAAACTACCCACCTGTTTCTTAGCTACTCCCACCCGCTACTGCTGGATGAAAAGCCTTACGGTGGCCAGTCACCTTTAGTGATTGGAAGTGTGTTTTCTCACTCAAGCGTATAGGGAAGAAAAAGAAAAACAATTTTGGAAATTATTGTTCTAGACCAGTGGTTCCCAAACCTGCCCACAAACTAGACTTATAAAAACCAGATAATTTACAAAAATACTAATGCCTGTGCCCCACCTTCAATGGATTAAATTAGAACTGCTAGGGGTGGGGCCTTGACACTGGTATTTCTTTTTTTTTTGAGACCGTGTCTCGCTCTGTTGCCAAGCTAGAATGCAGCGGCATGATCTCAGCTTACTGCAACCTCCACCTCCCACATTCAAGCGATTCTCCTGCCTCAGCCTCCCGAGTAGCTGGGACTACAGGCACCCGCCACCACACCCAACTAATTTTTGTATTTTTAGTAGAGACAGGGTTTCACCAGGTTGGCCAGGATGGTCTCGATCTCTTGACCTCATGATCCACCTGCCTCGGTCTCCCAAAGTGCTGGGATTACAGGTGTGAGACACCAGGCCCGGCTGAAATTGGTATTTCTTAAAAGCCACCAAGGGAATTGAATATATGGTCAAGACTGAGAAGCACTAATCCACTCTCCTCATCAAAAAGCAACCAGGGGATGCTCCAGGCCCACCTGATTCCCCTTCCTTAGATGTTAGCTTAGAGGTACAGATATCACAGGTGTTTGGTATTTAAAAGTTTAATTCAATTCAACTATTATTTCATGAACACCTCCTTTTTGGGTTTAATTTTGGGGGTACATAGTAGGTGTATATACTTATAGGGTATAGGGGATATTTTGATACAAGCATACAATGTGTAATAATCACATCCTCAAGCATTTATCATTTGTGTTACAAACAATCCAATTAGGTTCTATATTTTTATTTTTAATGAGGTGGAGTCTCACTGTGTCACCCAGGCTGGACTACAGTGGCGCGATCTCGGCTTACTGCAACCTCTGCCTCCCGGGTTCGAGCGATTCTTCTGCCTCAGCCTCCTGAATAGCTGGGACTACAGGCGCATGCCACCACACCCAGCAATTTTTTTTTTTTTTGTATTTTTTGTAGAGACGGGGCTTCACCATGCTGGTCAGGATGGTCTCAATCTCTTGACCTTGTGATCTGCCTACCTTAGCCTCCCAAAGTGCTGGGATTACAGGCATGAGCCACTGCGCTCGGCCAAGTTCTTTGTTTTTAAATGTACAATTAAATTACTATTGTAGTTACTCTGTTGTCCTATCAAATATTAGATCTTATTCTTTTTTTGATACCCATTAACCATCCCCACATCCCCCCTGTTTTGAAAAGATGTTTTAGTCTGCTCTCATTTTGCTAATAAAGACATATCCAAGACTGGGTAATTTATAAAGGAAAGAGGTTTAATGAACTCACAGTTCCACATGGCTGGGGAGGCCTCACAATCACGGTGGAAAGTGGAGGAGGAACAAAGGCACATCTTATATAGTGGCAGGCAAGAGAGCATGTGCAGGGGAACTGCCCTTTATAAAACCATCAGATCTCATGAGACTTATTCACTATCACGAGAACAGCACTGGAAAAGCCCCTCCCCATGATTCAGTTACCTTCCACTGGTCCCTCCTGTGACACATGGGAATTATGGGAACTACAATTCAAGATGGGATTTGAGTGGGGACACAACCAAACCATATCAAGAGATAAAAAGGCACAAAGCACAACTTTGATCTTTTATGGCCCCAAAGCTTAATAATGGGATAATACAAGCATAGAGACGAGTATATAACATAGTTACAATATGTAAGAGAATATGGCAGAGATAGATAGGAAGGAGGAGGACCGACAGGAATAAGGGCCCTAATGAAAAGTGGAAGAGTCTCTCTGGGCAGCTAAGAAAAATGCCATGGAAGTACAGAGAAAATGGATGCAGAAGAACAAAGCAAAGATGGAATTTCTTTTCTTTTTTAAAATTTTTTGAGTTAATTGTAGATTCACATGCAGTTGTAAGAAATACAGAGAAATCCCATATATCCTTCACCACTTTTTCCCAATGGTAACAATTCGCATAACTATAGTCTGTATCTCATCTCTTTTCTTTTTGATAAAAGGCTCTGAGAATGAGCAGATTTCAAAAAAAATTTAACTATCCTATCAGATAATTTAATTATGAGCATGAATCAACAATGTATTTCAAATTTGTGGCAAAGGCAAGAGACTTTGCTGACCTTGGAAGGGACATTTTCTGGAAAAAGAGAAGAATGAGATAATCACTGTTAGACTGAATACATGTAAAAAGAATGCCTGGTTAAGAAGATCATTAGACCCTTGACTGACAGTCAGCTAAGTAGCTGGGTAGGTAGTTTCCCAGAAGAGGTCATAATCTCATTAAAGTTTGATATAAAACTGCTTAAGCATTTTATCACAAATCTTAATTTCCTTCCTAGTAGGAGGTTATGAATTACAGCATGAAAAAACTTCTGTATCAAACCAGATTTGGGACAGTTTTTCTTTACCATAAGCCAGGGATCTGAGTGAAATGTTGAGTACCCACCTTGAATTTTGGAAGGAATAAACACAATACCAAGAACTGAGGCCGGGAGCAGTGGCTCACACCTGTAATCATAGCACTTTGGGAGGCTGAGGCAGGCAGATCACCTGAGGTCAGGAGTTCGAGACCATCGTGACCAACATGGAGAAACCCTGTCTCTACTAAAAATACAAAATTAGGCGGGCATGGTGGCACATGTCTGTAATCCCAGCTACTCAGGAGACTGAGGCAGGAGAATCCCTTGAACCCAATAGGCGGAGGTTGTGGTGAGCCGAGATGGCACCACTGAACTCCAGCCTAGGCAACAAGAGCGAAACTCCATCTCAAAAAAAAAAAAAAAAAAAAAAAGAGTTGAGGCCCTGGGGAAGATGACCCAAGAGGAAACCCATAGGAGACCATTCAGTAACATGGAAACTTTAGTTTCTGTGTGACATACATGACTTGATGTTTGTTATATATTTTTTCCAAGTTAGACTGTGAATCCTCTATAATGTAAGCTTCCAGGACACGGATCTCATTTGTGATACTGTTTCCCCCCACCTTGAACATTATCAAGCACATAATAGGCTCACAATGCAATAAATATTGACTGAATGAATGAATTTCTAAACACTTAAATAACCAGGAACACTGCCTTTCCTACATTTCAAGCATGTCAAAGGTGGGGATAGTTAAGTCATGACTGTATTTCATGAATTTTCATGAATTGATATTAGGGGAACACATGAAGGAGTGTGTTGATATACACCAAGGCTGAAACTGTAAGAAAATTTTCAGCCTCATCTTGGCCAAGAACCTCTACCCAGAAACAGGGGACCCAGGAATCACTCAAGAAAGCCTTCATTGTAATTATGAAGATAAAGAACAAATCAGTGGTTGCTGGGAATTGAGGAATGGGATGTGATTACAAAGGGATAGCATAAGAGAATTTTTGGGGGAGGAGAAGCTACTCTGTATCTTAACTGTGGTAGTGGTTACACAAATCTATATATCTATTAAAATTCACAGAACTATACACAATAAGTCAATCATTTAAAAAATGTTGCCACTAAAAATCCCATTGAATGGACACCTTGTGTTGAGGGAGGTGCCTGCCAGCCAACGCACTGTTGCTTCCTTCTCTTGGACCAGCACCACCCCCCACACGCCACCTTTATGTATGATGAGGTCTCCAGGAATGATACTTATACTGTGAGACTCCACTCCCATCTCTATCCTTCAGGGTGACTGATAATGAGTAGACAGCAAACTAGACCAAGTAGGTGTCTCTCTCAGATATTTAAAATTGGGACTGTAGCTATAAGTAAATCTCTAAGAGTTGCTGGAATGGTAACAATAATACCTAAAATTGTGAGACAGCCATATCGTATTTCATAGATATCAAAGTTGAGATAGATGGTTTACAGAATGAGAGAGAAGGATGTAAGCCTACCAAAAGAAGTGACGATAAGGGAAATAAGAGAGAGACTGAGAATCAGACATGTTGGCTGACTGATTTAATGGGTTTCCAGTTTCTAATTCCTCTTCTCAAGGTCTATCTACTTTCTTCCCCTTGGTTTCAATGAGCTACCCTACACCCTTATGATAGTCCTTGTGTATGCTTCTGTTTAATCAAGCTCAGTTATCCTGTTTGTAAAAACATAGACTCTGAATTAATCTATGGGCCTTTAAACACTAGTTCAAGCACCATCAAATAGTCAGAATTTGGGCAACTCAACCTCTTGATGCCTCCGTTTTCTCATCTTTAAAAGGACAATAGTACCTTTTATACAATTGTGGGGATTAAATGAGTCCATATAAAGTTCTTAGAGCAATGCTTGACACATAATATGAATCCAGATATGCTGCTATTATTATGACTAACACAGCTTTATCAGAGTCTGTCTATACTCTCAATATCATTTCATAGCAGGAAATAGCTATAATTATCAATATTTTCTGAGGTGAGAGAACAAAAAACAGGAAACCATCTCATTCATTATAAGAACCCCAAGACTTCCCCCAAACATGAAAAATGCCTCTTGAAATGATTATTCTAATCTAATGCAAAATTATGAACATGAGGAATTTTATTGTATTTCTTTAAAATCTGGTAAGATTTCCTGTGAAATTATACCATGGTATCAAAATGAAATTTAAGACCTTTCACCAAGTTTGGTCCTATTCTCTCTGTGGCATGAACACAGTGGGGAGTTGTGGATGATCTCTTTCATCTGCATTGTAACATTGTAATTTTAGAGTTTATAAAACACCTTCTTGGATTCTATTCCATTTTGATTTTTTCTTTTTTTAGATGGAGTCTCACTCTATCACCAGGCTGGAGTGCAGTGGCACAATCTCGGCTCACTGCAACCTCCACCTCCCTGGTTAAACTGATTCTCCTGCCTCAGCCTCCCAAGTAGCTGGGACTACAAGTGCACACCAACACGCCCAGCTAATTTTTGTATTTTTAGTAGAGACAGGGTTTCACCATCTTGGCCAGGATGGTCTCGATTTCTTGACCTCGTGATCTGCCCGCCTTGGCCTCCCAAAGTGCTGGGATTACAGGCATGTCATTTTGATCTTTATGACAACTCTCTGAGGCAGGTATTATCATCAAAAATTTACAGATGAGGAAATAAAAGCTCAGAGAGACACCAACATCCATCCAGCTACTTAGTTTCATAGCTAGAACTGAGGCCTTCTGGCTCCAAGAATTGGGCTTCTTCCTAACAATCATATTGATGCCTACCAGATTAACAGCTCTGCAGATGAAGACCAGCCTGATATAATTATTTTGCCCACTTCTCAGTTTCTACTACCAACTGTTATATTTCAGACCTATATATTAGGTTCTCACATAAGTGCAGTGAGTTTAGCAGACCATCCTCACTGTATAGACTGTGAAACCAGGTCTTCAGTAATTCAAGTCCAAGGTCACCCTTTGGGTATGTTGACTAGTAATTATATAAACCTGGAAAATCAACCAAATATCTCTTGACTTCAAATCCAGTACTTTCCCCCACTTTATGGCACTATCTCTCTGATATGTGTTTATTCTTAGCGCTAGAACTTCAAATTTCCAAACAGGCCTGGGTGATAGAGACATGTGTTTCTTATGGTCAAACAAATTGCTAGAGCTAAGACAGAAACACACTTGCTTTTCCAAGTGGATAGGGGCAGAATGAAAACTAAGTTCAATTGCTTGATTTGTGCAAATATCACACAAGAATACGGTAGACCTATGTATTAGGTTGGTGCAAACAGAATTGCGGATTTCGCCCTAACTTTTAATGGCCAAAAAACGCAATGACTTTGCGCCATCCCAATATTATATTTCAACATAGGTGTCCAAGATAGAGTGTTAAGTTGGTGGGGTGTGCGGTGGAGGAAGCACAACGTAAAACAGCTTAGCTGTTAGCTTCAACCATAAGGGGGAAAGTAACAAACTTAAATAGGTTATGTAATGAGTTGAAATATTTCTCTAGAAAGATGTCATACATTGCAAAATAGGTCAGAGCTGGTCTTCGGCCTAAAAGAGCAGAGTTTCTTTGTTCTTTGTGTGGTTGAGGGTGGAAATCCTTCTATAACAGATCCAGCTACCCCGCTACTGTGGTTTGCCTTAAGAAAACAATTGCAAGAAAGGTGGGAAGTGAGAGAGAATAGTATGTGTGTGGGGGAGTGGGGCGGAGGGGAGGGTGTGCCTGTGTATGTGTATCTGTATACGTACAGCTAAATTGTGAGATCTATGTATTAAAGAGTTTTGGAAACCTAGGACCTGCACCTAGAGACACCACCTATTCAAACAATAGTTTGCGCAAATGGGAAAATAAACTGGGTAACTGGGTTTGGCAGTAGTATAATCCCAGGTCATGGCTGATTTTATGCAAGAGTTTATGAATTATACCAGCACAGCTGGAGACCTGTGTTTCAAGAGCAATCATCTGGGCCGGGCACAGTGGCTCATGCCTGTAATCCCAGCACTTTGGGAGGCCAAGGTGGGCAGATCACAAGGTCAGGAGATCGAGACCATCCTGGCTAACACACTGAAACCCTGTCTCTACTAAAAATACAAAAAATTAGCCAGGCATGGTGGTTTGCACCTGTAGTCCCAGCTACTCGGGAGGCTGACGCAGGAAAATGTTGTGAACCCGGGAGATGGAGCTAGCATTGAGCCAAGATAGAGCCACGGCACTCCAGCCTGGGCGACAGAGCAAGACTCCATCTCAAAAAACAATAAATAAATAAATAAATAAATAAATAAATAAATAAATAAATAATAAATAAAATTAAAAAAATAAAAAAGAGCAACCATCTGAAAATAAAAACTACCAAATCCAAAAACAACATTATTCCTCAGCTGAGGAAGGTTTTTGTTTTTATCTCTCTATAATTATGGTAAGCAGACCCGCCTCCTTAAATAGTAGAATCACCCCTGTATTATGAGAAGTTACCATAGGAGAATAGACTCAGGACAGGAAAAAAGATATTCTCACAGTATAAGGTTTCAGAGATATTTAATTTAGTTAATAAAGGGAATGTGACCTCACTTCTATTTCTGCCTAGGACAGTGGCTTATATCACACTAAATCTTCTGCCAATAATAACTATAAAATCTGGGTGAAAAAAAAATAAGGCTGCTTGAAACCACTGAAGGGCAACCAAGGCAGCCAGAAGTGGATAAGGCAAGATCATGAAGAGATAAGGATGCTATTGAGGTGAGCCCTGTGTTATTATCCAGTGTGTTTCCCTTTGAGGCATTTGCCAAGTCATCGTGCATGGCATTGAGGCCAAATAGAAATCAGCAACCTGGAACTTGCAGCTGTCTTAGCAATGAACTTCAAGACTCCCAAAGCATCCAGAACATGAAGGTCTAAGTTTTCAGAGAAAAAAAGAGAATTTCTGAAAAGTGAGCCTGAAATTCTACATACAATTCTCTCCCAAGGGATTTGGGAGCTTCGGCGATGTACATACACATCAAGAAAAATGCTGAGAACACAGGAAGAAAGCATGAGCCAAGAAGCTACAAAGCTAGATTTGCAGAGATAAACTTTGGAGGTCAAAGGATACCAAAGATAATGGACGCTTGTTAGGGAGAAGTGGGAGAGGGTGGTGGTGCAGGGCAGATTTTGAGTTGAAACGTCAATGGGCATTGCCCTAGGATTAGGGGTTACACTTTAGGAGTATGTACAAGCTGGAAATACAGCCAATACTTACAAAAACTGAAGCCTAAGCTTCTGCTAAAGCAAGGTAATCTGCTCATACTCTTTCTGCCTGCCAGAAAATAAAATATATCCCCTGTAGAGGAAGATATATTGTCCAGAGCCTCTACTATCTTTCATACAAAATATCCAGCATTCTACAAAAAAAAAAAAAAAAAATTATCAGGCATCCTGGGAAACAGCAGAATGACTAAAAACCCTAAGAAAACACAAACAATAGAAACTAGCCTGGAAAGAATCCAGATATTGAGTTATCATACATGGATTTTAAAATAACCATTATTATTATTTCCAAAAACAGAGAAAGAGATCGTGAATTATAGGATTAGAACACCGAAGAGAGAAAAAAGGAAATAGAAATTTTAAAATTGAAAAACATCAATACTCAAATGTAGAACTCAGTAATGATTTTTAGAGAAGGTAAGATAGAGCAAAGAAGATTAATGAAATAACAGATAACTAAGTAGAACCTATCCAGATTGAGGCATGGGGAGAGCGGGAGGAATGAAAACCAGATAAGGGTGTGACCCAAGGGACATGATAGCAAAGTTTAATGAATGTGCAATAAGAATCTCAAAACGAGAAAACAGAAAAGATAGAAAAGAAATATTTAAAGAGATAAGGACTGGAATTTTTCCAAAACTGATGGAAGATCAATCCACAGATTTAAGAAGCTCTATAAATACTGAGAGAAAATGAACACAAAATAAAATATCTGGGTAAGCTGTTGCAGGCCAAAGACATAGAAAAATCAGCAAAGAGCAGCCAGAAGAGAGAAAGGGTTATATTATTTTCCAAGGGATACCAATAAGACTAACAGCAGATTTCTCAATTAAAATGACAGAAACTAGGAGGCAGTGCTATAATATTCTTAAAAGGCTGATAGAAAATAACTATCAACCGCAAGTTCTATACACGACATGAAAATGAAGGTAGAATAAATATAATTTTACATAAATAAAAACTAAAATATTTAATTACAGCAGACTGGTACTAGAGAAATATTAAAGGATGTTAAGTAAAAATAAACACAGAAGCAGTGATCCTACAGGGAAAAAAAAGCAGTACAGTAAGGAATAAAGGCAATGGAAAGGACAAATATGTAAGTAAATCCAAATGAATATTGACTACCAAAACATCCACAATTTGTCTGGCAGTGTTCACTATATTTTTAGAATTGAAATATATAACAATGATGACATAAAAAATAGGAGATGTTAAATAAAAGTTAACTCCTGTAACATTCTAGCTTTGTCTGGGAAATAAGAAAAAATTGTTACATCAAGTAGACCTTAATAAGGCAATGACGCATATTGTAATATCTACTGAAACCCCTAAGAGGAAAATAAGAGAATGTATATGAACATGTTAAAAACTAGCCAAAATGGAATAAAAAATAATTTATTAATCCAAAAGAAAATACAAACGAAAGTATGATGACACATTTTACCATAAATATTTCGGTAACTAGCAATAAATGTTAATGGATTAAGTAATCCAATTAAAAGAGATTTTCAACCTAGATAAAAATAACAAGCTATGGGTTTTATCCAAGATGGCCAAATAGGAACAGCTCCAGTCTACAGCTCCCAGCATGAGCGACGCAGAAGATGGGTGATTTCTGTATTTCCAACTGAGGTACCGGGTTCATCTCACTGGGGCTTGTCAGACAGTGGGCGCAGGACAGTGGGTGCCGCCCACTGAGTGTGAGCCGAAGCAGGGCGAGACATCGCCTCACCCGGGAAGCACAAGGGGTCAAGGAATTCCCTTTCCTAGCCAAGCAAAGCTGTGACAGAAGGCACCTGGAAAATTGGGTCACTCCCACCCTAATACTATGCTTTTCCAATGGTCTTAGCAAATGGCACACCAGGACATTATATCCCGTGCCTGGCTCGGAGGGTCCCACACCCACGGAGCCTCACTCATTGCTAGCACAGCAGTCTGAGATCAAACTGCAAGGCGGCAGCTGGGGGAGGGGTGCCCGCCATTGCTGAGGCTTGAGTAGGTAAACAAAGCGGCCGGGAGGCTCGAACTGGGTGGAGCCCACCGCAGCTCAAGGAGACCTGCCTGCCTCTGTAGACTCCACCTCTGGGGGCAGGGCATAGCCGAACAAAAGGCAGCAGAAACCTCTGCAGACTTAAATGTCCCTGTCTGACAGCTTTGAAGAGAGCAGTGGTTCTTCCAGCACGGAGTTGGAGATCTGAGAACGGACAGCCTGCCTCCTCAAGAGGGTCCCTGACCCCCGAGTAGCCTAACTGGGAGGCACCCCCCAGTAGGGGCAGACTGACACCTCACATGGCCGGGTACCCGTCTGAGACAAAACTTCCAGAGGAATGATCAGACAGCAACATTTTCTGTTCAGCAATATTCGCTACTCTGCAGCCTCCGCTGCTGATACCCAGGCAAACAGGTTCTGGAGTGGACCTCCGGCAAACTCCAACAGACCTGCAGCTGAGGATCCTGACTGTTAGAAGTAAAACTAACAAACAGAAAGGTCATCCACACCAAAACCCCATCTGTACATCACCATTAACAAAGACCAATAGTAGATAAAACCACAAAGATGGGGAAAAAAACAGAGCAGAAAAACTGAAAATACTAAAAATCAGAGCGCCTCTCCTCCTCCAAAGCAATGCAGCTCCTCACCAGCAACGGAACAAAGCTGGTGTTTTGTTTTGCATGACTTTGATGAGCTGAGAGAAGAAGGCTTCAGATGATCAAACTTCTCCCAGCTAAGGAGGAAGTTTGAACCCATGGCAAAGAAGTTAAAAACCTTGAAAAAAGATTAGACAAATCGCTAACTAGAATAACCAATGCAGAGAAGTCCTTAAAGGACCTGATGGAGCTGAAAACCATGACATGAGAACTACGTGACGAATGCACAAGCTTCAGTAGCCAATTCGATCAACTGGAAGAAAGGGTATCAGTGATGGAAGATCAAATGAATGAAATGAGGCGAGAAGAGAAGTTTAGAGAAAAAAGAATAAAAAGAAACGAACAAAGCCTCCAAGAAATACGGGACTATGTGAAAAGACCAAAGCTACGTCTGATTGGTATACCTGAAAGTGACCGGGAGAATGGAACCAAGCTGGAAAACACTCTGCAGGATATTCTCCAGGAGAACTTCCCCAACCTAGCAAGGCAGGCCAACATTCAAATTCAGGAAATACAGAGAATGCCACAAAGATACTCCTCGAGAAGAGCAACTCCAAGACACATAATTGTCAGATTCACCAAAGTTGAAATGAGGAAAAAATGTTAGGGGCAGCCAGACCGAAATGTTGGGTTACCACAAAGGGAAGCCCATCACACTAACAGCTGATCTCTTGGCAGAAACTGTGCAAGCCAGAAGAGAGTGGGGGCCAATATTCAATATTCTTAAAGAAAAGAATTTTCAACCCAGAATTTCATATCCAGCCAAACGAAGCTTCATAAGTGAAGGAGAAATAAAATACTTTACAGACAAGCAAATGCTGAGAGATTTTGTCACACCAGCCCTGCCCCACAAGAGAAGGAAGCACTAAACATGGAAAGGAATAACTGGTACCAGCCACTGCAAAAACATGCCAAATTGTAAAGACCATCGAGGCTACGAAGAAACTGCATCAACTAACGAGCAAAATAACCAGCTAACATCATAATGACAGGATCAAATTCACACATAACAATATTAACCTTAAATGTAAATGGGCTAAATGCTCCAATTAAAAGACACAGACTGGCAAATTGGATAAAGAGTCAAGACCCATCAGTGTGCTGTATTCAGGAAACCCATCTCACGTGCAGAGACACACATAGGCTCAAAATAAAGGGATGGAGGAAGATCTACCAAGCAAATGGAAAACAAAAAAGGCAGGGGTTGCAATCCTAGTCTCTGATACAATGGACTTTAAACCAACAAAGATCAAAAGAGACAAAGAAGGCTATTACATAATGGTAAAGGGATCAATTCAACAAGAAGAGCTAACTATCCTAAATATATATGCACCCAATACAGGAGCACCCAGATTCATAAAGCAAGTCCTCAGAGACCTACAAAGAGACTTAGCCTCCCACACAATAATAACAGGAGACTTTAACACCACACTGTCAACATTAGACAGATCAATGAGACACAAAGTTGACAAGGATATCCAGGAATTGAACTCAGCTCTGCACCAAGCGAACCTAATAGACATCTACAGAACTCTCCACCCCAAATCAACAGAATATACATTCTTCTCAGCACCACACCACACTTATTCCAAAATTGACCACACAGTTGGAAGTAAAGCACTCCTCAGCAAATGTAAAAGAACAGAAATTATAACAAACTATCTCTCAGACCACAGTGCAATCAAACTAGAACTCAGGATTAAGAAACTCATTCAAAACCACTCAACTACATGGAAACTGAACAACCTGCTCCTGAATGACTACTGGGTACATAATGAAATGAAGGCAGAAATAAAGATGTTCTTTGAAACCAATAAGAACAAAGACACCACATACCAGAATCTCTGGGACACATTCAAAGCAGTGTGTAGAGGGAAATTTATAGCACTAAATGCCCACAAGAGAAAGCAGGACAGATCTAAAATTGACACCCTAACATCACAATTAAAAGAACTAGAGAAGCAAGAACAAACACATTCAAAAGCTAGCAGAAGGCAAGAAATAACTAAGATCATAGCAGAACTGAAGGAGATAGAGACACAAAAAACCCTTCAAAAAATCAATGAATCCAGGAGCTGGTTTTTTGAACAGATCAACAAAATTGATAGACTGCTAGAAAGACTAATGAAGAAGAAAAGAGAGAAGAATCAAATAAGCGCAGTAAAAAATGATAAAGGGGATATCACCACCAATCCCACAGAAATACAAACTACCATCAGAGAATACTATAAACACCTCTATGCAAATAAACTAGAAAATCTAGAAGAAATTGACAAATTCCTTGACACATACACCCTCCCAAGACTAAACCAGGAAGAAGTTGAATCTCTGAATAGACCAATAACAGGCTCTGAAATTGAGGCAATAATTAATAGCCTACCAACCAAAAAAAGTCCAGGACCAGACGGATTCACAGCCGAATTCTACCAGAGGTACAAGGAAGAGCTGGTACCATTCCTTCTGAAACTATTCCAATCAATAGAAAAAGAGGGAATCCTCCCTAACTCATTTTATGAGGCCAGCATCATCCTGATAGCAAAGCCTGGCAAAGACACAACAAAAAAAGAGAATTTTAGACCAATATCCCTGATGAACATCGATGCAAAAATCCTCAATAAAATACTGGCAAACTGAATCCAGCAGCACATCAAAAAGCTTATCTACCATGATCAAGTGGGCTTCATCCCTGGGATGCAAGGCTTGTTCAACATACGCAAATCAATAAATGTAATCCAGCATATAAACAGAACCAAAGACAAAAACCACACGATTATCTCAATAAATGCAGAAAAGGCCTTTGACAAAATTCAACAGCCCTTCATGCTAAAAACTCTCAATAAATTAGGTATTGATGGGACGTATCCCAAAATAATAAGAGCTATTTATGACAAACCCACAGCCAATATCATACTGAATGGGCAAAAACTGGAAGCATTTCCTTTGAAAACTGGCACAAGACAGGGACGCCCTCTCTCACCACTCCTATTCAACATAGTGTTGGAAGTTCTGGCCAGGGGAATCAGGCAGGAGAAAGAAATAAAGGGTATTCAATTAGGAAAAGAGGAAGTCAAATTGTCCCTGTTTGCAGATGACATGATTGTGTATCTAGAAAACCCCATCGTCTCAGCCCAAAATCTCTTTAAGCTGATAAGCAACTTCAGCAAAGTCTCAGGATACAAAATCAATGTGCAAAAATCACAAGCATTCTTATACACCAATAACAGACAAACAGAGAGCCAAATCATGAGTGAAACCCCATCCAAAACTGCTTCAAAGAGAATGAAATACCTAGGAATCCAACTTACAAGGGATGTGAAGGACCTGTTCAAGGAGAACCACAAACCACTGCTCAACAAAATAAAAGAGGACACAAACAAATGGAGGAACATTCCGTGCTCATGGATAGGAAGAATCAATATCGTGAAAATGGCCATACTGCCCAAGGTAATTTATAGGTTCAATGCCATCCCCATCAAGCTACCAATGACTTTCTTCACAGAATTGGAAAAAACTACTTTAAAGTTCATATGGAACCAAAAAAGAGCCCGCATTGCCAAGTCAATCCTAAGCCAAAAGAACAAAGCTGGAGGCATCACGCTACTGACTTCAAACTATACTATAAGGCTACAGTAACCAAAACAGCGTGGTACTGGTACCAAAACAGAGATATAGACCAATGGAACAGAACAGAGCCCTCAGAAATAATACCACACATCTACAACTATCTGATCTTTGACAAACTTGACAAAAACAAGAAATGGGGAAAGGATTCCCTATTCAACAAATGGTGCTGGGAAAACTGGCTAGCCATATGTAGAAAGCTGAAACTGGATCCCTTCCTTACACCTTATACAAAAATTAATTCAAGATGGATTAAAGACTTAAATGTTAGACCTAAAACCATAAAAGCCCTAGAAGAAAACCTAGGCAATACCATTCAGGACATAGGCATGGGCAAGGACTTCATGTCTAAAACACCAAAAGCAATGGCAACAAAAGCCAAAATTGACAAATGGGATCTAATTAAACTAAGGAGCTTCTGCACAGCAAAAGAAACTACCATCAGAGCGAACAGGCAACCTACAGAATGGGAGAAAATTTTTGCAATCTACTCATCTGACAAAGGGCTAATATCCAGAATCTACAAAGAACTCAAACAAATTTACAAGACAAAAATGAACAACCCAATCAACAAGTGGCAAAGGATATGAACAGACACTTCTCAAAAGAAGACATTTATGCAGCTAAAAGACAAATGAAAAAATGCTCATCATCACTGGCCATCAGAGGAATGCAAATCAAACCACAATGAGATACCATCTCACACCAGTTAGAATGGCAATCAGTAAAAAGTCAAGAAACAACAGGTGCTGGAGAGGATGTGGAGAAATAGGAACACTTTTACACAGTTGGTGGGACTGTAAACTAGTTCAACCATTGTGGAAGACAGTGTGGTGATTCCTCAGGGATCTAGAACTAGAAATACCATTTGACCCAGCCATCCCATTACTGGGTATATACCCAAAGGATTATAAATCATGCTGCTATAAAGACACATGCACACGTATGTTTATTGCGGCACTATTCACAATAGCAAAGACTTGGAACCAACCCAAATGTCCAACAATGATAGACTGGATTAAGTGGATTAAGAAAATATGGCACATATACACCATGGAATACTATGCAGCCACAAAAAAGGATGAGTTCATATCCTTTGTAGGGACATGGATGAAGCTGGAAACCATCATTCTCAGCAAACTATCGCAAGGACAAAAAACCAAACAGCTCATGGTCTCACTCATAGGTGGGAATTGAACAATGAGAACACTTGGACACAGGAAGGGGAACATCACATACCGGGGCCTGTTGTGGGGTTGGGGGAGGAGGGAGGAATAGCATTAGGAGATTTACCTAATGTAAATGACGAGTTAATGGGTGCAACACACCAACATGGAACATGTACACATATGTAACAAACCTGCACGTTGTGCACATGTAGCCTAGAACTTAAAGTATAATAAAAAAATAAAATAAAATAAAATAAAATAAAATAAAATAAATAACTGGCTATATGTGGTTTATATGACACTGAACATCAATATAAAAATATAGAAAAGTTGAAAGTAAAAGGATGGTAAGAAATACCCAAGGACATAGCAAAGCCAATGTCATTATACTAATATCAAGCAAAGTAGACTTTACTGAAATAAATATAATAGAGATAAAGATCTGTATAAGAATATGTATAGACCAGGTGTGGTGGGTCACACCTGTAATCCCAGCACTTTGGGAGGCTGACGTGGGAGGATTGTTTGAGGTCAGGAGTTCAAGACCTGCCTGAGCAACATAGTGAGACCCCATGTCCACAAAAATTTAAAAATTAGCCAGTTGTAGTGGCATGTGCCTGTGGCCCCATGTACTCAGGAAGCTGAGGTGGGAGGATTGCTCCAGCCCAGGTCGTTGAGATTGCAGTGAGCTGTGATCATGCCACTGCACTCCAGCCTGGGAAAGAAAGAAAAGAAAGAAAAGAAAGAAAGAAAGAAAGAAAGAGAGAGAGAGAGAGAGAGAGAGAAAGAAAGAAAGAAAGAAAGAAAGAAAGAAAGAAAGAAAGAAAGAAAGAAAGAGAAAAGAATATTTAATAGAAGCATTTTTCACAAATGCTTCCCCAAACTGGAGCTTACCCAATTATCCAGCAGCATAATAAATAAATAAGCATATTGTAATAGTCATAAGATGGAATATTACATAGCAATTAGAATGAGCAAACTTCTGTTAGACACACAATTACAGATAAATACTGTAGATAAAATGTTGAACAAAAGAAGACAAAAATGAAAGGGTGCATGAAATATGACTCCATTTATCAAAAATCCAAAATAGGAAAAGCTAATGAATGGTGGCACAAGTCAAAATAATGGTGATCTTTGAGGAAGATGATGGAGAAGGAACATGGAAATCTTCTAGGAAATATTTTCCGTATTGATCTGAGTGGTGTGTCCACCTCTGAATATTTGTCAAGCAGTACAATTATGATTTGTGTACGTTTATGAGTATATGTTTTACTTCAATAAAATGCTTTAGAAAAAAGATAAATTTAATCCCATTTGCTACACCAAACTACTGAAAGAGGGTATATGATCTGTTTATGATAATTTTAATCATTAATAGTAACAGTAGATACTTAACTAGTCCTTCTGGAAAGAAAAATACCACATGTTCTCACTCACATGATAGAGCTAAAAAATTTGATCTCATAGAGATAGAAGGTAAAATAATAGATACTGGAGTGGGAAGTATGTGAAGGTGGGAGGGGGAAATGAAGAGAGATTGGTGAATAGGTACAAACCGAGAGTTAGATAGAAGAAATAAGTTCTAATGTTTGATAGCTACTAGGGTGATCATTGTTAGCAACTGTATATTGCATATTTGAAAGTAGCTGGAAGAAGACTTGAAATGTTACCAATGCATATAAATGAAAAATACTCAAAGTAACGAATATCCCAAATACCCTGGCTTGATCACTACACATTCTATATGTGTGAAAGATACTCACTTATACCCAATAAATATGTAAAATATTATTTATTAATACAATTTAAAACTAGTCCTGCATGTAAGTATTGTAATTATGTTAACTTAATACTTATAAAAATCTGTTAAGTAGGTTCTATTATTATCCCCATTTCACAGATAAAGGAATGGAAGAAGAGGGAGTGTCTTAGTCTATTTTCTGCTGCTATAGCAGAATATCACAGGCTAGAACATTTATGAAGAACAGAAGTGTATTTTGTTTATGGTTCTAGAGGATGGGAAGTCCAAGGACATGGCACCTGCATCTGGTAAGATACATCTTGTGGCAGAAGGGTGGAAAGCAGAAAGTGGAAAGCAGAAGCAAGCACTCAACACAGAGAAAAAATAACAGCCAGACTTACCCTTTTGTTAGGAGCCCACTCCCAAAATCATTAACCTACTCTGGTGATAATGACATTAATCTGCTCATGAGGGTAAAGCCCTAACGGCCTAAAGGCCCTCACCTTCTAAAGGCCCCACCTCTTAATACTGTTAAAAATATGATTAAGTTTCCAACAAATGAACTTTTGCAGGATACATTCACACTATAGTAGGGAGGTTAAGTAACTTGCCCTAGGAGACACACAGTTAATGGGTAGCACACTCTCTCCTTCTCCCTTCCCCCTCCCCCTCTTTCCTTTTTTCCTCTCCTCCCTGCCATTTCTCTGTTGCACCTTAGAATCTCTTGGGGAGATTTGTAAAAATTTCAATGTCTAGACTGCAGCCTAAGCCAATTAAATCAGAATCTCTAGAGTGGAATACAGGAAACTGGTTGGTTGGTTGTTTTTTTAAAGAAAAACAATTCCTTGATAAATGTATGTCTGATTATCATTTTAAGGATGTGAGGGTTAAAGTTCAACGGGGTTAGATAACAACAAATGAGTAGAGGGAAATTAAGAAGTGGGGAAATCAGAATTTAAACCCCAATGTACTGAGGTCTAGAATTTGAGTACCATTCCTCCTTCCAATGATCAGGAACTTTTGATTTTCTTCCAGATACCCAATCCTCCACATTAAAGGTACAGCCCCAACATCTGGGGGTGGAGAGAGGTATAGGTCTGGCATTTATCCAGGATTTTTAGCTTCCTTCATCAGAAAACACCTGAAGATAGGCAGTCACCTATGGCAAGAAACAAATACCAAAGATGGAACTATGGGGATAAGACATAAATAAGTTTTACCTTAGGGATCCTGTTCCAGTATGATGTCCATGCTTCAAACTTTTATAACCAGGTCCTTCAATGACTAAACTTCTTTCATAAGTGTCCAAAGTAGGCTTACCTTTCTCCTTCCTGTCTCCAGGGTAATTAAGTGACTAAATTTTACCGAGGCTACAAAACTCACATTGAAAGAAAATTGGGTAACACTCAAGTGGGAAAAGGAGAACTTTTCTAACATAAAAATATTATAATTGTGCAATATTGGCCATAAAACATGCTGAGAAATAATTGTTTGAAAATTATCATTATCTAAATCTCAGTATGGGAGAGATAAAAGAGAACAATGTTCACACGAGCTTTCTCAATTAAGGGTGCTACAATCACGACCTCCAAACATAGAAGAAACAAATATATGCAGTTCTTTTAAACATATACTTAAAGTTACAAAATGGATTTTGAGTGTAATTTAAAGGCAGGGTGCTCCCTACGACTTACTTGGTTATATTAGTGCGAAGCAGGGTGTGGAGGTAAAAAGTTCCCTTTGCCAGAAGATGTGCTTATTCCTATTAACTTGTGCCCATCCACTGGCCAGTCCCCGATAAGGTCTTCTTTCTTAATATCTAAAATGATATCTACATCATCCCAATATCAACTTCCTGAGCCACCCACTCCTTTGAAATTCAAATGAAACTGGCAAAGCCGTACACCATATGCCATGGAAAAGCTCAGTGTTAATCTCCCATCTCTGTGGAGCTCCTCAAGATGTCCAGAAAGAGTTGTCACAATCGCTGGATCGTTTCTTACTCAGAGTCCCAATATTCAGGAGAGACCATTTAGTTTGTGGATAAACTCACTGTCTGCCCATTTTTTCACTAATCTCCATCACTTCACCCAGAATCCTCATCCTTTAACCCAGGCTACCTGCGTGGCAGCCTTTACCATGAAGGGGGTTTCAGCACAGACGTAAACTTAGCAGCAAAGTACCTCACAGTTTTGAAATTCAGTCAGTCTCTTTACCTGCCACAGAATTTCCCATGCACTACCTCACTTGGCTCTGTTTTCACTCCTCTTCCTCCTCCTACCCCTTTGTTTGCTCCACGCAAGCCATAACTCCAAAATTATTATGACTCTCTCCTGAGGATGTTTTTACAATCTCCTTGTTCACTGACTCCTTCCAAACTATTCCTTGTCATCTCACAACTTTCCAAGCCCAACTGGTCTGTATATTAAGCTATTGTGCTACAACAGTAGTTCTCTTCCTCAACGAAGTTCTGCTGCCAGATTTTACATGATTCATTTTTACCATGCTTCAACCAAATGATATAAGTAAGCTCCCTTCTACTTCTAAATTCACCTAGTAGATGGTACCTAGTCTCTGACAAGCACTGATATACTGGGATACATAGTGGATAAACATGAATGACAAAGTCCCTAATTTCATTAAGCTCCCAAGACAGAACTTAAGAGATGCTTGTTTGTTTGGAAAAAATACAGTAAAATCTTTTGCATTAATGAGTGAATGAGGGGCATTATTTCCCCATCTGTGACCTGGAACTCAGAATTGCATACATAATAATGGTTCTGTCTCTTCTTCTTAGGATACCCACCTAGGCCCTCTCATTCCTTAAAGAGAGGTTACAAGCTACAGAAGCAATGCTCCTAACCAACATTTACTAAATCTGCTTTATCAAAATAACCAAAACCCTCCATTTCTTCAACAAAACATACTAAATGCTCTCTACAGAAAGCTGAAAGCTCATGGCTAACAGGAAACTCTAATTTTTCTGCTACATTAACCAGCCAACTACTACTTCTAATTATATCAGATAAGAAGGCTTCTACTGTATTTTTCCAAATAAAAACAGTTCCTTCCCAAGTGGAAATCTAATGCAAGCTGTTGAAAACAAAGTAATTCTGTTTTCTTCTTATCACATGCAGATGAATGGATGCCTCAGAACGACTTTGCCAGGACTACACAAAATTCACTTAGTCCTGTTGCAGACTATGACTATGATCTTCTTTTGCAGAAAGGAAACGTAGGTAGTTGTCAGTTGTATCAGCTACCTATTACTAAGAAACAAACTCCCCTAATATTCAACGGTTTAAAACAATACACTTTTATTATTGCTTATAAGTCTATGGGTAAGCAGGGAAGTTCTATTGATCTGGGCAAAGTTTGGGTGATCTCATCTTATGTCTACAGTCAGCTGGCAAGGTCATCTGGTAATGGCTGGTCAAGGATAGCCTTACATGTCTCGTGGTTGGTTGGCTGTTGCCTAAAGTAAAGGGAGTCACTGAACCCTGTGTCATCTCTACATTCAACAGGCTAGCTCATGGCAGCTGGGCAGACTCCAAAAGAAAGTAACAGGTACAACATCTGCTGAGGGGGAGGTTTAAAGCTGACACACTGTCACTTCCAACATGTTCTAATAGCCCCTGTAATTTATAAGATCTTATGGTTTGAATTTTGTCCCACCTTAGATTCATAAGTTGAAGCCCTACACCCCCAATGTCACTGTATGTGGAGATAGGGGCTTTAAAGAGGTAATTAAGGTTTTAAAAGGCCATAAGGGTGGAGCCCTAAGCTAATATAACCTCTGTCCTTATAAAAAGAAGAAGAGATACCAGAAGTACACACACACGCACACACACACACACACACACAGAGAGAGAGAGAGAGAGAGAGACCCTGTGAGGACACATGGCCTTTGTTGTTTTATCAGTCTTTATTGATGAAACAATTGAATTCTTTATAGGAAAAAAAGAAACCATAATACTTTTTCCCCCAACAAAAATTAATTCAAGTTGAATTATATACTTAGACATAAAACCCAGAACCATAACATTTCTAGGAATAAAAGAATATTTTTAAGACCTTGGATATGCAAAAAATTTTTTGAACAGGACACAAAAAGAGATGAGGTGTCATCTGTAAATCAAGGAGAGAGACCTCAGGAGAAACCAAACCTGACAACATTTTGATCTTGGACTTCTAGCCTCCAGAACTGTGAGAAAACAAATTTCTGTTGTTTAAGCCACCACCTAGTCTGTGGTATTTTTTTATGGCAGCCCAAGCCAACTCAAACACAAGGTAAACCCAGACTCAAGGAGTAGACAGATAGATTCCAACTATTTATGAAAAGAGCTACAAAGTCACATTATGAAGGTTGTAGATATAGGGAGGGATGGAGAATCAAAGCTATTGTTGTAATCAATCTACCCTACTACATCAGTTGAGGCAGAATTATCAACACTTTTTGTATTGTATTTCAATTTTACCTATAAATTTCAGTATTTAGAAGAAAGTCAGTGGGTTCCCTTACACAGTGGACATAGAATGCACCCAAAGGATCAAAACAAGTCACTTAAGCTATAGCAAAGGGCTGAGACTAGATATGATGAGGTGTCCCTCTAATGCATACTAGTCCTATATAGTAGATATAGCTGCATCCATAGAAGACTCAGAGGCAAGAAGCAGGACTGAAGTCTCTAGGCTCTGAAATCAGTGAGCAGGAATAGAGAGCAAAGAGAAATCTTCAGAACCCAACACGTTGGTAGGTTGGTGGTAGAGCCAGGAAAGACTTCCTCCAGTTCTGAAAGCTAGAAACATGTTCCTGAAGCACAGAGAGATTGGTATACTCTCACCAGCACTCAGACCTGGGTCCTGCTGAAAGGAAGTCCTGATCCCACACTCATTTGAAGCCAGAGACAAATTGAATTAAACAAAAGCCACAGCAAAACCCAAACTGAGCTCAACTGCAGATTAGATTGCATCAGTCCCTGCTGCAGTAGCCTAGCATAAGAATAGCCAAGGTGATCATGAGTAAAAATAATTGAGCTGGAGAAATTTTCCTACCTGATTTAAAAATATACTACAAAGCAATAGTAATCAAAACAGCATGGCTAGTATAAAAACAGACACATAAGCCAATGGAACAGAATAAAAAACCCAGAAATAAGTCCATGCATTTATGGTCAATTGATTTTTGAAAAAGAATCCAAGAATATACAATGGGGAAAGAATAGTCTCTTCAATAAACAGTTCAGAGAAAACTGGATACCCACACGCAAAAGAATGAAATTAGGCCTTGATCTCACATCAGATACAAAAATCAGCCAGAAATAGATTAAAGACTTAAACATAAGGCCTGAAACTGAAAAACCAGTAGAAGAAAACATAAGGGGAAAACCCCATTGCATTGCTATGGGCAATGATTTTTTTTAATCGGACCCCAAAGACATAGGCAACAAAAGCAGAAATAGACAAAAGGGATTTCATCACACTGAAAAGCTTCTGCACAGCAAAGGAAACAATCAACAGAATGAAGAGGCAACCGAGAGAATAGAACAAAATACCTGCCAATCATACACCTTATGAGGGAGTTAATATCTAAAATACACAGGAAACTCAATTAAGTAGCAAGAAAACATCCTGACTAAAATGGGCAAAGGATCTGAACAGACATATCTCAAAAGGCAACATACAAACAGGTATATAAAAGATATTGGATTTCTACATCTTTTTTTAATTGACAAAAATTGTATATATTTATGGAGTACAACATGATGTTTTGATATATTCATTGTTTGATCTAGACATTTGATAGTCATTGTGGAACGACTGAATCAAGCTACTGAACATATCAATTCCCTACATATTTAGCATATCTTGGTGGTGAGAACATTTAAAATCTACTCTCTTAGCAATTTTTACATATACAATATTATTAATTATAGTCACCATAATGTACAGTAGATCTCTTGAACTTACTCCTCTTGTCTAACTGAAATTTTGTATCCTTTGACCAATATCTCCCCAGTACTCCAACCCCCCAGCTTTATTTTTTATATACTTTTCATATACCAACAGGTATATTTTTAAGATGCTCGACAGCACTAGTCACCAGGAAAATGCAGATTAAAACCACAATGCGATAGCACTTCACACCTATTACAATGACTTATCAACAAGATGAAAGATAACAAGTGTTGACCAGGAATGTAGATACAAGGGAACCCTCAGATGCTGTTGGTGAAAATGTAACTTAGTACAGCTATTATGGAAAACAGTATGGAGTTTCCTCAAAAAATTAGTAATAGAACAATCATTTGATCCAGCGATCTCTCTACTGGGTATGTATCTAAAGGATATGAAATCAGTGTGTCGAAGGAATACCTGAACTATGTTCACTGCAGCAACAATAGCTGGAATTAACCTACATGTTCATCAATGGATGAGTGGATAAAGAAAATATAGTATATACACACAACAGAGTATTATTCAGCCTTAAAGAAGCCCTCTTATTTGTGACAACATGGATGCACCTGGAGGACATTAGGTTAAGTGAAGTAAGCCAGGCACAAAAAAAAAAACAAAATATTGCATGAATGAGTTCATACGTTAAATCTAAAAAAGTAATGCTGGAGAATGGGGGGACTGGGGAGATGTTGGTCAAAGGATACAAAACTTCAGTTAGACAGGAGAAGTTCAAGAGATCTATTATACATTATGTTACTGTAACTAATAACATATTTATGTGAAAATTGCTAAGAGAGCAGATTTTAAATGGTCTTATCACCAAAAAATGCTAAGTATGTAAGTAAAGCATATGTTAATTAGCCTGATTTAGTCATTTCACAATGACTATCAAATGCCTAGATCAAACAATAACTATATAAAAACATCATGTTGTACTCCATAAATATATACAATTTTGTCAATTAAAAAATAAAAACATGCAAAAATCCCATACCTTTTTATGACTAAAAAACTCAGCAAACTAGAAATTTCTCAAGCTGATAAAGTGTATCTATGAAAAACCTACAGCTACACCAAATACTTCATCATAATTAATATCAAAATTATAAACAATTTTTCCCCCAAGATCAAAAACAAGGCAATGATGTATGCCCTCACCACTTGTATTCAGTATTATCCTGGAAATCATAACTGTAGCAATACAATTTTTTATAAAAATTGTTATAAAATTGTTATAAAAATTGCAAAAGAAATAAACTTCTACTAATTTGCAAATTACATTGTTGTGTAAGCAGAAGTACAATGTCCAAAGCAATCTACCAAACTTCTACAACTAGTTAGTAAGTTTTTAAAAGTCACAGGACACAAGGTTGATAAGCAAAATTAATTGTATAACTATATATAAGCAACAAACAATTGAAAATTAAAATGTAAAACACAGTAACTCTCCCCTTCCTTTTCTTTCCTGAACAATTCTGTCCAAAAGCCATCAGGTGGGGCTGAACACATTAGGCAACCCTGCAGAGAAGTAGGGTAAAGTTGCTGTGGGCCTCTACATGGTGTTGAGGACTGAGTATGTGTAGAGGACGTCCACAAGAGAAGATGGCCTATCACAGGGCATCAGAGTTGAGCAGACTGAAGGGCTGCCTACATGAGAGGGTGACCAGGTGCTAGGCACCAAAGCCCGTGCAGGTTGAACAGGGCATCTGCTTGGGAGGGAAGCCCAGCAGGAGGTGTCAGAGCCTGAATAGCCACCAGGGGGCAGGAGTGACAGCCATGACTAGAGATTGGTACCTATGATGGGGTTGATCCAATAAACACATTGAGGGAAATGGGAGCTAGGTTTCTGCCAATAAAGAGATATACAAACAAGGAAAGGCAGATAATTAGAATAAACTCTGTAGGGCTGGAATGAAAGATATTGGTGTAAACCCTTGGCTTTCAACAAGTATAGATAGATATTCACATAAGGTATATAGATATGGGCATAAATATAGAAATAGGAATATACACAGAAGTTACTGAGCACACCTAAGGCTCAGATCTTGGTTTCTAAATACCATTCTAAAATAAAAGTAGACACAAAATAAAATAAAAGGGCTTGTTGGATAAATGGCTAATTCCAGGGCTAAAGAAAAAAGAAGTACAAAATGAATCTGGAACACTTTGTGCCAGAAAGTAAGAAAGCTCTTTTAAAAATAATAAAACAAATAGGGGTATAATTAAAAAGACATGGAAATCTTGAAGGTGCCCCTATCCACAAAATCTGAAACAATTTGAGCATCAAAATAAAAAATAATATTAATGGATTAAAGCTAAGTAAAATATGAAGGCATGAGCCTATACTGATAGTAATTAAATTCAAAGTTTGATGAAGAACAAAACAGTTTCAAAATATCACTACACGAAATATTTATTACAAGGGGATACATAGTAAATTTACAGTGGAAAGCCTAATAGACATCCCCTTCATCAATTGATCAAAGTGAATATCATCAGTAAAGGAACAAATCAAAATTATATGTCACTTGATAGGACTCCATAAGAACACTATCTCGCTCTGTGATGTTTCTGCCAAAGAGGAATAGCCTGAATCTAACCAAAAGGAAAGATCAGAGCAATCCAAATTCTACAAAACATTCTTATAATTTGTCTAGGTCACCAAAGTCAAAGAAATACTGAGGAACTGTTTCAGACTAGTTCAACTAAACATAACACGATTCTGGACCAGATCAATTTCTTACAAAGACCACTCTGGGGACAACTAACTACACTTGAATGGAGTCTGAAGACTAGGTATTAAGAGGGGATACATGTCTATTTCCTGATTTTTATGTTCGTATGGTGGCTATTTAGGGGAATATTCTTGTTCTTAGAAAATACACATTCAAGTATTAGGAGATAATAAAGTATCATGTTGGAAACTTTCAAATGCTTTGAAAAAGTTTCTTTATTCTGTACTCTAAACTTATTGGAAATTTTGAGACTGTTTCAAAATAAGAAACAATATAACTTTCAATAACATCAAAATATCAAATACCTGGAAATAAATGTAATGAAACCTACTCAAACCCAGAAAACATTGCTGAGAAAAGTTAAAGACCTGAATAAATGAAATGTTTTACAATGTTCGTACATTGGAAGGTTCAGTGCTATTGAGATATTCATTGTTTCTAAATTAGCACATAACTTCAGTATGATTCCTATCAAAATTCCAGCAGGCTACTTACCAGACTTACATAAGATAACTCTAAAAATGTTTATGGCAAATCTACATGTCTAGAATAATGAAAACAATCTTGAAAAAGGTGAACAAAACTGGAGAACTAACATTATCTGATCTCAAGCCTTATTCTAAAATTACAGTAATCAAGACAGTTTAATAGTGGATCATAGGATAGAACACTAGATCAATGGAGCAGGAGAGAGTGTCCAGAAATAGACCCACATTCATATGGTCAGTGGATTTCACATAACGGTACAAAGTCAATTCTACGTGGCAAAGAATGCCTTTTAAACAAATGTTGATGAAACAATTGAATGCTTTATAAGACAAAAAATGAACCATGACAATTTTCCCCCACAAACACAAGATGAACTATGTACTTAGATATAAAACTCAGAACCATAACACTTTTAGGAAAAAAGAATATTTTCAAGACTTTGAGTGTGCAAGAAATTTTTGAACATGACCCCAAAAACATGATAAAAAAAAAGAAAAAGATTTAAAAATGTTGGACTTTATCAAAGTTAAAATTTTCTGCTTATCAAAAGATACCATAAAGAAAATGAATAGACAAGTTATGGTTTGGAAATATACTTATACCACCTATATATGACTATGGGCTTATATCCAGTGTACACAAAAACTACAAATCAACAATCTAATTGAGCAACCTAATTTTTCAAAATTAACAAAATACTTGAACAGATGCTTCACAAAAGAAGATACATCAATAGTCAACAAGTATTTGAAAAGGACTCAATGTTGTTAGTCATCAAAGGGAATGCAAATTAAAAACCATAATCAAATAGCACTTGACACCCAGTAGAAACACTAAAATGAAAAAGACTGACATCAAATGTGGGCAAGGACAAGGAGCAACTGGAACTCACATACATTGCTGGTGTGAGAGTACAATGTTACTACACTTTCAGGACTATGTGGCCCTTTCTTCAAGTTTGACATACATGTCAAACTTATGACCCGTCTCTTCTTCTCCTAAGTACTTACCCAAAAGAAACGAAAACACGTTTACTCCAAATCATGCACAAGAATGTTCATAGTAGCCATGTTCATAACTGCAGAAAAGTGGAAACCATGTAAATGCGCATAACAGGAGAATGCCGGATGCCTACATAGGAATACTACACACCAAGAGAAAGAATAAATGACAAATACACACAATACGCACATGCATGAATCTCAAAAACAGTATAAGCAACAGAATCCTGAAACAAAATGACATCCAACACATAAGAATGACCCTATTTATGAAATCTATATATAAACCAAACTAACCTAGGTTGACAGAAATCAGGTAGTGGGATATAGGGAAGGAATGAACTGGAAAGGAGTCAAAGCGTTTCTAGGATGATGGAGATCTATGTTCTTTTGAGTGGTGTTACACTGGTATATACTATTACCAATATTCATTGAACTGAACACTTTAGATCTGTGCATTTTATTATATGTTAATTATGGCACAAAAAAACAAAAACAAAAAAGTCTAAAAGGTCTAGTATGGGACTTATTGCAGATGAATGCCATTTTATTTTTTTATGTAATTTCAACTTTTATTTATTTATTTGAGACAGGGTCTTCCTCTGTCACCCAGGCTAGAGTTCAGTGGTGGGATTATAGTTCACTGCAGCCTCAAGCTCCCAGGCTCAGGCGTTCTCCTGCCTCAGCCTTCTGAGTAGCTGGGACCACAGGCATGCACCACCACAGCCAGATTATTTTTTATTATTTGGAGAGACAAGGTCACCCTATGTTGTCCAGGCTGGTCTCAAACTCCTGAGCTCAAGGGATCCCCCTGCCTCAGCCTCCCAAAGTACTGGGATTACAGGCCTGAGCCACCATGCCCTGACAACTTTTATTTTATTTAGATTCAAGGGGTACATGTTCAGGTTTGTTACCTGGATATATATTACATGATGCTGAGGTTTGGTGGACAACTGGGGCAGCTGTCACCTAGGTACTGAGCATAGTACCCAATAGTTTTTTTTTTTAATACTGTCTCCCTCTCTTTTCCTCCCCACCTCTAGTAGTCCCTAGTGTCTATTATTGCCAGCTTTATGTCCATGAATACCCAATATTTCACCCCCACTTACAAGTAAGAACATCTGGTATCTGGTTTTCTGTTCCTGTGCTACTTTGCTCAGGGTAATGGCCTCCAGCTACATCCATGTTGCTGCAAAGGACATGATTTAGTTGTTTTTATGGCTACATAGTATTCCATGGTATATATGTGCCGCATTTTCTTTATCCAATCCGCTGTTGATGGGCATCGAGGTTGATTCCATATCTTTGCTACTGTGAATACTGCTGCGATGAACGTATGAGTGCATGTGTCTTTTTGGTAGCATAACTTATTTTCCTTTGGATACATACCCAGTAATGGGATTGTCATGACAAATCATAGTTCTAAGTTATTTGAGAAATCTCCAAACTCTTCTTTACAGTGGCTGGACTAATTTGCATTCCCATCAACAGTGTATAACCGTTCCCTTTTCTCCACAGCCTCACCAGCATCTGTTGTCTCTTGACTTTTTAATAATAGCCAGATTCATGAAATTTTCAATGTTTAGATTTTTTTCACTCTATAAGAGCACAGTGTTTGAAAAATTAGAAATTTAACACATAATATGTAAATATGGACATTTGCAACTCGAAGCACCGAAACAGTTGCTATGCAACAAAACGGAGCAGCGAGCGAGCCATCACAGTATGTCATTTGTCACACTCAGGTGATGGCATATTGTAACCCAACTGTTAGAACCATGCTGTTTATAATTCGGTAACTATACAGCCACAACTACATCATTGAAGTTAGTAGCACCAGCTTCAAAATCAAGCAAACCTGGATTCAAATTCTGCCTCAGAAAATTTCCTACTACATAGCTCCTGACTCTTCTTCCAATAATTCTGTGAGGCATGAGTCTGGAGGTGAAGAGGTGAAAACTTCTTCCAGTTCCAGTCTAAATGGCCTTACTCGGAATCTCCTCATTTTAAATCTATCCCTAAGCACCACAAGGTTTAGCATCAGTTCCAGTGGCACAGGCAACACAGAAATTATAAATAAATACATTCTTCAACTAAGCCCCTCACACCCGCAGCCACCTTCTCCAGCTTGTTGAGAAATAGCAAACAAGAACTAGATACACCACACCGAGTGGCGTGGATATTGGATAGTGTAGCCAGGATCTAAAGTGCTTTTCTTGAACAAGACTGTCAAGGGGCAAACAGGCATTTACTTATTTTTGGGTTGTGCGTGATTGACGATGCCACTCTGAGGCCCAGGATTCTCATTTAACGCCCCTCAGGCATCCAATTGTTTGACAGGCTTAAAACACATGAATTCTATTTCCAAAGACAGAGACAGACATCAGGGCCCTCCTACCAGAGCATGTGGAAGAAAGAGCAAACAGCAAAAGAAACTCGCTAGGGAGGGTGAGGCCATGGACAGCTGCCGCTGCATTTGTTTTAGAGTGTAAGCAAGAAAAATGCTCCTTTGACATTTGAAAACTTTCTATATCCTCCCCTGTAACTGCCAAGCTATCCCAGACTTCCTCACCACAGCTCCAAATGCCCATATTTTTCTTCACTCCTGGATATAAATGTGACTCTCTTCTCTTTATTATAAGGCAATGAAAGGCCTCCAGACATAGTTACTGGCACTACTGGGACCCCCAGATGGTTTGCTGGGCCAGGAAGAATGCCGTGTAGCAGTGGGGAGGTAACAGGTTCCTTCACAAGAAGCCACCTGCTCATAATTCATTCACACGCTTTTCCTCTGGGCAAAGCAACAACAATTTAAAATAGTCTAACGTGGGCCTTCCTGGAATTACAAAAATAGGAGTGCATCCAGATTTGAGGATTGGTTGCCCCCTCTTCTCTGGTGCCACCCCAGCTGGAAGACTGCCAGGAACAGGTTACGGAGTCTCTTTAACAGAAATGGAGATTAGCAGGTGTTAAAGACAGATTAGCAACTAAATGAGTTTCTCCCTGTCATAATCAGTATTCAAAGAGGAAGGGTTTCTAGTTGGGCAGCTGCTAGGAGTCTTTTCTGACAAGAAGAAATTTGCCTGGATTTGCCAGGCTTTAGCAAACTCAAGATATCAAAGTGTAAAGGTAAGCCATAAATGAAGTTTGTAGCAGGCAGGCACTTGGCTAGAATGTGTAACTGAGATAAAATGGGGTCACAGCACGTTTTGTTTTCAGGGCACTTTCTGGGGATGGGAAGGGAGAAGTTCCATGTTTGTGCTTTTTTTCCTGTGGACTCAGATGCTGACTCTAATTCCAAGACTCCACTGGTTCCACGGTGCTTTCTTTTTGCACCCTTAGATTTGGCCATCAGTCTGGAGGGCAGAGGGAAGAGCTTGAACAGGCTTGGATGAAATAATACTGTCTTAGCCAGTTTGGGCTGCTATAATAAAAATACCGTAGACTGAGTGGCATAAACAATATACATGTATTCCTTGTGGTTCTGGAGGCTGGGAAGTCCAAGATCAAGATGCTGGCAGATCTGGGGTCTGGTGAGGGCTCTCTTCCTAGTTCGCAGACAGCTGCCTTCTCACTGTGTCCTCTCATAGCTGAGAGGCCAACGTGGTGAAATCCCATCCATACTAAAAATACAAAAAATTAGCTGGGGGTGTTGGCACATGCCTATAGTTCCAGCTACTTGGGAGGGTGACGTGAGAGCATCACTTGAACCTGGGAGGTGGAGGTTGTGTGAGCCAGGATCATGCTATTGCACTCCAGCCTGAGTGACAGAGCAAGACCATCTCAAAGAAAAAAAAAAGAAAAGAAAGAAAGATAATCTCTTTTGTGTTTCTTCCTATAAGAGCATGAATTCCATTCTTGAGGGATCCACTATCATATCCTAATTGTCTCCCAATGGTCCTACCCCCTAATACCATCACAATGGGTTAGATTCCAACATATAAACTCTGGGGAAACTCAAACATTCAGTCTATAGCAAACACTATGACAGCAAAGTATGCTGTAATAGTCAACTAGGCTTTTAGAGAGAAAGAAAGAAAACAACTATTTATTAAGCACCTACTATGCGCCACCCACTTTACTAAGCTCTTTCATTATTTTATTTTAATCCAAAAGACCCGGTCCACATTAGAAGATCTGGCATAAGTGAAACTAAAGACAGATTGAGTTGCTTATTTCTTTCCTTCCCATGGTTTTGTGTTTCCTTCTTAATGTTGTTTTGAATTTGTTTGGGCTCAAATTATATTACACCCTTGTCATCTCCATTAGCTAAAATGTATTTATGGCTGATTATGCATGCATAAAATAAATTAAATATCTGAATAACATTACCAGTAATTGGTGAAATTGCCTTATGTTTTCACATCCTTACAACAAAAAAGGCATCAACAAATGACCAGGAAAACAAAAGGATAATCCATTATAATTTTCCTTATTAACATAGTGATAGGACAGACACAATTATGGGCAATTTCAGTGTCTAAAAATCAAGTATGATGAAAATTATATTGAAGTTAACTAAGAAAAAATTACTTTAGCTATTGCTCCAAACCAACTGCTAGTCAGGATGAAAGAAAATAGCCCCTACTTAGAAAAATCAGCCACTGACTTAGAAGTTGACACTGAATCTTTTAAGTTTCTACAAACTATAAACCATAGCTGGAGTGTTCATTTTGATTTGCCTGGGTGATTCTCCATGATATGGTTTCCCTTCAGACACCACTGCTTTATTGGTGAATCATTTATGCTGATTTAGAGAGATATTCTAGTGTTTTTCTTTCTAAACACATAAGTACCACCTTCAGCACAGCCTGGTATTTAAAAATATATGTGTGTACCCACACACAAGCACACACAGGATCAAACCAGCATAATCATTTTTTGGGCTGCTAATTTGTGTGTTTTGATGGTGATGTGAATTTAAAGTATTTGATAACCATAAAAACCATCATGGCATAGGTACTGACCAACGGAGAAGGATACCAGCTGTGACATTAGAGCAAAGTACTAGGACCCCTTTTGTGCAAGACCAGGGGATCACAGTAACTGGGGTGCACCAGGAAGCTGCTATTTACCAACCAAAATGAAAGTCTTTTAATCGGTTAACAATGGTGCAACCATACCAGGGTGTCACAACTAAATGTCAGTACTATACACACACACACACAGAGAGACAGAGAGAGAGAGTGAGAGACAGAGAGAGAGAGAGAGAGAGAGAGAGAGAGAGAGAGAGAAAACCCCAAGGAAGGTCTGGCCTCTCCCTTGACCTCTGTTATCCCGGTGGTTTTAGTCAGCATCTTGCCAAATGGACACCCCATAACAGTACACTCCTGTAGGGCTCTGGCAGGTGACATGGCAGTCCAAACCAATGGTCATTTCTACAAGGACACCCCTTCTCTTTCAGCCCTGACACCTGGAAAACCAGTCTTATTCACAGAACATAGTAGTTGGGACCCAAGCACGGGTACCACCACTTAGATTTTAAAAGCCAAAGATGTGTGAAGTTTGAAACAGACAGAAATGCTCCAAATCCACCCAAGGGAATCTAAAGAAGATGATCTATCTATCTGTCTGTCTGTCTGTCTGTCTATCTATCTATCTATCTATCTATCGATTGATCGAGAGATGTGGCAGGGCCTGTATCTCAAGAGAAAGAGAATCCTTTACCCCATCAAAGTGAAATTTATAAAGAACAGATCCAAACATGCCTTTCCATTTCTCAAAATTCTTTGATGGCCAGCATCACTGATCTTTTAATATGGTAGAAAAGGGACTTCATAATGGAGCCTCACCTTATTTCTTGCTGCCTTAACCCTACATTCAAGCAATAGTGAACCATTTGTAGTATTGGAAAACATCATGTTATTCTATACCCAGACTTCCATTTCACTGGGTGGGCAATCCATTGCAACCCACATCATAAGTCCTGGAATTGTTTGCTAGAAATCATCCTAGTTGCCTTCATCCAAGTATCCTGAGTAACACAAGGCTTGGCACATAGTAGATCCCAATAGTTTTTGTTGAGTAGATAATTCAGTATAACCAGGCAGTTCTGAAGAATAAAATATGGCAGGCACACTGTCACAGATCTTTGCCTGGGAGAGATGAAGACATGTTCAATGTATTCTAAGATCACAGGATCAAAAATGAACAGAGGTTAAAAACAAAAAGACTGACCACTTCCAGGAGTGGTGAAGACGAGGAGTCATTAGAACTCTCATACCCTGCTGGCAGGAATGTAAAGTGGCACAACCACATGGAAAACAATTTGGCAGCTTCTTAAAAAGCTAAACATATACTTACCATACCATCCAGCCATCCTAGTCCTAGGTATTCACTCAAGAGAAGAGAAAGTATATGTCCACAGAGATTTGGTACACAAATGTTCATTGAAGTCTTATTTGCAATAGCTAAAATATGGAAACAATTTAGATGTTTCCAGTAAAACAACTGGTGAATGGATAAACAAATTGTGGTACATCCATACAGTTAAACACTTCTCAGCAATAAAAAGCAATGAACTATTGATACATGCTACAAAAAGGATGAATTTCAAAGTAATGATGCTACGTGAAGGTAACCAGACAAAGAAAGAGTATGAACTGTACGATTCCATTTATTCATAATTCTAGAAAATGCAAACTAAGGATAAAAAGCAAGCTAGGGCTTCCTGAGAATGGAAGAGGAAGGGGTAAGAAGGAGATATTATAAAAGGGGCATGCGAAAACTTTTGGAAATGATGAGCATATTCACTATTTTGATTATGATGGTTTTGAGGGTGTATAGGTAAGTGAAGATGCAGCTAACTCTATACTGTATGTGCTATTTGTTGAATTTCAATTATACCTTGATAAAGATATATAAAAGTAAATAATAACTGAGCAAGGCATATGCTTTACGAGAAAACAGTCATTGTGGTTTGGGGAAATCACAATGAGACACTAAGAAGGTAATGGGAACACTTTGACTTTGGAAGTGTAAGTTAGAGATTAAGGGTGGCATTTCAGAAAAGGAAAAATATAAGAAAAATGTCTAACAGTCAAGACTGTCCAATGATAAAATAAACTGGCCTTGGAGGTAGTGAGTTCCTAGTCCCTGGAAGTATTTAATTTGATGACCATTAAATAGCCCTTGAAATGGATTCTCGCCCTGGTTGGCCAATTATTTTCTATGAGCCCTAAGATTCTTTTAACCTCTGATACTTACTTGTTCACCAAGAAGACACTGGCAGGGAATATTTGCTGGTAGCAAACTCCCTGTCACCGATGCTCATGAAAACAACCATTAGGAATTTTCCTCAAGAATAAAAGAAGTGAAAATAATTCAAAGGCTTGGGACTTCAAAGAAGTCGAGTTGAAAGGAAATCAGTTCTTCAGATATAGGAATTACTAGTGAGTACAAAGAGAAGAGTGAGCGATGGAGCTTTGGGGAGAGGGCGGCCGGGTGGCTGAAGTCTGGGTGTGAGAATATCAGGGAGGGGAGTAGGCACTGGGGTTTAGAAAACCCAGGGGGTGGCTATAAAACACAGAACTGGAGTCGTGAGCAGGGATTGGGTGGCTCGGGTCTTGGGATGCTTCCTCACAGATGCTGTCGGACTTGCTGTGGAAATAACTTCCCAAATAACAAAACATATCCCTGTGTTCAAAAACTTCCAGTAGCCTCCTGTTGCACTTAGAACACCATTAAAATGATTTACCAGGGCTACAGAGATACTGCTAAGTGAAAAGAGCAAGATGCCAATAAATGGGTAACAAAAATGCAACGGTTTTAAAAACAAAGATAATGAAAATTCTTTTACCACGAATGTGTATTCTATCTGAGCATTTTGCACAAGGGTATCAGTCTGGATTATTAGACTGAATTAAAACTTCTCCTCAAGCCTGGCCCAGGTCCCCAACAAGCCCCACTCTGGCATATGGCACTGCTCTGAGGGGGAGACAGGGATAATTGCTGGAAGCAGAGGGTGTCCGAAGAGGAGCAGTTGTGACCCCCACCAGCCACCTGGATGAAGCAATTAAACAATTGACTGAGTGAATCTAACAAATGCCAAAGGGATGAAAATTGATTTGGGTAAAAGACAAATGAGGTCAATTTCCTCATTTCTGAAAACCAAGGTGAGAGTTAAGGACAGACCCTTCCCCAGATTCCACATTTCTTCCTTAGTCCATAAAGGAGAGGATATCGCTCTTGTCTTGTGGGAAGAAAGCTGCCAACTCTTTTTACCCATGAGTCCTCCCCAAGAAAAGAAAGGATGAATGTAATTGCTCAGAGAACAACACTCACCGGAACATGGCTTACTAAAGGGCAGGGATAGGGTATTGCAGGGTTAGGGCCCGCCACTTACCACTTTCTCTTTGCATACCTCCCAGACACCCCCCTTTCTCCCTCTTCAGTGCCCTATAGGCCTGTGGGCCTCACCCCTCGATGGCTATCTCAAAGTCAGACCTGACCTGTAAGTCAATAGTCTTTGGCAGATGTACAGAACTGAAATTCGAATGGCGAGGATGGCAAGAAAAGCTGGCAACTTCTATGTACCTGCAGAACCCAAATTGGCGTTTGTCTTCAGAATCAGAGGTATCAATGGCGTGAGCCCAAAGGTTCGAAAGATGTTGCAGCTTCTTTGCCTTCGTCGAGTCTTCAATGGAACCTTCGTGAAGCTCAACAAGGCTTCGATTAACATGCTGAGGATTGTAGAGCCATATACTGCATGGGGGTGCCCCAATCTGAAGTCAGTAAATGAACTAATCTACAAGCGTGGTTATGGCAAAATCAATAAGAAGCAAATTGCTTTGACAGATAACGCTTTGATTGCTCGATCTCTTGGTAAATACGGCATCATCTGCATGGAGGATCTGATTCATGAGATCTATACTGTTGGAAAACACTTCAAAGAGGCAAATAACTTCCTGTGGCCCTTCAAATTGTCTTCTCCACGAGTTGGAATGAAGAAAAAGACCACCCATCTTGTAGAAGGTGGAGATGCTGGCAACAGGGAGGACAAGATCAACAGGCTTATTAGAAAAATGAACCAAGGTGTCTACCATGATTATTTTTCTAAGCTGGTTGGTTAATAAACAGTACCTGCTCTCAAATTGAAAAAAAAAATAGTCTTTAACTTGGTGAAGAAGGTGATATGGTTTGGCTCTGTGTCCTCACCCAAATCTCATCTTGTAGTTCCCATAATTCCCACGTGTTGTGGGAGGGACCCAGTGGGGGATGATTGAATCATGGGGGCAGGTCTTTCCCATGCTGTTCTCATGATAATGTGATAATGAGTAGGTCTCACGAGATCTGATGGTTTAAAAAACAGGAGTTTCTCTGCACAAGCTCTCTTTTTGCCTGCTGCCATCCATGTAAGATGTGACTCACTCCTCCTTGCCTTCCACCATGATTGTGAGGCCTACCCAGCCACGTGGAACTGTAAGTCCAATAAACCTTTCTTTTGTAAATTGCCCAGTCTCGGGTATGTCTTTATTAGCAGTATGAAAATAGACTAATACACAAGGAGTAGGAGGCTAAGATCTGTTTCTACTCATAACACTTCTGACATCAAATGTGTGGGTTTTTTTCCATACCAACACCCAATGATCCAACTCTTCAGACAACCAACTGGGTGTCCAAGGACCCAGTTCTAACACCAACTACCCAGAATTTGCATCAGACCCCACAGGTTAAGGGCTCAGTCCCACAAGACTGCTCCCATTTCAGATGCTAATTGCAAGTTCTAGGTCTCCTGTACTTCTAATAGACCAGCTATAAATAAGGGGTTCCCCCACCAGCACCCCCATGTTCAATGGTTTGCTATGATGGCTACTGGAACCCAGGAAAAACCATTTATTTACTATTACTGGTTTATTATGAAGGATACAAATGTACACCAGATGAAGAGGCACACAGGGTGAGGTCAGAAGGGTCCTCAGCATGGAGACATCTGTCCCTGTAGGAGTTAGGGTGTGCCACCTTCCTGGCACATGGATGTGTTCAACTCAGCAGCTCTCTGAGCCCATCCAGTTTAGGGGATTTCATGGAAGTTCCATTACATAAGCATGAAAGATTAAATCACTGGCCATTTGGGATCAGCTCAATCTCCAGCCCCTCTCCCCTCCCTGAAAGTTCCAATCCTCTAATCACATGATTGATTCCTCTGGTGATCAGCCCCTATCCTGAAGCTAGCTAGGGGCCCACCAAGAGTCACGGCATTTGCATAAACTCAGGTATGGTTCAAAGTCTTATTAAGAGTAACAAAAGATGCTCCTCTCACCCCTCTGACTCAGAAAATTAAAATGGTTTTAGGGCCTCTCTGTTAAGAACTAAGGAAGAAGATCAAATATATATTTTTTCTTCTATCACAATATCACAGAGGGTCTACTCAGCCTCAGGCCTAGCCATGTTCCCAGTCGAGGTTTGAAACCCTTCTTTGCAACTTGAAACCCTGCTTTGGAAGTGTTAGGGGTGGGGAGGTGCTGCTTTGTGTGGAAGCTCCTTTGTCAGAATCCTGGAAGGGAAGAAAAGGGACTGGTAGGATTTGTCCGCCATGAATTCTTAGATAGTAAGAAAAATTAAAAGGATGATACAAAGGAAGTAGCAAATTAGTCTATGCATTAAAATTGGCCTTAGACACTCTTCTGTCTTCTGATAGCAACAGCAACACCACCACATGCCACCATGAGGCACATACTGTTATCCCCTTTCCACATATGAGTAAGAGAAAACAGAGTTAAAACAACTAAATATCCTGACTTGATCATTCCATGACTGATCATTCTAGGCATGTTACAAAGTCTCACATGTACCCTGCAAACATGTGAAATAGTATGTACCCATACAAGAAAAAAAGTTCAAACAAAAATTAATTAAAATTTCTAAATAAATGTCTAATTAAATAAGTAACACAGTAGAGAACAGTGGGACCAGGTAAGTTCCAGAGAGTGTTTATCGTTGTTGCTGTTTTTCTTTGTGTTTTTGTTGTTATTGTTGTTGTTGTTTTTTGAGACGGAGTCTCGCTCTGTCGCCCAGGCTGCCTCTGTTGCCCAGGTTGGAGTGCATGGCACAATCTCGGCTCACTTCAAGCTCCACCTCCCAGGTTGACACCATTCTCCTGCCTCAGCCTCCCAAGTAGCTGGGACTACAGGCGCCTGCCACCACGCCTGGCTAATTTTTTGTATTTTTAGTAGAGAACGCGTTAGCCAGGATGGTCTCGATCTCCTGACCTCATGATCCGCCTGCCTCGGCCTCCCAAAGTGCTGGAATTACAGGCGTGAGCCACCGCACCCGGCCTGTTGCTGTTGTTTTTTAAGACAAGGTCTTGATCTGTCACCCAGGCTGGAGTACAGTGGCACCAACATGGCTAACTGCAGCCTTGACCTCCCAGGCTCAAGCAATCCTCACACCTCAGCCTCCCAAGTAGCTGAGACCACAGGCACGTGCCACCATGCTTGGCTAATTTTTTAATTTGGTAGAGTCAGGGTCTTACCACGTTGCCCAGCCTGGTCTCAGACTCCTGGGCTCAAGTGATCCTCCCACCTTGGCTTCCCAAAGTGCTGTAATTATAGGTGTGAGCCACCATGCCCAGCCCCAGAAAGCTCTTACTTACTGCACTATTCCACCTCTTTGAATGCATGAAGGGATGTTCTAATTATTATTATTATTATATTATTATTATAGTTTTGAAAGAGAAAGACACTAAACTAAGGAGGCCCAGTGGCTTATCTAAGCCAAAAATAGTCAGGGAAGTGCAGAGAAGGCAGTGTGGTGTAGTGGGTAGCACTTGGGACTTGGCCCCTGAGGATCAGGGTTCAAATCTCAGTTATACCATGAGCTTCATCCCTTCATCTGGGAAACTGAGCATCCTGACAAGGTTCAGACAAGATCATACACATACGAGCACTTCATGCATGCAATATTATGTCTGGAAAGCACAGACTTTGTATGTAGTGGTTTCTGTTGTCACAGCTGACCAACCTTGAGTTGACCCAGTGGTTCTCCACCCAGGGTGGTTTTGTCCCCCAGGGGACCCCGGGCAATGTCACAATTGACATCCAGTGAGTAGAGGCCAGGGATGCTGCCAAATATCCTACAATGCACAGGACAGCTCCCTGTAACAAAGAATCATCCAGCCCAAAATGTCAGTCGGACCCAGGCTGAGAAACACTGGTTTGGAATAAATCCATGGCATTTATAACAATTCGGGAGTAGAGTAGATGCTCAATAAATATTTGTTGAACATATGAATAAATAAATAATCAAGTTCTGCAACGTTGCCTACAACGTGGTTATGTGAGAGCAATGTTAGAGTAAGTAAATGGGTGGTAAATAAGCCAGCAAGACTGAGGGATAGGCAACATCCTTGCTACTCAAACTGTGGTCCAGCAGCTTCACCATCATCTGCACACCTGTTACAAACGGAGCATCCCAGGTTCCATCCCAGACCTAGTGAGTCAGAATCTGCATTTTAACAATATCCCCAGAGAACTCATAGGCACATTCAGGTTTGAAAACTACCATCCTAGAGTCTGCATTTGGGGGCAGGTTATATCCAATAGCAGCCCTAGTTCCAACCGATTAGTGCAGAAACTAAGGCCTCTTTAAGATCAGTTCTGCTGAATCGTCCCTCTTGGCTATAACCCAGCTCTATCCACAGGTGGTATTTCCACCTGGATACTCTCCATTTGGATAAAGAAGAACATGTCCCCCAGGCACTGAGCAGGGCCTTCTCTCTCTTTGTTCACAAAGTAGAGCAGTGAGTATAATGAAATATGGCACATCATCAATACCCCCTATGCAGAAACTGCACGGGATGCTACAGCTGAAAGATTCCTTGAAGAGGAAAAGAAAATGGTATTGCAACTTTTATTTGGAGCTTGATTACTTCATTGTCTTTTACCCTCCGGGTGAAGGGGCAGCCAAGAAAAACAAATTCTGCATGACGCTATGAGCTCGGATCCTTGGTTCTGAATGCTGCTCAGACTTTGTCCTGTGGCACCAGGAAAGGAAAAGAGGTGCTTTGCATCAGCCACAAAGCCAAACATTTCCCCCAGTCAGGATGATCATATTCTTCCTTCAACTACTAACAGGTCATCAGAACTCAGTATTTACTGAGCATTGACTAAGTACCATGGCACTATTCTGAGTATTTTACATATATTAATGCATTTAGTACTTACACACCCTATGAGGTAGAAACTACCAAATTCTTCATTTTATAGATAAGGAAGTTCATGCATAGAGAAGTTAAGTAACTTTCCTGAGGTGAGATAGCTAAAAAGCAAGTGGTGAAGCTAAGACTGGAACCCAGAAAGTCTGGCTTCAGAGCCAGTGTTCTTAACCCTTCAACCCTACTGTTTACATTTTAGATTTTATAAGAATAACTAAGATGAAATCTCTGCTCTGATGGAGTATTCAGCCTGGTAAAGGGAGACAGATAAACAGATACAACACACATATCAGGCATTTAGAGCAAAGACGTACTGTTGTCTCCGTTTAGTACCACTCGTATTATATCTCTCATATTATTTGTCCTTATTTATGTGTTTGAGACGGAGTCTTGCTCTGTCGCCCAGGCTAGAGTGCAGTGGTGTGATCTTGGCTCACTGCAGCCTCTGCTTCCTGGGGTTAAGTGATTCTCCTGCCTCAGCCTCCCAAGTAGCTGGGATTACTGTCATGCGCCACCACGCCTGGCTAATTTTTGTATTTTTAGTAGAGGTGGGGCTTCACCTTGTTGGCCAGGCTGGTCTTGAACTCCTGATCTCAGGTTATCTGCCTACCTCGGCCTCCCAAAGTGCTAGGATTATAGGCATGAGCCACCCTACTCAGCCTATTTGTTCTTACTCTAATTTGACTCAATGATTTAGAATCAACAAGCATGTTATAACATGTCAGGTACATACTAGATAGTCATTAAATAATAGTTGAGAGAATGAATAAATAAAATAATTAATGGCCAGGCACAATGGCTCATGCCTATGATCCCAGCACTTTGGGAGGCTCAGGCAGGAGGATCACTTGACCCCAGGAGTTCCAGACCAGCCTGAGCAACACAGCAAAAACCCTGTCTCTACAAAAAAAAAAAAAAAAAAAAAAAAAACACAGAAAAATTAGCCCGGGATGGTGGTGCATGCCTGTAATCCCAGCTACTCAGGAGGCTGAGGTGAGAAGATGACCTGAACCCAGGAAGTCAAGGCTGTGGTGATCTGTGATCCCATCACTGCACTCTAGCCTGAGCTAGATGAGATGAGAGTAAAACTCTGTCTAAAAAAATATATAATAATAATAATTAACAAATGAACATGGTCCTTCAACATGTTTTCAAGAAAGTAAGGCGCTATGTATGGCAATAGGCTCTTAAAGGAAATACCTGCTTTTTACTTTCTATCCAGCACTACCCCCCAACCTCCCTCCTTAATCTGTGGAATTGCCTCTTTTCCCAGTTCCTCCCATGTTCTTCCCACTGGAGCTATAATAGCTTTGCATTGCAACACCTCTGGCCTTAGCTAACTGGCCATGGGTGAGCTCCTGCCAATGAGTTATCTTCTTTGGGAATTTTGGAAGCAGGAGAAAGAAGATCAGTACAACTTTTCCAAGTAGTCAAAGCTGTACAACGAAAAAAAAAAAAAGATATCTGTTGGTCGCCACATTTTCTTTTTTTTTTTTAATTTTTTTATTATACTTTAAGTTCTAGGGTACATGTGCACAACATGCAGGTTTGTTACATATGTATACATGTGCCATGTTGGTGTGCTACACCCATTAACTCGTCATTTACATTAGGTATATCTCCTAATGCTATCCCTCCCCGCTACTCCCACCCCACAACAGGCCCTGGTGTGTGATGTTCCCCTTCCTGTGTCCAAGTGACCCCAGGAAGGCAGCTCGTCTGTATCCCAAGAGCTCCATAAAGCTTTATGCTAATATGCAGCTAAGAGCCAAAGATGAGAGATGGAGAGAAATTACTTCTGACATCGTTCAAGTCTCTGTTTCCAGACACTTAACCTCTGAGGTTTCATTTTCTCTTTCATAAAACGGAGAGAGTGTGGGAGGATTACATCCTGCAAGGCTACAATCCTGCTGTTCAAGGAAGAGGGGCTCTAACCAGGCAACCATGTCCAAGTAAGGGGAAAGTTCACTCACTCCCCTCTATTCAAACTCAGAGCCTCTAGCACCAGAGTAAAACCAGTTGAAGCAAATTCCTTTTGAGCTTGAGCTCCACCAAACAGCCCTCTAATTCTAGAGCACAGATGATATGCCCTGACTGGTGACATGAATGGGTAAGTTTCTGTAATGGGCATCTCATGTTTCTCATGAACAAAACGGCATGCTAAATTTACACAACTGGCCTCCTGTGTCTTCGGATGCCATGAGCCCTTTCTCAGGATCTGCTCACCAAGAGGGGCTCAGCATTCAAATTTTGCTCCCATAGGGCTGAAAGAGCACACTCACTTGGCTTATTCATACCAAGCATCTAGCATCTAGGAAGATGGTTTCCAGACCCATTACAAGGCTACGATGCTCTTCACTGAAGAAGCACAGTACCATCAGTGAGTTCCAAAAGCACATCATGGCTCATTGCAAACAGCCCTTCAGATTCTCTAGATATCTGTTTTTCACATCTTGCTCTGAACATCCTCGGAGGCCACTGAGAAAAAGGAGGAAGTTTAAATGAGATGGCTCTTCTGCAGGCTTCAACCGCAGCAGCTCCATCTGACATGCTTTAAATATTTCAGTTTTGCATATGTCATGTGATACATTCGGACATTTTCTATTTTCTTTCTTTTTTGAGACAGGGTCTCACTCTGGTCACCCAGGCTGGAGTGCAGTGGTACAATCATAGCTCACTGCAGCCTCAGTTTCCTGGGACTTAAGTGATTCTCCCATCTCAGCCTCCTAAGTAGCTGGCACTACAGGTGTGCACCTGTATGTTGTACACCACCATGCCTGGCTTTTATTTATTTTTTTTGTGTGTGAAACGGAGTCTTGCTCTGTTACCCAGGCTGGAGTGCAGTGGCACAACCTCGGCTCACTGCAACCTCCGCCTCCTGGGTTCAAATGATTCTCCTGCCTTAGCCTCCCAAGTAGCTGGGACTATAGATGCGTGCCACCATGCCCAGCTAATTTTTTGTATTTTTAGTAGAGATGGGGTTTCACCGTGTTAGCCAGGATGGTCTCGATCTCCTGGCCTTGTGATCTGCCCACCTCGGCCTCCCAAAGTGCTGGGATTTCAGGCGTGAGCTACCACATCTGGCCGCTAATTTTTATTATTATTTTGGTAGAGACAGGGTCTTACTATGTTGCCCAGGCTTGTCTTGAACTCCTGGGCTCAAGCAATCCTCCCACCTCAGCCTCCCAAAGTGCTGGAATTGCAGGCGTGGGTCACCATACCTGGCCCTACTTTATTTTTTTTTAGAATAGAAAAAGCAGCTATGGCCCACAAAATTAATATCATGATCCCCTAATGGGCCCCAACCTGAAGTTTGAAAAGCATTACTCCGGCATGCCCACAGAACACGTTCCAGCTGGGATTTGCATCCAGTGAATTCATTAGGTCAAAGGTTACCAACCAGTTCCCACAGAGAGCAAGGGTCCTTTGAACTTAAGCCCCACATGACCGGCTAGCATAATGTTAGAAACAAATCCTAGAAATTTCATCTCCAGAAGCTCTAAATGGAGACATATACATTCTAAGACTCTAGCCTTGCTTGGGGAGAAAAAAATAAATAGAAGGTTATGTGGCACAGTGTCTGTATTCCCACACAATTGCAACTAGCAGGAGCGGAAGTAGATGTCTGATTCCCTCTACTCTCTCCCAAAATATAAGTTCTGAATGGTAAGCAATCCCAAGACCACGTGGTCTCACCCCAGGGCCTCCAATTCCATCCACCTGCCAAGCCTCCTGCTGAAAATCCCCTCTCACCATGGATTCTGCAAGTCTGGCCAGCTGTCCTTTTGATAAATGCCCTTTGCTAAGACGCAGGTCAGTGTAATTTTCCAAAAGGTTAGGAGGAGTGACTGCTCAGAGAGGGCTCGCTTATTATTTCAAATGTCACCTATCCCATTCTCTAACATTTACTGAGTTATTTACAACTTGATTCTTGCTGTACCTGCCAGTATGTCTGACCTGCTCCAGTCTCTCCTCTCGTCACTGTCTCTATAGCCCTGAAACAGGAGCTAGAGACTAATGGCCTTGCCTCTGAAAGCCAGGGTGGTTTCTAACCTAAGATAGGGAAACCACCCTAATAGGTAATTTTTGCACCAAGTCATGCCTTAAACGTCGATGAAATTCACCTGTTTTGAGGCATGCATGGTTGTTGATTGTTTCCATGGGGCTGCAGATGTTTAGTCCATTTTCAATTTGTTCAGCCAGATTAAAAACCCAATACTAATGTTTAAACTAGCAAACCTCAAAAAGACTTCATTCATTTCTCCTCTAAATAATATGGGGCATTTGTTTGGGTCAGTAATTTCAGTTAAAGAAACTTTTTGGGGACAACTATTTATCCCATACGCCTGTTGAAGTTATAATAAAAACAGTAACAATCATGATAACATAAATGTCTGTCAAGTATTCAGTGTCTACTATGCACCAAGCATGATGCATGGTATTCAGCCTTTGGCTATATATAAATATATACCGCTAGAGAGAGTTTTATATATAGTTATATCAGCGGTCCCCAACCTTTTTTTGGCACCATGGACCAGTTTTGTGGAAGATGATTTTTCCACAGACTGGGGTCAGCAGACAGGGTGATTGTGGGATGATTCAAGCGCATTACATTCATCATGCACTTTATTTCTATTATTATTACACTGTAATATATAATGAAGTAATTATGCAACTCACCATAATGTAGAATCAGTAGGAGCCCTGAGCTTGCTTTCCTGCAACTAGACGGTCCCATCTGCAGCGAGACAGTGACGGGGCATTAGTTTCTCATCTAGGAGCTCGCAACCTAGATCCCTTGCACGTGCAGTTCACACAGGGTTCCTGCTCCTACGAGAATCTAATGCCGCCACTAATCCGACAGGAGACAGGGCTCAGGTGGTGATGCCAGCAATGGGAAGCAGCTGTAAATACAGATGAAGCCTCGCTCGCTCGCCGCTCAACTTCTGCTGTGTGGCCTGGCTCCTGACAGGGCACAAACTGGTACCAGTCTATGGCCTGGAGGTTGGGGACCCCAGGTTTATATGGTCATACATAGTTAATATTAGTTATATGTATAGTTTTATATGTATTGTTATGGTTTTATATATACATATGATCATTTAACTCACAACATCTCTGCAAGTTAGATATCAGATAATTATTTCCCCTTTACAAATAAACGAAGGCTGAGAGCTTCAGTGACTTTCCCAGGGCCACTCACTCATGATCAGAGCCAGGACTAGATTTCAGGACTGTCCGTACTTTATACCCTACCCACTGCCTCTCAATCATTATACCAGGAACCATCACTTTGGAGCCAGCATCTATGCCCTTATACACATCAAAGCACTGAGATTACTCAACAAGCCAACTTTGAAAATTACCTTTGTCATGAGCTTTCTTTTGGTCTAGAATAAGAATTCTGGAACTTGAGTGAATCTAGCCTCCTTCTTCCCACAGGACCAGGAGATCTTGGTCTCATGGCCTAACGTCGTTGAATAGCTTGACACTGGAATTAGATTAACCAGGATTTGAATCCTGCTTTCCCCATTTACTGGTTACAAGATGTTGGGCAAGTCACAAAACCTCTCTGAGCTTTAGTTTCCTCATCTAAAAGAAAGGCAAAAGCTAATAATTTCTGCCTCATAGGATTATGGTGTGGAAAAAGTGAGGTTCTACATGTAAAGCTCCTGTGGCTGGAGCTGTGATAAATAAATGTTAGATACTGTCATAATTAACTATCTGAAGGCTGCTGCTTCAGGAGCTGTTAGAGCCATCTTACATAGCTTCATTCTTACAGACTGAAATCTGTAAAAATAGATCATGATACCTTTACATTATTGGGACAAAGTTTTTACCCTTCATCCCACCCTATCCACCACCCACAATGCCACCACCCCCTCCTCCTCCTCTGCGGAGAGAAGCCATCCTCCAGGCTTTGAAAAGTGGGGAAATGAAAAGTTGCAGAGTTGACCCAGGAAAGCCCCAGGTTGTGTGTCCCAGGCTTGTCCTAAGAGGTGTCACCTTCATCTGCTCTAGGACCTTCTGCTCCTCAGCCCACATTGGTAAGCATTTCCAACCCCTATTAGACTTACTCTGGGGTCTTAAAAATATACATTTCACTGATTTTACTGCGCATGTTCTTCCCTGCCTCTTCTTCCTCACATGCCCCTTCCTCACTTTTGTATCTAGGATAATTAGGTTATATTTTGACCTACGAGTGCTCAGACCTAGCCAGCACTATCTGCTGCATTATCTGCATCACCATCCTGGTTCAGAACCAAGTGTGGGCTGGAAGGAAGGACTTCAATGCTCCCATCCCAATAAATACTTATTTTCTGATCGTAACACTCTTTGTGAAACATCAGATCTATACTGGTTTCCTAGGGCTGCCATAACAAATGACCACAAACTTGGAAATTTAAAGCTTCCAAGAAAGAATGCTTCCTTGCCTCTTCCAGTTTCTGGTGGGTCCAGGGATTCCTTGGGTTGTCTGTTTTCTCCTCTCTGCGTCTTTTCCTTATCTGTCTCTTATAAAGACATGTGTCATTGGATTCAGGTCTTTCCCTGACAATTAGGATGATCTCATTTCAAGATCCTTTACTTTGCTGAACAGAGGTTACTAGAGGGTGGAAAGGGTGGGGCGGAAGGTGGGGTATAGGTATATTGTAAAGGATATAAAATCTCAGCTCAGGAGGAATAAGTTCTAGTGTTCCATAACACTGTAGGATGACTATGGTTAACAATAATATATATTTTCAAATATATATCCAAATAGCTGGATGAGAGGATCCTGAATGTTCTCAGCATAAAGAATGTTTTAGATTACGGATATGCTAATTACCGTGATCTGATCACTATACATTGTGTATATCAAAACATCACTATGTATCCCACAAATATGTACAATTATGTGTCAATTTTAAAAAATGAATAACAAAAATATTCTTAACTTGTTTACATCTACAAAGACTCCTTTTTCAAATAAATTAACACTCACAAGTTCTAAGTGGGAATATCTTTTGGGGCCACCATTCATCCTATTCCAAGATCCTAATGAGTCCCATGAGACCTGTGGCATGCCTTTCTTTCAGCATCCAGCTCACCTCACTCCTTCACCAAAACAATGCCAAGAATGAGAGAAAAGCTTCCATTCCATTCCACAAGCCAGATCTTCCCATTCCATTCCCAAACTCCACATTTTGCAGAAACCCAACCCTGGTAGAGGGGGTTTGGGGAGTGATATGGGGAAATAGAATAAACTTCCAGGAATAAAAAGGTCCCCTGGTCTCCTCCCTAAGTCATCGGCTTCCTATGGAAAAAGGATCACTGCATGGGACACGCTGCCCATCCCATTATTCACTCTCTCCAGCGAGGCCGAGGCTGAGGAATAGGCAGAATTTGGCACTTTCCAAAAAACATTTAATATTTACCTTCTAGGAACAAAATTTACATTTTCAGATAAATCTAGGAAGTGCTGAGTTAAATAAATTCAGGCAGGTTTCTCTATTGCAGGACTGGAGCTCTCAATACAATATACTATGAATAGAGGTAGAAACAATTTGCATTATTTCCTAAATTTACAAGATCAGAGAACCTGTTTATTTGTGAGGCATCTGATGGCCTTAGTGTTCTTCCAAATACACAATGGGAGACTCTGGTGTAGATGATTCTATGCAATAAGTAGCTGTCAAGCCATCAGGGACATGTAAATTAAAACTACAAAAATACACCTCTTTACACTCACTAGGATGACTATAACCAAAAAGGCAGTAACAACCACAATTGTATTGGTGAGGCTGTAAAGCAACATGGGCCCTCATACTTAGCTGGTGGGAATGTAAAATGGCCAGTTGCTTTGGAAAAAACTTGGCAGTATCTTAAAAAGGTCAAATTTACCTATGACTCAGCAGTTCCCACTCCTAAAAATACGACATATGTGCACACATAAATGGTTATATCAGCTTACTCATAATAGCCCCAAACTGGAAAAAACCCAAATGTTCATTCACCGGTGAGTGGATAAATAAAATGTGGTATATCCATACAATGGTATTATTATTAGCTAGTAAGAAAAAGGAGTGAAATACTGACACATGTGTGAACCTCGAACACATTATGCTAAGTGAAAGAAGCCAAACACAAAAGACCGAATAGTATATAATCCCATTTCTATAAAATGCTCCAAAAAGACTCATACAGAGAGACGACAACTAGGTAGTGGTTGGCAGGGACTGAGGATGGATTAGGGATTCACTGTAAATGGGCATGAAGGATTTTACTGAAGTGATGAACGTATTCTAAAGCTGAATTGTGGTGATGGCTGCATAACTCAGCAAATTAACTAAAAATTAAATTGCACACTTAAAATGGGTGAATCTTGTGGTAGGTAAACTACACCTCAATAAAGTTGTTTATAAAATGTGCTATCACGGATGGATGAAATAAAATCGTATTAACCTACAAAAGATACCTATCAGGCTATTTTCTCAGCCCTACGCTTGTCCAAATGAAGGTGCTGAGCAATCAGCTTTGGAAGTAAAGTTTCAAGAACCAGGTTTGTCATCATAGTTGGGAAAGTTGAGCAAGCTGCATAAAGTACCTAACCATGAAACACCTACCTGTGTTTTGAAGGAGGCATTGAGGTATTTTCTATTGAAGGATATCCCCCATATGGAGGAATTTGCAAACTGAAAACACTTGTGATGAATCCCTAATTTCACTCTGTACCCTGGACAAAACAAGACCCAGCCCATAGAATTTATTTAAATGGTGGAATTGATTAGAATTCCAGGACCAATGCGAGAGAAGTTCTAAGGGAGAGAGATTGGGCTCTTTGATCTGCCTGGTTCCACTCTGACTTCATTCTAATTAGCAAAGCTTTTGAGGCAGACTGATAAGCATTCCGGGCACCGCACATGTCTGGCCACTGGCTAATTAATTAATTTTTGACTTTGAACAGTGACACTTAATTTGAAAACTTTCTACCATCCATGGATGAACGTGGAAAAGTAGGGCAAAAAGATGTAAAAATATGCTAAAGGTGCCATTTCAAATCCAGCTGATTTCCAAGAGGGCAAAATGGGTCAGTGAGTTAAATAAAGAGATGGACTGTGGGGAAGGGACAGGGGAGGGTGTGCTATGCCAGCTCTGCTTCTGCTGTGCTGTGTGTGTGGGCTTAGCCATCGATCCTCTCTGTTCTCTCAGTGTTTTCTCAGTCATTTTATTTGAAAATTAGGCGTCTCCTCGGCACCCTCATTTATTGAGAAATGACTGTGTGCATTGCCCATAGAGAGAAAAGGGGCAGAAAACAAAAACCATTTACAGAGAGGAGAATAGGAGGGTGGACAAAGCTTATAACTGCGCAGAGAGTTTAAGTGAACACTGTTCAGATCAGAGGTCTGCAAACCACATCCCAAAGGCCAAACCAGCCTCCTACCTGTTTTCATAAATATAATCTTGTTGAAACACAGCCATGCCCAATTTGTATATACGTTGTCTAGGGTTTTCATGCTACTATGGCAGAGCTGAGTTGGTATGACAGAAACTGTACGGCCCACAAAGCAGAGAATATGCACTCTGTGGCCCTTTGCAGAAAATGTCTGTCAGCCCCTGATCTAGATGGAGTCAGAATTATGCCTTCTTGGTGTAAGTAACTAAAGGGACACCCAGAAATCTTTTTTTTTTTTTAATCTTGAAAGCGCTTCTTTTTCTAACAAGGAGGGAGCTAACGTTTTTCTTAGCACCTCTGTGTGGCTGGTGCAAGGGCCCTTTCTCAAAGATTAGCCTCATCCCAAATCTTTGAAGTAAAGATGAACATGCTTATGTCAGAAAAGGCAACTGAGAAAGCTAATAACTTACCTGCAAGTTACAGAACTAATGTTTAAACCAGACTTACTTATCTGCAATATGATGCCTCCCTGCTATGTCAACATTAAGAGGAAGATTTTGGCAAGAGCCTCTGTCTGACATTCCCTTTGTAAGGGTCAAAGGGCTTTGGGAATAGACTTTAGAGTAATATATTTGAGCATATTTACGCAATCATCTGTGTGCCCACTCTATACTCCAAGCTTGGAGAGAAACCCTTCTATTAATCCCCCTTTCAAGCAGGTCTAAGTATCCCAGACCATAATATTTAACAAACCTTTATCAAACAGTTGGGGACTTCAAAATTTTTCACAGAGAGAAACTCATCGCTGTCACTGGAGTTACTGCCTCTCCAATGGAAACTCTAAAAATTTAGGTCCTTAATCTCCCTAGACCCAGATGTAAAAAGAAGTTCCTTCCTCTCTCAGCCCAAGGTCTTATTTCCCGTATCAGGATGGATGGCCATAGGAACAGACCCTTTCTTCAGAAGACACCCCCACTCCAACCACACAATGGTCTTCATCCTCCAAGGTACAGACAAGGCATTCAAAACATCTACAGAGTACTTCTAAAAGCATGGTTCATTCACTACCCTAAGGGCTATGCCAAGACTAGTCTAACTCAAGTTCAAAGTCCTTTTTCCAGCCTAAAATGGAGACATCAGGTCTGATTATATTTCCCTCTCAGCAAGACTCTGTTCCCCTGATCAACTATAAACAAACTTTTGGAAAAAGAAACCCAGACTTCTCGCAAGCAAGTAAGCTTCAGGTATCATTCAACCGAAATCCAATTTGAGAGAGTAGCAAGTTTCCTCTAACTCCACAAAGGCACAGTCCTGCTAAACATAATCTCATTTTTCATCATTAAATAGAACTCTGAGTATTTCAGGCTGTAGCTTCTGCATTTAATATTGACAAAGATTACTAAGAGCTCATATGGCACCCATGTGCAAATTAGAAAACAGCACCTCCTCTCGGCAGGTGCTTCTGTTAAAATTAAAGTGGTCCCTTCTCTGGGTGAAGATGCCCCACCCACACTGGGATGCAAGGCTGGGCAAAGAGAGCAAGGGCTGGGCTTCAATGTCACCATTGTGCAGTGAGCAACCTGCGCAGCCATCCATGACTGTACTTGGTTTTCTCGAGGAACACTAGTCATTTTCTTTACAACTGGGCCTTATATCCAAAGGCCCATTCTGATGACTTTCATAAACAAAGTTGCCTGTAAAATGTAAAATTGATATCCACCCCTAAAGAAAAACAAATGTTGAGATTTTTCTACAAAATAATTTGAACAACCTGAGTTGAATTCACAAGTCAGCCAACCGCCAGCTGTGTGATTAGACAAATTCCCTGTTCATCCATAAAACGGAGGCATCAATCCCCGTACTACTGAGATCTCAGGAATCCCAGCACTTTGGGAGGCCGAGGCAGGCAGATCACGAGGTCAAGAGATCAAGATCATCCTGGCCAACATGGTGAAACCCCATCTTTACTAAAAATACAAAAATTAGCTGGACGTGGTGGTGCGCTCCTGTAGTCCCAGCTACTCAGGAGGTTGAGGCAGGAGAATTGCTTGAACCCAGGAGGCGGCAGTTGTAGTCAGCTGAGATCACGCCACTGCACTCCTGCCTGGTGACAGAGCAAGACTCCATCTCAAAAAAAAAAAAAAAAAAAAGGAATACTTAAAATCTCTAAATAGACAATGCAAAATGACTTGGTAAACATAAAACGGTCTGTGGATATTAAGCAGTAACCACATAAAAAGACAGAAACAGCAAATGGTATCATTGGTGCTTCCATGGAAAGACATTTCTCTTATTCTTGATGTTTTTGGCCACAGTATTCTTCCAGCAAAAATCTGAGAAGGGCCATTACTTGTCCCTGATTTTCCAAAAAGGTCATCCAAGCAATAAAGGGTTTCCAATGTGGAAGATAATTAGCTCCCAGAGCCTTCCCATTCCACCTGATCAATTAGACTAAGTACTAAACACTCCCAAGCCTGAAGTGCATAAAATTGAATTGTATGTATGCTTTCCTGTTATAGAATGGTAATGTGCTGCTTTCAGAATCTCTCACACGAGCTGGGAGTAATCGGAAATTTTTTTTTCAAGCTACCTCCCTGCCTGGTGATAAGGCACCGGCTAGCTGGATGTGTTTGACTAGGATTTTTAATTTCTTGGGGGGGAAAAAAACCAACAACTGCAATATGGGTTTTTGTTTGGCTCATCAGTGTTGCTTTAAAGACTTCTGTGGAATGCCCAAATTGCAACTGGGCTGTCTTAACAGTGCCTTCCACCGCTGGAATCTGCAATCCAGAATCAGTGACTGTGCCGGGGATCAGCACCAAACGCAAGGCCGGCCCATTTTTCTTTGTCAAACGCTCCCCGTGACAGGAGGAGATGTTAGACAGCAGTGCAGGATTTTTCTTAGCAACCCACCCAAGCATAGATGTACCCCTCTCTCCTAGGAGACAAGTTATTAAAAAGATGTATTTTTGAAAGCAACCTTCTCTGCATGCAACATCAGTGTCAACAAATAAAGGGGGAGGGAAGGAAAGGCAAAGGGGGAGGGAAGGAAAGGCAAAGGGAGAGCTGTCCAGAGAGAGGAAGGAAAATGCCTCTGTGGGCACAGTTTAAGAAATGATCAATGCATGTGTCAAAGGCTGTGATAAGACACACTGAGCTTATCAAAAACGGAAGCTCCAATGACAGAGTTCACATGTGACAGGAAGATAAGAGAAGCCGGGTTTTTCCTCTCCCTCTTTTCTCTCCCCAAAGACCCTGTTTTAATTTCCCACTCTGCATGTTACATTTTCAGGCCCAACAGAGACCACCTAACCTCGTTCAATTCCTTTTCTAATCTCACTGTAAATGTTTCCAGGAGACTCTGATTTGCAGACGCTGACCTCAGTGATATTTGGGGAAATAATGTGCAAGTCCCTGTTGGAGATCCAAAACGCAGCTGAAGGTTTCAGAAAACACTGAACATCTCAAAAAGGAGTGTTAAGAACACTGAGCTGGAAATTAAACATGCACATACATCTTGGCTCGATCATAAACACACTCTGTGTTCTTGCATAAGTCACATCACCTACCAGAAATGGAGTCTCCTCTTCTGTAAAGCAGGGAGAGATGGACTGTGCTGTCCTATCGAGAATATATATATATATATTTTTTTTTTTTGAGATGGAGTCTCACTCTGTTGCCCAGGCTGGAGTGCAGTGGCACAATCTCGGCTCACTGCAAGCTCTGCCTCCCAGATTCACGCCATCCTCCTGCCTCAGCCTCCCAAGTAGCTGGGACTACAGGCACCCGCCACCTGTATTTTTTGTATTTTTTAGTAGAGACGGGGTTTCACTCAGAGATGTGTGCCTTGCCCACGGACATCTGGCCTTGGAACTTAAGTTGATGTAGGCCTGGCTTCCCATTGCTGGCATTTGCATCTCTCTGCATAAGGGCCCTCTCAGCTATGGGAGCTCCCTCCATTCACACAGAAGGCAGAACAGAAGTGCCAGTAAATTGATGGTGCCCAGCAATCACATTACTGAGTATATACCCAAAGGATTATAAATCATTCTGCTACAAAGACACCTGGACATGTATGTTTATTGCAGCACTATTTATAATAGCAAAGACTTGGAACAAACCCAAATGACCATCAACGATAGACTGAACAAAGAAAATGTGGCACATATACACTATGGACTATTATGCAGCCATAAAAAAGAATGAGTTCATGTCCTTTACAGGGACATGGATGAAGCTGGAAACCATCATTCTCAGCAAACTAACGCAGGAACAGAAAACCAAACACTGCATGTTCTCAATCATAAGTTGGAATTGAACAATGAGAATACATGGACACAGGGAGGGGAACATCACATACCAGAGCCTGTTGAGTGGTGGCGGGCAAGGGGAGGGAGAGCATTAGGACAAATACCTAATGCATGCGGGGCTTAAAAAACCTAAGATGACAGATTGATAGGTGCAGCAAATCACCATGGCAAATTGTTACATAGGTTTGTTACCTATGTAACAAACCTGCACAGCCTGCACATGTATCCCAGAACTTCAAGTTAAAAAAAAAAAATGTGTTGCCCAGAAGCAGCACCCAACCAATGAAGTCCCACAAAGACAAACAGGATGCTTCCAGAGGTCTTCAGCGAGGCTAAACTCCAGTTGCCCAGAGCAGTACTTGGTGACATCCTTTACTGGCTGCCTTCCCTTCCCTGTCTCACATTCTAACCCTTCTCCCCGCAAAGTATGTCCTGGGATTACCACCCAGACATACTCTCTGTCTTGTATCTGTCCTGAGATCTGCTTTGGAGGAAACCCACATTAAGGCAGTGAGCTAAGAGTTAACTTCAGGCATTAACTTTACGAAAGAGCATAGCTGTATCAATGTTCAAAGAATAATGGAAATGTTTTCCTTAAATTCCCTTTCCTCAAAACATGCAGCTCTAATTCTTTTTCCCATCCAACTCCACATTCCATTCATAACACGAATAATTCTGCATATTTGTGGAGAAGTTTTAACTATTCAAAGTACTTACACATTTAAATGTCCCTTTGAAATTTACAAAAAAAAAAAAAATCTGCAAAATGGGAGAAGCAATAGCATTAACCTCTTGGTAAATGAGATAAACCTTAAAACACAAACCCAGAGAAGTGAGTTAAACTACACAAGGTCACACACCATATTGATCTCCGTTCTCTTTCTGGCCTCAGTGGCACCACTCTTTGGGGTGGCATCACCTGTTGGGGATCATTCAGTCTCAGGAGTAGGGATGGGTTAGAGTCATTTACAAAGCCCACTGCACCCCACCAGAATAGGGACCTACTATAAGAACCCTTTGTGAGGACTGTCATTTTCTATTTCCACTCTTGCACAAGTGATTACTCTAGAAGGGGAGAAAACAGCTGTTCCGATACCACCCTTGATGAGAAAGAAACTGATTGAGCTAGAAGTTTGCTGAGCTAGAGCCAGTCAATAACGTTCAATTCTTTATCTCCTATTCATGGAGTCCCAACACTTTCAGGGGCAAGATGCAAGTGAATGGAGCTTCTTTGATACAGTAATTCAGAGAATAGGACAGTGTATTCACAGGTTTAAATGTCAATGATGAAGACTAATACAACTGAAGAAAAATGAGCCTTGTTTAAAACAAAGAGAGAAGTTCTCAAACTTTAGCATAAATCAGTATGTTACCTGGAGGGCTTGTTGAAACCCCGATTACTGGCTTCCACTTCAGAGATTTTGATTCCAGTAGATCTGGGTAGGGCGTGAAAATCTGCATTTTTTTAAGTTTCTAGGTGAGGCCAAAGATGCAGTCCTGGACACTACACTCTGGGGCGTCACTGCTTTAAGATATTACTTTCCAAATCTGATGTGCATACAAATAACCTGGACCTATAGTTATTATGCAGATTCTCATTCAAGAGGTCCAGGCTGTCTTTCTTTTTTCTTTTTTTTTTTTTTTTTGAGATGGAGTCTCGCTCTGTCACCCAGGCTAAAGTGCAGGGGCCCGATCTCGGCTCACTGCAAGCTCCGCCTCCTGGGTTCACGCCATTCTCCTGCCTCAGCCTCCCAAGTAGCTGGGACTACAGGTGCCTGCCACCACGCCTGGCTAATTTTTTGTATTTTTTAGTACAGACAGGGTTTCACCGTGTTAGCCAGGATGGTCTCGATCTCCTGACCTCGTGATCCACCCGCCTCGGCCTCCCAAAGTGCTGGGATTACAGGTGCGAGCCACTGCGCCCGGCCTCCAGGCTGTCTTTCTAACAAGCCTCCAGTGATGCTGACGTTGCCAGTCTATGGACCACAGAAAGCAATGAGACTCCAAGCCAAGTGTCTCTCAAAGGGATGTTCAACTACCCACCATAGAGTCACAGCAAGCTTATTAAAAATGCAGACCCCAGAAGGAAGACTGGTTTTAGACCATTCAAGCTATTATAACAACTTACCATAGACTGGGTGTCTCAAACATAAATGCACTGTTCACAGTTCTGGAGGCTGGGAAATCTAAGATCCAGGTGGTGGCAGATTCAGTGTCTGTCTGGAAGTCCCCTGGCTTACAGACAGCTGTCTTTTGGCTATATCCTCACCTGGTGGAGGGAGCAAGGCAGCTCTCTGAGGTCTCTTTTGTAAAGCCACTAATCTCATTCATAAAGGCTCTACCCTCATGACCTAATCACCTCCCAAATGCCCCCACCTCCTAATACCATCACATTGGGGATTAAGTTTGAGCATTTAAATTTTGGGAGGAACATAAACATTCAGTCTACAGAAAGACCTACTGAAACGCTCTAGTCACGGACCCAGGAATCTGCTTTTAACAAGCATATTGAGTGACCCTAGAATTTTAATTCATGGCCCTATATGGTATTCCCCAGCCTTGAATAATTATAAGAATGACCTGATGCATATGTTAAAATACAGATTCCTGGCCAGGTGTGGTGGCTCATGCCTGTAATCCCAATACTTTGGGAGGCCGAGTGGGGTGGATCACTTGAGGTCAGGAGCTCCAGATCAGCCTGGCTAACATGGTGAAACCCTGTCTCTACTAAAAATACAAAAATTAACCAGTCCTTGTGGCACCTGCCTGTAGTCCCAGCTACTCGGGAGGCTGAGGCACTAGAATTGCTTGAACCCGGTAGGCAGAGGTTGCAGTGAGCAGAGATCGCGCCACTTCACTCCAGCCTGGGCGACAGAGTGGGACTCCATCTAAAAAAATAAAATACAGATTACTAAACCTCAGGTTAGACTTACTAAGTTGGAGTAGTTCAAAAACAAGCCTGGGACTCTGGACTGTGTTAATCTTCCAGATGAGAAAAACTAGGAAACAGTCTGAGTGTTAGTACTCACCTGCTTTTCACAGTCTGGGTACCACAATCTTCCCTTTAAGCTTTCATAGGATCCTCCCAACTTAGATGTCAACATATAACAACACGTAAAGGAGTTCTTTAACTCCAAAATTCTGACAAAAAGTTTAGTTGAGAATGACAGGACCCATGCTATAAACACACTTGCCATACAGACTTCTGGACGATACAGTATAAAGACTGCACAGTGGGTTAGCACATCAGTGCCCAGTTTTGTCTCTCTGCAAGCAGGGCCATCTCAGGGGCTTGCCTTAAGCCCTGGCTCTCTTAAGTTTGCACCAAAGATGGGATTATTTGAGTGCCTTGGACTCACTAAGTTGCAGAAACCCTCTAAAAAGGGAGAAAGAGAGAGCCAGTAACCCTACTTAGCTTTGGGGTGACACAGTCTTCATGCTGGAGACTAGCTGGGATTTTTAGCTGAGCCAGAGTGAGTTGGGTCATCATCAGTTGGACATCCCTGTGGACATCAAGTCAGTTTCCCTAACCCTGCAAATAGAGAAAGAGAGTGGGAGGAAAGAAAGGAGGAAGGGGAAGGGAGGTGGGAGACAGAAAGAGGAAATTGTGCCCTCATTACAAGATGACATTTGGAATAATGTAGAAATTGAAAACAAACGTCGAACAACTTGCAAATTGCATTTTCCTGGGACTTTTCTCTTGGCATTTTTGTTTGTTTGCTTTAATTGAAAGCTGTGTGTTTCAATGGGCTCACGTGGCATGCCATGATCAGTTATTCCAAACGACTTGGGCTGCATGATGCTCTGTTTCTTGTCAGTTGCAGAGCACATTTTCTGTTTCAGGAACTACAGTACAATCACTTTCTAACTATCATATAGCACCGAAATGGCTTCGGCACTCAGGTGCAATGGCACTTCCTGAGTGATTGGGAGGGTCGTGCCTGGGTCAAAGATGCAGAGGGGCCATGAAAGGCAGATGGCTTCCTGGGTCACTACCTGGGGAAAAAAAAAGTCAGAAAACTGAACTGAAAAAACCAGCTTCGGGGAACAGAACACAGTACTGAGGGGTCCTCTGACCCTATAGTCAGAAAAGCAGGACAAAAGCCTAAGAATGTGGCTGGAGCATTGGAGGAATTGAGGCAAGAAACAGGTATGAAGCCACTTATGTTATTTCTAGACAGGTTCCAACCACCCCATCATCTTTTATGTTCTTGAAACTGGAAGCTTGTACCAATGCATCCCCCAAATGGGAAAAGTTATATAAGATTACTGAACCCAAATATTAATTATTTTTACCTTACCACAGGTAAAAACAATTTAAAGAACACACACACACACACACACACACAAGATTTACTTACTGTGATAAGAGTTGATACAGAAATTGCTATATGATTGACACTGGACCAATAATCTGATTTACTCCTTGCAACCACCATACAATGTAGGTATTATTTCTGTTATTGTTTCCATTTTACAAAGCCAAAAAAACTGACACTGAAATAGTTTATCCAAAGTAACAACAGAAGTCATAAGAGGCAAAGCAGAGACCAAAACCTGGGCTGCATGAAGCCAGAGGTGGGCTTTAGGTATGTATGCATTTATTTATTTATTTTTGATAGAGACTTGCTTTGTAACTCAGGGTGGAGTTCAGTGGCACGATCATAGCTCACTGCAGCCTCGAACTCCTAGGCTCAAACCATCCTCCTACCTCAGCCTCCCAAGTAGCTGGGACCACAGGCACAAGCCACCATGCCTGGCTCAATTTTTACTTTTTATAGAGATTAGCCCCTTGCATTGTTGCCCAGGCTGGTCTTGAAGTCTTGATCTCAAGTGATCCTCCCACCTTTTTTTTTTTTTTTTTTTGAGACGGAGTTTCACTCCTGTTGCTCAGGCTGGAGTACAATGGTGCAATCTTGGCTCACCACAACCTCCGCCTCCCAGGTTCAAGCAATTCTCCTGCCTCAGCCTCCCGAGTAGTTGGGATTACAGGCATGCACCACCACGCCTGGCTAATTTTGTATTTTTAGTAGAGATGGGTTTTCTCCATGTTGAGGCTGGTCTCGAACTCCTGACCTCAGGTGATCCACCCGCCTTGGCCTCCCAAAGTGCTGGGATTACAGGCGTGAGCCACTGCGCCCGGCCCTCCCACCTCTCAACTACTGCTCTAAATTCCCTTCAGTAATAAGATGCAGTCAGAAATGGGAAACCCCATACATTGCTATTTATAAATGTAAAACGGTACAGCCACTTTAGAAGAATAGTTCTGCAGTTTCTTAAAATGTTAAACATAAATTTCCCATATGTAGAAAGAACCCAGCAATATCACTCCTAGGTACCTACCCAAGATAAATGAAATAATATGCCTACAAAAGACTTTTAGGCAAGTGCTCACAGCAGCATTAATCACAATAACCCAAAACTGGAAACAACCCAGATGTCCATCAACTGGTGAGTAAATTAACAAAATAGGTTAAAAAAAATGATAAACAGGCCGGGTGCGGTGGCTCACGCCTATAATCCCAGCATTTTGGGAGGCTGAGGCAGGTGGATCACAAGGTTAGGAGATCGACACCATCCTGGCCAACATGGTGAAACCCCATCTCTACTAAAATACAAAAAATTAGCCTGGCGTGGTGGCACACACCTGTAGTCCCAGCTACTCGGGAGGCTGAGGCAGGGGAATCACTTGAGCCCAGGAGGCGGAGGTTGCAGTGAGCCGAGATCGCGCCACTGCACTCCAGCCTGGGCAACAGAGCGAGACTCTGTCTTAAAAAAATAAATAAATAAATAAATAATAAGAATAAGAATAAACATACAGTGGAATACAATTCAGCAAAATCAAGGAACAGAACACTGAAATATGCTATAACACACATGAGCCTCGAAAACATGCTAAGTGAAAGATGCCCAATGCCAGAGACCACATGTTATGTAATTTCACAATATCAGAAGAACAAAATCTATGAGACAGAAAATAGATGACTGGTTTTGGGACTGGTGATGAGAAATGCAAGAACTACGAAGAAGCACAAGCGATCTTGTTAGGGTGATAAATCTGTTCTTAAGTTGGGTTCTGGTGATGGTTCCACAATTCTAAATTTATGAAAATTCATTAAATTGTTCATTCAAAATGGGTGAATTTTATGATACGTAAATTATACCTCAAGGGAGCTTTTTTAAAAATAAAAATATAAACTCTAAAAATTTAAAAAGAAAATAATTAGAAAAAAAGAAATGGGCTGGGCATGGTGGCTCACCCCTGTAATCCCAACACTTTGAGAGGCTGAGGCAGGTGGATCATGAGGTCAGGATTTCGAGACCAGCCTGGCCAACATGGTGAAACCCCATCTCTACTAAAAATAAAAAAAATTAGTTGGGCATGGTGGCGGGCACCTGTAATCCCAGCTACTTGGGAGACTGAGGCAGGAGAATTGCTTGAACCCGGGAGGCAGAGGTTGCAGTGAGCCTAGATCGCACCACTGCACTCCAGCCTGGGCGACAGAGCAAGACTCCGACTCCGGGGAAAAAAAAAAAAAGAAAAAGAAATGACCATTGTACTTGCTGAACACTTGATCATGATGTCATTTAGTCTTTGCAAAATGGCCTCCGTTCTCCCTCCTCAAGTGCTATGATGTCACCTCAGGCACAGGAATTTTCATTCTTTTAAAACAGGGTCTGACATGCAGGAGCCACTCAGTAAATACTCGCTGCATAGAGCAAGATGGGCGACAGGCAGACACGGATTCATATCTTGACTCAGTTATTGCAGAATCATCAGTTTACTTATATGACTTAAATATATTACAATGAGTAATAATACCTATGGCAGACGTTGCTATTTGGCTCCCCAATATCTGTTTCAATTCCCCTCTCTTGCCACCTTCCACTATAGCAGCTGGGAAAAGTTACTTTCTCAGAGGCCCCTTGCAGCCAGGTGTGGCTCATTAGACTTTAAATGACTGTGTGTGTCATTGTCGTTGGGGATGGAGCGTTAGGAGAGTGATTCTGGAAAACATTTTTACTCTACTGATAAAACGAACAGTGCAGCTGATGCCATTTCTGCTTCCTTCTTCCTGACTTGAATGTAGATGTGATTTAAGGAATGCAGCAGCCATTTTGTGGCCATGTGGAAAATATCACAAAACAAGAAGTTCTGGCCTGTCATTGCTTTGGTTTATAACTCTTTCCTTTTGGGTCTCCCAAACCATATCTAAGTTCTATTATTACATGACTGGAAGAGTGAGGGGCACCTCTGGACAGCCCCTGCTTTAGCCTCAGTTCTAAATATCCACTTAGTCCCTCTTTTCATGGATTCATTGGAAAATCCGAAAGCAGCAGTCCCAATGGGAAATAAATGGGTCTAATTTCAGAAAAGACAAGCCCATTTCTCTTCTCCCCAGCAATCTCATAATACTATGGTAATAACCAATAATGATAGCAGGTAATTAATACATATTCACCACGATCAATGTCTCTCACCATAATCCCATTCGTCTATCCATGATCTTTGTGGAAGAGGAAAATTTCACTGTGAGATATTCCAGAAACAAGCAAATGGTCCTTCCACTGGCTGCCTCAATGTCAATTCTCTCTGTTCTTTCAGAACAGGAAGTCAGAACACCAAGCAATCACAACAGCATGAAGGTCTCCTGCCTTGCTCTACAGAGGGACATCTATTGTTCTGACCTCCAGCAGGTTTGATTTAAACTGACAGAGACAGGTTCCCTTTAGGCACCTGGGAGAATCATGATGCAGAAGGTCCTGGAATCTGATGGTAATTTCCAGTTAGTGATCAGGCAGAATGAAATCCATGGTGCAGTAGGATGCACTCCTAGAAGACAGCTGAGATTAAAGAATGGGACATGGAGCTGGGCACGGTGGCTCACGCCTGTAATCCCAGCACTTTGGGAGGCCAAGGCGAGCACATCACCTGAGGTCAGGAGTTCGAGACCAGCCTGGCCAACATGGTGAAACTCCGTCTCTACTAAAAATACAAAAATTAGCCAGGTGTGGTGATGTGCACCTATAATCCCAGCTACTTGGGAGGCTGAGGCAGGAGAATTGCTTGAACCCCGGAGGTGGATGTTGGATGTTGCAGTGAGCCAAGATTGTGCCACTGCACTCCAGCCTAGGTGACAGTGAGACTTGGTCTCAAAAAAAAAAAAAAAAAAAAAAAGGACATGGGAAGAAGAATTGGGAGAGAGTAGCGAGCAGCTTCTGACATGGCCTCCAAGGACCCCCACCCCCTGGTAGTCTTGCCCTTGTGAAATCCCCTCCCCTTGCATGTGGGCCAGACCAAGTGACTCACTTCTAACAAACAGAATATGGCTAAAGGGATGTCATTTCTGGTATTCGGTGTCTTAGTCCATGTAGACTGCTATAACAGAATACCAGAGACTGGGTGGCTTATAAACAACAGAAATAGTTCTTTCTCAGCTCACAGTAAGTCTACAATCAAGATGATACTGGCAGATTCAGCGTCTGATGAGAACTCACTTCCTAGTTCACCAATGGGCGTCTTTTCACTGCATCCTCAGGAGACAGAAGAGGCTAGGAACTTCCCTGGGGTCCCTTTTAAAAGGGCACTAATCCCATTCATGAGGGCCCTGTCCTCATTAACTAATCACCTCTCAAAGGCCCTACCTCCTAGTACCATCGTCTTGGGCATTGATTTGAACATAGGAATTTTGAGGGGCCATAAACTTTAATCCAAGGCATTGGATTACAAAAGACTGATTTCCATCCTATTATTCTGTCTCTAGCTCTACTCGTGCTTGCTGTCTCATGGTGAGAACCACATTGCAAGGAGTTGAGAGCAGCCTCGGGCTAACAGCCACCAAGAAACTGAGGCCCTCATGCTGACATCTCATGAACTAAATCCTACCAAAAAGCAGAGTGGGCTTGGGAACAGATACTGTCCTAGTTGAACCTGAAGACGATTAAGGCCCCAGGTGACACCTTGATGAAGCCAGTGAGAGGCCCTCAAGCACAGGACCCAGCCAAGCTATTCCCAGATCCTCCACCCACAGACACTGTGTCTTTAAAAACTGCTAAGTAGGCCGGGCGTGGTGGCTCACGCCTGTAATCCCAGCACTTTGGGAGGCCGAGACGGGCGGATCACGAGGTCAGGAGATGGAGACCATCCTGGCTAACACGGTGAAACCCCGTCTCTACTAAAAATACAAAAAATTAGCCAGGCATGGTGGTGGGCACCTGTAGTCCCAGCTACTCGGGAGGCTGAGGCAGGAGAATGGCATGAACCCGGGAGGCAGAGCTCGCAGTGAGCCGAGATCGCGCCACTGCACTCCAGCCTGGGCGACAGAGCGAGACTCTGTCTCAAAAAAAAAAAAAAACTGCTAAGTGTTGAGGTCCTTTGTTACCACAGCAATTGACGCCTAATACAGGGAATGAGTCATGGGGATATTTTTTAAATGAAAAAAACTCCACATACACATGAATGAATGAGTACTCACAACCTTTCCCTTTTCCACACTCTAAAAGGGTTTTTGGTTCATTCTGTTTGGGGGTTGTTTTTGTTTGATTCCGCTTTGGGGGTTTTGCCTTTTGTTTCTTTGTGCTCAAGCAGCTGCTGATCAAATCTGAGCATTTCCTGTGTTAATGAGAACAGTATTGGTAATTATTATTATGCTAATATTTCATCAGCGCTTATAGCAAGCCCTGTGCTGAGCTTTGTAAGCCTCACAACAACCCAGTGAAAAAAGGTACCAGCATTATTCTTCTTTTGACATTTGAACCAGAGCAACTCCATCTTGAATAGGAGCTGGCTAAAATGAGGCTGAGGTCCACCGGGCTGCATTCCCAGACAGTTAAGGCATTCTAAGTCACGGGATGAGATAGGAGGTTGGCACAAGATACAGGTCATAAAGACCTTGCTGAAAAAACAGGTTGCAGTAAAGAAGCCGGCCAAAGCCCACCAAACCAAGATGGCAAGGGAGTGACATCTGGTTGTCCTCACTGCTACGCTCCCAGCAGCCCGTGACAGTTTACAAATATCATGGTAACGTCAGGAAGTTACCCTATATGGTGTAAAAAGGGGTGGCATGAAAAATTCACCCCTTGTTTAGCACATAATCAAGAAATAACCATAAAAATAGGCAACCAGCAGCCCTTGGGGCTGCTCTATGGAGTAGCCATTCTTTTATTCCTGTACTTTCTCGATAAACTTGCTTTCCCCTTACTCTAGGGACTTGCCCTGAATTCTGTCTTGCACGAGATCCAAGAACCCTCTCTTGGGGTTTGGATCAGGACCTCTTTCCGGTAACACTTTCACACGTGAGGACATGGAGGTTTAGAGTGACTATTCTTGCCTGTGTCACTTAACTGGTTAGTTGTGGAGCCAAGGTACAAACCCAGGGAACAAGACTCTACCTCTTCACCATATCACTGAGCTGGACAGAGCTGAAGCAGGGAAAAGTGACAGAAAGGCTAGAATGACTTACCCTGGAAAGGTCAGGGAGCTTCTCTGACAGATTAAAGAAATATTTAAAAGGATACAGTAAGGGGACATGGAACACAAGAGCTGCCCACAGCTAAGTTTATGAGAAAAGTCAGAAGGAGGGAGATTTGGAAGAAACTAATAAGGAATTGGACTCACTGCCCAGCAGGCTAAAGGAGCTGGAAAAGGGAGAGAGGGAAGATAGATGATAGCAAAGAAAGAAGGGAGAGGGAGGCAAAGAAAGTGAGGGAGGGGAGAGATTGATTAATTTAGTTATACATAATCCTGTGCATGAGCCCTTTCAGCAGTTTTAAGAGATGCAGTCAACACTGAAGCTGAGAGGTGAAGCCAGCTGGGCTTGTGGGTTAGGTGGGGACTTGGAGAACTTTTATGTCTGGCTAAAGGATTGTAAATGCACCAATCAGCACTCTGTCAAAACGGACCAATCAGCACTCTGTCAAAACGGACCAATCAGCACTCTGTAAAACAGACCAATCAGCACTCTGTAAAATGGACCAATCAGCAAGATATGGGTGGGGCCAAATAAGGGAATAAAAGCAGGCCACACGAGCCATCCGCGGCAGTAGGCTGTGGAAGGTAGTTCTTTTCTGTTTTGCGATAAATATTGTTGCTGCTCACTAGTTGGGTCTGCACTACGTTTATGAGCTGTAACACTCGCTGAGAAGTTCTGCAGCTTTCCTCTTGAAGTCAGTGAGACCACGAACTCACCAGAAGGAAGAAACTCTGGATACATCTGAACATCTGAAGGAACAAACCCCGGACCCACCATCTTTAAGAACTGTAACACTCACTGTGAGGGTCAGCGGCTTCATCCTTTAAGTGAGCGAGACCAAGAACCCACCAGAAGGAACCAATTCCGGACACAAAACTATTTTCACTGTACGAGATGGGCACTGCACCAGGATCACTTTTGCTCCCTTCATTCTAGGAGTTTCTCTGTGTATCGTTTCTAAGATGCCCTCTATTTCTTTGACTGTTCTTTGTCTTCTGTGTGGATCTGAGCTTATTCTTAATTATCTCCCATTGATGCCACTGTCACCAACCCAGTCCCAACCCTCACCTTGTCTCTCCTGCATTATTTCAACAGTCTCCAAGAAAGCCTTCCTGCCTCCAGTCCTATCCATGGCCTTCCTTTTTTGTAGACTAGTGCCAAGCAATGTAACTGAAGAGACAAATCTAACCAGGATGTTGCTCTGCTTATTTAAACCATCACTGATTCCCTGTTTCACACAGAATCAATTCCAAGCTTCAAATCATTATGGAAAAGATCACCACCTCTTGTTTGGGCTACAGCAATCGTCTCTAAGTGGAACACCAAGCAGTAAACAGTAAATCCCTTCCTCACCTCCTGACCACCACCCCCCCCTGCCCCGGGGGCAGGATACCTCTGCAGAATGGAAAAGCAATCATGTCCCTTCCTTAAACTTCCAGAGGTGTGGTATGCATGTGTAAGCATTACACATTGCAGGCTCAAGCTTCATCCTGTACAATTTGCAAGTAAAAAAAAAAAAAGGCAGCAAACTTTATTTTCCCCGATTTCATCTTGCTGCAAGCACCATTCTGCTAGGTAGTATGAAAAACACTAAACATGCCAGTTTTGATATCGTCATCTCAGGAAGTTTAAAACGGCCTTCAGTTAGTACAGACTCTTTAAGATAAATATTCAATCATCCCAAAGATTTAAACTCCGTACCAGGGCTGTTTCTTCCACACAATGTCACACGGGTATAAGAAAATGTGTGTGTGTCTTTGGATTAGAAGGAGGCCTCAAGTCTACCAGACACATCTTGGGACTTCTCTGGTTTTTTCAACAGTACAGGCAGACTGGCCCATCGCTGCTGTCTCTCAATGTTTGGGGTATCACAGGAGGAGGACTTGTTGAATTCTGTGATTCTGGCCACTCTCCTCGTGTTACAAAGTCCCTATCTACAGAGTCCTTGCTCTGACCCCAGTGGCAGTCCATGGGTTCTCTCAGAATCTCCACATCACTCTGCAGGGATCCAGGCTGCAGGGAACCCGTCCACCCGCATTCCTTCGCAAAACTGAAGGGGGTTTCCTAAAGGATGGGGAAGTGAAAATATTCACTTTGTACCACAGAAAATGAAGAAAGTGCCCAACCGTGCTCTGAAAGGCCTCAAGACTTAGCTTCCAGTTTTGTACATCACTTCTAGCGTATCGTCTTAGAGAGGGCAGTCAAGACACGTATATTTCAGCATTTTTCTTTTTTCAAGACAGAGTCTCACTCTGTCACCCAGACTGGAGTGCAGTGGTGTGATTTTGGCTCACTGCAACCTTTGCCTCCCAGGTTCAAGTGATTCTCCTGTCTCAGCCTCCTGAGTAGCTGAGACTACAGGCATGCACAACCATGCCCGGCTAATTTTTGTATATTTAGTAGATATGGGGTCTCACTGTGTTGGCTAGACTGGTCTCAAACTCTTGACCTCAGGAGATCCACCCGCCTCAGCCTCCCAAAGTGCTGGGATTACAGGCGTGAGCCACCTCACCTGGCCAGCATTTGTTTCTTTTGACTTCAGGTCCTCTCTGAGGACCAAAGAGCCTTCCTCTTGCCACTCAGCACTTCCTCTAGCGCCTCCAGGAGCTGGGGCATGAGGAGGATCTGTCATGAAACTCTATGGTCTAAGTTGGCCAGGCTTGCACATTGGTATGCGAAAAGGCCTTTTGGAATTTAGAAAGGGCAAACAAATGCAGAAGCATTTATCTTGTAATAAAGTTTGGCTTTAAAGATAATTGTCTTGCCATTTCCTGGAGAAAAAAAAATAAGTCATCTTTGAAACTCAACATTGAATGATGAGCTTTGTTCCATTCCATAGCGTCCTCTCCTTCCCTAGGGCAATGTCTCATGGCTTAGCTTTTGTAACACAAGGAGTGCCGAGAAGAAAGAAACTGGCTGTTAAGGGAGTAATTAATCACCAAGAGGTATTTCAAAAACATTAAACCTATCATATTTGTTGTGTGTACAGTTTGTACATATGTGTGTGTTTGTGTGTATTTGTACACAAATGGTCCATGTTCTACACCATGGGTTTCCAAACTATGCCCCACAGTCCAAGTCCAGCCTGCCTCCTATTTTTTGTTGTTGTTATTTTAGTGTGTTTTACAATTTTTTTAAATTGTGTTGAAATACACATAACAGGCTGGGCATGGTGGCTCAGGCTGTAAACCCAGCACTTTGGGAGGCCGAGGCAGGTGGATCACGAGGTCAACAGTTGGAGACCAGCCTGGCCAACATGGTGAAACCCCATCTCTACTAAAAATACAAAAATTAGCCAGGCATAGTGCTGTGCACCCTGTAATCCCAGGTACTTGGGAGGCTGAGGCAGGAGAATTGCTTGAACCCGGGAAGCAGAGGTTGCAGTGACGTGAGATCATGCCACTGTACTCCAGCCCGGGTGACAGAGCAGGACTCCATCTTGGGAAAAAAAAACACACACACACACACAACATAAAATTTACCATCTAAGTCATTTTAAGTGTACAGTTCAGTGTCTTTAAACACACTCATAATGTTGTACAACCATCACCACCATCCAACTCTGCAATTCTTTTCCTCTTGTAAAACTGAAACTCCATACCCATTAAACAACTCCCCATTTTCCCCTTCCCTCAAGCCCAACAACCACCATTCTATTGTCTCTATGAATTTGAATATAAGTACCTCATACAAATAGAATCGTACAGTGTTTGTCTTTTGTGACTCGCTTGTTTCACATGGCATAATATCCTCAAAATTCATCCATGTTGTAATGTATGTCAGGATTTCCTAAGGCTGAACAATAGCCTATTATACATACGTACGTAGCACATCTTGCTTATTCATCCATCAGTGGATGCTCTCACATTTTAGCTATTGTGAATAAGGTTGCCACGGAAGTCGATGTAAAAATAATCCCTTTGAGACCCTGCTTTCATTTAATTATTTTTTGGTATGGCTAGCAAGCCGAGAATGATTTTTACATTTTCAGATGATTGAGGGGAGGGGGAACAAAAGAAGAAGAGTATTTGGTGACATATGAACAACTTTTGAAATTCCAAGTTCAATATGTATGAAGTTTTATTGGAACACAGCCATATGAATTCCTTTGTGTGTCGTCCATCGTTGCTTTCACACACGAGAAAAGAAACCATACAGACCACAAAGCCTCTTACTATCTGGTCTTTTAAGAAAAAGTTTGCCAACCCCTTTTGTATACTGGTTGGCACTTTGTTTTTTTATCTTAAACATATGTTGGAGATCATTTCATATCATACTCCTCCTACTTGAGTCTACTTCTTTCAAAAAGGTTGTTTCAGAAATTTGCTGTTACAAACAACACCATAATGAATATTCTAAGACATCTAGCCTTCTATATATAACATGTCTCTCTCTGAACCTCCCATCCCCTACATACACACAGACACAGACACACAGACACACACAGAGACAACCATGAGCCCCTTGAAAACAGTGACCTCATCTATTTATCTTTATGGTTCCAGAGCAGAACTAAAGAAAAACATCAATTGCTTTCTTTCAATACATTTGTTTTTTTATAAACATAAAATTAAAGACTACTTAGAATCCTCTCAAAGTTGAACATGGTTCAAACAAAAGAATTTGAACTTGAGAAAATCCTGCATTTTTTTAGTATGGAAATCTATCTTCTCCACCATTCTTTGTATTCCTATTTGTCTCCTCTGCCTTCTTTTTTTTTTTTTTTTTTTTAGCAATTTGACTTATGTTTAGCAGCCATTCCCCAAGATAGCATATTCCTCTGTGACAAGATTTAATTAAACTTCCAGCAAAATAATTAGCAAGGCTATCTTAAAAGACCATTTTAAAATACCAGAGTGATACCAAGGAGTGAATAGAGTTAACACTGTCATCAGAGATCAAAGCCATCAGAAGACGTGACTGAAAATTTAACCTCCAGCAGCCGCCTGATGAAGAGGTACACATTGGAACAGTTGTGATAGCCTCTCTCTCGGGTCCCATCGACAAATTCATTTGACATGGAAAATTTCCCAAAGGAAGCTTAAAAATGGTAAATTTCCATTAATTACATAGCAAAGAATGTACTCTTCATATTTTATTATCCATTAGGAAACTTTGGAGGAAGGTGTAACTGCCTCTTATAATGTAGACTATCCTTCTTTACTTGGGGATACTGATGAGATTAGCAAACAGCTTCTCAACTAATGTGAAGACTTATTTGGAGAAAGACACTTTGTAAAAACTACCTTGACTGTGATGGTGGTGACCCTGGGAATGGTTGTGGTGGCTATCTTGGCGAAGAGCCCCATGGCGATGGTGACAATTCCAAGGCTATTAGCTTGGTGCAAAATTGCAGTTGTCATTAAAGTAATACCAATTCAGGACCTACTACCCTCCACCTGGAATCTCGGAGAGAATGAAAAAAGCTGAAGGGATCCAAAGCTAGAAGACTTATGTTCGAGCCTCTGCTCCACCAGTCAGTCACTCTGTGGTCACGAGGAAGTCCCTTTTCCTCTTTAAACCTCATTATTCACCTGTACACTGGCTATCTGGTATGGTTTGGACCTGTTCCCCTGCAAATCTCTTATCAAATTATAATTCCCAATATTGGAGGTAGGGACTGGTGGGAGGTGACTGGATCATGGGGGCAGTTTCTCATGGTTTAACACCTTCCCCTTTGGTGCTGTCATTGAGATAGCGAGTTCTCATGAGATCTAGTTGTTTGAAAAGTGTGCAAAACCTCCCCACTCTCTCTCTTCCTCTTGCTCTGGCCATGTGAGGTGCTTACTCCCCCTTTGTCTTCCACCATGACTGTAAGTTTCCTGAGGACTTCCCAGAAGCTAAGCAGATGCCAGCATCATGCTTCCTGTACAGCCTGTGGAACTGTGAGCCAATTAAACCTCTTTTCTTTATAAATTACCTAGTCTCAGGTATTTTTTATAGCTGTGTGAGAATGGACTAATACGGTGTCATACTCTCCTCCTTACCTGTTTTGCACAGTTGTGAGGATAACAAGAGATGTTGTTGATACTCAGTGTGATGGTGACTATAGTGATTCTATACAGCAAATCCTATTCTTGTCTTTTTCACCGTCTTCCATGAACATATCCACCTACAGGCAGCCCCAAGAGATCTAGAAGTGGAAGAACAAAGGCCAGATTCTGGTTACTTTGCAATTAACACAGAGATATGGGGGCTCTCATTTCTTCCTTACAGGTCAATAGCTCAATATGGTACCTTAATTCTTTTCCTGTGTTAGGAATATATTCATAAAGCCTTATTTACTCTTTGGAGATGTAGTATGAAGTACTTCCAAACAGTACTACTTCCAATAATTGGTGGTGACCAATTATTGCTCTTTTTATCTCTAAAAAACTAAGAAAATCCTAGTTATCATTTCATAAAGAGATATTAAGACTGGATATTTAAGCATTTATTGTGTATCGGCCATGGCACTGAGTACCTTTGAAGCCAGTATCATTATTATTCTCCATTTTATGAATAAGGAAGTTAAGGATGGTGCATATTTTTCTGCACCTGCAATCTTTTAAAAAAAAAAAATCCCTGCCTCACACCCACTATGCCCTTCCCCTCTACCTCAGTCACTGTTGTTCCTCTTACCAACATCAACTGCCCCATGAATCAGAGATCTACAGACCCTGTTCCTAGTAACACACCTTAATAAGCACTTAAACAGTCCAATGGACTAGCGCATGTAATGGACCTAGCTTGTTACAAAAACCACAATGACCGTTTAGTACATGGTAGCTGCAATCTAGCCCTGTGGTCCAATTCAGGAGCTTGGAATTCTGCATTCTTGGTTCAAACCACTTATAAGAAGAAAGACCTTAGCCAACCAACGTTGTCATTTCTTCAAGACTCGAGTTCTTCATGGAGATAACAATATATCCACTCACTGGGTTGTTGGGAGGATTAAATGGGTTAGATACATGTAATGTGCTTCGGACCCTATCTGGTACTGTAAGCAGCCCATACATGCAACTTCCACTACTATTATTTCCTGACAATGCAAAGCTTCTATTAAGTGAGTTTTTTTCTCCTGATGTGCTGTGTTCATTCCAGATAAACCAAATTAACCTTAGGAAGCTTATTACCTTTAAATCTTGATTGCAAACATGCTCCCTCCCCTCTGGCAAGACTCTCTCATCCTCTCAAATCCTCTGTTAATATTTCTGATTATTTTTTTCTTAAATAGGGTTAGATTGTTTTCCTCCCAACAAGCTCAGTAGAAAAATAGACATGAGGGAAAATCTGTTTTAGCCATTAGCTGTGTCTCTAATGCTGCCAGCGACCTCGGTGGGGCCCTTGCTGACCCTCCTTACCTCCCATCTGCATGCAGATTTCCTTTAATTTTAATAAAAACAGTAGGAGGTCAATCGACCACAGCCTGTGACCTCGCCAACAAAACAAGCCCCCAACATGGGACTCAAAGTTCAGGGAGCTTCCAAGTGCAATTTAAAATAAATGCTCACATAGAGCTATGGTCAGCACTCGGAATTTGTCTCAAAGTGATTTGCATATTTAGAACAATATTCTCCAATGCTTTGGCCCATTGGGGAGTGATTTGCATTCAGGGAGGAAAGGCTAATATTCTAGTCTTAGCAATTATTGAAACACATCCAGTCGGTACTCTAATAAATTATCTTAACCCAATTACTAAAAACATTGCAAAACATTACTGTGCATGGAAGACCGTTCTGCCCAGGAATCTTTATTGGCAGGGTAATTAAAAGCGTACTAGCTATGGCTTCTGCTCAAATATTTGGGGATGTTTTGTGCCATTTGAATTAGCTCTCTTGGACTGAGAAAAGAGATATCTGACAACTACTTGCTTTATTTATCTCTGCCTTCCCCACCTCCTTGCTTTGGGGACCACTCATAATTAAGGTCCCCTTCCCACATCAATGCCACCTACAACTTCCTTCCTACCCTAATCCTCCTTGCAGAAAAAAGTACTTACATAGGCCCAGTCCCTCCCCTTCATGCCTGCTATCTTTTATCAAAGCAAAAGATTTTGTTAGCCATTATGTAGTGGGTGCCTGCTATACATCAGAAGCTTCTGCATTATGAGAATAAATCCTACAGTAACATTTCGGGGAATGGTATTCCTATTCCATGCATGAGAAAAGTGAGGATTAAAAGGTTAAGTGAATTTCCAAAGTTCGCACAGCTGATGAGTTGCAAGATCAGGATCAAACTAAGGGCTGGTGGTTCCAAGGTCCTCCTTTCCTTCCCCAACAAGGATTTATCCACTGCTTATATGTGCCAGGTACCATGCTAGGCCCTGGGAATAAGGTAGGAACGACATCAGGCAGACTCCCTGCCCTTGCAGATTTTTGTATCCATTCATCCATCCTGTGTATCAGTCAGGGTACCTCAGTTATGCTGATGTAACAAGCCCAAAATCTCAATGGGAAGTAACAAACATGGCTTTCTCATTCATGCTTCATGTCCATGAGGGTTGACTTAGCAATTCACATGTCCACATCTACCTTTAAAGTAGGTGGGAAAATATAATCCTACCAGAGGACTGGAAGTCAGAAAGTTGGAAATATTTGATAAAAAGCATTAATGACAACCTCAGCTCCTGTGACAAAGGGGAAGGAGTCCTTTTTCAGAACAGGAGCTAGGAGCTCTCCAGTGAATTTACAATCAAGCTGCAAAGCTGGCCGAGTTCCCCAGCACTCTACATACAAATCCGACATTCATCTCCAAACACCATCTTTGTCAGACCACAGAGACCCCTGGCATCAAACCCTGCCATGATCACAGGGACATGCAACACACACTCCCTCATAATTAGGCTCATCTTCACACCCCCCAGCATGCGCCAGGCAGCTGGACCCTGAGCCAAGATATGAGGGTGCAAATGAATCCAGCCTGGAGCATAGAACAGAGGTGGCCAGGGCCGCTCTGCCTGTTGAATTAACTCTTTAGAATCACTTTTTTTTTTCTAGATCTGGGCGTCTTTGGCAGACAGCCACACAGATATGGTTCTCCCTCCATCTCATTAATGACATGGTTTGCTGTAAGTTCTCCTTTCACCACAGCCTAGACACTGGGCTCAAATACATCATCTAATTTAATCTGCACAATGATGCAGACAGGAATATACTAATGACTTCATTTTACAGATAAAGACACAGGATCTGAAAGATGAAAGAAACAGCTCAAAAAGTGGCAGAGCAAGCCTTTGAACCCAAGTCTTTGTGATTCCTGAATACACAGCAGCCTGGAGCTGCCAGATTCTTGGTCAGGAGCATCATAATAAAGACTCTGACTCCATGACCCTTTGTGTCATGGGCTAACCAGGACAAGAGACAAACAAAATGTTCCAGGATCCAAACCAGAAGTGACTGATCCCAATTCTAGTCCAAATCCCCCGGCATGCAACGTGAAAAAAAGAAACTAATTTTCAAGCACCTACTTTGGGCCAGGACACCAGACAAGTCCAGACTGTGAATCCCCGTAGTGCACATGGGCTAGGCCCACAGTATCACCACATTTAATCTTTCCAACATCATTGCAACTTGAATATTTTAAGGATAAGAAATCTAAGTCTCAGAGGGGATGAGCAGCTTGCACAAGGCCATACAGCCTGTAGGAGGCAGAGCTCATACATGAATTCTGTGCTGCCCAACTTCATGTTTTCTACTCCACTATGATGCTTGTTTTTAAATCCCAGGAGAAAGCCAGGAATGCCTGTTGGGAAGATTCCCACACACACGACTCACACAAACATGGGCTTTTCTATGATTGTCTCAGAAATAGCACAGCATCAACCCGGAAATAGATTTGAGGTCTTCCCCCAAGTTGAAGTATGCCTCACTCCAAACCAAGTCCATTAGTTTGCTAGGGGATCGCAATAACATTACCAACAACAGAAATAGGAAGAAGAGGAGGACAGACAAAAAGAAGGATGAAAGAAAAAGGGGAAGAGGAAAGAAGATGGAAGAAGAGACAGGAGAAAGATGGAGAAGGAAGGATGAAGAGGAGAAGGAGGAAGAAGAGGAAGAAAGAGGCAGGAAGAAAGACCATTATCACCCTCCCCCCGCCCACCACCACCGTAATTAAACATTAAGTACTAGGCTCTGTTCAGAGACTTTATGTGCACCAGCTCATAAATCTTTCCCAGAAAGCTCCAAAAGGTAGGGAGTACTATTATTCCCATTTTACAGACAAGCAGAATGAGGCTCAGAAAGGTCAGGAATTCTTCCCAAGATCAGCCAGCTACTAGGTGGAAGAGCCAAGCTTCAAACCTACGTCTGAATGCAAAATCCATTCCATTAACCAGCTCCTGCATCTTCCTCTGAAGAAAAGCAGGAAGAGCTTCATGTGGACCAGGGCTTCAGGGGACATAACCATGCTTCCTGCCAGGAAAAAAAGAAAAAAAAAAAAAAGTAGGAACAGGGTTGGTTAGTTTCCAAAGAGGATTCCTGTTCAACATTCTGCTTGCTGCCTCCCCACCCTCCTCTTGGTGCCCCACTGAAATTTCTTTTCTGGTGGCCACGTCCCTCCCCAGCTGCTCCCCGTGACGGCCAAGAGCAACTGGCATCTGATTATGGCCCCCCTCTAGAGAACTGCTTCATTCCTCACATCAAGGTGGGGCTATCTCTGTGCTACATTTGAGCCCAGAACTCCCCAAGGGACCAGTGTGAAGCTTCTCCCCATCCTTGCTCAGCTCCTCCTTCCCCTTTCTCCTGAAAACACTCCCCGGATAAACTGCTTGCCCCCGAATCCCTGTCTTGGGCTCTGTGTCTGGAGAATTGGACCTTAACCCCACGTCTCCTGCTCCCATCTCTGCCTCTGCTCACTTGGGGCTCTTGGACACCAGCTTCTGACTTCTGCTACTCGGCCTCAGAGGTGGGAGAAACAGGGGAGAAGGCAAAGTGAGGCACTCAGGGAGCCAAGGAGGCTGGAGGCACAAAGGCAGGCGGCTGAGGGGGCAGCCAGCTCGACCACGCAGGCAGTGCCCGGCCGCCCCCACGTCAGCCTGCCCTTGGCCTCGTGCACTTTGGATAATTAAGAACAGATGGCCCATCGCCTTGGCCAAGCCTCATTAACTCCTTAATGCCGTTCTTCTGGAGGCCGGATGGTCAGCCGGAAAAGCTCGCTTTGGAGGTCATCTGATTAAATGATGCCCGGCCAGAGGGCTGCCCAGTCCCTCTTCTCAGGCTGGCAGCTGCCCCGGTTGCTTCATTAGAGCTGCCATTGTGACCAGATGGGCCAGGAAAGGGGCTGGGGTGTGCTTAAGTGAGGGGAATGCGCTGAGTGAAAAGGCTTAGGAGTCAGGGAACATTGCCCTGAGGCATTGGGCAAGTCACTTAATCTAAGTCTCAGTTTCATCACCTCCCAAATGGCTACAGTCATAGCAATAACAGGGCCAGGCACAGTGGCTCGTGCCTGTAATCTCAGTACTTTGGGATGCCAAGGTGGAAGGAGCACTTAAGCCAGGCATTCAAGACCATCCTGGGCAACGTAGCAGTACCCTGTCTCTATGAAAAACAAACAAACAAAAAAAATAGCTGGGCATGGAGGTTCACACTTGTAGTCCCAGCTACTCAGGAGGCTGAGGTGGGAGGATTACTTGAGCCCAGGAGTCCAAGGCTGCAGTGAGCTATGATCACACCACTGCACTACAGCTGTATAATCACCACTGTAGCCTGGGCAACAGAGTAAGACCCTGCATGTAAAAAAACTATTTTAAACAATAATAGTTGTAATATTTTTCTAATGGCGATTATTTTTTCAATAATAATTATTCTAGTAATAAAAATAATGTGCCAAACACTTTACATGTCATCTCAGTTACTCTTCACAACTGCCCTTTGAGATGGTACCTCTTATGATCTGTACTTTATGCATGAGAAAAGCTGAGGCTCAGAGAAGCTAAGTAACTTGCCAAGTTTACATACCTGGCAAGAGTCAGGCAGAATTTGAACCCAGTTCTGGACGATTCCAGGGTGCCTGATCTTCACCACTGTTTTGGCCTGCTATAACAAAATATCATAAACTGGGTGGCTTGTAAATAGTAGAGATTTATTTCCCACAGTTCTGGAGGCTGTAGAGTCCAAGGTCATGGTGCTACAGGATAGAGGGTCCTAAACATGGTAGAAGGGCAAATAAGCTCCCTTGGGCCTCTTTTTTGAAAGGGCATTAATTCCATTCATGTGGGCCCCATCCTCATGATGTAATTATTTCCTAAAGGCACCAACTCTTAATACTATTGCATTGGGAATCAGGCTTCAGCATCTGTATTTTAGGGAGACAAAAACACTCAGACCACAGCAACCAGCCTGCCTGTCTTACAGGGAGATACCCGTCTCAAAGGAAAACAAGAAGCTACAAAAGCATTCCCTAGTCCTTGGCACAGGAAAAAATCTTTGACTCCCTCCAAAGAAAACTTTAAAACCCATATTCTTTATTTTGTCTATTTTTCACCCAGACTATCTTCTCAAACCTAAAAATCCTAGGCTTATATTGAAAACTTCAGGTCCCCATTGTGGAAAAGAGTGTGGCAATTCCTCAAAGATCTAGAACCAGAATTACCATTTGACCCAGCAATCCCCTTGCTGGATATATACACAAAGGAATATAAATCATTCTGTTACAAAGATACATGTACATGTATGTTCGTGGCAGCAGTATTCACAATAGCGAAGACATGGAATCCACCCAAATGCCCATCAATGATAGACTGGATAAAGAAAGCATGGTACATATACACCATGGAATACTAGGCAGCCATAAAAAGGAATGAGATGATGTCCTTTGCAGGGACATAGATGGAGCTGGAAGCCATTATCCTCAGCAAACTAACACAGAAACAGAAAACCAAGCGCCCCATGTTCTCACTTATAAGTGGGAACTGAACAATAAGAACACTTGGACACAGGGAGGGGAAAAACACACTGGGGCCTGTCGGGGATGGGGTCGGGTTAGGGAGAGCATTAGGAAAAATAGCTAGTGCATGCTGGGCTGAATACCAGGTGATGGGTTAATAGGTGCAGCAAACCACCATGGCATGCGTTTACCTATGTAACAAACCTGCACATCCTGCACATGTACCCCAGAACTTAAAAATAACTTTTTTTTGTAAAGAAAACTCCAGGTTCCTTGCAATGCTTCTAGCTACCTGGAACAAGGGAAAGAGGACACATGCACATCTACACATTTTGGATAAAGTTGACTAAGGAGAAGACTGAGAACTGACCACGTCTTTGGTCAATGAAAGAACCCAAGAAGCTTACACACTTGTGCCTCATTTGAGAATCCTGGGCACGTTAGGAGAGCGGCAGGTGGGCAGAACATGGGCAACAGATGTGGGACTCGGGGAAAAGCATACGGCTGAACTTGAGGGAGCAGGAACCCACTTTCTACACACAACCTTGGGATTGGCTGACTCCAGCAGGATCTGGTGCCTGCGTCTGGGCACAAGCACCAGAGACCCACAAAGGAATGGTTAATTCTAGTCTCTGCTTTTGAAATTCTAAAGTGCTGTGCCAGAAAATGTTTTATTTCTTGAGCTAGATAATTGTTCCATGGGTGTGTTCTGTTTGTGAAAATTCATTGAGCTGCTTACTTATGTGAATGTACTTTTCTGTTTGTACAGTATACTTCAGAAAAGAGTTTTTAAATGAAAGAAAAATGCCTCTGATGAAAAACAGAAAGTGCTTGGGAAAGCCCAAACTGCTACTCAGGTTAACTGTTTTGATGTTGTTAGCATGTTTTAAGCCCCTCCTCACCCTTATCCAGCAAGTCTGTTCCTCATCTTAAAACAAATGGGCACTCAGCTTGCTGAATATTGGCTTGCTTTTGTCTCCACATCTGTGCAGGAGAGTTCCCCCAAAACCACCTCTGGAAGAGTTCATGAGCATCTTACAGGCAAGACTTTATTACTCTGTATTCTCCAAAGGCCTTTACATGACAAAGATGTTCTCTTCCCTCATCACTTTCGCTCCTTGAAGATGGAGACGATGACATGGTTTAAGCAACTGGATGGAGTTCCTCATTCTGGCAATCACAAGATTCGTTGCCAAAAATGCTGAATGCTCAGAGCATTGAGCTTCCTCCAACCCACTCCTCATCCCAAGCATCTTCTCCATATTCTCTGCTTTTGACTTGACTTCTAAGTCCAGTTTGCTAATTCCATTTGGATCTGCTAATTCTTCTTTCCATTGTTCCCCACCTCCTCCAACTTCAAATCACTCTCTCCTCCAGTGGTTCCCATCACAATTAGCCTTCAACCAGTTGTCCAAGGCAAAACCTCAGAATCTCCCTAGATTCTGCCCTCTCCCTTACATGTAATATTTAGGTCCTGAACCCATCTGCTTCTCCTTACCTCCACAGGCATCACTGCGATCCAGGCCACCTCTATGATTACCATAGCTCCCAACTTACCCTCCTTTCAAACTACCCTACATCCAACAGCTAGGATAAGCTTTATTATTATTATTATTATTATTATTATTATTATTATTATTATACTTTAAGTTCTGGGATACAAGTGCAGAACGTGCAGGTCTGTTACGTAGGTATACATGTGCCATGGTGGTTTGCTGCACCTATCAACCCATCATCTAGGTCTTAAGCCCCGCATGCATTAGGTAATCGTCCTAATGCTCTCCCTCCCCTTCCCCCACAAACCCCCGACAAGCCCCGGTGTGTGATGTTCCCCTTCCTGTGTCCATGTGTTCTCATTGTTCAACTCCCACTTATGAGTGAGAACATGTGGTGTTTGGTTTTCTGTTCCTGGGTTAGTTTGCTGAGAATGATGGTTTCCAGCTTCATCCATGTCCCTGCAAAGGACATGAACCAGAATGAGCCTTTTAAAATGTAAATCTGATGAAAGAAGTTCCCTGCTCTGATCCTACAATGGCCTTCCCATCTCACTTACGTGTGATCACCCTTGCAAGACCTAGACAGGTTGATATCTGCTTAACCACCTCCAGACCAGCCTCTCACTCAGCCCCAATAGCAGAGGCGAATTTCCATTTCTTGATCACACTCAACTCATGACTCACGTCCAATATACATATACCTTTTGCAGATGCTGTTCCCTTGCCTGCAACACTTTACCCTTGGCTTTTCCATAGCTGGTGACTTTTCATGTTTCAGGTCTCAAAGAAAGGTGACCTCCTCAGAGAAGCCTTCCTTGACCACCCATCTAAATTGCTGTCCAATTATTCTTCATTGCATCTTCTCGTCTTATCTCCCTCATAGCACTTAATCAGAAGCTGGTATTTTTTATTTGCTTACTGTACTATCTGTCTTTTGCCCAAATAGTAAGGACCATGACACCAGAGGCCCTATCTTATTCAATGCTGAGCCCCTGGTGTGTGGCATGCAGTCAGGGCTTTTTTTTTTTTTTTTTTGAGACAGAGTCTTGCTCTGTCTCCCAGGCTGGTGTAATCTCGGCTCACTGCAACCTCCGCCTCCTGGGTTCAAGCAGTTTTCCTGCCTCAGCCGAGTAGCTGGGACTACAGGCGCACGCCGCCATGACTGGCTAAATTTTTTTGTACTTTAGTCGAGATGGGGTTTCACCATGTTGCCCAGGCTGGTCTCCAACTCCTCAGCTCAGGCAATCTGCCTGCCTCAGCCTCTCAAAGTGCTAGGATTACAGGCGTGAGCCACCGCGCCCAGCAGGACTTGTTGAATGAATACACCTGGCATTCTCCCCAGCGTCACTCACCCAGACTGCCTGCAAGAGACATACCTGGCCCTGACCCACCCCCTTCCTGCCATCCCAATTAAAGAAGGGAAATTGGACATGAAATAATGACTCCTGATTCTTCCCGGGCTGCTTTGGCTTCCTTAACCTCACTCCTCGCACTCAAATTTCCAAAACCAACAGAAAGAGCAAGGTCCTTCTGGACTCAGGCCTGCGTTACTCTTTTCCAAGTATTTGTGGTCATCTAGGCTCATCCCACATTTCCTATTACACTGGAAACCAAGAGGTAGCCAAATAATATGGTAAATCAAAGAGTCTGGGCTCGGGAGTTAAAAGCACCTAAGGTCGAATTCTGGCCGCATCCTATTTATTAGTTATTTGTTCTTTTTTTTTTTTTTTTTTTTTTTTTAGACGGAGTCTCGCTCTGTCACCCAGGCTGGAGTGCAGTGGCGCGATCTCTGCTCATTACAAGTTCCGCCTCCCGGGTTCACGCCATCCTCCTGCCTCAGCCTCCCGAGTAGCTGGGACTACAGGCGCCCGCCACCACGCCTGGCTAATTTTTTGTATTTTTAGTAGAGACGGGGTTTCACCACGTTAGCCAGGATGGTCTCCATCTCCTGACCTCGGGATCCGCCCGCCTCGGCCTCCCAAAGTGCTGGGATTACAGGCGTGAGCGACCGCGCCCGGCTAGTTATTTGTTCTTATACTAATCCTTATCAGCCTCCATTTCTCCTTCTGGAAAATAACAAGAATTCTGTCTCCCTCAAGACAGAGTCTGTGGCATTGTGGAATTATTTAGGGGTCAACCATTTCAACGAATGCTACATGAAATCTATCTAGAGAGTGGCACAAAGAACTCAATAAATGCTTTTGTAATTAATTCTAATTTCTCCCAGAAGCTGGCATGTCTCAGCTTACATTTTCCTTCCTCTGAGAAGATTCGTTTAACTCCACCACCCTCTAAGTCTGGGTTAGATGCTTCTCCTAAGTATAGATCTGGAACCCTGTACTCAGTGGGTTCTGTGGATCCCCACTGCATTACAAGTAAAGCTAAGTCCCTACACCAGCCTATGAGATGCCACGTAACAGAGTCCCCATCCTGCCTCTGGCCCTGCCCTCGCCACTCTCCCCATCATTCCCTCTGCTGCAGCCACATTGGCCTCATGCGGTTCCTCAAACTTCCCAGACTCTCACCCACTATTCCCTCTTCTTAGAGCATGCTCCCCCGGCTATTTACCCAGTTCCCTCCCTCATCCCCTCAGGACCCTCATCAAATAGCTCCTCAGTGAGGCTTTCCTTGGCCAGTGGAAGGCTGAATAATGGCTCCCCAAAGACGTCCACATCCTAATCCCCAGAATCTGTGACCATGTTACCTTTACATGGCAAAAGGAACTTTGCAGCTGTGATTAACAAGGATCTTTAAATGAGGAGTTTGTTCTAGATTATCCAGGTGGTTTCAATGGAATCACAAGAGTCCTTTTACGAGGGAAGCAGGAAGGACAGAGTCAGAGAGAGAGCGAGTGATTGGAAGATGCTAAGATGCTGGCTTTGAAGTGGAGGATGAGGCTATGAGCCAAGGAATGTGGATGGCCTTCAGAAGCTAGAAAAGCCAAGAAAACAGATTCTCCCCTACAGCCTCCAGAAGGAACGCAGGCCTGCTGACCTCTTTCAATTTTTTTTTTTTTTGAGGTGGAATCTTGCTCTGTTGCCCAGGCTGGAGCACAGTGGCATGATCTCGGCTCACTGCAACTTCGGCCTCCCAGGTTCAAGTGATTCTTCTGCCTCAGTCTCCTGAGTAGCTGGGATTACAGGTACTCGCCACCATGCCCGGTTACTTTTTGTATTTTTAGTAGAAACGGAGTTTCACCCTGTTGGCCAGGCTGGTCTCGAACTCCTGACCTCAAGTGATCTGCCTGCCTCGGCCTCCCAAAGTGCTGGGATTACAGGCGTGAGGCACCACACACGGCTCAAATTTTTGACTTCCAGAACTATAATGTAATATATTTGTGTTATCTTAAGCCACTAAATTTGTGGTAATTCATTACAGCAGTGATAGAAAAAAAGTTCAGCCACCAAATCTAAAATTATATTCTCCACCAATTGTGCACATGTGTATGTATTTGCATAAAACACACATGCATGTGCACTCACACAAAACACACACAGACACTCCTTATCCCTCTGTCTTGATTTAGTTTTCTTCATTCATCTGACCACCAAAATAAATAAGAAAAATAGGGCACATGTCTCCCACACGTACATACACACATACACACAGAGAAATGAGATTTCCACGAAGACACTGATTTGTGGCTATGTCTTGTGTCTCTTTTTGTCACTGTTGAGTTCCTTGCACCTAGAAACTGGCCTGGCATTATTGAGTGAATAGAGACTCATTAAGTTTTGACTGCATGCTTTATCTTAGAACATAGACATACATTCTGTTATTATTTGTACAAAATCTCTCCACCTGTCAACTCTTAGCCCTTGAGGTCAGGGACCCATCTCTCTTCCTCACTGCTGTATCATTCCATCATTAGCACAGCACCCTATCCTCCCACAAGAGCCCCACGAACATGTGCTAAGCCATTGGGCCAACGCTACCACATTCCACACATCTGAGCCCCAGAGTTGTCAGAATTCCAACCCATCAAGAGACCTCGCATTTTATTTGATTGCAAATATGTCTAATTCCCGGTTCACTCGAGCAGCAAGAAAAAAAAAAGCCACTCGAGTCTGTAATTTACAAAGCAAATCTGCCCAGCAGAAATATTCATCTTCAGAAGACAGTGGGATTCAATCATTTTTTAAAAGGGGAAAAGAAAGAAACTTAACCTGTTTCTCCCATGTTCCAGTTGCATCGTTTGCAAAACTTTTGAAAGCCCTTTGAGGCCAGGGCTAATCATTTTGCTTCCAGGGGCTCATTTCCTGAGGTGGGTGGTACCTTTGTCACCAAGGAAGGAACGCAGCAGGCAGGAAAACTGAGATTGTGGCAGAAGTCATTCTTGGGGAAAGGATGTATGAAGATCTAGTCAATTCCACCCGGCTTGCTAATTAGAGTTTCAGAAATACAGAGATGCTGTGTCCCTTTGAAATCCTTAGAATAGTTGGATGAACAAGCCTGTCCCCTAAGGGAATGTGCAAGGACGTATTTAAATTACGTTATTTTTACTTTAAATAACCAAGTCGAAAGAGTTGGTGACTGGAAGTTAAATTAGGCAAGTCTAGGGATAATGAGTATGTATTAGACGCCCCTCCTTTTCCATTTCCTCTCTCATGGATCCATCTCATCCTTGTCTATTTCCTGCCCAATCTGTGGGCCTCTAAAGGATAAGGACCATGTGCTATTTGTCTTTGCATTTCTGGCAGTCATTATAGTCCCATGATAGTGCCTGACACATGCTAGACACTGTGTTGAATTCTTAAATAGATGCCCAGATGAATGAATGAGCGGATGACTGAATGAACAGATGGATAGATGGATGGATGAGTGTTTGAAACTGGAAATGAGTATGCCTGTACCAAATGCCTGTGTCCCAACTTGCTTGATAACCATCCAGGATGTTTGTTTTATCTACAGCTTCTCAGGCCCCTCCCCAAGTGGTTCTGATTCAGCCTATCTCAAAGTTAACCTGGGAATATGTTCTTGAACATTTTCCCCATGTAGCTCCGATCATCAGGCATGCTTGGGAAACACATGCCATCTCCATCTGTTTCATGCTTCCTTACCTGAAATGTCCTTATGTTTTATTCACCACCCCAGGGTAATCTTCAGCAGGTGAAGTTTCTCACATTCAAAATGGGAATCAGGGCCTCTTCATGTCTAGCTACTTCCTACTCCCTCTCCACTGCCATTCACCCCTTCCAAATGCAGTCTTATTTTTCTATTCTCACTCTCTTCCCCAGAGCTTTCAAAGATTTCTAACATAAGACCGAGATAGCAGAGCCCCCAGGGTCAGCATTCTGCCTGACAGCCGTGCAGCAACACGGACTGGATTCCCTGGAAGGTTTTGCGTCTAAAAGCAGGGCCTCGTGGCTCTCAGGATTCCCTTGCATGCAGCACCCATCCTTCCTGCCCATCCACTGAGTATACCAACCTAGGAAATGGAGGAGATCGAAGTGTGTGTTTACTGTGTCTCATGATGCATGTTCCATGAGATGGAAGATGGTCTGGGCAGCGATTTTCAACCTTTATGAACCAAGCAGGCTCCCGGGCTCCACTCTTCTCAAGATGATAGGGCGGTATCTTGTTTTTCTAGGTTTCATAGTTAGACCTCCCTCTGCAACATTTGATTTTTTTTTTTAAAAAAGGGTGCCAAGGATCAAAAAGGCTGAAAACTGCTAGTCTAAAGCATCATTTTTGAGCCAGTGGGCCATATTTCGACCTTTCTTTCTCAAGGTGCCATTAGAACAAGAAGGAATTGCCTTTTAGGACAGTGAACTAAGTACTGGAGTTCCTGTTTACACAGAGGTGATTGAACAACCTTAATAATTCTTGCGTTAATAATCTATTGCTGGCCGGGCGTGGAAGATCATGCCTGTTATCCCAGAATTTTGGGAGGCTGAGGTGGGTGGATCGCCTGACCTCAGTAGTTTGAGATCAGCCTGGGCAACATGGCGAAACCCCGTCTCTACCAAAAACAGTAAAAATAAAAAATAAAAAAAAATTAGCCGGATATGGTAGTGCTCACCTGTGGTCCCAGCTACTCGGGAGGCTGAGGTGGGAGGATTGCTTGAGCTGGGGAGGTGGAGACTGCAATGAGCCCAGATTGCACTACTGTACTCCACCGTGGGTGACTGAATGAGACCCCATCTCAAAAAAATAAAAACAAAAAAATCTATTGCGGCATAACAAATTACCCCAAAAGTTAATACCTACAAACATCAATGTTTATTATCTCACAGTTTCCACAAGTGAGGCACGGATTTGCTGGGTCCTTTCACAGTTTCCAACAAGGCGGTAGCCAAGGTATCTGCCGAGGTTGCAGGCTCAACTGGGAAGAACTCACTTCCTGGATCACTCTTGTGGCCGTCGGCAGGAATTAGTTTCTTTGGGGTTACGGGACTGAGGGCCTCAGATCTTCTCTCGCTGTTGGCCAGAGGCTGCCCTCGGTTCCTTGACACGCACATCTCTCCACTGAGCAGCTCATGACGTAGCATCTGGCTGCCATTAGAGGAGGCAAGCAAGAAAAGAGTGCGGGCAAGATGGAACTCAAGGTCTTTTGGAAACCTAATCTTGGAAGTGACGTACCATCCCCTTTGCTGTGTTGAGTTCATCAGAGGCAAGACGCTAGGCCCAGCCCATACTCGAGGGGAGGAAATCGTATATAGACATGAATACCAGGGGACCAGTGGGAGCTCTTCTTTTTTTTTCTTTGAGACGGAGTCTTGCTCCGGTGCCTGGCTGGAGTACAGTGGCCCAATCTCTGCTCACTGCAATCTCTGCCTCCCGGGTTCAAGCGATTTCCCTGCCTCAGCCTCCCCAGTAGCAGGGACTACAGGCGTGCACCACCATGCCCAGCTAAGTTTTTGTATTTTAGTAGAGGCGGGGTTTCACCATGTTGGCCAGGATGGTCTCGATCTCCTGGCCTCACGATCCACCCACTTCGGCCTCCCAAAGTGCTGGGATTACAAGCGTGAGCCACCACACCCGGCCGGGAGCTCTTCTAAAAGATGTCCACTGCACCTTCAAAAGCTTTGCTATCAGGTAATCCTCGGAAGTAATGGGATATGATGTGGTCAGCCACACCTGGGTTCAAATCTTGGCCCTGCTACTTACTAGTACCACTACTGTTCATAATAACAATAACCATTCCTGCTATTCCTTGTTAAGTACTGTGCACATCTTCACAAGTGTCATTTCATTTGACCCCCCCAAAGCATCCCCTTGAGAAAGTCCTTTGACTATCCCCAGAGCATGAATAAGGAAACTAAAGATTAGGGGAATTCAGCAACTCACCAGACATCTCAGAGCTACCTCTGTAAGCAGAAAAGGCCAGATTCCAGCCACAACGCCTCTGGTTCTGTGAGTCTGAAGCTATACTCTGACCACTGGTGTAATTCCTTTGACCTCCACCAACCGTGAAACAGAGATGCTAACACTGGTCTTCAAGGGCTAGTGCAGAGGATGAGGTAAGTGAATAAAATAGTGGCCCATAGTCAGAAATCAGTAAAGGGTAGGTATTTTGTTTAACAAACATTTGCCAAGCACTTCATCTGAGCCAAGCATTGTGCTGATCCTGACTTTTCTTTTCTTTTCTTTTTTTTTGAGATGGAGTCTCGCTCTTTCGCCAAGACTGGAGTGCAGTGGCGCAATCTCGGCTCACTGCAAGCTCCACCTCCCGGGTTCACGCCATTCTCCTGCCTCAGCCTCTCCAGTAGCTGGGACTACAGGCGCCTGCCACCACGCCCAGCTAATTTTTTTTTTTTTTTTGTATTTTTTAGTAGAGACGGGGTTTCACCATTTTAGCCAGGATGGTCTTGATCTCCTGACCTTGTGATCCGCCCACCTCGGCCTCCCAAAGTGCTGGGATTACAGGCGTAAGCCACCGCGCCTGGCGATCCTGACTTTTCTCATACAGTTTTGTTCAGTTTCCACGCCGACCCCATGATGTAGCTGGAGTTAAGTGCTTACATTGACTTATTCAAGCCAGGCTCTGTTTGAGTGCTTTGTAAAATTTCACTCATTGAGCCCTCAAAATGACCTTAGGAAGCAGGTGCTTGGAGCAGATGCCACAGGTGGCCTCACCCGTGTCACTGCAGGGCACACAGGTTCAACTTCCAGTCTCCAGCACCTGCGTTTCTTTGCCAGGGCTCTCTCGGGCTGGTGAAACTTGCTTTATCCTCATGTGACAAGCTGTGCCACCCCTGCTCCGGGGACATCCTTCAACAGATGACCAGTGCCCCAGGTCACTCGTCTCTCCTGAAGAACTATGAGTTGTGAGTTACACAATATCTACCAGAGCTGCCCAGAGAAATTCCTGCCTGTGTTTCCTCTGTAGGGGCTGGCTTCGTAGCATATCCTTCGTGCCTGCCTTCTCCCTACGTGTCCCTGCTCCTCTACCCATGTTCTCTGAACCTTCCAAATAAATTACTTGCCCCCAAATCCTTGTCTCAGTGTCTGCTTCTGAAGAAATCCAAATGAAGGCAGTGTTATCATCATCATCATCATCCCCATTTTCAAATAAGCAAAGTGTAGCACAGAGAGGTTAATTAACTTACCCAAGGTCACACAGCTGGGAAGCAGTGAAGTCAGAATTCAAACTCAGGCAGTCTGACTCTTAACATTATGCATAGTGATTACATTTTTAAAAAATTCAACTTTTATTTTAGCCACAGGAGGTACATGTGCAGGTTTTTTACATGGGTGTATTACACCCGGGTAACAAGCACAGTACTCAATAGGTCGTTTCACAAGCCATGCCCCCTTCCCTCTTTCCCCTCTCTGGTAGTTTTCAGTGTCTATTGCACCCATGCTTAAGTCCATGTATGCTCAATGTTTATCTCCTACTTATAAGCATTTTTCTTTCTGACTGAGCTGGGTAAATGGAGGAGAAGAGTTACCTTATGGTGCCAAGGAAAAACTGTCTACACCAAAGCTCTGTGTGTAACCAGTGGCCGGGCATGCAAATGGTTCCATGTATTACTGCAAAGACCAGCACTCTTCTCTAATGAAAATGTCAGCTCCCCAACACAGCCAGCTGTGATTCCATTGAAAAATGTGATTACGGAAGCCATGCTAATGGTGTTAACATGTTGCAAGGATTTCTGGTGTGCTTGTAAACCTAAAACCGTAATTGCCAAAGAGAACTCGTCTCCCACAAATCAAACCCCTCTGTATTGACAATTACATCCGGTGTTGCACGGAATTTAATGCCTAAATAATGAAGTCGAAGAACAATGCTGGAGCCTGAGCATTTGAATATATTTGATTGATTCATTTCTCGCTCCCATTTAATAACCCACTTAGTCAGTGACGGTTAAGTGCACCAGAGAGAAAACATTTCACAGATTAATAACTAGATGTGGGTACAAGCTGGCGCTCCCCTAATAGCAGCACAAAAATAGGTTATCGTCAAAAATCTGGATTTAATGTTCCAAAATGGGGATTTGTGCTTTTCTTTTATATGGTTCCATACTTATTACCACAGGCTAATGAAACAGAAATCAAAAATCAGGAGCTAATAAATGCAATTCCAGGGGAGTATTTTTTTTTTATTTAATACCTTCCAAGACCGTGATCTTTGTTCAAGATCTTTAATGCTCAAATTACAATGTGTGAATATTAAGCATATTCGATTATGATTGAACTCTCTGAAAAGCTAATTTATGAACCCTGCAGCCTAACACATTTGTGCCATTTAAAAAAGGAATATGACCACAGTTCATTTATACCAATTTCTCCAGTACAGAGATAAACACTCCTAAACTGCCTATATGAATAAAGTTATGAGACTGTAACTTTATTATAGGCTGGGATGTGTGATTTCTGTGGAGAGATATATAATTAAATGATATTGACTCCGTGTGTAAAGCAACTTTGGCAGAAATTTTGCATTGGGGAATGTTCTCTTAAGTTCCTTTCTTGCTGTTCTAGTGAAAAAAAAAAAAAAAGTGGTCAGACAAGGGACCTTACTCAGGGCAGACTGAAAAAATGGGGCCTCCTCCCTAGCTGTAATTCTCTTTCTGCAATAATTTCATGACCTCTTGTGGAAAAATATTTTCCCCTAATAAACTCAGTTTTAATACAAGTTTAACAAATCCTTATCCCTTTATTTGTTATGAGCTTTACTATCTTTTATTATGTTTACCATGGAATGCCCAAGCCATCAGGTATAATGAGAACTGCTTTGTGTCTTTCCACGTGTCCAGCCAGCCTGGAAGGACACATCGATGACACTGTGAGGAAGAATAAGGAACACGTTTCTCATGTGCTGTGAAATACTCTGGCCTGGAGAGGTCCTGGTCCATTCATTCTCTGGGTTATTGACTTTTGCCACAGCCTAATTTAAAAAAAAAATGATTGGCCAGGCACGGTGGCTCACGCCTGTAATCCCAGCACTTTGGGGGGCCAAGGAGGGTGGATCACTTGAGGTCAGGAGTTTGAGACCAGGCTGGCCAACATAATGAAACCCTATCTCTACTAAAAATACAAAAATTAGCCGGGCATGGTGGCAGGGACTCGTAATGCCAGCTACTCAGGAGGCTGAGGCAGGAGAATTGTTTGAACCTGGGAGGCAGTTTGCAGTGAGCCGAGATCGCATCACTGCACTACAGCCTGGGCGACAGAGGGAGATTCTGTCTCAAAAGAAAAAAAAAATTATTGCAAAGTGTATATATGATACCAATTTGGTAAAACTGAAATGCAAAATTAAAACTCAGGCTCCAGTAAATATTAGGGCAAGACTGGGTAAAATGTAATGCGGAGATTTACTTCTCCAGACCCTACACATTTATTCCAGTGAAGGCTTTTGACTCAGCCCCCTGGCAGTCAAGATACAAAGGGACACTGCATCCATTATATGGGTTCCCCAGGCAAAGCAGACATTGCCTGGCCCTGAGCATGTATTGCCACTAAGCTATAAAGTGCAGGTCAGGGACCTAGTAACTACTCTCCCTGCCCCTACTCTGCCACACACACACACACCCACCCACCCACACACACACACACATATACACATACACACACACACACACACACACACACACACACACATACACACACACACTCCATGGGCAGGTTCCCCTTGAGCTCGCACTGTCTCTATGCAATTCAGTAATAAATTTATTTATTACTAAACAAATGGTGCCTTCACACAAGGAAGAAGACATCTCTTCCCCTAGAGGACACAGCCAGAGAAAACAGCTTGGCAAACAAATCCTGGCTTGATCTCAGCCTCTGTGTACTCCTTTGGCTGGATGGTGCGCAAGGACTCGGATTTAATTCTAAAACTTTGTCATGCAAATCTTGAATGAATGGAACCACAGAGAGACGGGACGGACATAGTTTTCAACAATGAGAACAATATTAGATTCCCTGAGGGAGTGTTTCAGTCCTTGGTGGAAGCCAAGATACATGTCTAGGAGAAAACAGTTCTACAGAGGCCAAGATAATGTGGTACTAAAATCCCTGGTGGGCTAGTTCAAGGCTATCTAATATGGTAGATGAGCTGAGTGTGCTTCACCCAGTCTTCCTAGTTCTACTACTCTCAACGAGTTCGTAATACTTCAGGATAGATCACAGATGCTGGGAAACCGTTCAGCAAAGCCATGGTGCAAGAGGAACCATTAATAGATCAACGTCTGGCCCAGGAGCAGATCTACCAGGACCTATGAGAGTTTTCTTTTCTTTTCCTTTCTTCTTTTCTTTTTTTTTTTTTTTTTTTTTTTTTTGAGACCAAGTCTCACATTGTCACACGGGCTGGAGTGCAACGGCACGATCTCGGCTCACTGCAACCTCCGCCTCCAGGTTCAAGCGATTCTTTTGCCTCAGCCTCCCGAGTAGCTGAGATTACAGGCACACGCCACCACGCCTGGCTAATTTTTGTATTTTTAGTAGAGATGGGGTTTCACCATATTGGCCAGGCTGGTGTCGAGCTCCTGACCTCGTGATCTGCCCGCCTCAGCCTCCCGAAGTGCTGGGATTAAAGGCATGAGCCACCGTGCCCGGCCCTATGAGAGATTTCTACCCAGGGACAAGAATGGAAGACTGGAGGCCTGAGATATTGGAACAAATTCTACCTTCTCTCTTTTATTTTCATAAATAAGCCCCTTTTCCCTCATGTTCCCTAGCTTGAGGGGCTTGATTTAAAGAGCCACTCGAGCGAACCCAAGAGCATAGAAACAGGTTATAAATTATCAAGGTATCCTAGAAATCATTTGGTTGTATGGAGTGAAGGATAACATGAGTTGTAGCTGCTTAAAGAGCAATGACAGAGTTGACTCCCTTTGGCATTGGCGGAAAAAAAGAGAACGAGAACAGGGAGAATTCGTTCAAGCCCTGGAACTTGCTTATTTGAAGCAACCCTCCATAATCCTCTGACACTGAAAATCCAACCAGAGACACCAAGTTGGAATATTGAACTATTTTCCAAAAACGTGGTATCACTCAGTGGGAAGGTTCCTTGTTCCTATAAAAGTTCCCCCCAAAAAGATCCGCCCTCTGGAAAAGTCCTTAGGAATATACCAAATCCTAAGGCAGTTACAAGGGAGGAGTCTTTGTTGATATAATTAATGCTGGCCATCCAGGAAGCAGTATGCAAATTATGACTGCACTGAATGGACAGAACCTGGAAACCAGGACAAAATGCCAACCAATGCCTGTGCAATAGGTTTTAATCCTCCCATTCCTATTTTCACTGTTCATCTGGGACTAAAAATGTCTTCACCCTCCCACTCAATAAGCTGGGAGGGAAGGTTTCACCATGAACTAGCTGATACTTGAGCTACAGAAAGTCAGCCTGTGCGAGCAAAGATCGGGCTGAACAGAAGCTAATTCCTGCCCCAATTCCTAGAGTTTTGTTCAAACCTATTGTATTATGGTCAACATCCGGAATGAACAACTAATAATTGCAGCAATGCCTTCAGGGATTTTTGCCTGTTTACATATAAATAGTTCTGACCAGAGCTGGCCACCAGCAATGGTTAATTTAATTTACTATCCCTTGGCAAAAGAATAGTCATTGGATTTCCAGCACTTTTAACCTTGGTAGACCCTTGGGAAATAAAAATTAGATTGAGAGAAAATTACCAGTGGTGGAGAACAGTATAAAAGTGACAATGACATATATAAACCTCCGGCAGGAGTGGAATAAAGTGGCATATTATTGTTCGCTGGCTCCCAAAGTTCAATATTTCTTGTGTGATTTACACTTCTGCCATTGTCTCACCCCCTGGAGTCATTCTGGCCACTCGGAAGTCTCTCCCAAAATGCACACCCTTGTTACTGTCAGAGAAGGGGCATATTACCTGGCTAAGCAGCAAGAGGTGTTTAGACAAAGAGCCATTAGAAAATGGGTTTCAACAAATAAGAGTTTAAAGAGGTGTCTGGAAATATGAGACTGAAAATATATGGGAAAGAAAAGTCGATAATCCCTGCCTTCGCAGTCGTGTGTGTGTGTGTGTGTGTGTGTGTGTTTGTGTGTTTAAAGAGGTGTCTGGAATGAGAAGCAGATGAGTGTCTTGGGTGTTCCAGGCTACTGGTTGCACTTCCTCTATAGAATTATGTCAACATAATCTGTGTGCAAACTCAGCTCTGATTGGAGGGTCATGATGCTATCTCAGCCTCACTGACCATCAGTTGGTGCTCCCACTACATGAACCACCTGTGGTACACACACACACACACACTCCCCACACACAATTGTTTCTTTTTCCTAAACCTTTGCTCATGTGGTGTTATCTGCCCGGACCACCCTTCCTCCCACCTCTGTTTTGCCTGTCTGGCTCCTAACTTGCCCTTGAATACCTAGCCCAGATATCTCTTCCTCTAGGAAACTTTTCCTGATCACCTCCTGGCCAGATGTGTACTTTCTTTAGTATCAGCCTCCTGAATTTGTCACTCTTATTATTTGCATCAATCTACTTATGTGTTTTTTTTTTCTTTTCTTTTGAGACAGAATCTCACTCTGTTGGCCAGGCTGGAGTGTAATGGTATGATCTTGGCTCACTGCAACCTCCACCTCCCAGGTTCAAGTGACTCTCCTGCCTCAGCCTCCCGAGTAGCTGAGAATACAGGCGCCTGCCACCATGCCTGGCTAATTTTTGTGTTTTTAGTAGAGATGGGGTTTCACCATGTTGGCCAGCCTGGTCTCGAACTCCTGACCTCAGGTGATCCATCCTCCTCGGCCTCCCAAAGTGCTGGGTTACAGGCATGAGCCACTGTGTCCGACCCTACTTATGTGTCTTTCTATCCCACCTTCAGAATATGTAATGAGACTACTGTGACCTTCCAAAAGAAAAAAAACAAAAACAAAAAACAGAACATTTAAGCCTGGAGAGAGAGGTCAGAGTATAAAACAAAGAACAGAGGCAAGAAAGTTAGGAAACTCCTAAGTAACATATCCAACTAGATAGGATTCCTGGTACAGGCTTTTCTTTTATTGCACATACCACAGTTGTATTTTTATTATATTTGTGTGATCATCTAATTAATGGACACACACACAACTGTAAAGGAAGAGATTGTGTCTCCCTTCTTTTCTATATCTTCAGTACCTAGCACATAGATGGTACCTTATAGATATTTATGTAATTAATTAGTTTATAAATTAATAAGCAGACATATAATGGATAAGAGAGAAAAAAGTAGACATAAGCTCATAAATGGGGCTAAATTCCAAAGTTCATTTGTATGTGTCTCCATGGCACAAGGATAGACAGGAACGCCACATAGAAATAATGGATATTGAGTTCTACTTCTGATAAACTTATATCCAAGCCTGGGAAGGTCTGATTCTAAGACTTACCTTTAAACAAATATTGAAACTGGCATGGGATTTCTCTTGCCCAATAGAACCCAAAGCCCATAATTTACTGAGGATAAACAGACTTACATGATAAAGCTGTCCAGAATCCACCAACACCTTCATTTTACATGTAATGAGGTGGAGCAAGATGGTCCTCACTCCCCAGATGGTGTAATAACATCATTAGAGAGAGGATTGCATTTGTTTCGGAGACACCTTGACTTACTGTTTGGGATAGAACACAAGACCCCGAAAGTCATGTGCCAGTCACCAAAGTGCCTTGAATAAAGGCGATCACAGTGAACCTTGGGTTGTTTTCTTCACCAAGCACTATCATGAACAGAATTTGTAAGTTTGAAGTGAGGAAGAATTGTTCTGATAATAGAGAAGAGAGGAGCCAGGGCATTCCTTTGGGTGTTGGGGGAGAAAGACACAGGAGTGAAGTAACAATAAGAGACATGAGGATTTTTCCAGTTGCTCGATCTGGGCAATGTGATATAAACTCGCTTTTATGTCTCCTCTACATTGTCTTTAGTAAATTAACGCTTAACTCATTAAATGCTCTTCTGTGAGTGGGTCTTTATGTGCAGCAGGGGTAAGAGGGGCCTCAAAGAGAAGGACAAGTGAACAGCTGACAGCTAGGTGTCAAAGGAATGGGGGCAGGATTCCTAGCTGAGCTCATTTGCTAAGGAACCCTTGGCTAGTCATAGACTGAGCCATTTCAAATCCATCAGTTTCATCTCTCTCTCTCTCTCCTATACATTAAAGATTTCAATTAGCCAGTTAGCAGGGTACTGCAGGGAAAAGGGAAGGAAGGGTGAGTTTATTCTGATGAGTTGTTTTCAACATTTACTGACATCTAATACATGTCAAACAATTTACATGGATTATCTCATTTAAATTTCACAGCATGTCTATGAGGTGGTTGGTGTTATTTTTATTATGTAGATGAAGAATGGAAACTCAGGCTCAAGGAGGTAAATTGTCCCAAGTTGTAGAGCCAGTAAATTTTAGAGTCTGGATTTGAATCCCCATCTATCTTTACACCATATTATGCTATCTCTTAAAAAAGGGCTGGGTGGTTGCTAAGGAAGATGGAGGGAAACATATTTACACTGATGTGGGGTGGCGGTGGGAAATGATGCCACCAAAATTCAGGAGGATTTTCCTGAAGGTAACTGTTGTTGCCATAAAGTACTTTAATCCTCTAGTCAACCAAAAAGGTGCCACTGGTGAGATGGATAACCACGGACTTGTGAATTGCAGGACTTAATTTTGGCATAATTACCAAAGGAAGTCAGACAGTATTGCGGGAATGTAGGCTTTGGAATCAGGCAAATCCTCATTTGAATCATGGTTCTGATTTATTATCTAAAACAGTTCAACTCTAAATTTCCCTTTAGAAATAATAATCATAAACATAAATTTAACAATTAGTCAAAAGAAGAGCTGCTCTTCTGAATCAGGGAACAACCGTCATTAGAGAATAATAACTCTAAATCTTTTTCACTGAATTCACAGCAGCCCTCAGTTAACAGACCATAAGAGCTTAATCTTGCAATTTTCTTAATTCCTAGAAATAAACTGAAACCTCTGGTGCCTGTGGGATGAATCTTAATTTTGTGGAGGAGACTCTGTTGATATTGGTGACTGTTTTGTGACCTTGAGCAAATGACTTCACGTCTCTGAGCCTCTGGTCTGTCATCTGTAAAATGGGGATAATCACATATGACAGTTAATTTTGTAGATGATGTGAGATAATGCATGTAAAGTCCTGAGCACAGTGCCTGGCACAAAGCAAGCACTCAGTAAGAGGGAGTGATGAGGATTGGGATGATGATGGCAATGACAAAAACAATGATGCAACAATAAGACCAAGATAAGACAATATGTTGATGTTGATGTGGCAGTGATGGTGGTAATAGTGGATGATGATGATGATGATGATGATGATGACAAAGACAACAGTGCAATGATAAGACCATGAGGAGCAATGAGCAATCATCATGATATACTGTTTGTTGCTGCTGCTGATGTTCTGTTTGTTGCTGCTGCTGATGTTGTAGTGGTAAACAATACAGAGAAGAAGAAACAAGAAGGAAGGAGGAAGGGAAACATAAAAAAAGGATTTGATATGGTTTGACTCTGTGTCCCAACCCAAATCTTACCTTGAATTGTAATAATCTCCACATGTCATGGGAGGGACCCGGTGGGAGGTGGTCGAATCATGGGGGTGGGTCTTTCCCATGCTATTCTCATGATAGTGAATAAGTCTCATGAGATCTGATGGTTTTATAAAGGGCAGTTCCCCTGCACACACTGTCTTGCCTGCCGCCATATAAGACATCCCTTTGCTCTTCCTTCATCTTCTACCATGATGTGAGGCCTCCCCAGCCATGTGGAACTGTGAGTCCATTAAACCTCTTTCCTTTATAAATTACCCAGCCTCAGGTATGTCTTTCTTAGCAGCGTCAGAACAGACTAATACAGGATTAAAAGAAGAAAGAAGAGGATCTCCATAAAACATCAAGTGCAACTCATAGGTAACTGGGTTTCACATGCCCAAACCTAAGGTGTTCTGATTCTCCAACCAGAACAGATATCCTTTTCCTGATTAGAGGTGCAATGCCAACCACATCAATAGACATGGTCTCTGGGATCCCTCTAACCCCATTCACCACCTGGTTCTCTCTTCCCATCAAGGATGAAAAAGGGATTTTTTTTTTATTCTCTGTGTGCGGAGGATAATGCATCTGTAAACTCATCATAACCCCATAGCCAGATGCTTCTGTGCAGTGGAGCCAGCACCATCAAGGCTAACAAAACACAGCATCAATCCTCAAGATCCTAGTTTCTGGGTGGACTGAGACCATGCCTGGGAGGAGCTGGCCAAACCACTTCCTCAGTGTTATCATTTATGAAACCAAAATGAAGCGTTTTCAATAATTATAAGGACATGAAGTAGATGACTAAGATCATACAAGCAAATGTGCTCCGAGTTCGTTCTTTCAAGTAGTGACCATGAATATCTTAATTTTTTATTATGATGAAATGTAGAATTATCCTCATGATTAAAAGCATGACTTTTAATGAGTCATTTAATCTCTCTGCATGTCTCCTTGATGAAATAATAACTTTATGTAGTAGTACCAACCTTATAAGTTAGAAGCGAGCCTTAACTAAGATAATTTACAGAGTTTAACATACTATCTTTCCTATAGTGTCTTTCAGAAATATTAGCTGATAATATTATTACTATTATGTAGGAGACAAAAAGAAAATTTTAAAATATACCCAAAATACATATCTGATTATGTGAACCCCCTGCTTCAAACTCCCAGTGATTTCCTCCCAGTGCTAAGGATGGAATCCAAATGCCTTAACATAGCTAGCAAAGCTCTTTATGACCTGGCTTCTGCTTAACTCTCACTACAGAGTAAACCCTCCTAAACTGCTCTCACACCTTTCAGGTTTCAAGTCACTTCCGTGTTTGCACTCTTCCATCCAACTGTTGGCCCGCCTAGCACACTCAGCCCTCAGGCTGGGGGAACTGCCTTCCTCCCCGAGCCCACAGCCCTTTGAGCCTCCCCCATCACAGTGTAGTTGAATGATTTCCTGGTGGTTTATCTGTTACCTCAACTACTTGGGACTGAGATGGTATATTAATGGTTCTTCCTCGCCGTCTAGCATAGTACCTGGCACAGAGCAAAGCCCAATAAATGTTTGCTGAATGAAGGGAGGAGTAGTGTGATTGATGTTAGCATGGGACACAGAGAAGGGGTGTGGCAGGGGAATCAGAGGGAGATTGATGGAGGATGACACCTGAGCAGGATCTTTAGGAACAGGCAAGATTTACCCAGGCAGGTTTTTTTTTAAAGCAATGGCAATACAGAAAGAGAGAACAGCATGGGCAAAGCACAGAGGTCTAACCAAGCATGGCACCTTTGGGGCAACTTCATATATTCACGCAGCACTGCAATATTCCAGAGTAAGGAAATAAGAGATAATGTTTGGCTATGTGTGCCAACAAGATACCTTGTCTTTATCCTGTAAAGATTAAGCAATCATTGAAGAATTTAAAGTAGAGCACTGATCAGATCAGGCAGAAGCATGAGATTAATGATCCTGTTAACACTCTTTGATATTTTCCTCTTCTTTCTTCCCACCCTCCCATCCTTTTCTCTCCTTTCTTCTATCTTCTTCCTCTGTCTTCTAAAATATATCCTTTCATTTTCTACAGTTTGCCTTTACATGGATTTTGTTGACCCCAGATGTTAGAGGACCATGAATTAAGCCAGGCAGGACTCCCAGCATCAGTCAGGATTCAAGGGGATAAAATTTCATTCTGATGACCCGGAGCACTAATGAACACTTCTCCCCAACACGAGTCCTCTAAAAATGGTCTGAAATGAGGCAGAAATAGTACGTTATCTTGATATAAAGGGAACACGTTCATCACTTGCTTAAACTAATTATTTGTCTGAGAGTGACGGTGGCAACACTGACCTTTTCCAATGATCAAAACACTTATTTTTAAATGGAAGATGTAACTCTTCTCATCCCTCCTCTTTGTTGAAATGTCTGACCTAACCTCATTCAGTGACGAATACCCAGAAAAGCCTGCTTAACAGTGTGATTAGTGAAGTTATTCTAAGATAGTGATGACCAAACTCAAAGTCCTAGACTATTTTAAGTGTTCGAGTTAGGGTTTAGGATTAGAGTTTAGCGTTCAGGGTTAGGGTCATGGTTAATGTTAAGGTTACGTTTGATAGATTCGATTAGGATGAAAGTTAGAGTTAAGAATAAAGATAAGGGTAGGGCTAGATTAGAGTTAAGGTTAGGGATAAGATCAGGGAAACTTCTGGAGAAAAGAGAATGAGATTAGAGGGCAGCTAAGATTCCAGCCACTCATATGTACACACTCCACCCCAAACTCATTGTTTCCCTATTTCTTTTCTGTTTAGTTTCACTTGAAATAATAATAAAAGGAATCTACTCTTCTCTGATTCATAGACAGGGTTTGAAACTCACAGAACTAGAGAAACTCCCAAGCCATGTGTGAGAGTCAATGACTGACACCACAGTCCATTTTTCAGGAACTCAGTAGTCTCATGAATAAAAAGTATTTAGACTTCTGCAGATGACACCCCACTTACCAAGCTAAAGCTGTCTCAGATTTGGCAGAAGCTGCCCCATGACACAGGGTTTGAGGCAGGGATATGGATCATCCACTTGCAGACCCCTTGGGCAAGTGGATGCTCTGTATAACTTTCCTTCTTGACTGGCAGGATCCAGGGAATATGACCAAAAATGGGAACAGGGCCATGCTTACCATCTTTTGCAGTAAATGGAAATAAGGAAAATATTTAAGAATGGCTATAGTCTTAGCCAGGTAGAAAGGCCAAAGAACAGGATTCTGGATCTGAGAGGTTAGGCAAAAACCATTTCATGAAGCCAAGAATGTGGGTTGGGAGGAGAATTGATCAGGCATGGTAAGTGAACCTGGAGAAATTTTTGAGACTATGGACCTTTATAATAGAGCTTGGTTCAGCAAAACGGTTCTGTAAAGGGCCAGATAGCAATGCTATTTTAGGCTTTGTAGGCTATATTCAGCCTCTGTAATAACTACTCACCTCTTGCTCTAGAACAAAAGCAGTCATAGATGAGACATATATGAATGACTGTGGCTGTGTTCCAATAAAACTTTATTTAGGAAAATAGATAGCAAGCCAGATTTGGCCTGTGGACCATGGTTTGTTGACCCTTGTACTAGGGTATTTGGAGAGCTTGTTTTGTGAACCCCCAAAGAGAACAGTCTCCTAAGAATTAAACCAATATAGAAATCTTGCAGAATGAGGACATTAGAAAGCAAGACCAAGGCTATAGCATTATTAGAAACCCTGAATCCAGCCATACCTGAAACTAACTTTCTCTGGTATCCTCATTTACGTGAAACAATAAATCCTCTCCTTTTATTGTTATTGTTTAAGTAGTGTGAGTTAGGTTTCTGTCCATTGCAACAAAAAAAGTCCTTCTTGGTATACAATACACACAGGCTAACAGAAAAAAATAATCAGGTCTCATTACAAATCTTCTGATTCCCATTCCAGTGCTCTTTCATCTCAACAAGCAGCAGATAGAAAAGAATGCCCTAGTTGAGATATCTTTTGTAGCCAAACATCAGTGTTGCCAATGTGAACCTAGAGTTTGCTCCAAAACATTCCTGCTTGTTGGAGTGTCATTAAGGGAAAGCGTGTGCCTAGGAAATGCTGCCCGCGGATGAAGAAAGTTGACAGAACAGCCCTGAAGGGCCAGATGGATTCCAGACAGCTGTGACTTGATGGAGGCCCTCCATTTGGCAAGACCAGGGAGAGCCCAGCATGAACGACATCAATTAGCAACCTCTTTTGAGAGAGGATGATTACAGCACACCACTGCAATCAAGCTTCATGCAGCCACTACATGTAACGGTTATTGAGCCTCTGTAGAAACACACAGACATGTGTGGTATGATTTTTAAAAGAGAATAGCAGAATGCACTGGGATTCTCATACATTCCTGAAGAGATTGTGAACTGGTGCAAACTCTCTAGAAAGCAATTTGACAATAGGTATCAAACACCTTTAAAATAAAAAATCTCAAGACATTTGATGCAGTCGTCATCCTTCACCCCTGTAAGAATTGATCCTGAGCACATATCAGAAATGCAAACAAAGATTTCTGCACAAAGATGTTCATCACAGCATTAAGTATAATAGCAATAAAAGAAAGCGTACAAATGTCAAAGTTAGGAAATTAATGAAAAATATTATGATACATAGCCATAAGATAGAAAATTATGGCAGCCATCAAGAGTATGATTAAGAAGAGTCTTTAATCACATGAGAAAATATCCACACTATGGTAGGCGACAAGGCAGCATACAAATTGCATATATAATATGATCACCAGTAAATCAATATATGGCATGAGTTTTTATTTTTATTTACCCGGGTACAGTGATGACATGTTTGAGTTGAAGGACTCAGGGCTCCTTTTATGGGCTTATTTGCATGGGGATGTTTGGGGCTACAGAAGAGTCAAGGAGGTAGGAGGGTTCCTAGAGGGAGGAGAAAACAAGGACTATTAAAGGTATGTAATAATGTGATGATGTCTGATCCCTCACTATGATACTTTTGAGGTTCCCATTGAGAAGTTCTAGGCAGAATTTGAAAGACATTAAATGTCACTCTTCAACGAAGCCTTTCCATTCCCCCAGTGACGAGGTCACATGCCCCTGATCTATGCTCTCAAAGCTTTTTGTGTTTCTCCTTCCAAGCACATAAGAGATATTATCATTGTCTATTTAGATGATATGTGATTCTCACTCAGTTCTGCATTGTTGAATATGGTAGCCACTATACAGAGCATGTGGCTATTTCTATTTAAATTTAAGTCAAATAAAGCAAAACTTAAAAATGCATTTCTCGCTCACACTGGCCACATTTCCAGCACACAATAGCCACACGTGGCAAGTGGCCATCATCATGGACAAGACAGATACAAAACGTGTTCCTCAGGGCAGTTTTATTGAACAGTGCTGTCCAAGACTACAATGTTATGAGGTCTCGCTCACATGCTATTCCTAGTTCCTAGCACAAATATCTGGCATATTACAGGCATTCAATAAAAATATATGCTGAAGGGGCCGGCTGTGGTGGCTCATGCCTGTAATCCCAGCACTTTGGGAGGCCGAGGCAGGTGGATCATTTGAGGTAAGGAGTTTGAGACCAGCTTGGCCAGCATAGTGAAACTTTGTTTCTACTAAAAATACAAAAATTAGCTGGGCGTGGTGGTGTGAGCCACTAATTCCAGCTACTCAGGAGGCTGAAGCAGGAGAATCACTTGAACCTGGGAGGCGGAGGTTGCAGTGAGCTGAGATTGCACCACTGCAATCCAGCCTGGGTGACAAAGTAAGACTCCATCTCAAAAAAGAAAAAAAATATATGTAAATATATAAGGAATATTAATAATATTAATATATATTAATGAAACATTAATATTAATATATATTAATAAAATATATCAATATTAACATATACTAATAACATATATTGATAAAACATATATTTATACAAATATATATTTAATATATATTTATACATATATATATATTTAATATATATTTATACAAATATATATATTTAATATATATTCCTTCCTTCAGCATATCTGTGGAGATGACTTTATAAAAAAGGAGGTCCTCAGTACAGGAAGAGGAAACACACACACACACACCCCTCAGATATGTTCCTTTTTCAAATAACCAGCACCATTAAGATCTCATGAACGTATTTGGTAGGGAATAAACACAATAAATAATGATGATAGAATTCTGAGCTCTGAGTAGGCATTCAAACAGGCAGGATGGATCCTGACCGTGAGGGTGTCTGTGATGACATAAATCATAGCAGATCCAACATCTCAGGACCACATCTGACCTGGAAGCAGCATGACCCTGTCACAGGGACTGGAGCACTTGGCAAGACAGAGCTCACTGAGGAGCTGATGGTGGCCAGCCTAGTCTCTCATCAATGACATTTTTTTTTCCCTGACAGCTAAAAGACAAAAGGTTTGCATTCGTGGCCGTGTACGTGGACATGAGGGTTCTGAACCTTAGGGCTCTCGAAGGCCCATCCCATTCAACGTCTCTCTGTCTCCTCTGCCCAAAGAAAAAGCCAATAATTCAAAAACCTCAATGTGGAGCTGCATGAAATTGTTCTGTAACACACTTTCTTACCTACAGGAGGGGCTCAGATAAATGTTGAATCAACAGATAAGTCTGCAGCCATAATAAGGAATGAGATCAGGTCCTTCACAGGGACATGGATGGAGCTGGAGGCCATTATCCTCAGCAAGCTAACGCAGGAACAGGAAACTAAACACTGCATGTTCTCGCTTATAAGTGGGAGTTGAACAATGAGAACACATGGACACAGGAAGGGGAACAACACACACTGGGGCCTGCTGGGGGTTAAGGTGGGGGGAGGGAGAGGATTAGGAATGCTGGGCTTAATACCCAGGTGATAGGTTGATGGGTGCAGCACACCACCATGGCACATGTTTACCTATGTAACAAACCTGCACATGTACCCCGAAACTTAAAAGTAAAAATTTAATTTAAAAAAGGAAATTACAAAAAAAAAACAAAAACAAAAACAGGTAAGTCTTTGTCTTGGTTGGATGGTAGTTGGTAAGAAACAGTCGCATATTCATTCAACAAATGTTTATTGGGCACTAACTGGGTGTTAGGAATTATTTTAGGCATTTGGAATAGACCTGTGAACAAAACAGAAATCAACAAAAATGTCTGCCTTCATGAAACTTACACGCCAGGCTGGTTTTCAGCCCCGGCTGGATATTAGAATCATCAGGGAAGTTCTGAAAAATCTCATTTCTTGGGACACAGCTCAGAGAAATTCTGAAACTCTATAGTTCAAGATGGGGAATAGGGATATGTTGTTAGGAAGTTTCCCAGGAGAGTCAGGGTACAGTAGCCTGGGAGCCTGGGAACCACTGTTGTAAAACAATGGTTCTCAAAGTGTGGTCCCTGGACCAGCAGTAGTGGCATCACCTGAAAACTTGTAGAAATGCAAATTCTCAGCTGGGCACGGTGGCTCAAGCCTGTAATCCCAGCACTTTGAGAGACTGAGGCGGGTGGATCACGAGGTCAGGAGATCGAGACCATCCTGGCTGACACGATGAAACCCCGTCTCTACTAAAAATACAAAAACAAAAAAAAAAATTAGCCGTGCGTGGTGGCGGGCGCCTGTAGTCCCAGCTACTCGGAAGGCTGAGGCAGGAGAATGGCGTGAACCCACGAGGCGGAACTTGCAGTGAGCAGAGATCGCGCCACTGCACTCCAGTCTGGGCGACAGAGCGAGACTCCATCTCAAAAAGAAAGAAAGAAAGAAAGAAATGCAAATTCACAGGCCTCTCCCCAGATGTATAGAATCAGAAACCCCGTGAGTGGGACCCAGCAAGCTGTGTTTTCACAAGATCTCTATGGGATTTTATGTGCTTAAATTTGAGAACCATTGCTCTAAGCAAAATTACCTAGGGAGATGAGTTTTATGAGACAGAGGAATCCTCCTCTGCATCTTTTCCCAATGTGCTTCTGCCAAGTCACTAAACCTGGAGAGGCATCCCAAGAGCAGCCTCCCCAGGTTGGTACCTGACAGCCACACTGGGTTTTCAGCAGCTCTCTCCAGCCACTCAGGACGCTGCCCCACTTACCTAGGCTCCTCTCCCCACTCAGTTCCCCGATTAGCATAATCCTTCCCAGCTGCTGAGGCCTGCAGACTAGACATCCTCCAGTTGACCTCCCCATCATAAACTGAGATATGATGGTCCCCCACAGCTATCTGAGGTCTTGGTCTCCCATAGGGCTGCACAGAAAGGGTGCACATTCATCCACCAAGGCATGACCCGCTGCGGCACACACACACCCAGAACCTCATTTTACACAACACACACAAACACATCCCTACTCTATCACACATGTAATGTCACAAACACACAATCACATATTCAGTTACACGTACATTCACATCCTCTTACTCTGTTCTACACAGAGACACACACATACATGCACACACAATATCACGGGACCAGTGATTCTCAAATGTATCTAAACATTGGCCTTACCTGGGAGCTTTAAAAAATTCTGATGCTCAGGCCACAGCTCACACCAGTTAAGTCAGTATCTCTGGAGCTGAAAGCCAGGTACATATCTGGCTTTAAATCTATCCAATGTATATATTTATCACAGTTTCTTTATCCACTTACTGACTGATGACCATTTGGGCTACTTCCACATTTTTGCAATTGTGAATTGTGCTGCTATAAACATGTCTGTACAAGTATCTTTTTTGTATTATGACTTCTTGTCCTCTGGGTAGGTACCCAGTAGTGGGATTGCTGGATCAAATGGTAGTTTTATTTTCAGTTCTTCAAGGAATATTCACAATGTTTTCCATAGTGGTTGTACTAGTTTACATTCCAACTAGCAGAGTAGAAGTGTTCCCTTTTCACTTCATCCATGCCAACATCTATTATTTTTTTATTTTCTTGATTATGGCCATTCTTGCAGGAATAAGGTGGTATCACATTGTGGTTTTGATTTGCATTTCCCCGATCATTAGTGATGTTGAACATTTTTTCATATGTTTGTGCCCATTTGTATATCTTCTATTGAGAACTGTGTATTCATGTCCTTAGCCCACTTTTTGATGGGATTATTTGTTTTTCCTTGCTAATTTGAGTTCATTGTACATATGGTGGAATACTACTCAGCCATAAAAATGAATGAATTAATGGTATTCACAGCAACCTGGATGGGACTGGAGATAATTATTCTAAGTGAAGTAACTCAGGAATGGAAAACCAAACATCATATGTTCTCACTCATAAGTGGGAGCTAAGCTATGAGGATGCAAAGGCGCAAGAATGATACAATGGACTTTGGGGACTCAGAGGGAAAGCGGGGAGGGAGTAAGGGATAAGATACTACAAAGTGGGTTCAGTGAGTACTGCTCGGATGGTGGGTGCACCGAGATCTCACAAATCACCACTGAAGAACTTACTTATGTAACCAAATACCGCCTGCTTCCCAAAAGCCTATGGAAATAAAAACTTAAAAAAAAAAAAAAAAAAAAAAAAACTCAGGGAACTGTAAAAAAAAAAATAAACAAAATAAAATTCTACCAAAAAAAATAACGTACCCAAGTGATTCTAATGTGCAACCAAGGTTGAAATCTACTACTCTACACCATGGCCTTATGGCTAACAGAAAAAAGAAATAAGAGGGTGTCAATTTCCTTTCACAATGGAAGGGGCAAGAGAAATGGAGAAAACTGAATTTAAACGACTTCCAAACATCTCTGGTGGAATCCCCGGAGTCATAAATATCCAGACCACTTGTCTGGTGTTTCTCGTACACGTCCCACCATGTCTTTTTCCATTTGTGGATGTCCATTAGTCAACGACCACTAGGAACACACTTTCATCAAACAAAGTTGGGTTTATTGATCCAATGCATTGGAGGAAATGGTGCACCGTGGAGAACCATGAGGCATCAGTGTAAGAGACTGAGCAGAGCTTCTTGCAGGATTTGGGCTTGTGCCGTACACTGTGGAGGAGGTTTCAAGGAAGCAGGGATTGGATATGTCAGGAAGGGAGGCCAGTTCCATGACTAGGGCTTATCTAGGGGTCAAGAGGAATGAAGTTGACCTAAAACTCTACTTTATTTATTATTATTATTATTATTATTATTGTTATTATTGATAAAGAAGCAGGCATAAGGCAGGAAATAAAGATATTTTATGATTCTTATGCTTTGGACAATGTTCTTGCTTTTGTTTGTGCTCAGACACAATTATGGGCCAGTCTTGTGTTTGTCTTTCTCCATCATTAGCTGCAGAGTGGTCCTTATCTGACGTTTATCATTTGTGAAATTGTTCCTGTTCAGGAGGACAGCGGGAGAGACTAGCTGGACATGCCAGGCCAGCTCCCGCCTGTCAGCAGCTGCCTTTTTCTTTCCCCTATCTCATCCTCTGTTCTCCACATTAACTCTGTGTTGTTTCTTTGCTTCTAAAATGTGTCTGCTTCTTCCACAAGGTGATGAAGTTCATCTTTTCAACGTCCTTTATAACACATGGCACAGTGCTAGGCACATCGGCGAGGGAACTCTAACATTCTGAAAAGAACATGAGGTTTTGATTTGGAATCAGAAGACCCGCTTTCAATTCCTGCTTTCTACTTGCTAAGTATGCAATTTGGGCAAGTGGCTCAATTTCTCTGAGCCCCAGATGGGGATGATAATCCCTGTCTAGTTCACTGGATTTCCAGGAAAAGGAAAATGAGACAACTCTGCAACCACAAGGAGTTGACAAAGCAGCAGATTCTCGAGAAATGTGCAAAGGGTAAGTCAATGAAGAGAAGAGGTGATTGGTTTGACCAATACCTTTATCAAGAGTTGCAAAGGACAATGGCTTAAGAGACCTCTAAAGATGCCATAGTGGATACAGGAAGTCGAAAAACAGGTGGAGTTCTAGTCACCCAGGTGATCCTTCAGCTCTTAGAAATGGCCTTCAAGATAAGCAACTAGAGGTTGAATTTGTTTAGAATGCCGCACTCCAGCAGTTTCTGCACGCCTACTATGTGCCAGGCATTGTGATACAGATGTAGAAAAAAAAATTAGAGTTTTTTTTTTTTCCCCAAAGATGCTTCTAGTCTTTTGGGAGAAAGAAAGGTTTCAACTTGACATAATAAACAATAGAGGCACTTACAAAGTACAGCACAGCATAGAGCAAACAGGAGTTAATTTTGTCAGTGGCTGGGCAGAAGAAGAGCCACTGGAGATGGTAGGGAAAAACCAAAGAAAAAGGAGAATGCTTCAGCTGGGATTTGGGGTTTTGTTTGTTTGTTTGTTTGTTTGTTTGAAGTGAAGTCTGGCTCTGTTGCCCAGGCTGGAGTGCAGTGGTGTGATCTCGGTTCACTGCAACCGCTGCCTCCCAGGTTCAAGCAATTCTTCTGCCTCAGCCTCCTGAGTAGCTGAGACTATAGGTACACACCACCACGTCCGGCTAATTTTTGTATTTTTAGTAGAGACGGGGTTTCACCATGTTGGCCAGGCTGGTCTCGAACTCCTGACCTCAAGTGATCTGCCTGCCTCAGCCTCCCAAAGTGCTGGGAGTGCAGGTGTGAGCCACCGCACCTGGCCAAGCTGGGCTTTTGAAGGATGGATAAGAGGTTTCCAGGCAGATAGATGAGGAAATGTGAAGGGGAATATTCCAGCAGAAGTGTGAGGGGCAGTGGGTTCAAAGGTACAACAGTATGAACTACTCTGATGTAACCCGAGATCTTGAAACCCATTTATAAATAAGCGGTGATATGAGTGGGTATGAGACAGTCATATCCACCCCAGCTCATAACAACATTGTTTAGGGCACAGCCCTGGGCTCTTCCCTTGGCATTTGTCTTTTTAGCAGACATTCAGAAGCTAATTTAGGGGCAGCTGTCAAGAGCTTTGAGCTTCACAGACCATGTGAGTGAACTTCCTCTGGGTAACCAAAACGGAGAGAAATCTGGCCAAATGTACTGGCCAGAGAGAACTTCCTTAAAGGATCCTTTTAAAATACACTACATACAATTCAGAGGAGCGGGTACCTCCTGGGTACCTTCCACTGGGGTGGATATTCTTTCCAGCTCCCCCTTGCTGAATTCACACCATAGCCAACTGGCTAATGAGCCACTTGAGCCACGTCCACATGTCAGCTGTCCCAGAAGCAGTTAACCTTGAAACAATTGTGCCCCGCCCCCGCCACAAAGGCAAGCATACAGTAATGCTCACTTCTAGAATCCCTCTTCTGGGTGACCGAGGGCCTGATGAAGACACAGGTGCCACAACACATATAAAGAGGCCATCTTCATTGGTCCAGGCTACTACAACAAATTATCATAGACTGGGTGGCTTTAACACCAGAAATTCCTTTTTCACAGCTCTGGAGGCTAGAAGTCTGAGACTAGGGTGTTAGGATGATCAGATTCTGGTGAGAGCTCTCTTCCAGGTTATCGACAGCTGACTACGTGTCCTATCCCCACTTGGCAGAAAGAGGATGGGAGAGTGCTGTAGGTCCCTTAAAAAAGGGCACTAATCCCATTCATGATGCTCCACCCTCACAACCTCATTAATTAGTTCCCAAAGGCTCCACATCCTAATACCGTCATATTGGGGGTTAGAATTTAAAAATGTAAACTTTAGGCCGGCCACAGTGGCTCATACCTGTAATCCCAGCACTTTGTTGGGGCTGAGGCAGGCAGAATACTTGAGGTTAGGAGTTTGAGACCAGCCTGGCCAATATGGTGAAACCTTATCTCTAGAAAAATACAAAATTTAGCCGGGCACAGTGGTGTGTACCTGTAATCCCAGCTACTCGGGAGGCTGAGGCAGGAGGATCCCTTGAACCTGGGAGGTGGAGGTTGCAGTGAGCCGAGATCATGCCACTGCACTCCAGTCTGGGCAACAGAGGGAGACCCTGTCTCAAACAAACAAACAAACAAACAATGTACATAAATATAAATTTTGAGTAGACACAAACATTTAATTCAATACAAAGTCCAATATACACATAATTAAAATTGGTATATGAACAAATAAATTTAACTAGACCTTGACTTTCTCATCTGCATCTCTAGAAGTTTACATATTCAACTTGGGTTTTTAGAAAAGCATTTAACCATCTCACTAAAAAAATGAGAGTTATCAGTTTCAGAAGAATTTAATATTGAGTGCTGTGAGAGAAGATCAGAGAAAATCCTGATTAGGAGTAGGAAGCTGTGTTGAGGAAGTCAGGTCTTCAAGTCACTGTGCCATCCTCAGGCACCACCTACAAGGGGCACTCAGCACTCTCAGAGCTGTTCTGATTCCTAGTCTGAACTTCCCCTCCCAAAGGCTCCACATCCTAATACCATCACATTGGGGGTTAGAATTTAAAAACGTAAATTTTAGGCCAGCCATGGTGGCTTATACCTGTAATCTCAGCACTTTGGGGGGCTGATATATCTTTCATATAGCTTTCCATTTTTCCCACGCTGCCTTTGACACTCCTAGGTATCAACCTCGCTCTGTGCTCTCCTATTATCCTACCCTCTTCCCTCTATAAACCTTAGGCTTAAAACTACTTCCCTGACTCGATCCCTACTGATATTTTTCTCTTTTTACATTTTACATCAGCATCCTGGAGGTATAATTTCTAGATAATAAAATGTATCCATCTTAAAAGCACAGCTTGATGAGTTTCAACAAATGGTTATTCACATAACCAGCATCCCAATCAAAATACAAAACCCAAATCGGTGCCCTCATTCTCCTCTGTAGTCAGCCCTTTCTGTGACTATAGATTAATGTTCCTGTTCTAGAATTCATTAAGAATGGAATCATACAGCGTGTGCTCTTTTGTGTTTTGTGTCTGACTGCTCTTATTCAGCGTGATGTCTCTAAAATTCATCCACATTGTTGTACATGCCAGTCGTTTATTCTTTTTTTTTTTTTTTTTTTTTTCTGGCGGAGTCTTGCTCTGTCACCCAGGCTAGAGTGCAGTGGTGCGATCTCAGCTCACTGCAACCTCCGCCTCCCAGGTTCAAGTGATTCTCCTGCCTCAGCCTCCTGAGTAGCTGGGATTACAGTCGCCCGCCACCATGCCTGGCTAATTTTTGTATTTTTAGTAGAGACCGGGTTTCACCATGTTGGCCAGGCTGGTCTTGAACTCCTGACCTCAGCCTCGATCCACCCGCCTCAGCCTCCCAAAGTGCTGGGATTACAGGTGTGAGCCACTGCACCCAGCCCTCGTTTATTCTTTTTGTGGCTGAAAAGTATTTATTTGTATGAATATACACATTCATGTATCCATCCACATATTGAAAGATATTTGGGTTTTTCCAGTTTTTGAGTAGTACAAATGAAGTAGCTATAAACATTCAAAGTCCTGCACTGCCTTTGTTCTATGTGCGAAAAATAGTTCTTTCATATATATTGTCCAGTTGTCTAACGTCTCATGGTGGGCAAGATAATCTTTAGTTATTATCAACAAATTGGCCTCCCTGCCGCACCCAGACCTGCTGTCCTCATCCTATTCCAGGATGCGCTGTTTGGCTCAACCCTAAGACCCTCCTCTCCCAGAGAAGCATTTCTACCAGGCGTGCCGCTGCCCTAAAAATAGAAAACAGATATTTAAAAATCAGACTTTGGTAATCAGGTTAACATCAACCAATGAAAAGTCATGGTGACGGCATGCATTCCCTGACACGATGTCACAAGAAGGGCACTTTTCTCCATAGTATTCTTCACCAAGACTGCAACACCAGGTTGATTAATCATGAGAAACCCAAATTGACAGGTAACATAACACCTGGCCAGTACTCTTGAAACCTGTCAAGGTCAAGAAAAAACAGGAACGACTGAGAAACTGTCACAGACCAAAGGACAGGAAGGAGACATGACCACGAAGTATAAAGCAATATCCTAAATGGGGTCTTAGACCAACAACAACAAAAAATGACATTAATGGAAAAACTGGTAAATCCGCATAAAGTCCAGAGTTTGGTGGAGAGTAATGTACCAGTGTTGGTTTCTTGGTTTTGACAAATGTACATTCCATGTTGATATAAGAGGTTACAAAAGAGGAAACTAGGTAAGGGAACTGTCTGTACTATTTTTGCAACTTTTCTGCAAACATAAAATTATTCCAAAATAAAAAATTAATTTAAAAAATGTCAAGCTGTAACAGTCTCAGCCCATGATGGCCAATAAAGCAATAACCCTGAGCTGTGGCCGTTGAGTCTAAGCCTGCTCTGCTGCCCCTACACCTGCATTTTCTGAGAAAGGTGAATGACCCCTCATCTGTTTGCACTTCCGGTTTATTTTTTCTTTGCTCTTTGTCCAGATCTTCTTGGGATTTGTGATTGTTACATCACTGCATTGTTAATACAGCCAGAAATCCTTCCCGTGGCCTTTCCCACAGGTTGGGTGATAAACTGCCCCAACCCAAGGAGGGAGAGACGCTCCTTTGAACAAAGCAGAGACGTGTTCACATTCAATTCCAGCTAGCTCCAGGAAGAGGAAGAGAAAGCTGTGGGGGCACATACCCTCCAAAGTTCTTTGGGTAGCATTATGGCCTCTAATACCCTGGCTTTTCCATCATTTTCCCTTTTTCACTGGAAAGCAAAGCACCCCAGAGTGGGTAAGGCTGCCATTTTACAAACCCTGCGCCCTGCTCTGTAGTTTTATTTCCCAAGGTTAACGATCCAAATAAATCGGCCCTGTCTTGCCTCTGCTAAGCTGCTTGAGAAATGTTTTATAGTCAACATAGATCAGATTGGTACCTTATTCCTTTGAAAGTTGTCCTCGGTAGAAGTTCTCGCTCTACCTAATGAACCAATATTAGTTTAACTACATGTTATTAATTAAAAGTGGAATTTTATGCAGAATCTTTTTCCCCTACTAAAGAAGAAAAAGGAATATTGTACTTCACAGATTCTTAACAGAATAGTAGTCTCTGGATTTATGGGCCTCTTTTAATGGACATCATGAAATATCTTTTAAGGCTATCCTACCCTTAGGGACTTCATTCTTCTTCCACACAAGATCTGGTCACAGGTAACTCTCTATAGCCCAGGTCATTTAGCTTTCATGTGTGGGAGAAGACCTTTCATCTTAGGTTCTCAACCTTTTCTTCATCCCAAACCTTTTCCTGGTAAGTCAACATGAATTGTGTGCACAAGAAAACAAATGCCATGTCTCCTGGCCATTCTGGCCACAGATTTAGGGGAATGTCTTTATTTGGGTTATTCCAGAAGTAAACCCTGAAATAAGGATTCAAGTTGCAAGTACCTTATTAGGAAGTGCTCCAAGACCACATGAGCAGGGAGAAGTAAGACAGGGAAGCGATGGAAATTCATATAAAGGGGGTGTTATCAGGTAATTCATACAAACGGGTTATGTATGAATAAGTTATCATATAAAGGGGGTAGTTATTAGTATGGGTAACTGGGGCTTATCTACACTGGCATACTCTGGATCCAATACAGAATGCACACCTCGGAGTCATCCACCAGGGAGACTGGGAGCTGGGTCTTCATTCCTCATCTTTCAATTGTCACAGGTTGGCAGCTACTCCTGGGGGGTGTTAATTTCCCAACCCTCCTGGCCTCCCCTTCTAGCCTCTGTCCATGGGCAGAGTGGACTCCAATGATCAAAGAGAGCCTTCAAGCAAAGAGACACAGGCGCTGGCAGTTGCAAATTAGGCCAACTTCCAGGGAAACTGTGAGAGCTGATAGGAGATGGCTGGCCACCAGAAGTACATGCAAATCAGTGCACCAAGGCAGAGATGGGGATGCAGCCCAGCCCTCCAGCCCTCTGGCCATGTTGGATAAATCACGCTTCTGCCTTTAGCATCAAGAGAACACCTGGCATGATTTCAGACAAGATCGGGCACGTTCAGGGTTGTATGGCCATAGACACCTGGCATGATTTCAAAAGTGTGATGGGTTAGTCCAGCTCCAGGAACCTGCTGGCTGGAAGTCAGCATGCTGCCTCTCTTTGTGTGGTCCTAGGTAGTGACACAGTAGAAAGATGATGAGCCAGTAGGACTGGTTCTGCCACTAGTGGTTACCTTAGGAAAGTCACTTGACCTCTCTGAAACTCAGTTTCTTCTATCTGTGATTGATTGATTGACAGATAGATAGATCGATGAGACTATCTAAGATGTGATCTCATTAGTACTTACCCTGAATGAAAGCTAATATATCTCATCTATAATTAAGAAAGCTAGGGTGTCCTGTGTTGCTGAGTCAAATGAGATAATGTACTCATCAGGCTCTGTTATGAACTAAATGTTTGTGTTTCCCCAAAATTTGTAGGTTGAAATTCTAATCTTCCATGTGATGGTATTTGGAGGTGGGGCCTTTAGCATGTAGTTTTACATGAGGTCATGAGGGTGGTGCTCTCATAATGGGATTAGCGTCCTTCTAAGAAGAGGAAGAGACAGAATAACTCTCTCCAAGAACACAAACCACAGAAAGGCCATGTGAGGACACAGCAAGAAGGAAACTGTCTAGAAGCCAGGAAGAGGACCCTCAGAATGAGGGTCTGCAGAATGAATCTGCAGACGACTTGATCTTGGACTTCTCAGCTACCAGAATCATGAAAAATACAATCTGTTGTTTAAGCCACTCAGTCTCTGGTATTTTGTTACAGCAGTTCTAGCTGACAAAGACAGCATCCTACAAAAGATAAGGTAGTGTTGATAAGAACTCCATAAGGATGGCAAAAATACAGCCCAAAGTAACCCAGGGTATCCTGGGTTACTAAAGATATTGTAACCAATGTATGAAAATGGATATGAGATTTCAGGGGTTGTAAGAAACATAAATATCAAATGGAACTCATGATCTTTGTTTGGATCCTGGCTTTAAAAAAACAATTATAAATATATATTTGAAACAAATGGAGAAATTTGAACATGGAGCAACATATTAGATGATATTAAGGAATTTGTATTTATTTTGTTAGGTGCAATATGGTATATGGTACTATGGTTTTGTAGGAAAGTGATCTCTTTTTTTTTTTTTTAATGCAGTCTTGCTCTGTCACCCAGGCTGGAGTGCAGTGGTGTGATCTTGGCTCACTGCAACCTCCACCTCCCAGGTTTAAGTGATTCTCCTGCCTCAGGCTCCTGTGTAGCTGGGACTACAGGTGCCCACCACCACGCCTGGCTAATTTTTGTATTTTTAGTAGAGACGGGGTTTCGCCATGTTGGCCAAGCTGGTCTGAAACTCCTGACCTCAGGTGATCCGCCTGCCTCAGCCTCCCAAAGTTCCGGGATTACAGGCGTGGGCCAACACACCCAGCCAATCTCATTATTTTGGAGATGCAAGTTCATATACGTAGAGGGGAAATGTTATGATGTCTGCATTTAATGTAAAATAATTGAGTAAAATCTGGCAAAATGCTAACAAATGCTATGTGGTAGCTATATTCATTATACTGTTTTCTCTACTTTTTATATGTTTGAAAAGTTCCATAATAAAAATTTTATAATGTTTTAAAGGAACTTTTAAAATATATTTTTCAAATATCAAAAAAAGTAGACAGCACAATTGGGATTTATTTATGTTGCTGTATTGAACCCTAGTTCATTTATTTTTTATTGAAAATTTTATTGGGATAATTATAGATTCACATGTAGTTGTGAGAAATAATAGAGTTTCCATGTATACTTTACCCAGTGGTAACATTTTGCAAAACTAGGGTATAATATCATAACCAGGATATTGACATTGATTGAATCTAATCTTCTTCCAAATTCCCTTGTTTTACTTGTACTCATTGGTATCTATGTGCATAGTGAACTGTATACAATTTTATCATGCATGTAAATGCGTGTCACGATACTGAAAAGTTCCATCACTCCAAGGATCCCTCATGTTGTCCTTTTAAAACCACGCCCATCTCCCCTTCTTCACCGCCCCCATCTCTAAAGTCTGGCTCCCCTACTTTTAAAATTTTTGTCATTTCAAAAATGTTCTATAAATGGAATCATATAGCATGGAGCCTTTAGTGATCAGCTTTTCTTAGTTGGCATAATTCCCCGGATATTTATTTGAGTTATTGCATGCATCAAAAGTGTAGCCCTTTCTCTTGTTGAGTCCTGTTCCATGAAATCTCCCTATCACGGTTTGCTAAACCATTCACCTGTTGAAGGATGTCTGGGCTGACTCCAGTTTGGGGGCTATTACAAATAAAGCTGTTATAAATATTTGTATACAGGTTTGAGCATACATTTTCATTTCTCTGGCAGAAATGTTCAGGAGTATAATTGCTGGGTCATATGCTAACTGTATGATTCATTTTATTTTTAAAAACTGCCAAACTGTTTTCCAAAGTGGCTGTATCATTTTACATTCCCCACCAGCACTGTGCCAGGGATCCAGGTTTCCCACAACCCTGTCAGCATTTGCTGTTGTGACTACTTTTTATTTTAGCCTTCTGATAGATGTGTAGTGATTTCTCATTGTCTTAATTTGCCTTCCCCTGATGGCTAAAGATCCTGAGCATCTTTTCCTGTCCTTATCTGCCATCTGTATATCCTGCTCTGTGAAATGCCTGTTCAGGCTTTCCCATTTCCTAATTGGACTATGTTTGTTTTGTTTTTACTGTTGAATCTTGGGAGTTCCTTGTATATTTAGATCCTAACACCTTGTCAGATATGTGGTTTGTAAATATTATTTCCCAGTCTATCATGTGTCTTCACATGAGCTTTCTCAGAGCAAAAGTTTTTAGTTTTGATGAGATCCAATTTAAGCTCATGGATTGTTCACTGTTCTATAGTAATCCACTGTGGCTATACCACAATGTGTGGGCCAGACCAAGTGACTTCCTGCTAACAAATAGAATATCACTAAAGTGATGAGATAATTGAGGTTAGGCTGTTAAAAAAAAAAAAAACTGTGACATCTGTCTTGCTTACCCTCTCTCACTCTCTCGCTGGTTCACTCTAAGAGAACACAGCTGCCAAGTTGTGAGCTGCTCAATGGAGAATCCCAGGTGGTAAGGAACTGATGTCTCCAGCCAATAGCCAGAGAGGATCTGAGGCTGCCAATAACCAGGTGAATGGGCTTGGAAGTGGATCCTACCCAGTCAAGCCTTGAGATGATGGCTGTAGCCCAGCCACCACCGTGATCACAGCCTGTGAGAAGGACTGAACCAGGGGTACCCAGCCAGTTCCCATCCCAAAGAAACAGTAAGAAAATAAATTGTCTAATTTTAAGCTTCTAAGTGTTGGCATAATTTGCTATGCAGCTAATACACACAATATGTCTTATTTATGGCCATTTAAGATGTTTCCATTTTTTATTATTATAAACAGTGAAGCAATGCGGATTCTTGTAGAGATGTACTTAAGCACATATGGAATAGTTTCTTGGGGTGTATGCCTGGTAGTGAAATTTATTTATTCACTATGGAATATCAAATGCAAAATTTTACTAGATTTTACCAAACTGTTGTCTACAGTAGTTGAAACATTCCCAACAAAAGGTATCCCCATTTCGCCACATTCTACTCAACTTTTGGTACTGCCATATTGATGGGTGTGGAATGGCATCATATTTCTCAAAAAAATTTTTGAGATAGGGTCTTGCTCTGTTGTCCAGGCAGGAGTGCAGTGGCACAATCATTGCTCACTGCAGCCTCAAAACTTCGAGACTCAAGTGATCCTCCCACCTCATCCTCTCAAGCACCTGGGTGGAAAGGTGCACAGCACCATGCCTGGCTAATTTTGTTCGTTTTTTTTAGGGAGACAGGGTTTTGCTATGTTGCCTAGGCTGCTCTCAAATCGCTGGGCTCAAGTGATCCTCCCGCCTTGGCCTGGAAAAGAGCTGGGCTTACAGATAGGAGCCACTGTGCCTGGCCACTTAATTTTCAAATTTAATTACCCTAATTAATAAAGAAGATCTCAGTTCATATTTATCGGTCTTTGGGGTTTCTTCTTCTGCAGATTGCCTGTTCTCATCATTTTCCCCTTTTCCCTTTGGTTGTGTTAAATTGTTAAATTAAATAAGCAGGAGGCCATTGGCCTGAGGCTGTCTCTGTACTTTGAGTTCGTATGTAATGGACTACAACCTAATTTAGCGTGTAAACAAACCAAAATATAATTTAGGAGTCTATTTTTTGTAACAGAGAGCCAGGTCTCCACCAATCACAAACAGCCAAGCCTCACCAATCACAGGCGGCCAACCGATCAGACCATGTCCAAATAAGGCAAAGCCCAGCTGTAACCTATCAAGCTATTTCTGTATTTTACTTCCATTTTCTGTCTATAAATACTCACTGCCCACTCAGAGATGAGCTCTCCAAACTTCTCCTGGTTCTGCATGCTGTGTGATTGCTGTCATTCTTTGCCCAAAAAAACTCTGCTAGATTTATTTTTGTTAAAAGTTTTTAACAGTTGTGTGTAGTTGGAATTGACTTGTAGGAGTTCCTTATGTCTTTAGGAAACTAATTCTCTGTATTGCAAATGTATTCTGCTAGTCACTGGTTTGTTGTTACACTTTGCTTATATTGTATTCAACATACAGAAGTTTTAAATTTAGTGTAGCCAAATTTATCAATTGCTACACTTCAGGGTTCTACTTTCTTCATCTTAATTAAGCAACATGTATTTTCCCAAGATGTAAAGATATTCCACTTTAGTTCCTTCTAAAAGCTGTAAGGCTTTGCTTTTGTTACATTTAGATCTTTGATCCACCTGGAGTTTAGAATATGATGTGACCTAAGGATGTACTAAGAAGGCTTTTCTGATTTGATAATCAATAATCCTATTCATTTAATACTTTTTCCCACTGATTTTACTTTTCTCCTGCTGATCTTAAATGCCGTCTTTGTCATACAACCAGTTTCTCTCTCTCTCTCTCTCTCTCTCTCTCCCCCTCTTTCTCTCTCTCTCTCTCTGTGTGTGTATGTGTGTGTGCGCCTGTATGTGTGTGAGAGAGAATGTGTGTGTGTTATGGGGTTCTAGACTCTGTTCTGTTCACTTCATTAGTTTATTGTCTATGCCTGTGCCAATACCACAGTTTGTTAATGGATATATGTTTTGAAGAGGTTTTGATATCAAGTAGAAAGAGCCCCAGCTCTGTTCTATTTCTAAATTATCTTCCCTTCTCTTTGCCCATTATTCCTCTGTATGGTTTTCAGAATTGGTTTACCAAACACCACCACAATCATTGTTTGGATTTTGATGGATAAAATTTATTATTGTGGGGGGGGGAGTAAATTTGCATAACAATAATATTGAGTCCTCCCACAAGATAAAAAACATCCTAAGCAGAGAAAAATCAATTCTTACAAAACATCTGAAAATGGTTGTATTTTATGCCCTCATCCAAGCATGTAAAGACTGTCTATAGAGCACCTGCTAAGCTTGAACTTGGCTCTCTGACCTATTATCTATGTACATTTATAACAACTCCCAGCTGTCCATCAGACACCCATGTTAGATGTCGAAATGTGGTTCTTAGTGCTGTTTGTCAGTATTCTACACAGAAACCCAGGAATGCCCAAACCCTTTCCTGCCAATCAGCACCAGCGACCTTTATACACAAAGGACAATAGAAGAATAAAAATAAGAATACCACTGTATTAAGATCAAAGCAAACACCCAATATCTCAGTGTAATAATTATCTGTGAAAAGTTTGAATCATGTAGCTTAAGCATTTTACCCAAGCAAGGGCTTCTCCTCCCCCTCTATAATCTAAATCTTGGAACAACTTAGAGGTAAGCAGAAGAGAGATAAAGGAGAAAGAAGACTGGCCTGAAGGGCAAATTCTGGTCTAACTTGACTAACCAACTTTAAGCTCAGAAGAGGTAATAAAAAAAAAAAAGATGGAGATAAAGGGTGGCCTGACATTAGGTCTGTAACAAGAATCACAAGAGGAGAGAGTAGAGACTAGGATTCTGCCTAAAGTACACAATATCCACTGCATCTAGTAAAACAGCACTCAATTAATATTATAGGTGCCAACCAAGGAATAGCACCTCCTCCTTCCTTGAGTAGAGAGTTAGGAAGATGGCAATGGAAGTGAACTTGGTATAAGCAGATGCACCAACTCGGATTCCCTCCCTCAAATTTGTTCACAGGCCATTCACTCACTCAGTTGTTGTTCAATCATTTATTTCTCAAACACTGTTAAGTACAGTCAGTCCTCACTACCCACAGATTCCAAATTTGAGGGATCACCTGTCTTGGTCTATTTTGTGCTGCTATAATAGAATACCACAGACTAGGCAATTTACAATGAACAGAAATGTATTGGCTCATGGCTCTGGAGGCTGGGAAGTCTGAGATTGAAGCAGCTGGCATCTAGCAAGGGACTACTTACTGCTTCATCCCGCAATGGAAGGGCAAAGAGAGGAGGACAGAGAGACAAAAGGGAACCAAACTCATCCTTTTATAAAGAACCAACTCCCAAAATAACAAACGTACTCCTGTGATAAGAGCATTAATCCATTTATGAGGGCAGAGCCCTCATGGCCTAATAATCTCTTAAAGGTCTCACCTCTTAATACTGTTACAATGGTAATTCAATTTTGACAGGAGTTGGGGAAGGGGGTAAATATTCAAACCATAGCATCACCTGCCTACTATAATTTATTTATGATCTTTAAATGCTTTGGAGGTCTTTGCAGATAAATGAAGAAGAATAAAAAAGTTTGAGGCACTCAACATACACATTCCCAGTAGAGGTTAAAGCAACACTCTGCCTTCTTGCTTCAGCTCTCCTACTACAAATAAATGTCCTTCTTGCAATCAACTTAGTCCCATATTTTTGCATCATATATATGTGTGTGTGTGCATATATATATATGACGCACATATATATATATGCACGCACACACATACATACAGTATATATACTATATATGGTATATATACACCATGGATTACTATTAAGCCATTATAAAGACTAAAATCATGTCTTTTGCAGCAACATGGATAGAACTGGAGGCCTTTATCTTAAGTGAAACAACTTAGAAACAACTTAGAAACAGAAAGTCAAATACTGTTGTGTTCTCACTTATAAGTGGAAGCTAAATAATGTGTACACATGAATGTAGAGAGTGAAATAATAAACATTGGAGACTTGGAAGGGTGGAAGGGTGGGAGGTAGGTGAAGGAAGAGAAGTTACTTCATGAGGACAATGTATATCCCTTGGGTGACAGTTACACTAAAAGCCCAGACTTCATCACTATGCAATATATCCATGAAATAAAACTGCATTTGTACCCTTTAAATTTATACAAATTTATTTATTTTCTTTTATTATACTTTAAGTTCTATGCAGAATATGTGTGCAGAAAGTACAAGGTTGTTACATAGGTATACAGGTGCCACGGTGGTTTGCTGCACCCATCAACCTGTCATCTGCATTAGGTATTTCTCCTAATGCTATCCCTCCCCTAGCCCCCCAACCCTCTGACAGGCCCTGGTGTGTGATGTTCCCTTCCCTGTGTCCACGTGTTCTCATTGTTCAACTCCCACTTATGAGTGAGAACATGCAGTGTTTAGTTTTCTGTTCTTGTGTTATTTTGCTGAGAATGATGGTTTCCAGCTTCATCCATGTCCCTGCAAAGGACATGAACTCATCCTGGGAATATACCCAAAGGATTATAAATCGTTCTACTATAAAGACACATGCACACATATGTTTGTTGCAGCACTGTTCACAATACCGAAGACTTGGAACCAGCCCAAATGCCCATCAATGACAGACTGGATAAAGAAAATGTGGCACATATACAACATGGAATACTATGGAGCCACAAATTTTTTTAAATGTCGTAAGAGGTAAGACTAGATTGGGTGCCAGAAAACCTGGATTTGAGTCCAGGTTCTCCTACACAATGAATCTATTTCTTGGATATATCATCAAATTTATCTTGGCCTTCATTCCTTCATCTATAAGACTGATAGCTTGCCTTCTAAGTCGGAAGACTGTCCAGGAGACAAAAGGGTGTCCTTTGCAGGAACTTCAATATGAATGGCAGCTGCTGGAGTTATGTAGGGCACTACCAGTGCAGGTTAATGCAGAGACCCTGCCTCCAGCATGCCATATTTCCTCATTTTCAATGATTACAATGGCATTTGGGTTTTCTTCATCTCTGCAAGCTTAATTGGATCAAGCTCTCTCCCCAATGCCTCAGAAGATGTTCTGTGTTTCTGTGCTGATGTAGGAAGTTTCTTGACCTGTAAGATCCTGGACCTTGATAAATCCATTCCCAAAATAAAGGCCACTATGTGGGGTTTCTTGTGAGACAGTTAAAATTCTGCTGATTCCTCCCTGACTTTACTGCCAACTGCTTTTACATTCTAACAGACGGTCTGACCTTTTCAGAGTCTCCGTTTCCTCTTCTATAAAAAGAGGATATGCAACAATTGGAATTCCATACCACCGGGATAGAACAAACCCATTACAGGGTGGGGACGCTTTCTTTGCACTCTTAGAAAGTTTAAATTCATAACACATGCTCCTGTCTTCAGCCAAAGTGTAACTCCAAAATTGTTTAATTTACATTTAATTATTTATTCTGCTGTTTTGCCTTCTCCAGTTACTAATAGATAATTGCATAAGAGGAAATGAAATCCAATACACAATAGTAGTGCGAGATCAATTTACAGGCAAATTCCTGGCTTGGAAACACTGAAATGGGACACAAGTGATTCAGTACAAAGCAAGCAGGGAGATGGTACCCCCCCACACACAGCCCTTTAATTAGATCCTTAACTTATTTAATGACACCTCTGGGTCTGGAAAGCTGTTATTGTTTAAGCGTTTAATGTACCATACAATTCAGGGGAAGGAGATTGGGAAGGAAAACGACAAAATGCTTTTAGGACTCAAGTTATTGGTGTGACCTGCCTGGCATCCCCAAGCAATCCTGGTGATGACATTTTGCGTTCTTTCCCCCTTCTGTGTGTCAGATATTGGTGGAAAGACGCTTCCGGAAACGCTGTGCAGCAATTGCCCTCAAAAGTTTATTTTACAACCTAGCAATGATGTATATTTCCACTTCCTGCCTCAGCACATTCATAATCAACAAGAAGTATTGTTTTCCCTGCAGTTATTCTTCACCTTGGGTAAAAAAAAAAAAATCAGAGTCCAAGAAGAATGGGCAAGAAATGCAATTATTGGCCAGGCACAGTGGCTCACTCCTGTAATCCCAGCACTTTGGGAGGGTGAGGTGGGTGGATCACCTGAGGTCAGGAGTTTGAGACCAGCCTGGCCAACATGGTGAAACCCCATCTCTACTAAAAACACAAAAATTAGCCGGGCATGGTGGTCCATGCCTGTAATCCCAGCTACTTGGGAAGCTGAGGCAGGAGAATCACTTGAACCCAGGAGGCAGAGGTGCAGTGAGCCGAGGTTGTGCCACTGCACTGCAGCCTGATGACAGAGCAAGATTCTGTCTCAAATAAAAAGAAAGAAAAAAGAAATACAATCATTTTTCTAAAACCGGATGTACTTTATTACCAGATTTTATTTTAAATGGAAGATAGGAGCTTGCTCTCAATAACTTTGAGGTCCCCCTCCCGCTGCGGTTGCCTCTAAGCATGCTTGGTTTCAACTCTCCACGCATTCATCAACCTGTTTCCAGTGCTTGTCTTTCTGGGTGAGGGTATAGGAATAAAATGCAACCTCCCTATCAGAACAAGCATGTATTCTAGGTGAGCAGTGTCTGGATTCAATCATCTTCTTTCTGCTCTTCTCACTAGAGCTGTTTCTATTGCCGGCAGTGTCTCATTCAATATATTTTTCTGTCTACATTTAGCTTCTCCTTGTATTTCTCCTCTCATTCCAGTTATGCATTCTTTGTGACCTTTTCCACATGAATCAAACACCAGAGATTATAGGTAAGAGAGCTGAAAACACGGGCGAGAACTCTGAGACAACTTAATAGAACTCTCAGCTGGTAAAGAAACTCCCACAGGTAAAGAAACTGAGGTTCAGGGACATGTTTGGGCCAGAATTGGGACTAGACGCCAGGGTATCCCAGCAGCCAACTAATCCCCCCTCACTAGGAATAAATAGTTCCAATTTTCCTAACATCTGAGGTTGAGAGGTGGGGCGCATCAACTGTGACATGTCTGAGCTGCATAGAGGATGGGGTATTGTGTTCCAATGCAGCTTTTTCTCTGATGGAAAACCTGAAATTCTTCAGAGACGTGCGTAACTAACGTAATCACTGTCTTTGGGCAGGGGGCTGTTCCCTGCCTCAATGTTCTCATCTGTAAAATGAAGAAAACAACAGTATTCTCACAAGAATTAAATGATACAATAAAGATAAAGCATTTAGTATAGTTTTTTGTTTATTTGTTTGTTTGTTTTTGTTTTTGAGATGGAGTCTCGCTCTGTCGCCCAGGCTGGAGTGCAGTGGCGCAATCTTGGCCCATTGCAAGCTCCGCCTCCCGGGTTCACACCATTCTCCTGCCTCAGCCTCCTGAGTAGCTGGGACTACAGGCACCCGCCACCACGCCCACCTATTTTTTTTTTTTTTTTGTATTTTTAGTAGAGATGGTGTTTCACCGTATTAGCCAAGGTGGTCTCTATCTCCTGACCTCGTGATCCTCCGGCCTAGGCCTCCCAAAGTGCTGGGATTACAGGCGTGAGCCACCGCGCCTGGCCAGTATAGTTTTTGATGTAGAGTAAGTGCTTAATAGACGTTAGTTATCATTAAATCATCATTACCATCATCATCATCATCTTATCACTTATTGTTTGGAGACCTCTGTTATACTTTGATGCTTGAATCATTCTGTAAAACAGCAGTACCGCTGGAAGAATTCTTCCAGTCATTCATTGCCAGATATTTATGTAAAGGGTAATTGGCAAAATAGCACTTCCTTCCTCTGCATGGTGGGAAATGATGCCCTTGTTAGCTTTTCTTTCCTGCTGGGAAAATGCTAGGCCATAAATAAACATTGAAATATGAAATACTCAATGAATGAATGAAAATAACATGGGGGTATAACTAGAAAAAAAGTCTGCAAAATGTTATAATCAACTTTGAGTTTTAATATACTATTAACAGTGACAGAAATAACTACAAAGAGGGCTCACAGACCAGACAAATTTCCTCTTTGGATGGCCAAACATCTGCAGTAACTGTTCTTCTTTATTCTTCTCCTTCCCAGCCTAAAGGATTTGGTATACCTCTGTTAAGGCCTGAAGATGTGTTTGCCTGGAGTAACTACAGCCCTCTACAAACAAAAAATGAAAGTCGGAAAGTGAAGAATTAGGGTTGCCAGACAAAATAAAGGAAGCACAACTAAATGCGAATTTCAAATAGATAAGAGAATTATTTTAGTACGTCTCAAATACTGCATGAGCATCTGTTATTTTGATACTTGGTTTTGCTTTGTTTTGTTTCTAAATCTGGCAACCCTTCAAATAATACCCATTTTCCCTATTTGGCATATAAAACATAGGTAATTTAGTAGTCTGTCTGGCAGTGTCTGGTAAGAACTTATTTGGATTATGAAGAGATGAAACAAGACCACTGTACAGATAATCAGGGATCTCCCTGAGAAGAAATAGAGGTGGCCTCCACAGGCTAATGAATCCATCGCCTGAAATCGTACCACTTACAGAACGGGTTAAGGTTTATTTTGAAAGAGGAAGAATTAGAAAAGACTTAGATTTGAGAGAGTGTAACATATTTATAGAAGCCTATTTTTATGAGGTATTTTTAGACTAGAGCGTTACCTGATTCCCATGGGGAATTCTATGTTTTAATAAACTCCAAAGACTCAATAATGGGATATTATATTTGTGCTAATTTCACTATCCCAATATACCTTAGTATTTGGGATATGGGGAGAGATATTCTGACCCAAAAAAATTATGTGCCAGACATTTAATACACGTTACTTCAGCTAGTCCACAGAACAACCCTGTGAAATATAAATTGGGGTTCAGAAAGTTGAAAACTAACTGAAAAATGTGTACATACCATATGACCTACTAATGCCACCCTCGGTTATTTCCCCTCAAGAAATGCAAACTAGGCTGGGCACAGTGGCCCACAGCTGTAATCCCAGCACTTTGGGAGGCCGAGGCAGGCGGCTCACTTGAGGTCAGGAGTTCGAGACCAGCCTGGGCAACATGGTGAAACCCCGTCTCTACTAACAATACAAAAATTAGCCGGGTATGGTGACACGTGCCTGTAATCTCAGGTACTCGGGAGGCTGAGGCAGGAGAATTGCTTGAACCCGGGAGGCGGAGGTTTCAGTGAGCTGAGATCGCGCCACTACACTCCAGCCTGGGTGACAGAGTGAGACTCTGTCTCAAAAGAAAAAAAAAAAAGAAATATAAACTTATGTTCATACAAACACCTGTACACACATGTTGATAGCAGCTTTACTTGCAGTTGCCCCAAAATGGAAACTTTATTCATAATTGCCCCAAATTGCCCCTAAATGCCCTTCGATGGGTAAAAAACTTTAGCAAACTGTGGCACACCGATACAATGAAATGCTATTCGACAATGAAAAAGAATGAACTACTGATATACACAACAGTGTAGATGAATCTCGAAGGCATCATTTTGAGTGAAAGAAACCAGTTTCAAAATGTTACCTACTGTGTGATTTCGTTTATATGACATTCTTGAAAAGACACGACCATGGTGACAGAGAACAGACCACAGGGGTTGGCATGGGGATTAGAGCATGACTAATACTAGGATAGCAGGACGGAGGTTTCTGGGGTGATGGAACAGTTCTGTATTCTGATTACGGTGATTATATAAATATATGCCTATACAGTCATAGAACCGTACATGAAAAAATCAGTTTTACTGTATGATAATGTTAAAAAATAAAATTAACTTAAAACACAGAACTAGCAAATTTGAGGATTGGCATTCAAATCTTGGTCACTTGAACCCTGTAAGAACTCCCTAAAAGCAACTATAAGTCAGTTGACAACATGTTTCAAGATGGCAAGGATACTGATACATACATATACATATTATACGTATATACACACGCACACATACACACACACATACATACATACACTACGTATGTGTGTATATATATTCCTCTTCCAAGTGCTTAGCATAGCGTCTGGAAAGTTCTACAGGAATAGCTTGAATTTTTGGCCTGTAATACTCTATTTGCTTAATTGCTCAATGCCCCTGCCAGCTGGGAGCTTGACTAATCACCTACGCTAATATAAAGTCAGTGCCAATGGAAGCTGTCATTTTTCTGTCCTTCAGCTGGAGGACTTTCTTTTTTTTTTTTTTTTTGAGACGGAGTCTTGCTCTGTCACCCAGGCTAGAGTGAAGAGGTGCAATCTTGACTCACTGCAACCTCTGCCTCCTGGGTTGAAGTGATTCTCCTGCCTCAGCCTCCCCAGTAGCTGGGATTACAAGCGCCTGCCACCACGCCCGGCTAATTTTTTGTATTTTTAGTAGAGACGGGGTTTCACCATGTTTAGCCAGGATGGTCTCAATCTCTTGACCTCGTGATCCGCCTGCCTCAGCCTCCCAAAGTGCTGGGATTACAGGCGTGAACCACCGCCCAGCCTCAGTTGGTCATGGTTTTCACCTGACCTTTCCCTTGAGCCCCTGGCTCAACAGCCCCATGTCAATGTCTACTAGTCACCTCAAACTCAACATGGCCTAAACAGAACTATTGAGTTCCTGCCCCCTACATAAAACTTCAAACAAAAAAACTCCAAATTAAAGCAATTTTTCTTTCCCATGTCAGTAAATGGCACCAACATTCATCCAGGTGCTCAAGCCAAAAGCTGAATATCACTCTTGATTCCTCCATTCCCTCACCTCCCCATTGCCAGCTCATCCACCCCCATCAAATCCATCATCGTCTCTCCATCTTTATCCCTCTCATCCTGATCCCCATCTTCTACCTGGAAAACTGCAAGAGCCTTGTCTTTGACATCCCAGCTTCCACACTTGCCCTGCTATGGGTCATTTTCTGCAGAATGAGCTGGTGTTTTAAATTAAAATTGCATCATGCCACTAAAGCCCTACCCTTCTTCCTTTCATGCTTCAAGTACCACTCATTGCCTGGACTGCTATGATTTGACCCTTCCTCACCTCACTGATCCTCTTTCAAATGTCCCTTTCACATAGGCTTCAGGCACCTTTGCTTTTATACTGGTTATCAAATATGCCAAACTACCTCCTACTCTAGTGCCCCTGTCTTCACTGTCCCCTCAGCCTGGACCACTCTTCCCCTAGATCATGGCTAGTTTCTCCATTTCATGAAGGTCTCACCTTAAATCTGACCTCTTTGCATGCAACTTATTTAACCTCCCAATCCAGAGAAGCCTCTTTCAGATCAAAGAGCATTTATTATTTTCATTAAATAACCTGATATTCTTATTTACAAGAATAAGTTGTCTGCTGTTCTCCTCTGGAATATAACCTCCATGAGTACAGAGTTTTCTTCTGCTATAGCCTCAGTGCTGAGAATGCTGCCTGACACCTAGTAGGTGTGCAGTAAATGTTTAATGAATGGATTGGAAAGAAAATGCATGCAATGTATGCAAAGAAAAAATAATTGGGGTATCCTTGGAGAAACTCTAAAAGACTGCGTAAGTGGGCTGACAGATTCCAGAGGACACATTTAAAGAAAAAAAATCCCTAAGGTACAAAAGATTTCAGAAAAAAACTACAGTCCAGGGGCAAAAAATGTCCTTCACTCTCTGTGTTAAAACTTCAACCCCAAACACTTGGGAGCTTCTTCCCTCAACCAATCAGGTACCTCCTCTGAGGGTAAAGAGCATGGCAGATATTCCAAAAATGAATTAGTATGTTTATTAGGTCACATCCCCCGAGACAAACCACTTGTCTCATCAAATTTACAGCTGTCTCCAAAGCATGGAAAATCCTCTCCAATCAGCAAGTTACATGGGCCGACTTAACATATTGTACAATGTTGATTTATGGTGACAATTAAGAACGTATTACCAAAGTCTATTTCACCATTAACACCCCTGGGGACTGAATAACTTCTAAATCTTCCGGCTGCTACCTCCCAAAAGGCTTGGATCTTGGCTAAGGATTTAGAGATTATAAATTTAACAAAGGATGAAAACTGCAAGAGGAGAGTCTTGAACAGCAAATAATGAGTTTAACCAGCTTCTCAACTTCTCGGTGAGATTTATAACGCCTTCCTGCCTGAGGGCAAGGAATCTTTTATTTTGAAGTTTATAGCCTCTATCACTTATTGTTTTAGCTCCAGATGTGAGAGTCTGGCATTTGGATGGGATTCTTTTTGGAAGCCAGTATTCATCAGTTCAGCAAATCTTTCCTTCTGACAGTCTTTTTGGAGAACAGTACAGTGACCAGAAGGCAACGACTGTCACTTCCAAAGATAGGCACCTACTACTTCAACAAGTTGCTGGATGTACAGACCCTGCATTGCATATTCATCTGACCAAAAAGCCCAAGGACCAGACTTCTAATAGTCTGACATGAAATAACTCTAGGACTAATTGGTTCCATGGTTCTAGAGTTGGATTCTCACCAGTGGTGCAGCTGGGTCACCTTTGTGATCACCAGTACCAGCAAAGAAACATGAGCCAATCATTATCTACGTAGGGTTGAACTGGCCAAGTTTGAGTGCCAATCACATCCAGGTCACATTTTCCCAAAGTATGGATCAGAGACCATCGGAATCACCCGGGGTGCTTTCAAAGGAAGAAAAACCCTCTATACCAAACCTACTTAATCAGAATCTGTGGAATTTGGAGTTAGGAAACTCCATTCTTTTTTAAAATATTATTTATAGAGGTGGGGTCTTGCTGTGTTGCCCAGGCTGGTCTCAAACTCCTGGACTCAAGCGATCCTCCCTCCTTGGCTTCCCAAAGTGCTGGGATTACAGATGTGAGCCACCACCCCCAGTCGGAATCTCCATTCTTAACATGCTCTATAGATTATTCTCATGCACTCTAAATTTTGGGAAACTCAAGCTTTGTTGTAATGCATGCAACCCAACCTGGAAGGACAAGTCACCTACTCTGGGTGGAGACCTCAAGTGCCACCAGTAAGCATCTCTCTGCCTTTCGTTATTTTCTTCTGAAAATGTAACTCATCCTCAGGGCCCCATGGAGAGAAAGGAAGATGAAATTCCTGAGGAGAGTTCATCTCTCTGAGATATTTACCTTTCACTGGACCACCCACTAGCATAACATTTCTGTACAATCATGCTCAGCTTTGAGGTGAAATACGTGTCTACAAAATACTTGGCACTCTTCAGGTTGTTAGAATATTTTTAGAAATGAAAATAACTTGAGAACTCAGTAATGAATATACAATAGAAGCATTTCAGGTATCATGAGGTTGGTGGAAGAAAAATAATTTTACTCTATTTATAGGCAGAACTATCTATCCTCTCTCTGACTCTCCCCCAGAGGAGAATCATATGAAGTTTGGCTCCTAGGACATGTATTAGGGACTGGAAATTCGTCCCATATGTGAGTCCAAATTTCAAAGTTATCCAGTAATGAGGATTTCAGAGTGTGGCATTTTGCCACGGGGTGAACTGACCACCAAGTGCAATAAGTGCTACGTGCAAGCATGCATACACATGTATACACAAATAAGCCTGGGAAAGGTACTATTCTGTTTGGCAGGAATTGGCAGAGAATAGTGGTTCAATGAACACAAAGTTTATAGATTCCAGTCACCAGAATCTATCTATCTATCTTCCTTCCTTCCTTCCTTCCTTCCTTCCTTCCTTCCTTCCTTCCTTCCTTCCTTTCTTTCTCCCTCCCTCCCTCCCTCTGTCCCTTCCTTCCTTCCTTCCTTCTCTCTCTCTCTCTCTTTCTTCTTTTTTTTTTTTTCTTTTTTTTGAGATGGAGTCTCACTCTGTTTTCCAGGCTGGAGTGCATTGGTGTGATCTCAGCTCACTGCAACCTCCGCCTCCCCGGTTCAAGCAATTCTCCTGCCTCAGCCTCCTGACTAGCTGAGATTACAGGCGTGCACCACCACACCCAGCTAATTTTTGTATTTTTAGTACAGACAGGGTTTCATTATGTTGGCCAGGCTGGTCTCAAACTCCTGACCTCAAGTGACCACCCGTCTCAGCCTCCCAAAGTGCTGGGATTACAGGCGTGAGCCACCGCTCCCGGCCTACTCTGGTTACCAGCATCTTAACTATAATAATCAAAAAGCATCAATAAACATCAGATATTCGACTGTAACATTTCTCTTACAAGTTACAGTTTCACAACGTGACTTGGATGTGATATGGCACACTGATGTGACTATTGTGGTGACTAACATTTGTTGGGACTTTTACATGTGTGGTAGGTGATCGTCACTACCACGTACGAGTTAGGTGAACTTTTTAATCTTCATTTTACAGATGAGAAAACAAAACATTTAACTGACCTGCCAAGATTATAGAGGAGAGAAGTGAGGGAGATAGGGTTGAATCCAGATGGTCTCACTCCAGAGGCAACTTCTTCAGTAAAGGGCCACGTAAGTAAATGTTTTAGTCTTTGTGAGTCAAATGGTCTTTGAGGAAAGGACTCAGCTCTACCACTGTGGCATGAAAGCAGCCATGGACAGTAGGTAAACAAGTAAATGTCGTTGTGATTGTGTGTCAATAAAACTCTATTTACGGGCACCGAATTTGAATTTCATGTAATTTTCACATGTCTTAAAATATTACTTTGGGGTTTTTTTTTTCAAGTATTTGAAAATGTGAAAACTATCATTATCACATGGTCCATACAAAAATGGGTGATGGGGTGGATTTTGCCTGCAGGCTGTAGTTTGCAGACCCCGATCTAAAGTATTGACCCTTCCAAGATTTAGATCCTGCCTTTTCCTACCATTTTGTAGTTGTGATAACTTGAGCAAGTCATTTAACTTCTCAGTTTGCTTGCTCTTAGTCACTTAATCTTTTACCTTGATCGATGGTATGCAGTCAGCTATTCATACATTCATATATTCATTTAACAAATATTTATTGAACCCATGCACTGGGCTAGATACTGGAGGTGCTAGATTTTGTCCCTGCCCTCCCTGAGCTTACATTTCAGAGGAAATAACAGATAAATAAGTAAGTATCTTACTTTCAGGACAACCAAATAGGGTAAGGAGCTCCAACCCTATCAAAGGCATCATGGGGAAATTAGAAAGTAGAGACTTTTTGGACATGGGCAGTTCCATGCCAGGAGGGGGACCTCAAATCATACTTTCACCTCTCCTGCCCTAGACTGATCCTCTTGGGAGAGCACTGAATTATCTAAATTACAGAACCTAGTACATTGCTCTAATTCTTTGACAAAAGATGAATTTGTTTTTCATTGCCATGTTACAAGTTATCATACACTTAGCAGCTTAAAACGACATATATTTATTATCTCAAGTTTTCACAGATCAGGAGTCTAGACAGGCTTAGCTGCCTCTTCTGCTCAGAGTCCTATGAGGCTGTCAATGAGGCATCAGTTGGGCTGTGTTCTCATCTAGAGGTTTGAGTAGAGAAAAATCAGCCTCCAGGTTCATTCGGATTGCTGGCAGAATTCATTTTCTTGTGGCTGTAGATCTCATGGTGGCTTGCTTCTTCGAGGCCAACAGGATAATGAAAATGAGTGTTCTCAGAGTCATATATGTAGTAAGATAGTGAGGGCCATGATATCCCATCACCTTTGCCATACAATATAATTCAATCAAGCCAGTGACATCCTATCCATCACCTTTGCTGTATTCTGTTGGCAAGAGGAAGTCACAGGTCCTACCACATGGAATGAGAGGGGATCGCCAAGACATAACACTAGAAAGCGGAGGTCACTGGGGTTGTCTTGGAATCCTACCTGCCATAAAATATGCCATCTGAAACATAGGACCGATAGTGGTGCCTGGGTCAAAGGGTTGTCTTACATTTAAAGAGCTTAAAACAGAGCCTGGCACAAAGGAAGAATCTTTTTTTTTTTTTTTTTTGGGACAGAGTCTTGCTCTGCCACCCAGGCTGGAGTGCTGTGGCATGATCCCAGTTCATTGCAACCTCCACCTCCAGGGTTCAAGTGATTCTCCTGCTTCAGCCTCCCAAGTAGCTGGGACTACAGGTGCAGGGGCAGGCCACTATGTTTGGGCTAATTTTTGTATTTTTAGTGGAGACAGGGTTTTGCCATGTTGGCCAGGCTGGTCTCGAACTCCTGGCTGCAAGTGATCTGCCCACCTCGACCTCCCACAGTGCTGGGATTACAGGCATGTGCCACTGTGCCCGGCCAGGAAGAACTCATTTTGTTTTCCTTATCATCTGCCACTATCATTATTAAGAAGGTTCCAGCCATGTCTCACACAGCTCAGAGCATCCTTTAGCCTCTTCAAGGTGATTTGGGATACTGGGATACTCCTGTGCAGAGAGCAACTTCCCTTCTCTACCTCCAGGGATGTCTATGCAACACTTACTGAATCCACATTACCTCTGACATCTTGAACTTCTCACGCTGGACCTAACAGCTCTGTGCCATCTCATTTTCTAGGTGGAAATGTTTCCTTCAGAGATAGGGTATGTCAACTTTTGCCCATAACCTCTGAGCTCCCAAATTCCAATTTTCTTTCATTCAACAAATTCATCTTACAATCTTTTATTGTGTGCCTACTATATATCAAGTGCTAGGCTTTCTCCTTCTCAGTAGGTCTGTGCCAATCCATAACCCCAGAACTTTTTCTCATTTTGCCTCTTTTAATTTGGCAAAAATTAAAAATTAAATTAAAAAATTAATTTTTAAAATATTAAAAAAATTAAACATTTGGCAAAAATCTGTCGCTTTTTCCCATTCTAGTTAAGATTAGGTTTGTGTTTTAAGGGCATTAGCTGCAGCTTTGTGCTGTTAGAGAAATAGTGCATCTTATTGACCTGCTCTCTTATTTTATAGAACTGCAGAGAACTGGCCTGGTGCGGTGGCTCACGCCTGTAATCCTAGCACTTTGGGAAGCTGAGGCGGGAGGATCACGAGGTCACCAGTTCAAGACCATCCTGGCCAATATGGTGAAACCCTATCCCTACTAAAAATACAAAAATTAGCTGGGTGTGATGGCACACTCCTGTAGTCCCAGCTACCCAGGAGGCTGAGGTGGGAGAATCACTTGAACCTGGGAGGTAGAAGTTGCAGTGAGCCAAGATCATGCCACTGTGCTCCAGCCTGGGTGACAGAGCAAGACTCCATCTCAAAAAAAAAAAAAGCAGAAAACTAAAGTTTCTTTTCTCTCTTCTCTCCATATACACACATATATATTTTTTTTCCTACTGCCTTATCTGCCTTATCCTGCCGTTTAGATTCAAATTGCTCCCTGCCTCCTTTCTAAGTGATTCCCCTCAAAAACCTGGAAAATTAGTTGACGGGTTTTTTTTCTTTTTTTTCTTTTTTCTTTTTCCTTTTTTTTTTTTTTTTTGCCTCTGATCTCCTAGAAATTCTTTTAGCAAGATTTCCCTCAAACTACAAGATTCAAGTGATTGTCACTATATAATTAGTAATAATAGAACTATTAATAATGATGATATTAATAACAAGTAATACTGCTAGAGCTCTTCCGATATTCCAGGGTATGCTCTAAGATCTTTGTACATTTTAGCCTATTTAACCCTCATTTTGGATATCAGGAAACTGAAGCGTAGAGAAATTAAGTAACTCGTCAAAGGTCACACGACTTGAAAGTGACAGCTGAGATTCATGCTCAAGCTAATTCCAAGGTCTACACTTTTAACCACTATGTAATTTTGCCTCTTCACATAGACCATGAGAAAAATGTTAGTGGAAACAGAATTCCATATCCAGAAATAGACTATGAGAAAAATGTTAGTGAAAACAGAATTCCATGTCCAGAAATATACTTTGAATCCAAATGACAGGGCAAGGTAGTAGGGTAATACGGGGAGAAAAAGGAAAAATTTTAACTTTTCACCCCTATGAAATGCGACTGAGGGTCAGGTCAATAGGCTGGGCTCTATCTCTGATATCTCAATGCTCTAAATATTGCTTTTACCAAATCATCCCAGATGAAGTGCAACATGAGAAAAAGTGATGCTGAATCCAAGTTAAAACAGTCATGATGGGAGAGGGTATGGATTCGCCAGAACTAGAGTCAAATCCTAGTCTAAGACTTAATACCCACTTGAAGATTGGGGGACAAGAAGTGTATGCCCAATTTCATTTGAGGAAATAAATGTCTGTTCCTAAAATCAAGCTAGTAAATTACAAATGGATTCTATGGGTTTTTTTGTTTTGTTTTTTGTTTTTGCAGTTGCAAGATTTAATAGAGTGAAAACAGAGCTCCCATACAAAGGCACCCAAAGAGGGTAGCTGTTGCCAGCTCTAAGGCCTGGGTTTATATCCCGATCATTGTCCCTCCTGCTGTGCTCTCAGGCGATAGATGACTGGCTGTTTCCTTACCTCCTGTTTTCGCCTAATCAGTATTTTAGTGAGCTCTCTTTACTACCTGATTTGTTGGGTATGAGCTAAGTTGCAAGCCCCGTGTTTAAAGGTGGATGTGGTCACCTTCCCAGCTAGGCTTAGGGATTCTTAGTTGGCCTAGGAAATCCAGCTAGTCCTGTCTCTCAGTCCCCACTCTCAACAGGAAAACCCAAGTGCTGTTGAGGAGGTTGGCTGATGACCACTCTAACTGCTTCCTGATGAATTGGGGCATAGTAGGGGTCATGCAGTTGAGATTTCCTTGGGAGGGGTGCCTTCGGTGTCATCAACATCGGAGTGTGGGCTAGCAGACCAGTCCAGGGGTCCATGGTAGATCTTAGTCATGGACTGCATCTGGGGCTCCATTTGAAGAACCTACAAATGGATTCTTATCCATTAATTAGAACATGCTGCTATGTCTAAGATACATATTCTAGATAGTGATATTATTTATTTTATTTTATGTTTACTTATATGTATTCTAGAAAGGGATGTTATTTATTTTATTTTACTTCTATTGCTTTATATTTTTTCAAGGCAACAAAATCAAGATATACAAAATTATAAATAATATTTAATTATTAAATATTATAATATTAGCACCAGGTGTGGTGGCTCACACCTGTAATCCCAGCAACTTTGAGAGGCCGAGGCAAGCAGATCACTTGAGCTCAGGAGTTTAAGATCAGCCTGAGCAACATGGTGAAACCCCATCTCTACAGAAAAAAATACAAAAAATTAGCTGGGTATGGTGGCAAGCACTTGTAGTCCCAGCTATTTGGAAGGCTGAGGCAGGAGGATTGCTTGAGCTGTGGAAGTTGAGGCTGCAGAAAGCCATGATCGCACCACTGCACTCCAGCCTGGGTGACAGAGAGAGATTCTGTCTCAAAAAAAAGGTTATAGTATTAGTACTCAACATGGGAAATTTCACTTCATTTCTTTTTTAAAATAATTAAAACTTTTTTTTTTTGTAATATTTGGCAGGAGAATCCAGTCCATTTATTCAGCAAATAGTTACTTACATTGTATTAGTCCATTGTCACACTACTGATAAAGACATACCCAAGACTGGGAAGAAAAAGAGTTCTAATGGGACCTACAGTTCCACATGACTGAGGAGCCCTCAGAATCATGACAGGAGATGAAAGGCACTTCTTACATGGCAGTGGCAAGAGAAAAAATGAGGAGGAAGCAAAAGCAGAAACCCCAGATAAACCCATTAGATCTCGTGAGACTTACTCACTATCATGAGAATAGCACAGGAGAGACTGGCCCCCATGATTTGATTAACTCCTCCTGGGTCCCTCCCACAACACGTGGGAATTCTGGGAGATACAATTCAAGCTGAGATTTGAGTGGGGACACAGCCACACTAAATCACACATTCACAAGGATAATATTTGCTATGCTTCTACATTGAGCCAGGCTCTGTGCTAAACCCTTGGTCTAGAATGGGTTATCTAGACCAGACCCATTCTTTAAGCTTCAGGTGCTTACTCTCTACTGAGTATTGAACCATAGGAGACTGCAAATATTCAATCATTTTTTACTTATAAGAATGGCAATTTCCTATAATCCAACCTTATAATAAGGAAATATATCAAATGATTACACAAATGGAAGTACAATTATAATGTGAGATAACAGCCATGTAGGAAAATGTAAGGTTCTACATAAATCAGGAAAAAGACAAAAGGCTAGTTTCGGAATAGTGTTGGAGATTCTTCTTTTCTACCCCATGTTGCTTTCCAAGTGCAGAGAGTTCCATTAATCAATCAGTCCTAACCTCCCTCCATCTTCCTCCCCTGGAAAATTAGGGAGAGAACTGCTGCTGGGCCCCTTCCTTCTCCTTCCTCTTAGGAGCTAACCACTACAGAAAACCTGCTTTGCTCTGTTCCTCTATGCAGTGTTTTTGTTTTGTTTTGTTTTTATTGTGGTAAATATATATAACATACAACTTACCATTTTAACCATTTTTAAGGTACAGCTCAGTGGCATTAAGTACATTCACATTGCTGTGCAACCATTACCACCATTCATCTGCAGAACTTTTATCATCTTCCCCAAATTGAAACTCTGTTCCCACTAAACAACTCCCCATTCTCCCTCTCTCCAGCCCCTGGCAACTACCATTCTGCTTTCCGTCTCTATAAGTTTAACAACTTTAGATATCTCATATGAGTGAAATCATACAGCATTTGTATTTTTGTGACTGGCTTACTTCACTTAGCATAATGTCCTCCAGGCTTATCCATATTGTACAATGTGTCAGAATTTCCTTTCTTTTTAAGACTGAATAATATTTTATTATGTGGACATATGACATTTTGTTTCATTTAATGACATTCATTTATCAATGGACATTGGAATTACTTCCTCCTTTGGCCATTGTGAAAAATACTGCTGTAAATATGGATGCAAAAATATCTGTCCAAGTCCCTGCTTTCAATTGTTTTAGGTATATACTCAGAAATGGAATTGCTGAATCACATGAAAATTTCATTTTTAATTTTTTAAGAAACCACCATACTGTTTTCCATTGGGATCACACAATTTTACCTCCTCACTGGCCATGCACAGGGTTCCAGTGTTTCTACATCCTCACTGACACCTGTATTTTCCTTTAAAAAAAATAATAAAAGCCTTTCTATTCCAAGGGGTGTCAAGCGGTAACTCATTATGGTTTTGATTTGTATTTCCTTAGTGATTATTGATGTTGAGCATCTTTTCATATGCTTTTCAGCCAATTGTATACCTTCTTTGGAGGAATGTCTATACAAGTCCTTCATCCATTTTTAAATCATGTTTTTTGTTTGCTTGTTGTTGAATTGTAGGAGTCCTTTATATATTCTGGATATCTTTCTCTTATCATGTATATAACCTGCAAATATGTTCTCCAATTCTATGGGTTGCCTTTTAAGTGTGTTGATAGTGTGCTTTGATGCACATAAGTTTTAAATTTTGATCTATTCCAATTGATGTATTTTTCCTTTTGTTGCCTATACTTTTGATGTCATATCACGCTGAAGTTTTACAAAGGCAGGCCCACCATGGGGCATCCCGGGGGGTCTGGTGATGCCTGTGACTAAGTGGTAAGTCTAGTTAATTCTGGATTCAGTATAAAAATTTTACCCACAGAAATGAGCCATATTTTCCAACGTCAGTTTTTCTGATTTAACAAAGATGTATTTTGATCTCCATCTGAATCACTCCTTGACTTTTTCTTAATTTGTTTAGTATCAACTTATGCCCCCATCCAAATACCAAAAGGAAGCTGGGCATATGCGGTTTTTGGAACGATATCTCAAGAATGCATAGAAGTTAACAATTTAAGGGAAAAGACAAGAGTAGATCGTTCAAGGCAGGGCAATGAAAAGAGAGTATACAAATGTCCTATAGTAGGAGAAGTATAATATGATTTTACAAAAACACCAAAAAAAAGCCTAATAAAGGCCGATAAAAAGCACAGAGAAGAGAACAAAAAGAATGGGGTGAAAGATGAGGTTCCAGACAGGAGCACAGCCAGGGTCCCACACCGGCAGGATCTTGTAGAATATTGTGTCTGCCCTTAACTAGAAAGAGTTAAGCCTATGATCCTTAAAGGTTTGCTTACCCTCATTCCTGAGCATAAGTAATGAAAGCATCAGATTTCCCCTAGAAGGCGAAGATTCCTATTGAACAATACAGATAAGCATGCCATTTTGCTGCCACCAAAGCCTTAGGTCAGAAATGCTTTAATTGGCTAAGAAGATTCCCTTATATCAAAAACAGGAAAACAAAATCATGAAAAAAGGCAACACAAATTAAACTAACAAAATAAAGTGCTTGGAGTGGGAAGACATCATTATTATTCCCCTAAAATTGTCCAAAAACTAAAACAAAAAATAATCTTCCCAAAATGCATTTGGCTATTAGAAATATAAACACTTAGCTGGGCACGGTGGCTCACACCTGTAATCCTAACTGGGACGCCAAGGTGGGCAGATCACGAGGTCAAGAGATCGAGACCATCCTGGCCAACATGGTGAAACCCTGTCTCTACTAAAAATACAAAAATTAGGCCAGGTGTGGTGACTCACGCCTTTAATCCCAGCACTTTGGGAGGCCAGGACACGCGGATCACCTGAGGTCAGGAATTCAAGACCAGCCTGGCCAACATGGTGAAATTCCGTCTCTACTAAAAATGTAAAAATTAGCCGGGCATAGTGGTGCATTAGCTGGGCACAGTGGCCTGTAACCTCAACTATGTGGGAGACTGAGCCAGGAGAATTGCTTGAACCTGGGCGGTGGAGGTTGCAGTGAGCCAAGATCGCACCACTGCACTGCAGCCTGGCGACAGAGCGAGACTCCATCTCAAAAAACATAAAAATAAATAAATAAATATAAACACTTTGTCCTAGTCTTTAGAAAGGGATTAGAAAAAAAAAAGAAATACATTGATAATACTTTCCTCTGAACACCTCAATCAACCCATAGTAGCTAGGACTACACAGAGCTACATTATCTCGTTTAACTCTCACAACTTCCCCAAGAGGATGGGTACTACCATTATCCCTATTTTGCAGATTAGAAAATCAAGGCATTAAAGAACTGAATTCCCAAGAGTTATTCTACTAATGCATAATGAATTGGTTAAAAATCAGGCTTGTCTGTTGCCAGAATTTATGTTACTAACCATTATAACAGCCTTGTTTGCACAAATTCTATCCCAGAGAAAAGAACAGGCATCTTTGGCCAGCTTAGAGAAAGGACCCTTCCCTAAATATGAGGAGATTTTCACATTGTGTTGTCCCTTCATTCAGCCAATTCCAGATCCTGATGAGAGACCTGAAGAGTATGCACAGACTCTGCTGAGTGACTGGGAACACTGAGGGGGAAAGGGAAGATGGACAAACTGTAAAGAATGTAGATCCAATGAGAAGAAAAAAAGACTAGGAATGAAAGAAAGGGGAAAGGGGTCATCCTCCTCCCAAAAGCGTATCCATTTTAATTAAGCTAGTTATCTGCAGTTGCTTTTTTATCTAAACATTAGCTTCTCCCACCTAAAGATTGAAATGCAGAATTAAAGAGAGGTATTTTAAAATAAGATTAGTCCTTCCTCATTCGTTTATTCTCTAACATTAATTTACAGAGCCCCTTCTCCATGCCAGGCACTCGTCTAGGCAGTTGGGATAGATCAGTGGATGAAACAAATATCCCTTCCTATGTAAAGTTTACATCCTACTGAAGGGAGATAGACAATAATCAATAAACAAAATAAATAAAAAATATAAAATGTTCAATAGTATTTTTTGAAAAGTTGATTAATAAGGGACATCAAGAGTATTGGAACAGGAAGAGGAAGCATAGTTGCAGGAGTAATATGTCCTCATTAAAAAAGTCCTCATGTAGTGCTCAAGCTGCCCCTTTTGTGATCACTCCCTTCAGGTTGTTTTTAGTCAAGTATTACCTCAAACACATTCCCTTTCAAGTTTTCCTTGGTCCTGGCATCAGGTGCAGGAGGACAATGACATCAACTCATTCTCAAGGCTGGGGCCAAAGGAGACCATAATGTGTGGCAGGACTGCTGAATCCAACCAAGAAGAGGACTGACTCTGTAGCTTCTTTTTTGTGACTTATCCCCAGATATCCCTGGATGGAAGGGGAGGAGAAAAACCCAACCTGAGGAAGCCAGCCCATGGGGGTACAGACCTCAACGTCAAGGTGGTTATAAAGACAGATTGAAAGAGGAACCCATGCCTTTTTCTACCCACATTTATCTTCACTGGCTGGGAGAGAGTTAGCCTAGACAGCAAGATCCCATGGGCTGGGGCTAAAAGAGTGTCTCTTCATCCAAAACCATGGATGAGGATGAGGATGATGATGATGATAAGATGATGGTAGTGGTGATGATAAAGATAGTGAGGGTAATGATAATGACGATGATGATGATAGTGATTATGAGGATATGATGGTGATGATGGTGATGATAATGATGGTGATGATGATGATGATGTTGATGTGATGATGATGATGATGGTGATAATGAAGATGGAGATAAAGATGAAGATGGTGATGATAATGATGATGAAGATAATAATGATGGTGATGGTGATGATGATGATGGTGAAGATGGTACTAATGGTGATAGTGATGATGATGATGGTGGTAATGAGACTGACAATGATGACAACAACAACTATTACTATGTATCATGTCCTGGGCCTAGCACTTTATGAACACTAAACAATCAGCTTACATGACAAACCAATGAGAAAAATATTACTATTATCCCCATTTTACTGAGGAAGACATTGAGGCTTCTGAGATACTTATTTTTGTCTCATAGAAAATAAGTGGCAAAAGCCAGATTTAACTGTATAACATCTGGGTTCCAAAATGGAATCAGGAGAGTATTGATGGGAATGGAGATACACCATCTGGTAAGCCATAAAAGAGAGACAGAGTAGTTGGCCAAATCAAAGAACCACAAATAAAAGAAAAACTGTAATATTAGATACATGATATAGTTTGGATGTTTGTCCCCTCCAAATCTCATGTTGAAATACAATCCCCATTGCTGACAGTGGACCTGGTTGGAGGAGTTTGGTTCCTGGGGGTGGAGCCCTCATAAATGGCTTCATGTCCTCCTCATGGTACTGAATGAGTTCTCACTCTATTTGTTCACATCAGAGCTGATTGTTAAAAGGAGGCTGGCACCTCCTCCCTTCTACCTTGCTCCCTCTCTCACCTGTGCCACATCCACAACCCCTTTTGCCTTCCACCTTGATTGTGACCTTCCTGAGGCCCTCACCAGAAGCAGATGCCACCACTATGGTTTTCATGCAGTCTGCAGAAACATGAGCCAAACAATTTTCTTTATAAATTATCCAGCCTCAGGTATTCCTTTATAACAATACAAAATGGACTAATACCATGCATATTTGCTGCCTTCCCTTTTCCTCCTGTTTGCTAAGGATGTACATTTTCTGGGTCTAAGTAGTGAGTGACAGGAGAGGCAGATTACAGAAGTCTGAGGGGCAATGTTAATCTAAAAATATAAACTGGAAGCAAGTAGGTTAGCAAGACCACCATGCACACAGTGGCTGAGTTGAGAATTAAAAGTTCTGGATTTGAGAAAGTAGAGGAGAAACTATCTTGAGGACCAATGTCTCGAGGGAAACAGGGAGAGGAGGCTAGGATAAAGGTCTGCTCTAGGTTGTAGATGGAATTTCCCATGATATTTGTTGAGAAACTTCAGTAAAGATGTGAACTGGGTCTTCTTCATTCAACTTTTCTTTCACTGTTGGGGCTCTTTCCTGGTGTCATTCATTCAGGGAAGATGGGGCCTCCCAACTAGCTCTCCCCAGTCAGTTCTCCCTTGTCATTTCCCCCCACTTTCTATTTTTCAGTCTGTAGCCAGAATGATCTTTTAAGACATATATGAGATTGCCTCGTTATCCACAACACACACTTTAAAACCTATGCATCATGAGAGATTTAAACTCCTGAACATGGTTGATAAAGTTCTCTGTGATCTCACCTCTGCTACCTCACCGACTTCATCTCTTTGTCATTTGATCTCTTACCATTCTTCAACCACTGCCTCCTTTTGAATTCACCTTGCTCCTGGCCACCTCAGGGGCTTTGTATGTGTTATTTCCTTTGTTTTTAGTTAATTCCTATCCACTTTCCACATCTCAACTCAAACATCATCTCCTCAGAAGACTTTTCCTTGAACACCCCCTCATGAACCCCAGACTCCAGCAGGCCTTCCTGTCATATGTCTCATTAGCCCTTATGTTTTTCATTGCATTGTTATCACAGTTTATGTGTGTGATCCATGCTCTCCTTAGACTCTCCCCTGTAACTCTCATTAAAGCAAAAGAGTATTTTAGTTACTATTGTATATTCAAAAATTAGCACAATGCCTAGCCCCCTCCACCCCCAAACATGAGAAAAATAAATCGGGAAGAGTGGCCTCGGGTTTCCCGTCTTAACCTGAGCTTTGAGAAACATAGATATCCACAGGAATGCTCTTGCCTGGTGTGGTCTCTTTGCTGAGAAAAACTATAAGCCAACAATGTAGGGGCTTCTGCAGGGCCATAAGCTAAATATGAATAAAACATACTTTAGAACATGGGAAATTCATGTCATATAACAGAGTAACATCTGGTTTCAACATCACTTCATTCATTTAACTACCTGTGTTGACCTTGGACAGGTTACAAAGGTGATCTGAGACTTTTTTTTTTTTTTTTTTTTTTGAGACAGAGTTTCACTCTTGTTGCCCAGGCTGGAGTGCAATGGCATGATCTCAGCTCAATGCAACCACTGCCTCCCCAGTTCAAGTGATTCTCCTGCCTCAGCCTCCCAAGTAGCTAGGATTACAGGTGCCTGCCACCACGCCCGGCATGGCATATTTTTAGTAGAGACGGGGTTTCACCGTGTTGGTGAAGCTGGTCTCGAACTCCTGACCTTGGATGATCCACCCACCTCGGCCTCCCAAAGTGCTGGGATTACAGGCATGAGCCACCGTGCCTGGCCCTGAGACTCAGTATTCTCATCTGTAAAGTGGGGTTAATGATAGCCCAGGCCTTACTGTCTTGTTGTGAGGATTCAATGAGATAACACATATAAAGGGCTTAACACAGCACTTGGCACATGCAATACTCCATTATTAATGGTAGCTATGCCAAACCAGATAATCTACATCAGGGCTGTCCAATAGAACTTGCCACAACAATGGAACATTCTTCTGTGCTGTCCAATACGATAGCCATTAGCTACCTGTAGCTATTAAGCATTTGAAATATGACTAGTGTGACTGAGGAACTTAATTTTTAGTTTATGGCTGGTGGCCACCATATTGAATTGCACACCACTCTAGACTGGAGTCTTCACTCTCTGGTTCTGAGGGGTGGTGCTGTCCCTGGTGCTAAAATTCTTGATGTTCAGATTACTTGTTCGTTTCATGGGCAAAGGAAGCACTCCTTTGTAAATACCTCTGAGTAGCTTCCATATCACTAGACAACAGCTGTTCTATGGCTTCTCGGAGAAGCTTGATGTAGTCACAAAGAGTGAGCAATAAGTCATTCTTACTCCTCTATAATTCCAAATTCTGGTTATGGTAATAGCTAGTACTTATTAAGCCCTTGCTCTGTGACAAAGTCCATATTAGAGGTTTGTCTCAATCTGCTTGAAATTCTCTGAGGTAGACCCCATTACAATCCCCATTTTGAAGGAGTCTGTTTAGAGGTGCACAACTCATAAGCGGCAGATCCTGGATTTGAATTCAAGTAGCCTGATTTTGGAGTCTGTGCCATAACCACCAGCTAGACTACCTTCTCATACTATGTTCCAGTTTGTCAACAACAGAAATGAACTCTATTTCACTTAAACAGTAAAGGGATTATTAGAAGTTTCCCCAATTGCTCACAGAATCAAAGAGAAAATTAGACTTTGAAAGTGGGGGAAAAAATCAAGGGAAACCAAGTGGCCAAAATCATCTAAACTCTCCCCCAGAAGAGCCCATTAAGAGTGTCTCAGCTGGGCACGGGGGCTCACGCCTGTAATCCCAGCACTTTGGGAGGCTGAGGTGGGCAGATCACGAGGTCAGGAGATCGAGATCATCCCGGCTAACATGGTAAAACCTGTCTCTACTAAAAATACAAAAAAAAAATTAGCCGGGTGTGGTGGCGGGCACCTGTAGTCTCAGCTACTCGGGAGGCTGAGTCAGGAGAATGACGTGAACCCGGGAGGCAGATCTTGCAGCGAGCCGAGGTCGTGCCACTGCACTCCAGCCTGGGTGACAGAGCAAGACTCTGTCTCAAAAAAAAAAAAAAAAAAGAGTGTCTCCACCTCCTCTGCAGCTCGCTGCTTTATGTCAGTAGCCTGAGATTCAAGGACCTAGGAAGAAACATATTATTAGCTGAACTTAGGTCTAAAAAGCCCATACTCTATCATCCAGAGATCATGGGAAGCAAATACTGGCCTTCCAGGTTCTATAGCAGAAGGAGCTGCCAAGGATATCTTCAAGATCAGCTATAAATGATTCCCTAAACATAGTAAATGGGTTAGACATTGAGTAGCCAAAAAATTATAAACATCCACTACCTACTACCCTTACCTGAATCCTTATAAATGTTGTCATTAATAGCGTGTTTTTCTTTCCAGGCTACAAGGTATTGCTTCTAGCCAAGTAAGCATAATCAAAGCCCAGGCTCCTCATCTGAGTATCTTTAAACCTTAACAGAAAGTATCATTTGGGATTTTTTTTTCTTTAAGTGGTTATTTTCCATGCTCCAATCATTCAAGTGCTGCCTTCACAATTTTCTGTCATATGGGTGCATCACTGCTCTATTATTTGCTTAATATTTCTCTTCAAACAGACTCTACATTTTACTTGATTCATTTTGAAAGGAAACTTTATATTACTGCTGAGAACATGGGGTTAGCATACTAGCTATATTTCATCTTCTGATAGTCATTAAAATAAACATAAAACTCTGAATGTTTTTTAAGTTTATTCAGGAACCATCTAAAAGCATCCTCTGCTCCAGAGACGCTGCTCTAATACAAATAACCACCTTGCAGTTTTCCATAAGGTTGCAGTGATGTGAGATGGATAGCAATGCCCGGAGAGACCAGGGGAAGCTCAATTTTTACTACCAGAATTCAGAGTCAGGGATCTCTGGGAAATCTACCTTAGCATTCTCTCTTCTTCCTTGTGTGGCCTTAATCAAACCCCATGGTTCTTTTGTTTCTTGGCCCACTCAATGCCAGCACTTGAGTAATTAACATGTAATACAGCCAAGCACGCCCTTCCATCACAGACACACGTGTCCTCTGCACTACCCAAAATGCTATTTAGGATTAACATTTATTTCCTTCTAAGGAACAGAAATCAAAGTCTAGTTTCTCTTGCACTTTCTGTGTACTGCCTTTATCCCAGACCCAACAAACTGGCAGGCTAACCAAATAAACACAGAATCAAACAAACATGAGCCTTCAAAACAAAAAAAAAAAAAAAAAAGGAGGCGAGGAGCACGGGGAAGTGGGGAAAGAGGCAATTCTATTCAGGAATAGACTCTTTTCTTTCCAGTTAAAGCAATGAGCACATCTATTGACACAACATAGATCCACCTAGGACTACCTTTGCCCTGCAAAGATATAAATGCTGCATTAAAACTACTTTCTGTTTGCATAGAAAGTCCTGTAAACAGACCTGCTGTGAATGCAAAGCAAGAAACCCAGCTGGAAGGAGAAAGGCTTTTGGAGGAACCTGAGAAGGAGATGTTAGATTTGTCTGCCCTGTACAAAGATTTGCTCTCTTCTCATCTTCCTCTCTTTCTCCCCTGACTCCTCCTCCTCTCCCCTCTTCCCCGCTCTTCTTCTTTTCCTCTTTCTCTTCCTCCTACCTCTCCTTTTCTTCCTCCTTCTCCTCCTTCTTCTCCCTTTCTCTCCTCCTTCTCCATCTTCTCCTCCTTCCTATTTCTTCTGGAGTCGATGAGCGAGCAGGTGGCCAGAATTCATGGCCTGGAAAATTCTGGATCCCATCAACAAAGATGCTGTCTTGGAAAAAAAGCTGCCATGCTCGTTTTCCCAAACTGAAGGAGATGCTCTCCACATCTCTGATCTTGCATCCAAGAAGTGGGCAGACCACAGGAAATTCTTTCAGAGCATTTAGCCCTAAGTTCCCCTGTTTAATATAGTTGACTGAATTCATTAATCAATTAATTAGTAAGTCACACTGCTCCAGACTAATACATATGCCAACGCAGCAAGAGACTGGAAAGACACAGGGGAAACGAGGAAAGTGAAGAGGCTTCCCCTGCAATACTGGAGTATTTATTTTGAGTGTAGCGAGTTCAGCAAACATCTGTTTATTCAGAATACGAGCAACCAGGGAACTCGAACTAACCAGAAAGGTTTCTCAGAATTTTAAAAGAAGAGTTGATGCTCTTAACCATAACATGCTCAGCCCTTATGAGATTTTGAAGTGCTCTCTGAATCAAAAGATTTTTTTCCCCTGTGAAGTTTTACAGTAAAGTGTGTTCCAACTTTCTAAAAATGAGCTGAAAAGGTATGTTTTCTGGGACTGTTCCCAGTTAAGTTGGATATTCTATTCACCAAATAACCCACTTCTCAACCATTCCAGTGCACGTGGGCCAAGGAGGTGGGGAAAACAAGATGGAAACCATCATAATGGGCTTATGCTAGGAAGGCTGTGTTGTAATTTAAAGAATACTGATCTTTGAGTCTAGAAAACTGCATGGAAACCCTAGCTCTTTGGTTTACCAGAGCAGTGACTATTTGTGCAAGCCTTTCAGAACCTCAGCTCCCAATCTGCATAGTGAAAAAATCACTTTATCTTTACAAAGTGGCTGTGAGAGTGAAATAAGAAAGGGTATGTATGAATGCTTTGAATGCCATAGCACAGCACTCACATGCAAGGAATAATTACTGTCATTTATAACAACACACTCTCAACCTTGAGTTATCCTCTCATTCTTTCTTCTCTTTTTCCTTCTCTCTCCCGCTTCCTGGGGAGCATAATGATGTCTGTGATAACTATTACACATGAAAATTACATCTCTCCATTAGTTCTCTTTACAGAATAAATTTCATTGAAATCCATTAAAATATTTCAGACAACAAGCCTACCTTGAAAGTGTTGTTAATCACTATTTTATTTTGAGATGTTAGTCTAAGGGGGAAAAAAGGGGATAGACTTTAGCCATTTGGTACTAAGGTGGATTTTGTTAGACCACTCCTTTCAAACTGTCACCAAACAGAAAGATGGAGAAAGAAAGCCGGACAATCAGCAAATACCTGGCAATTAATCCAAGGTCAAGATCTCTAATTTGTTTATAAAGGTGGTAATGAGTTGGGAAGGGAATGTTTTACCTGAAATTCAGTATCCACCCAAATGGCAAGTTTATACTCTGCTTAGTCTCAAGGTATGGAAATGTTTTAAAACTTTTTCATATTATTCCTTGAGTCTTTAGGGATTGAGCCTCTGGATGGATGGATGGATGGATGGATGGATGGATGGATGGATGATTATATAGATTATACAGACAGATGATAGATAGATAGATAGATAGATTAGATAGATAGATAGATAGATAGATAGATAGATAGATAGATAGATAGATAGATAGACAGATATCGATAGGATAGATAGACTCACATCTATAATCCAAGCACTTTGGGGGTCGAGGTGGGCAGATCACATAAGGTCAGGAGTTTGAGACTGGCCTAGCAAACATGGTAAAACCCCATCTCCACTAAAAATACAAACATTAGCTGGGTGTGGTGGTGCATGCCTGTAATCCCAGCTACTCGGGAGGCAGAGGCATGAGAATCACTTGAACCTGGGAGGCAGAGGTTGCAGAAGCTGCAGTGAACCAAGATTGTGCCACTGCATTCCAGCCTGGGTGACAAACTAAGACTGTCTCAAAAAAAAAAAAAAGATAGATAGATAGATAGATAGTCAGACAACAGATATTGATAGATAGATGCAGAGATAAATTCAGATGTAGAAATGAATACGCAGATGAATTAAATTCAGATAGAGTATTTCTCCTGTCCATGAGGGCATGCAAAACAAAGAGACCAAAGAAAAATATGCAATATGGCTGAAGGAAACCAAAAAATAATCTTACCCCACCTTCTCATTTTTAAAAGGTAAAGCCCTGAAAAGGGGATTAACTTACCCCAGGTCACAAAGCCAGTACTGCCACTGTTATTACTAACAGCTGATATGCATTAGCACCTACTTGCACTAGGTTTTGGACAAAGCTGTCCAAGTGTGATATCTTATTTAACCTTCCCAGGACAATCAGAATGCTGGTCTTACTGACTAGAAAACTGAAACTCAGAAGGGTGAAGCCATTTGTCCAAGGTCACTCAACTGGTGAGATGCAGAGACAGACTTGCAACCAGAGGAATACCCTGAGCTACACTGAACCTAAGACTCCTGGTTTCCAAACTAGTACAAGGTCCCTTTATATATTTCAACCTGAAATTTTAACCTAAAATATTTCTTTCCTTCCACTGGTAATTGGAAAATTCACTTTTGTAAATGAACTTACAAAAAAATAATTACCTTCCCAAATTGCACATTCTCTTTTTTCTAGTGAAATCTATTGCACGCACTGAGGACTCGTTCAGCAGGGGCCGGGCTGCCCCATAAATAAGTCGTGCCTAGGTTGATCTGTGTGGCTGTCACTGTATATATAATAGAAGAGACAGTGTCAGGGAGCAGCCAACATTCACCTCCTTGAGCACATGTTTCCAAATTGCCCTTGACAGGTTATGAGCAGAGCATTTCAAAGGGATGCATTAAATACAGCACAAGTGCTTTGAGAATCTGCCTTTCTACATCCTGAGGCTGGCACTTTGATTTCTTCCAATTCCGTTTGGTTTCCCACTTCCTACGAGAAGGAAGGAAGCTGAGAGCAACTCCTGGGGCAGCTGGTCTGGCTGCAGGGTTACTCCCCTGGCTTGTGAATATTAGAACAAAACTATGAGTTGATGAGGTACATGGTATCTGAGGCTAATAAATATGGGTTGAAATCCTGGCTCTACAATTTACTAGCCACATGGCCCTCAGAAAGTTCTTTAGCCTCTCACTTTTTCAACTATAGAATAGAAATAATAGCCCTCTCCTCCAGAAGGTTACAGTAAGGATAAAATAAGCATGTTAATAACAGCTAATATTTATTCAGTATTCATTATGTATCAAACACTTCACTAAGCATTGAACATGTGTGGATTACTTATATAATTCTCATACAGAAATAGGCAAAATTGTTATCTCAATGTCACAGATGGGGAAACGGAGGCACCGAGAGTTTCTCTAACTGCCCCATTGTCTCATAGCAAGCTTTGCACCAGGCTTTCTGGCTGCAGACTAAAACTGCTTAGTGACCACTCTGCGAGCAGAGAGTGCCTGGCACATAGAAGGTGCTCAATAAATTTTAGGGTTTTTTTGTTTGTTTGTTTGTTATTTTTGTCATTGAGTTACCTCGTAATTGCTCACCTATTCAGAAAGAACAAGTGTCAGTGTCTTGGGGAAGAATAACAGAATTATCATTTACTGAACCTCAGATGTGTGCCAAATGCTTTACTTGTATTTTCTTATTTAATCCTCACAGCAAAACTGCATGCTGGTCCTATTATTCCCATTGCCTGGATGGGGAAGCTGAGACACTAGAAGGCCAAGGACTCTCCCAAGGCAAATAGGAGAGCCAGGATTAAAGTCCCAGTCCATCCAACTTCAAAGTTCACACCACACTGACAACCTAAACAAACCCTCGATGCTTATATCATCTAAATCAAACAAACCATTTCTGCCTCCCCACTTTCATCATCGTCATGTAAGTCACAGATTCTTAAAGTTTACTGTGCACACAGATCATCCGGGCATCCTGTTAAATGCAGGTTCTCATTCAGCAGGTCTGGGAGGGAGCTAAGATTCTGCATTTCTAAGAAGCACCCAGGTAGACAACACTTAGAATAGCGAGGATGTAAGAGAGTCCTTCAACCCTTTCCATGTTTTCTCACTCTTTGCCACTTAAGACTCAAGAGGCTTCTGAGGTTGGAGACTGAGAGAGGAAATTAGTTCCACCTTCTTCAGCTCTATGGAGTCAGATTTTCCAAAGCACCCCTTTCCCCACCAAAACCATCCTCACCACCAATGTCACCATCACACACGCACACATACACACACAGGCCCTCTCAACCTCTCTTGAATTTTTATGTCTTTTTGACATGTGGTTGTTGGGCACATTTCATATTAAATCACTCCAATGTCAAAAGAAAATTCAAATTGTTACTAAGCATATTTAACTCCAAAGAAGAATTCTACCATAAGGCTAAATGCAGCAATACCAGCAATTTACAACTGAATAGTGCCTTAAGTAATGATAATGAGCCTGATGACATTTGGTTGTACATGGTTAAATCTTTCGTAAAATAGTCCCTCTCCACTCTCAAATTTAAACCTAGTGAAGTATTTAAAAGGTTCTTCATAAAGCACTCTCTCTTGCCAGCCCACAGTTTTATAGCTGTGGTTCTTTCCTGTCCAGCCTCATCTCCTGATTCTTTCCCACAATACCCTGTTTTCCCAGTTGTGCTGGACTTGCAGATCTTTGATCCCCATGATCATTCCTACTCAGGGCCTTGGACCATGTTCTTTCCTCTTCCTGGGCTCTCTTCTCCCATCTGTAATTCCCTGCAGATCTCTGTCTCCCAACCCAGAGTTTCCTTCCATAGAGAAGGTTTTGAAGTCAAGATACACTCAAGGACTCTGCTCACCACTCCAAGATATTGACTTCATATCCCTTCATATCCTACTCTCTATAGTACATCAATCCCTGGGTAGAATAAATGTAATAACAGTCTCTGCCAGAAGGTTACAGTGAAGATGTTAGTCATAGATCACGTTTGTTCAGTACTCATTATGCACCCAACACTTCACTAAGCACTGCATGTCTGTATCACGCATATAATTCTCACAAATTATAGGAGAATACATCATTCTCATATAATAACCCACATGTGTAACATGATCCCATATAGTATATGTAATATATGTATGTAATATACGTACATATGTATATCCATCCATATACATATACACACATGTGTATATGTTTACATGCACACACATGTATATACATATACGTATGCACATGTACGTGTACACACGTGTATATGTGCACATATGTACATATGAATACATATGTATAAATGTGTGTACATGTACATATGTAAGTATACATGTATAAATGTATACATGCACATTTTATCTATATATGTAGACATGTATGTCTACATGTACATGTCGACATATATACATATGTACTTGTATTCCATATATGTATACGCATATATGTATGTAATATATGTAGTATATGTATAATATATGTATATATGTAATATACATGTATAATATATAACCCCATGTATGTATAATAACATAATCTCGTATAATAACCCTAAGTCACAGATGAGGAAACTGAGGCATAGAGAGGTTAAACAACTGGCCCATTGTCTCCTAGCAGGCTTTGCAGAGAGAGGGCGGTGGAGAAGTTAGGAGGGACCCATTTGAGCATATGTTTCAGAAGTGCAAGAAACACCAGTTGATGTGGTCCTTCAGGGAGACTTGCCAGCAGGAGAGAAAACTAGAATGAAGAGCAGAATAATACAGTGAGAAGGGAAGAAGGAAAATGAGGGAATCCCTGACCTTAACACCAAGCCTGCTATTCTCCCCAGATCTTCCCACCTACTCCTTCCATCACTCATGATGGAAGTCCTTTGGATGATAAAATCACAGAGTACCAAAGTGGCTCATCTGACAGATGAAGAAATGAAGGACCAGAGAGGACGGGTAACACAGCCAGATGGCTGTGTGTTTGGCCGCCCCTGCCTTTTTATCTGACTGTACCATCCAGAGAACACTCTGAAGGACTGTGAGGCAGAGAAACACCACAAATTCTGCCACAGAGCCTCAATTCACTCCAATCCCTTTAATAGGTCTTGTTCAGACAACCTTGTAAAGCTACAGAATATGGTTTCTCTTTCTTTGATACTGGAAGTGTCAGGAGTCTCTCTGGCCATTTATTTGATGTAGAGGTTGCTAAATGTTATGGCAAATAGCCATATCAATCTGGTTAATGGCTGAGCATTGGTGTTGGCTGAAACCTTAAGACCTCACCAATGAGAAAGGAAAGGTTTCCTGGTCTCCAGACCATGCTGTACATGAATATCTGGAACAGGAAAGTCATGTGGTGTGATGGACTCTGTCCCTGGAGCTAAGGAGTGTTCTATCTTAGCCTTGATTCTGTTGCTAACTTGTGTGGCCTTGAGGAAATCAGCTACTCTCTCTGGGAAGCTTTCACAAAAAGGAAAAAGAGGCTAATATAAATAGCCCAGAACTTGTGCATACAGACTTTAGAAGCAAATGTACCCTTTCAGAATTTGCTGATGCCCATGAATTCCTTCTCTCCTCTCTCAGTTTACTGTGGCTACAGCTCTCATGCTTACTGCTGTGTAACAACCGCAAAATCCCAGTGGGTGCAACAAGAAGAATTTTTGTAGCTCACGCATCTGCAGTTGCGCTGATGCAGGCTCAGCTGGCCTGGCTGATTCTGTCTAGGCTTGGCTGCAGTGGCTGCCTCTGCTTCATATGTGTCTCATTCTCTTCCAGCTCTGAAAGATGATCCCAGGTAGATGTATCTCGTGATAATGACAGTGACACAGTGACACAGAGCAGGCAGAAACATGTGAGGCCCCTTAAGTCTTAGCTCAGAACTGGAACGCTGTAACTCTCACCTTATTCTACTAGCCAAAGCATTACACACAGCCAAGCCCAAAGTGAAAGGTCGGGGAAATATATTATACTCCAGTATTTTGGCACAAGGAGCTATAAAGTCATGTGGGATGGGGCATGCACAGAGCCAATGAATTAATCCACCTGCGCTCTTTAACAGGAAACATGGGTCTCCACTGGGCCAGTTTCCTCCCTGTTCTGCACTATGTTTTTCTTACGTTGTGCCTCCAGTTCCCCACCTGGAATCACTCCCCCATCCACCTATCTAAACTCTGTTTATTCCACAAGACCCAGGCCAACAGCCCCCTCAACCGTGAAAGCTTCTCCAGACCCACAGTTGGCCACCTGAACTGTTCCAATCCTCTGGCTTGTGGGTAGGTGTCTCCTACCTCTCTGGCCAACTAGCAGCTGACTTGTAGAAGACCATAAGTAATAAGTCCCATCAAGTGGTGCTCACTGGTGGGTTAGGATGCCCGTGAAGGGGGTGTGGCATTGGTGATTAGGTTTCCTAAGAAGGGAGGGAAACATTGACTATCTCTTCTGTAACTGCCCTGCCCTTAGGGAGCTGAATGATGGCATTTCCCCTTCTGGGTTCACTGAGTCAGAACCACCCCTTTGTCCACTGGTCAGGGTGCTGCACTTTGTCACACTGGCCCCGGGGCAGCCCTACTTGCCCCCTTCAGCTTGTACATGCCCCCTTCAGCTTGTACGAAGACCCTTGATTCTCCCTAGAGCCCACACCTAGCCCATGTACCAGGGCAGAAAAGCAGACATCATAGTGAAAGAGGAGAGTTCCCTTATCCCTCTCACAAGGCATGCAGCAGGGGTGCGGCTCGCTCCTTCGGTTGCTCAGCTGCTCAAACCCCTAGGGGTACCAGGCAGACAGGCAGGTGCAGAGGCCATAGGGAGCGCTTTTGGGTGATCTTCTTTACTCAGCCTTCAGATTCTAATACTAATCTCTTTGTGAACGCCCTTAGAGACACAGCCAGAAATAACATTTTACCAGCTATCTTGGTACCCCTTAGCCCAGGGATGTGATAAATCAATCCCATAAATTAATTTATATGTCCATGTATTAAGTTGACACACATTACAGCTGGCTTTAGGGTTATTAGGAGTCAAGAATAAAATACATGTCAAGGGACCCATTTTCTGCCATTGTGCCCAATGGATGAGCTTTCTTTCTACACCCCACTGCATCTCCCTTAGCCTCCTGGATTTTCAAGGTCTCACTGACCTCTGGCTACAGGACTAGGCCTGGTGGGTGACAAAATAAACACAGTCAGAACCTATGTGGGAAGGAACCCACGTAGGTTCCTTCCCATCCTCCAGGGCCAATCTCTCAAAGTCCAGTCCTAACCATTTTTTTTTCCCAAAGTCAGAAGCAGCCCCGCCCAGCCTCCTGCATGCTGGGCTATAGATCCTTTCCTCCTCTTCATGTTAAGTGCCCAGGACAATTTTGCACACACTTCTCAGCGGCGGCTGCAGCAGAGACTGTAAACCTGTACGCAGAATTCATTAGCTCTGCCGCAGGTCCTGGTGCTCACCTTCCTCAGCACTCTTGTTTCTAAGAGGCATCTGTGGGTTCTGGCTGAGTAAAAAGAGGAGTCCAGCATCCCCTGATATTCAGCCATGGCTCCAGTGGCCACCTGGAGCACATCAAAGTGGGCTCCTGACTTTGCAGGCACGAACTAGAGCCTGGCAGATGCATTTGAGGTCTGGCCGTGCCACCTCTGCTCAGAGTACAATTTAACAGATTTTTTTCCATACTGCTCTGGGAAGTGGGGACCTATAGAGATTTGGTAATTGGCATCCTAAGTCCTAGCATGCTTTGATCTCTGCAGCACCTTGCTGCTCTAATTGCTTAGAGACCCATTTTCCTATCCCAAGACCACAGGCCAGAGACTCTGCAATAACCTGAAGGCAAGAGATATTAAACTGTCTCATTGCCTCTGCTCTGAAGAGAAAGAAGTTTTCAATTTCAGTCGTAGTGGCAGGGCAGGACAATTCTAGGGATACCTAGGATCTAAGAAGTTTCTTCCATAAGTCAGGGCTGGCCCATGAGGACAAGGGATTCAACAGGGTTACCCCCCATGTGGAATGGGCTGGCTTGGGAGGTTGTGCAAATTAACGGGATGCAAACTGATCATCCGTCAAGCCAGAAACCTGGGCATTATCCACAGTTCTCTTTCTTTCCTACACACCCCATCAATCAGCAAGTCCTGGCAATGTTACCTGCTAAGTACCTCTTGAATCTGTTGCACCCTCTCCTCATTCCCATGACCACAGCTTCCGTCCATCTCTTACCCATTTTCTGAACGCCTCTTTCCAGTTTGAGCCTCCAGCCCTCTAAACCAGGGATCAGCAAGTACAGCCCATGGAAGGATGGGACCAAATCTGGCCTATCATCTGCTTGTCTTGTAAATAAAGTTTATTGGAATGCAACCATGCCATTTGTTTGCATATTGTCTACAGCAGTTTTATGCCACAACAGCAGAACTGAGTAGCTGCAAAAGAGATGAAGCTCATGGAGCCCGTGAAGTCAAAAAATGTGTCTACTCTCTGGCCCTTTAAGAAAATGTTCGGCCGGGCGCGGTGGCTCACGCCTGTAATCCCAGCACTTTGGGAGGCCGAGGCGGGTGGATCATGAGGTCAGGAGATCGAGACCATCCTGGCTAACAAGGTGAAACCCCGTCTCTACTAAAAATACAAAAAATTAGCCGGGGGTGGTGGCGGGCGCCTGTAGTCCCAGCTACTCGGGAGGCTGAGGCAGGAGAATGGCGTGAACCCGGGAAGCGGAGCTTGTAGTGAGCCGAGATTGTGCCACTGCAGTCCGCAGTCCGGCCTGGGCGACAGAGCGAGACTCCGTCTCAAAAAAAAAAAAAAAAAAAAAAAAAAAAAGAAAATGTTCGCTGTCTCCTGCTCTAAACCACCACCAGTTAAGTTCATGTCTTTTTCTCTCCTTCAAAATTCATCAACCATTCTTCCTGCCAACTAATAAAATTTGAAATTCCTTGCCACACATGCCTCATTCTTTATGAATGGGTTCTTAGCTAGTTCAGGAATTATAACTTAGCAGGCAACAGACTTTATCTACTTCGTATATTTCTATTGTGGCCTAAATTGAATTTGAAATATTAAATTAGTGGCCAACTTTTTATAGAATGATAAGACTATATATAAAAATTCATATTTATGACTTATCTTGAGGAATAGGAAATTCTGGCAACACCTGGCCCTTCATTGACAATGAGCAGCCACAATCAATGCACATCCACCCTCTTTAGGTAAAGCCACAGACTCCACCTCTCCCCTATTGTCCTACACCTGTCCTGCTTCATTCGTACAAGCATGAGTTTGAAAAGCCCTGCTCTTCCTTCTTTCTCTGCCAATCGGCCCTCTTCCTAGAACAGTTTTCCTATAGCTATACTGCAAGACAGAGTCCCCAAAGAAGCCGCGCTCCATCCCACCTCCACATTTTCATGCACGCTACCTTCTTACATTAGTTTGCTGGGGCTGCTATCACAAGCACCAAAGACTTGGTGGCTTAAACAACAGAAATGTATTTTCTCACAGTTCTGGAGGCTGGAAGTCCAAGATTAAGGTGACAGTAGGGTTGTCTCTTCTGAGGCCTGTCTCCTGGGCTTGTAGATGGCCGTCTTCTCCTTGTGTCTTCATGTGCCCTTCCCTCTGCGTGTGTGTGTGTGTGTGTGTGTGTGTGTGTGTGTCTAATCTCCCCTTCTTACAAGGACACCAATCCTATGCAATTAGGGTCCACCCCAATGACCTCATTCAACTCTAATAAGCTCTTCAAGGACCTATCTCCAAAGACAGTCACAATCTTAAATACTGGAGGTTAGAGTTAGAACTTCAGTATTTGGTGGGAAGGCACAATTCAGCTCTTAACATCCCCCTTCCATGAGTGCCTTTCCCTACTGTATTTACCTAAAAAATATGCATTGTTACTCCAGGAATCAGACCATGCACAACCTCCTCCAACAGCCCCTGCAGGGTTGGTTTTCTATCATATGTTTCTTTGCAACTTACATACACCTTTACTAGAGAACTATTATCTTGCACTTCAATGATTTCTATTCCCCCTTTCTTCCACTAAACTGTCAGCTTCTAGGTGGCAGTAACTATATTTTTTTCATCCCTGTTTATTCAATAAATATCTACTGGGGGCCTACCATGTGCCATGCACTGCTAAAGCCACTGAAGATTCAGCAACGAACAAGACGGGCAAGGTCCTTGACTATATGGGCTCATATTCTAGTAAGGGAAAGGAATGGTAAATAAGTCAAAAAGCAATCGTGATAAATTGCAAACACTGTGCTTAATCCATTGTAGGTGTTCAAAAAGCCTTAAACTGAATGCCATGGGGAGAATGCGTTCATCTGGGAAGAATGGGAGAAGAGGGGTCTAAAACCCTGAGAACATTTTCAAACCTGAAATTTTGTGATTTTTTCTTTACTCTGAGTTGCTGAGGGAGTTATTATGCAGAAGGTCAAAGAAGGCTCCCATTGTCCTGAAAGCTCATGTCACTTAATGATGCAGAAACTTGGGTCACTGCATCCCTTCACCTGTCCTTAAATCATGAGACCTCACAGCATCCCTGAGAAGAGACGTGACAACCAAGACAAAGCCCACCAAATGTCTCCCATCCCACGGTCTCAAAATTCCCACAGCCAGGGGTCTGTTTGCCAGTGGACAGACCTAGAGATGAGGTATATTTTCCTGCATTCAATTTTTGGATAAATTTACGGGGCAGTGGAGAATGGGGTAAGGGCGGGTGATTAGGCCTCGGGACTCGCACTGTGTAAATGATGCCCATTTCAGGTGCATCACAGCCCATATCAGCCTTTAAGGAAGAGAAGGACCATTTCTAGAAATTCTCTAGTAATAAGGCATGGTATCAGCATACTGGGACTCGTGCTCTGCTAAAAGCACAAAGCCTGCGGGAGCTCAGCATGGCCACAGTAATGTCCATTCCCTTCCTATCTGTTGTCCATAATTTTTAAAAAAATAAATGCTATTTGGGTACCAATGTATAAAGTTCATATTGTAGAATGTATTAAATGGATTAAAATGCAGAAACAAAATTCATCCGTGGAACTCTGTGTCCTCACATATTTATTCATACAAAATTTAGAATCATTTTTGTCACATTAAAAATTTACATTACGTTTGTAACAATGTCAAATTTATAGATTAATCTAGTGGGAGGTGGCTTAGGAATCCCAAGCATATCATTCTAAAATACATCAAGTGGTCTTTTAAAACACTCAGTACACTTTATAAATATATTCCATTATGTCCTGCATATCAATTATCTTCTGCTAGGTGGTTTCTATTACTTGGTAACTACACTCAATGAAATCTTTTTAAATGATAATATTTTCTACCTGATTATTGTTGGTTAAAAAAAAAAGGAAAAATTCAGCCAAACGACTAAACCCTCTTATTACTTCTATAAGTTTTTAGTTGATTCCATGAGATTTTCTACATAGATATTCTTATCATTTTAAGTAACGATTATTTTTCCATGTTGATTCCAAGACTTATTCCTAGTTCATTTTCTTCGATAATTGCCTTGGTGAGCAATTATAAATAAACAATGACTGAGAGAGCAGTTTGTTCCCACATTCGATAGAAATGTGTTTAGTGGGGCTGGGCGCAGTGGCTCATACCTGTAATCCCAGCACTTTGGGAGGCTGAGGTGGGTGGATCATCTGAGGTCAGGAGTTTGAGACCAGCCTGACCAACATGGTGAAACCCTGTCTCTACTAAAAAGACAAAAAATAGCCAGGTGTAGTGGCACATGCCTGTAGTCCTAGCTACTCAGAATGCTGAGGCAGGAGAATCGCTTGAACCCAGGAGGCAGAGGCTGCAGTGAGACGACATTGCACTCCAGCCTGGGCAACAAGAGTGAAACTCTGTCTCAAAAGAAATTCTGAAAAAGAAAGGGAAGGAAGGGAAGGGAAGGGGAGGGGAGGGGAGGGGAGGAAGAAAGAAAGAAAGAAAAGAAAGAAAAGAAAAGAAAAGAAAGAAAGAAAAAGCAAGCAAGCAAGCAAGCAAGCAAAGAGAAAGAAAGAAAATGCCTTTAGAGTCTCCCTGTATTAACAGGCATAACATTGGTTGGCTCTTCGTTTGGTTTAGATAATATTTTGGTTATGTTTTTAAAAATGCATTTTCAGATTCAAGCCTTTATTATCAGTGAGAGATGTCAGATTTTATCAAATATTTTCGATTTTATCAGTATTTAAGATCTGAGATGATCTTAAGATTTATATAATACTTTCTTCTATGCTACAGATTTTCATAATCCTTTATTTTCCAAGATGTTACAGGACCAATGGTGGAGTTATTTGATCAAAGATATGCACATTGGAAAGTCTTTATGTGTTTTGTTAAACCGCATCCCCAAAAGATTAGGTCAATTGACACCTCGCCCCCAGCAGTGGATGAAAATGCCTGTTATACTGAACTCTCACTAGCAATGTGTTTTTAACAACCAAAATCTCTCTTAATTTATAAGACTATTGAATGTTAGATACAAAATACACAAGGTATACTACCTCTTTCCTATCCTCTTACTGTACTTCTTAAAAAGTGATTGTTGGTTCTCAGGTTTATGTTATCTGCTGACATTTCATAGAGATTTTAACACCGTTCCTCTGGAAGAGCTCTAACGGAATATCTAGAAACATTTTGGGGTCACATAACTCTAATATTCTGAAAAAGCTATTGGATTAGGGCCCACTGCAATGACCTCATTTAATCCTTCAGAGGTCTATAAGGACCCTGAAGACAGATTCTTAGATATTAGGGGTTAGGACTTCAACACAGGAATTTGTTGAGTTTTTGTTTGTTTGTTTTTTTGAGACAGAGTATCACTCTGTCGCCAGGCTGGAGTGCTGTGGCACAATCTCGGCTCACTGCAACCTCCACCTCCCAGGTTCAAGCGATCCTCCTGCCTCAGCCTCCCAAGTGGCTGGGACTACAGGAGTGCACCATCATGCCCAGCTAATTTTTTGTATTTTTAGTAGAGACGGGGTTTCACCATGTTGGTCAGGATGGTTTCAATCTCTTGACCTCGTCAACACAGGAATTTATTTTTTGTTTGTTTGTTTGTTTGTTTGAGACAGAGTATCGCTCTGTCGCCAGGCTGGAGTGCAGTGGCACAATCTTAGCTCACTGCAACCTCCACCTCCCAGGTAAAAGCAATCCTTCTGCCTCAGCCTCCCGAGTAGCTGGGACTACAGGAGTGCACCATCACACCCAAATCTTTTGTATTTTTAGTAGACGGGGTTTCACCATGTTGATCAGGATGGTCTCGATCTCTTGACCTCGTCAACACAGGAATTTGAAGGGGAGAAACACAATTCAGTCCACAACATCCCTTTTCCAGGAATGCCCTTCCCTTCCTTATTCACTGAACAAATCCTCATTCACTCTTACTTTAAACATCAGATCGAGCACAGCCTTCTCTGACAGCCACAATTTCTTCCCAGAAAAATGTGCCTACATGCAAATTTTTTTCACTAGTTTCAGAAGACTCCCAGATCTAGCAGGAGTGTCACAGACCCACAAAGAAGAAATCTGACCTATTTTATTATCCCTGTTTTACAGATAAGAAAGCTAAAGCCCCCCCCCAAAAAAATCTGCTTTTCCTAAAAACTAAAATAAAACAATTTTTTTTCTCATTTTAAAGGCCTTCTCCCACCCCCAAAAGAAAATCGAGGAGAAAAGCATATATTGCTTTCTACTTAAAACATAGATATTTTGATTTTGAAAAAGAAAAGTGCTTTGAGAAACAGTGGCTTGATCTGAGTGAACACAGCGCGTCCCAAGGTGAGCACTTTAAGAGGGTTCACGTCCAATCTCATGGGGTGAGGTGGGAAAAGTGCTGATCAGGGAACATGAAACCCAAGATCTGGTCCTCACAGACAACAGACTGAATGTAAATCCTCGAATAACTCAAAAGCCCCATGAGCCTCACTTTCCACATCCATAAAGTCGGGTACTAATGTTTGCCTCACAGCCACGTTCTAAGGAATAAATGAAATTTCTGGACACATAAGGAAATGCTATATACGTAGGTTGCTGCTATATATTGTTAAAGATTATTTTTCAAATAAATTCAGCAAATACATATGGGGCACCTATGATATGCCAGGCACTGTTCTAGGTGCTAGGGAATAAACCCTAGATGGGAGAGTTGGGAGGGCTGCTCCTCTGGAGTTTGCAATCTGGCAGGCACAGCCAACCTTAAAGTGGGGATTTGTATTAGGCCCTTCTTGCAGTGCTATAAAGAAATGCCTGAGGCTGGGTAGTTAATAAAGAGAAGAAGTTTAATTGGCTCATGGTTTTGCAAGCTGTATAGGAAGCATAGCAGCATCTGTTTCTGGAGAGGCATCAGGAAGCTTCCAATCATGGCAGAAGATGAACAGAGAGCAGGCACATTACATGGCGAGAACAGGAGCAAGAGAGAGAGACTGGGACATGTAGAGGGGGAGATGTCACATGCTTTTTTATTTTTATTTTTATTTTTTGAGACAGCGTCTTGCTCTGTCGCCCAGGCTGGAGTGCAGTGGCATAATCTTGGCTCACTGCAACCTCCGCCTCCCGGATTCAAGCGATTCTCCTGCCTCAGCCTCCTGAGTAGCTGGGACTATAGGTGTGTGCCACCACGCCTGGCTAATTTTTTGTATTTTTAGTAGAGACAGCGTTTCACCGTGTTAGTCAAGATGGTCTCGATCTCCTGACCCCGTGATCTGCCCACCTCGGCCTCCCAAAATGCTGGGATTACAGGCGTGAGCCACAGTGCCTGGCCTAAATCACTAGATCTTGTGTGAACTCAGAGTAAGAGACGGCTCACTTATCACCAAGGGGATGACCCAAGCCATTCTTGAGGGATCCATGCCCATGACCCAATCACCTCCCACCAGGCCCCACCTCCAACAGTGGGGACTACAATTCAATTTGAGATTTGAGCAGAGACAAGTCCAAACTATCTCAGGATTCAAATGGGATAATTGTCAGGAACAAAGAAGTGCAAGAAGCTGAGGGTGCTTACAGGGACAGGAACCAACCCCACTGGAACTGGTCAAGATGTCCCATGTAAGGAGAGTAGAGTAACTGAAACCTGCAGGGGAAGGAGGGTTTGTCCAGTAAAAGGAAGAGGGCATTTTAAGGATCAGGAATTAAGAGAGAGCTTTGCATGTTAAATGAACTTTTAAAAGTCCAGTGTGGGGTGTGTGTGTGTGTGTGTATGTGCGTGTGTGTGTGAGAGAGAGAGAGTGTTATAGCTGTGTGTGCTGTGAGTGTGTGCAGGCTGTAGGTTTATGTGTCTGTTAATAGGTTGCATGTGTGTTTGAGGGTATGTGGGAGGGGTTGTGAGTTGTGTGTGTTGCGGTTGTGTTTGTATGTTGTGGGTTGTGTGTGGTGTGGGTTATGTGCATTGTAGGTCACATGCATGTGGGTGTGTGGCTTCATATTCTGGGTTATGTGGTGGGTTTTAGGTTGTGGGGAGTTGTGTATGGAGTGCGGTTATATGGGGGAGGTGTGTTATGCTTATGCTGCAGGTTGTATGTGTGTATGCTGTAGGTTGCATGTATGTGAGTATGAGTTTTAGGTTATGTGGGAGGGGTTCTGTGTGTGTATGGGCTGTGGGTTGTATGGATGTGTGTGTTGTGGGTTGCATGTATGTAATTGTGTGGCAGATTGTATGTTGTTAGTGGCATTCATTGGGTGTGTATTTTGGGTTATGTGGTGGGGCTATAGGGTGTGAGCAGTTGTGTGTATTTGTTGTGCATCAGTGTGGATTATGGAGTTTGCAAGTTGTGTATGTGGGTTGTGGGGTGTGAGAGGTGTATGTGTGTGTATGTGTGGGTGATAAGGCTAAAGGGGTAGGCTGAGTCAGACTCCACATGATATAGAAGACACTGTTGGTTGCCCTTCTTCAATGAAAGTTGCCCGACTTCCAAATGCCAGAACCTGCTCTGCTTTGCCTGGGGACTTTTTCTGGGTCTGGGTCCCCCCTTGTCCCCACTGTCAGCAGTGCCAGCGAATTCACGCTCCCCACCCCCAGAGTCCTCCAATCAATGTCTGAGCAGGGGTGGGTGGATAAATACCCCAGCTCCCTCACCCCTCGGGGGAGATAATGCTGACATGTGTGTTCTGTGCCACTCTTCAGCTTTGCCTGGCAGGATTTAGCTCTAGATGCACACAGTGGTCCCGTGCTTCATAGCGACCCTTTATTGGTTCTTTTCCTTCCTGTTTCACTTTCACACCCCTATCTGGGTGTTTCCTGAGCCCTTCCTCAAAAAAAAGACCTGGTCTCACATCCGTTACCTCATTGGTCTACTTCTAGGCCAACCCAAGCTGAGACAGCCATGTAAGCCATCCTGGACTTCACTCTGAGGGCAGCGGGCAGCCATGAGGGTTATTGACAGGGGCATCCCATAATCCATTGTTTTAAAAAATTAAATGAATAAAACATATGGTTCCAGCACCTTTCTATCATCCACAATTCGTGCCTTGGAAAAGGGTGCCTATAGTCCATGCACAAAAGCTCCCCAGTCAAGGAAGGCTATGTGCCCACCTGCCAGGCCAAGGTGGTCCCACCCTCCAGCAGGTCCTTGAGATTCCAGAGCATTCAGGTGACTCATCTGAGGGCACAAAGCTAAGGAGCCATCAAGCCCAGGGTGCAGTCCCAGCCACCTGCACACCTGCATCTCAGCCCCATTCTCACCAGGATGCTTCTGCAGTAAAACCTTCAAAGTCATTTTATCCAAACCAGTTAAGATCAGGACCCCGGGCCAACTCAAAACCTGTCAGTCACAACTGCTGTTTCGAGAGGACACTGTCACTTTCACTTAGCCTCCACTGGGAAAATGAGGACCAAAGCCATGTCCCTCCCTGGGACGGGAGCCAGGGGCCTGTTTCTTTTGCAAGTCAGGCAGCTGCTCACAGGCCTACTTGAAAGGAGAGGATCTGGGCAGTTGTAACTGTCTGATCCTGCCTGGCACAGTTCTCCAGGGGAGCATTGTCCCTGTCATGCGGGTGAAGCCCACCGAGGTCGTCACTCTCTAAGCATGACAGACAGACAGTGCAGCTCAGCTGGCTCGTGCTCCTTTGAAATTTTTCTATGTCAGGCTCATCCTTCAGTGTGGATGAGAAAGGACAGAGCTGGAGCCTCAGCAGGGCTGGGAAGAGGATATCAGAATGGTGTGCGCACACGTGGAAAGAAAAGGAAATTGACTAGGAGATGAGTGGCCCCTGGTCCGATGGGATGGACAGGAACACCCCCCTCCATGCTGTGGGGGCTGTCGGTCCCGCCAAGACACCTGCTTCCTGGCGGTCCCAGGAGGACAGGCATTGCCAGAAAAATGGAGTGTGGTGCAACCCTACATGTTTTTCCTGTATATGCATTCTTAAATCACTTACCCTCTCAGTGCTTCGGTTTCCTCCCTTATAAAATAGGGCTAATAATACCTATTTCAAAGCATTGCTGGGAGACTTAAATGAGACAGTGTGTATAAACACCCTCAGGCAGATGCTATTAGATACGCCTTACTTTCCCCATCAAAACTAACATTTGGAGAGTACTCACTACACACCAGGTGCTGTCAAAACATCTTTGCTGTTCAACCACCCTGGGAAGCAGATCCTACAATTCATCCCATTTTAGAGATGAGGAAACTGAGAGAGGTTCCATAACATTCACAAGATTTAGCACTCGCAGGAAGTGGCAAAAGTTGCATCCCCGGCAGATCTGACTCCAGAGCCCGACCTTTGAGCCTTTCCAATTTCTCCCCTATTTACAAGGGAAACAGAAAGCCCACTTTTCCCAGGAAGAGCACTTCTGTGTCATCAGGCATGGGTCATGTTCATCACCCATGTATGATGTCTTTTAAGGACATAAAGCTATAGTGTCATTGGTAGTGTATTTGATAGCTCTGGCTTGAAAATCCCATAAATCAAAATCATGATGCTGTACAGCAGTGGTTCTCAAAGCGTGGTCCACGGACCTCAGCATCAACAGTACCTAGGAAGGTGTCAGAAATGCAAATCCCGGGTCCCAGCCCAGGCCTACTGAGTCAGAAACTCTGGGAGTGGAGCCCAGAGATCTGTGTCTTACCAAGCCTTCCTGGTGACACTGATGGATACTATAGTTTGAGCACCAATGCCATAGTAGAGTACAAATTTTCTTTTTCTTTTTTTTTTTTTTAAGACAGAGTTTCGCTCTTGTTGCCCAGACCGGAGTGCAATGGCACGATCTCAGCTCACCACAACCTCCGCCTCCTGGGTTCAAGCGATTCTCCTGCCTCAGCCTCCCAAGTAGCTGGGACTACAGGCGTGCGCCACCAAGCCCGGCTAATTTTTGAATTTTTAGTAGAGATGGGGTTTCACCATCTTGGCCAGGCTGGTCTCGAACTCCTGACCTCATGATACACCTGCCTCAGCCTCCCAAAGTGCTAGGATTACAGGCATGAGCCACCGCGCCCAGCCTAGAGTACATATTTTCACTCTCCAATAACTACAGGTCATGAAGGAAATTGTAAATAAATAAATAAATAATAAATTGTTACTGTTTTATTTCCAGGTGGGATTGGTAGGAAATAGGAGCAGTGGCCATGTTCATTGAGGGTTAACAAGTTCATTCATTCATTCATTCATTCATTCACTCGGTATTTATTTCTTGGGAACTATACGCCAGGCACTATCCAGGAAATAATAAAATGTAGTTAAACAGACACAGACGTGTGTGGTTCCTACTTTTATAATCTAACAGTTCGGTGAGGGGCAGGGGCAGTCATGTAACAAAAATGACACAATTATTAAATTGTGTTTGTAGCAAGGGCTATGAATGGGGAAAGGCATGAATCTGGAAAGCAGAATGGGAGCCCCCGATCAAATCTTGGAAAACCTCTCAGAGGAAATGACACTGGAGTCAAGATACTGGCCAGTGAAGCCAGTCGGGAGTTGGGGGAGGCAATGACCGTGATGAGGAAAGGGAGCGAGCCCTCTAGCAGAGGAGACAGCCTGCACAAAGGCTCCCAGCGCAGCAAAGGCAGGGTGCCCTGGGGCAGGGAGGGGCTCTGCGGGTGATCTCAGGTGCGCCCCCAGTTTCTACGTGAATCCCTCCACATCCAGCTCCCTCACCTTGTAATGGGCAAAGTCAGAACATCCACCCACAGGGCCCCACGTGATTTCGGCTGCTCACAGAGGACACTTTTCCCACCTAAGGCCCCAGACACAAGTTCAGCTTCCTCGCTGCACTCTTAAGCCAGCAGGTGGAGAGTTTTGAGTTCCCATTTCCCTGGTGGCTAAGTTCCGCGTGAAGCCGGGAGCTATGCACACACAAGACACGCCTGGGACTGCTGAGCTGAAGCTCCTGTTCATTACTGTAGCTTTTCATTTCCTCTTTCTTTCTGCTGCTTGAAGCTCTGCCTTCTTTTTCCCAAGCTCAGCTACACTTCTTTTACCCAACACTTCTTTGTAATTAAAGAGAAGCAGTGAGAATTAATTTGCCACATCAGCTCACTTCATTGTATTGATTTTTTTAAATCCCACCCCTCCCAAACCAAATCAGGTATCATTGCAGTGCACTTCTAGAGTATCTTGTGCCTCCCATCAAAACCTGAACACACAGGATCGTAATCTGTGCTTTAAGCATCTCCTATCTGCACCCCCACCCCCCACCCCGCCAAGCTGCAAATTCCACACAGGTATGAACTTTCTGGCTTTTGCTCATCCATATTCCCAGCACCTAACCCAGTGCATGGCACATAATAGGTGCTCAATAAATGTTTTTGAATGGATGAATGAGTTCATTGTTAACCTTCACACAATTCTGTGAGGTAGACTGCCACCTTGTTACCCTTTTTGAAGGTGAGAAAATGGAGGCTTGGCATGTTTAGCAACTCTCTGAAGGTCAAATATCAAGTTGCAGATCTTAGATTCAAAATCTGGGCTGCTACATCCCAAAGATCAATGTCTTCTCCATGCATCACACTGTCTCTTCAACAACCCTTAAACTCCAGAAGGGCCTAGGTGTGTAGGTGAGTGCGACTGGACAGAAAACAGGAATGCTTCTTTCTGCCTTGAGTCAAGACACTGTTTGTATGATTGGAAATGAAGGGTGGGAGCCTTGGTACATGGAAGGAAAATTGGGCTGGTGACAGAATGGGGTGAATGCAGACATCCCTGCACAGTGGCAACAGGGAGGAGATGCTCTTATCCCAGTAAAATTTAATCCCTCATAAAAATAGCACCATATTTGGTAGATTGCATCCCTCCTGTAATGCAAAGAGCAGCAGGATTTTCCAGATGAAAAGTCAGCTTAGACTGGTGCACACTTGCCCTCAGGGCTGATCCCTGAACACAGAGCTCCAGAGTGTGCAAAGATGGCCTCTTAGGGACCAAACTGTCACCAGGAAAATCACAAGAAGAGAGGCCAACAATTCTCTGTGACTCTCAATCCAGGAGCTCCAACTTAACTATGTACGACATTCAGGATTCTGAAACCTTAGCAAATTTGAAATTATGATTATTACCTCATCAACATAACAGTTGAGTGAAGAAAAGCAGGGTATAAATTGCATTTCACGATGATTTCCACCTTGGTTAAAAGAAAAATAAAAATATATGCGGCATGAAAAAGCCCCAAAATTAAAGGCAACACATGAAAAGCTTCAGGAGTAGAACTCAGAGTATTTTTTCTCTCTCTCTCATTTTCTATATTGCCCTAATTTTCATTAATGAAACTGCCTCTCATAAATAAAACAAAATTCCATTTTAAAGGAATATAATGGTGCTCAGTACATGCTTGTTATATGGCCAGTTCATTCTATTTTACATAACCCGGGATAGTGCATATTATCAGCCTCATTTTATAGGCGAGGACATTAGGTTCAAACAGACTGAGTAGCTTGACCAAGCTGTAGCTCCTAAGTGCAAAGCCAAGGTTTAAAAATAAATTTTGACCTACTCTAAAGCAGCACTTGCCAACTTGGCATGTTAGAATCATGAGAAGCTTTTTAAATCCTGATGTCCAGGCCACGCCCCAAACCAATTGAATTTGAATCCTTGAGTGTGGGACTCAGGCATCAGTATTTCTTAAATGTTCTCAGCAATTATAAGGTGTAGCCAAGATTGAGAACTAATGCTCACAAGCCTATGTCCTCAAACACAGTGCTATATTGCTTCTCTATATACAGAAATCTATTGTCATTTGTTGGGAATATAGATAATTATTATTGAAAAATCTTAATACCATCAAATATTGCCTAAGAACCCTATTGATTTCTGAGCCTTGTCCACATGCCCAGATCAATTCATGGAAAGAGGGTAGCCACCCTACAGAAGAGTAGTAGTTCAACGATCAGAGCAAGGAAAAGAATAATGATGCCAAGAATAGATTTCTGAAGGCTGAACCCATTCAGAAAGGTTTCCTGAGAAATCCAAAATCTGAACAGAACAATAACAAGTAACAAGATCAAAGCCTTCATAAAAAGTCCCCCGCTAAAGAAAAGCCCGGGTCTGATGGCTTAACTGCTGAATTCTATCAAACATTTAAAGAACTAATGCCAATCCTGATCCCAAAAACAGACAAAGACATATCAAACAAGAAAAGTACAGGCCAATATCTCTGATAAATATTGATGCAAAAATTCTCAACAAAATACTATCAAACTAAATTAAACAATACCTTAGAAAGATCATGCATCATGATCAAGTGAGATTTATCCCTGGGATGCAAGGATGGTTCAACAAATGCAAATCAATCAATGTGATACATCATATCAAAAGAATGAAGGATAAAAACCATATGATCATTTCAATTGATGCTGAAAAGCATTTGATAAAACTCAACATCCTTCATAATTAAAAACCTTCAAAAAACTGGGTATAGAAGAAATATATCTCAACATAATAAAAGCTATATATGACAGACCCACAGCTAGTATCATACTGAACGTGGAAAAACATAAAGCCTTTTCTATAAGATCTGGAGCATGACAAGGATGTCTACTTTCACCACTATTATTTAATACAGTACTGGAAGTCCTAGCTAGAGCAATCAGACAAGGGAAGGATATAAAGGACATTCAAAGTGGAAAGGAAGAAGTCAAACTATCCTTGTTTGCAGATGATATGATCTTATATTTGAAAAAAACTCAAGACTCTACAAAAAATCTATCAGAACTGATAGATTAACAAATTCAGTAACATTGCAGGATCCAAAATCAACAAACAAAAATCAGTAGCATTTCTATATGCCAATAGGGAACAATGTAAACAATAAATTTAAAAAAGTAATCCCATTTACAATAGATACACATAAAATTAAATACCGGGAATTGACTTAACCAAAGAAGTGAAAGATATCTCTAATAAAAACTATAAAACACTGATGAAAGAAATTGTAGAGTACACCAAAAAATGAAAACATATCCCATGTTCATGGATTGGAAGAATTAATGTTGCTAACATATTTATACTACCCAAAGCAATCTACAGATTCAACGCAATCTTTTTCAGAGTACCAACAATATTCTTCAGAAAAATAGAAAAAGCTATGCTAAAATTTATATAGAACCACAAAAGACCCAGAATAGCCAAAGTTATCCTAAGCAAAAAGAAACAAACAAACAACAACAACAATAACAAAAACAACTGGGGAAATCACATTATCCGACTTCAAATTTTACTACAGAGCTACAGTAACCAAAATAATATGGTACTGGCACAAAAACAGACACATAGACCAATGGAACAGAATAGAGAGCCCAGAAACAAATTCACACCTACAATGAACTGATTTTTTACACAGGTGTCAATAACGTACACCGGCGAAAAGACAGTCTCTTCAATAAACAGTGCTGGGAAAACTGGATATCCATATGCAGGGGAATGAAACTAGATCCCTATCTCTTGCCACATACAAAAATCAAATCAAAATGGATTAAAGATTTAAATCTAAGACCTCAAACTATGAAACTACTACAAGAAAACTTTGGGAAAAATCTTCAGGACATTGGTCTGGGAAAAAATTTCTCAAGAAATACCCCACAAGCACAGGCAACCAAAGCAAAAACAGACAAATGGAACCACATCAAGTTAAAAAGCTTCTGCACAGCAAAGGATACAATCAACAAAGTGAAAGACAACTCACAGAATGGGAAAAATATTTGCAAACTACCCATCTGACAAGGGATTAGTAACCAGAATATATAAGGAGCTCAAACAACTCTACAGGAAAAAAATCTAGTAATCTGATTCAAAAAAATGAGCAAAAGATTTGAATACTTGTTTCCCGAAAGAAGACCTGAAAATGGCAAACAGGCATATGAAAACGTGCTCAGTATCATTAATCATCAGAGAAATGAAAATCAAAATTACAATGACTTATTATCTTATCCCAATCAAAATGACTTATATCCACAAGACAGGTAATAACAAATGCTGGTGAGGATGTGGAGAAAAGAGAACCATTGTACTACACTGTTTGTGGGAATGTAAATTTGTACAAGCACTATGGAGAACAGCTTGGAGGTCTCTCAAAAAACTAAAAATTGGGCTACCATATGATCTAGCAATCCCACTACTGGGTATATACCCAAAAGAAAGGAAATCAGTATATCAAAGAGATATCTGCAACAAAAAAACTCCTGTGTTTGTTGCAGCACTGTTTACAATAGCCAGATTTGGAAGCAACCTGAGGGTCTGTCAGCAGATAACTGGATACAGAAAATGTGGTACATATACACAATGGAGTACTATGCCACCATAAAAAAGAATGAGATCCAGTCATTTGCTACAACATGGATGGAACCGAAGATCATTACATTAAGTGAAATAAACCAGGCACAGAAAGACAAACATCACATGTTCTCATTTATTTGTGGGATCTAAAAATTAAAACAATTGAACGCATGGACATAGAGAGTAGAAGCATAGTTATCAGAGGCTGGGAAGGGTATCGAGGGTCTGGGGGGAAGTGGGGATGGTTAATGGGCACAAAAAGAAATAACCAGAAAGAATGAACAAGACCTACTATTTGATAACACAATAGGGTGACTATAGTCAACAATAACTTAATTGTACATTATAAAATAACTTAAAGAGTATAATTGGATTGTTTGTAACTCAAAGGATAAGTGCTTGAGGGGATACATACCCCATTCTCCATGAGGTGCTTATTTCACATTGCATGCCTGCATCAAAACATCTCATGTACTCCATAAATATATATACACCCACTATGTGTTCACAATAATTAAAAATTTTAAAAATTTAAGAAAATAAATAGAAAGGTTTTCTGGTTGACCAGTTCCTACAAAGACAGGAAGAACTTAAGATAAGTAAAAAGGAGAGAAAGTGACTGTGGAGAAGTTTCAATAAACCAAGTCCAGAGTGAATTCAAATCAACTGCACCCACTGGTGATAGGGTACCAGGAAGCAGCAGAGGATGACTGCTTATTTACACAACTCAACAAGAAGGCTCAGAAGAAGAAACTGAGATCCCTGGAAGGACAAGAGGAACAGATCTGAGACTGGTTCACAGGGAAGAGGTTGAAGCTAATGCATACATGGATCAAGATAGAGGTTAGAGCACCAGGTTTGGGAAGAACAAAGACTAAGCTAGCTCAAATGATGACTCCCAGCATTAAGGTAAACAGAAAACATTTCTAGAACCCTTGCTATACATGAGTAATTTAGATTATTGTTCCTCTCTCCTTCTTACTGTAGGCAAGGTATACTTCCTAGTCCCATCAATCCGAGTTTTGGCCGTGTGACTTGCTTTGGCCAGTGGGATAAAAGCAAATGTTGTTGTGAATGAAAGTTTGACATGTGCTTGTTTGCTTGGGCTTGCCCTCTTGAGCTTCTTCCTTTTGCTCTATAAAGAATAAGTGTTGGGTAGTGGCTGGTCCAAGAAACAGGAGAGATATGTAGAACAAGCCTTCACCAATCCACAGGGTTAGAGGCAAGCCCAGCCTAGGTCAGCCAAACTATAGCCAACCTGCCAATACATGCACAGGAAATAGACAGTTATTGTGGTATGCCACTGAAATTCTGAGGATGTTCATTACATGGTGCTATTGCAGCAAGAGCTGACTGAGACATGTGATTCTCTCCTTGCATCCACACCACAGTCCAGGTAAGTAAGCACTGTCACTATTTCCATTTTATAGAGGAGGAAACAGTCTTGGGGAAGTTAAATAACTTGCCCAAGAGTGGTAAGTGGCACACCTGGGTTTCTAACTCAGATCTTCCTTTAAAGCCCAAGCTTAAAACCACTACCCTATGCCACCTCCCTGAAACTTTATTATCAAGAGGGCTGAGGACTGCAACGGCAGAGACTTTTCCAGGGCTTTTATCAGATACCAAGTCATAGTGAGAGCAGGTGGAATTTAAGAGCCAGAGAACAGAGGACACCAAGTGGTCACAGTGACATTGCTCTGAAAACTTTTCTCTCCATGAAATGGCACAGGGACACTGGGGTTATGTTTCCAATGGTCAAGATTTAAAGGGACTGGCACCTCCAAAGCTCTTACAAGCCTTTCTGTCTTAACGGGAGCATAACACCTCCGGAGAGAATGATGCTGTGAGGTCTCAGCAAAATTGAGCACCCCGTAATACAGGGTTTCTCAGCCTTCACTCTATTGATATGTGGAGTTGAATAATTCTGTGTTTTGGCAGTATGTCTCTGTGCACTGTAGGATGTCTAAGAGTATCTCTGGGCCGGGCGCGGTGGCTTACGCCTATAATCTGAGCACTTTGGGAGGCCAAGGTGGGTGGATCACGAGGTCAGGAGTTCGAGACCAGCCTGGTCAATAGGGCAAAACCCTGTCTCTACTAAAAATACAAAAATTAGCTGGGCGTGGTGGTGCGCCCCTGTAGTCCCAACTGCTTGGGAGGCTGAGGCAGGAGAATTACTTGAACCCAGGAGGCAGAGGTTGCAGTGAGCCGAGATCGTGCCACTGTACTCCAGCAAGTGTCCCCCTAAGGAGGGGGGTGTAAATTGTCCCCAGTTGAGAACTACAGCCTTAATACATGAAGCATATTTAAGAAAAGTGTCACTGAGAATATCATGCAATGTCTTGACTCCTAAGCCTGGCTACACATTAGAATGGTTGGAAGGGTTTTGGGAAATGCAAATCCCCAGACCTTGATTGGACTCACTGAATCAGAATCTCTGGAGGAGAGGCCTGGGACCCTGTGTTTTTTAATAAACTTCCCAGGTGGTTCTCTTTTAGGCAGCCCAGCCTCAGACCAGGGTCTATTATTTGCAAGTCATGGTATAGTCATTATAAGCATGGTCCCTGGAGCCAGAGTAGCCCAGGCCTGGAGGCCAGCTTGAGCATTTATTAACACTATGGAAAAAATGTCATGTTTCCCAGCTGCATGGCACTTCTTGGACAATAGCTTTCCTATGTCAGGGGCATTTCCCACTGATGAGTCCTGCCTCCCCAAAAGGGCAGCCCCAAAACTCGCTCATGTAATTCTCTGAGAATCAGATGTGCTTATGTGAAATATCAATTCAGAAGCCCAACATGTGAGGAAGATGGCACCATGTAGTGCCCATCTGTCTGGCAATGGTGGCAATGGAGGCAGGTGGCTCTCAGGGCATCAGAACTGTGTTTAGAGTCAGTAACAAGAGCTTGGTGCCCCTGCCCAGAGGCGGCAAGAGTGGGATCTGCAAAGACCAGCCCTGCAGTGGGGTTTCTGGCAAGGCCAACCTTTAGCCCTTTGAGAGAGTCTGCACGTTCCCTGGTAGCACTGAATAAATTTCTTTCTGTTTAAACTAGCTTGAGTGGGTTCTGTTGTCTGCAACCAAGAAGAGCGAACTAACTTCATCCCTGAGTCTTTTTTCCTCATCTGGAAAATGCGAAGCAATATTAGGAATATAACATAGCTTGGAGGGTAACATTGGTCTGAGTAGGTTCAAATTCCACTTCTGGCATTACACTGTTGCTTGAGGCAAGTTACATCAGCTTTCTAAAACTCAGTTTCCACAAAGTACAATGAAGACACCACAAACTTTATGAAGTGTCTTCAGGATCAAAATGGAGAGTTGAAATGGTGCTTTGCACATTTCAAGCCCTTGAATATTAGGTATTGTTACTGTTGGAGTAGCGTTGAAGGCTTTTTACCATCTATACACCACTAAAAACCTTCGCTCCAGGAAATCCAATCTCCTTCTTGATTTTCAGAAGTCAAGCCATTCCCTGACCACTATGCGCTTTGCCCTTGCAGGTCTCTTGCCTGAAATGTCCTCCATTTTACTTCCACCTATCCATATCTTTCAACACCTAGCTCACCTCTCTCCTTCGAGAAATCCATGCTATCACTTCCCCTCTTTGAACCTGCGCAGCATCTGGCAATCCCATAGCTCACCATAGATTTAGTACTTAATTATGTATTGCAGTATTTCACCCGTATTTCATCCTGGGTACGTCTTGTCTCCATGGCTAGACTGCAGACTTCTCAAAGGCAGATTCCTTGCTTCTTATCCTTTGGGCACCCACACTGTGTTGGGCACTTAGGAAGAAAGAAAAGAAAAGCATGTCATATTGAACTGAACAGCTGAACAGATGCCAAATCAATATCTCAGGTCACAGGAGCAGGGGCGGGTCAGCGATGAAGCTAGGAGTGGGTCTCCCTGGACCCCTGGTTTTCATGCAGCGGAATGACTACTCGGCTATTTGGAAATTTGCATACAGATGACATTCTAGAAAATGCAGGTGCCTGCCTTTTCACCACAAAGGCCAATTAAGTGCTCTTACATTTTAAAAGGCAGACTGTTTGAGAAATGCCTCTGAGAACAATTAAGAGTACAAAACGTGGTAAATGAAACTGGAAGTTATCAAAAGCTATTGAAGGCAGCTGAGAGAAATGGCAACTTACCTCCACATGGGAGGCTATACAGCCCAGTGGATCAGAAACCAACGGCCACCAGCGCCCAGTCCCTACCCAGCCTCTCTCCATCGTGCATGCGGCACGACTTCTCCAAACAAAAGCATTCTCAACTGTGAAGTAGCGATAATAATAGTACTTGCCTCATAGGGTAGTTGTTAAGATTGAATGTATTAATACATGGAAAGTAATTAAAACAGTGCCTAGCACTTAAGTGCTGAATGACTGTTGGTTGCTATGATAATGATTATTAATAGAGTATTACATATGTTCCAAAATAGCGGGGACCTTTGCTGCCTTGTTTTCTCAGCACCCGGCATCTCCAGCACACAGGAAGGACTCAATCAATGTTTGTTGAATGATTGCATTAAATGGCAAGCTTAGCTGGTGACAAATTATGATCCAGATCAGCTTGCAGACCCACTGCCCAAGTGCCCTAGGCTGCTCTTTCCTTCCCACAGGCAGAGGCTCAGGAGCCCTTTTATAAGTTTCTTTCAATCCTCAGCCAGCCCCTCCCAGCTCATCCTCTCAGTCCCTCCTGGCCAAGGGTCCATCCCCCAACATCAGCTCTAGTTCCAGCATCTTGTCCAGCTCCCTTTGAACTTGATGCTTTGAGCCATTCCTACAATGCCTGCTTCTACCTTCTGAAACTGAATTTTTCTTTCTTTGGCATTTGATAGCTGCTAGTCATCCCACCCTACTGACTGGGCCTGCCTAGAACCCCAATCCTGATGCTCCCCAGTCTCCCATGGTCTGGGGTTCAAACACCTCTGCATCCCAAGCCCTCCCAGGCTCCACACTGGGACTCTGGAATTTTAAAAACTTGGGTTTAAATCCTGATATTCAGGGTATTTACTTAATCTCGCTGACCTCAGTTTTTTCACCTGAAAAGTGGGATAACAATACCCACTCATTGGCATAAGAATTAAATGCCTATAGCATGCCTACCACAGAGTCTTCCATCAAAGGGGATGATCCAATGCTAATTCCTTCTCCAGCTGCTACTTCTACAATATGGCAGACTCTCTAGAGCCCCATAAAAACACGGGATGAGCCATTTGGCCAGCAAGGACCTGGTGATTGAAAGTGTGAGCATCAAGTCTATTTCTCCAAAAGAGAGCAGAACTTTGTAATAAAACTGAGTTGTGGTAGAAAGCAAGGAAAAGCCGCTTGCTGCAGCCTTAATGAGCAAGATAAAGGGCACATCTTTGGAGGCCAGGGGACAGGTTTATTAATAGGATTAAAGCCAGGGGTAGCTGCTGGAGAGTCAGAGTGGCTTATCAGTGTGAAATAGTGTATACTCACAGATAAGATCACCCCCAGAGCAGCCAAGAGGCCACTTCAGAAACAAACAAACAAACAAAATGCAGTGGGATCCTGCGATAGGGTAGGAAAATCAGTGGTCCTCAAGTTCTGTACCATAATCTTCTGTAAGGGTGGTTACATCAGAATCACTGGCCGGGGGTGAAGGATTGGGGGTTAAAATAGAGAATCTAGAACCCATCCCTAGAGTTTATAGTCCAGTAAGTCTAAGGTGTTGCCTGGGAATCCATTAGCAAGTTTTTTTTTAAGACAGTGTCTCGCTCTGTCATCCAGGCTGTAGTGCAATGGCACAATCATAGCTCACTGCAGCCTTGACCTCCCGGGCTCAAGCCATCCTCCTGCTTTAGTCTCCCAAGTATCTGGGACTACAGGCATGCCACCACGACTAGCTAATTTTTTTTAAGTAGAGATAGGGTCTTGCTATGTGGTCCAGGCAGGTCTCAAACTCCTGGGCTCAAGCAATCCTCTCACCTTGGCCTCCCAAAATGCTGGGATCACTGGCATGAACCACCACACCTGGCCCATTAGCTTTTTTTCTCTTTTCTTTTCTAAATCTTAGATGATGTTGCTGAAGAAGCAGCCAGGTTTTGGACTGTTTGAAGATTATAATTAGTTTTGTAGCAATTCAGATATCTGGATGCATACATTCATTTGTTTAACAAGTATCTGTTATGTATTTATGACATTTTTGGTGAGCAAGAAATAAGAAGAAAAGATGGTCATGTTCCTCGTCAAGTTTCCAGTTGGCTACTGGAGAGATCAGTCAAAGGGTACAACAATCAATCATTCGTTCATTCAAAACTTAAGAGCCTCCTATATGCCAGGTTCTGTGCTATGGAAGCAGGATTTTGATTAGGCCTTTAAAAATGGGAAGCAACAAGAAAAGGGAGAAAGTCTTATCTTTGATTTCAGCCTAACCAAGGGAGGCATCACTGTTTCCTTCTTCTTTTTTCTTTTTCAGAACGACATCCTATATTACTCCCTGACAGGGGTGAGGAGTGTTTCCTACAGTTCACAGGAAACATTATGCATCCATGATTCCAGTCCCTAGGCTTGGAAGAGAGGTCTGCATAATTGAGATATAGCTTGGTATGTTCTCCAGTGATACTGAGAAAAGAGTGAGGAGAGTCAAAAGGAAAAAATAATAATAGCAGCAGTTGTAAAACCTAACACATTAAACACTTACTATGTGCCGAGCACTGATCTCAGTGCTGAATAAGAATAAATAAACAAGTAACTGAGTTCTCTTACTAGAAAATAATTGTAAAGTAACGTACAAGTTTGATATTTTCTACACATGGAGTTTTAAATATGAAGCAGATATGAAGGTATTAGTAAATAGATCAAATTATTTAAAGCAACATGTTTAAACTTTCAAATAAAACTTAAACAGAATCAGTAGTATTCAATCAGTTCTAAGTTATTAATACTAAGTTACTCAGTCACTCCATTAAGATTCAACAAAATGGTTTTGTTAATCAGTGGTACCAAAAATTAAATTTTGGTTTTAACCTTAGTCCTTGTTGTTAGCTCTCCTGGAATTTTTCTGAAATTTCATGAAAAGAATAAAAGAATGATTTCAGAAAAAATAAAAAATAAAAATAAACAAACAGAGCCCTTTCATTTTCTCCTGGAGGAAGTAGCAAAAACAGCAGCCCTAAGGAGAGATAATTTCAGAACGGTATCAATGGCCTCCAAAATATCCCTGCCATTTGACTATCTTTGTTTTCAGAGAATCCTTTGGAACTAGCACCAAAGCTTCATGCAAAAAGCTGTGCAGCACTGGTTACAATGACCTAAAACCTGGAAGCAAACTGTGTTCCAATAGTAGGGGCTGGCTTAAATAATCTCTCGTACATACATATAAAAGAAGAATGAGGACACTCTCTACTGACATAGAACCATTTCCAAGATTAACCGTTAAGTGAATAATGCAAGGTACAATTTTGAAATACACATTATTATTAACTATAGTCACCATAGTGTGCAATAGATCACTAAAACTTATTCCTTCTGTACCCTTTGGCCAACATCTTTCTTTCCCCATCTACCACATCCTCACCCTCTGATCACCACCACTGCTAAAAGTAGATTTTAAATGTTCTCACCACAAAGAAATGTTAAGTATGTGAGGGGAGGAGTATGTTAATTGACCTGATTTAATTATTCCACAATGTATGCACATATCATAACATCCCATTGTACCCCATAAATATATGTACTTATTTGCTGATTGAAAATGTTTTTAAATGTAAGATGCAGAAGAATGTGTGCTATCTTTTAAATTTTATGGCATATGGATGTATTAACTTTTTAAAAATTTAAAAGCAATATGTCAAACTATTTATAGAGTAGAATCCAATGATCTATGTGGGAATAAGAAAGTTTGGGAAAGAATTTTTGGGAAATGTTCACTAGTTTTGTTTGGGTAGAAGATCACTGGGTAATTCTTTCCTCCCATTTTTCTCTATTTCTAAATTTAGATGTGTGGTACAATGAAATACTTTTATCATGAAAAAAAGACATTTTAAAATGAAAGAAATCCTGGATCCAGGCTAGGGGTTTGCTTAGATATTTAAAATCCTAGAACGCATATAAAAAGGGACTCGTGATCACAAAAGGACATCAGAGAATGACAAAAATGTCAAAGATGTGGTCAGGAAGGCATAAACCCTACACTAATTTGCCAAAACCCAAAAAGCCAATGGGCTCTCAAAATCAAGCCTTAAAGCAACTTTCAGAGGTTTGCTGTTTTAAGTGTTTGGTTAGGACTTTGCTGCAATTAACAAGAACCTCAAATCAAACTGGGTTAAGCAAAAGAAGGAATTTATTGGCTTAAATAATCAAAAAGTTCAGGGGAAAGAAAAGACTGACTTTAGAATAGCTTGGTCCTGTTCACTCATATTTGTTCTTTTCTTTTTTTTTTTCTTAGAGATGGGGTCTTGCTCTGTCACCCAGACTGGGGTCCAGAGGCATGATCATAGCTCACTGCAGCCTTGAACCCTGGGCTGCAGCAATCTTTTTACCCCAGCCTTCCAAGTAGCTGGGACTACAGACATGTGCTACCATGCCCAGCTAATTTTTTTTTTTTTTTTTTTTTTTTTTTTTTTTTTTTTTTTTTTTTGGTCTACAGACAGGGTCTCACCATATCGCCCAGGCTGGTCTTGAACTCCTAGCCTCAAGCAATACTCCCATGTCAGCCTCCCAAAGTGTTGTGATTAGAGGCATGAGCCAATGGGCCTAGCCTCACTTACATCTTGACTTTTTTCCTCTTGACTCAGCTCTCTACCTGGGGCACCATATTGGGGCATTCTAAATATCAGGCCCTAGGTAGTGGCTCCTAGAAGGCCATGTTCACTGTAGCTTTTTTTTTTTTAAGCAGTTCTAGAAGAAAAGAGCCAAAGGTGCCTCTTCCCCAGCAGAGGCAACAGTATGCATTGCATACCAACTGAGTCACCTGCTCATTTCTGCAACAATCCCTAGAGACCTGAGAATGCAATGCCCTGAGTGGCGGGGTGGAACCAACACCATCAGAAGCGCACTATTCTAGAGGAAAAGCAGGTACCAGGAAAACAGACTGAGCATTCAGCAGCAAAACAGCAGGCAGCAGAGAAAATTGCAAATTCATGTGTGCCCATCTCTTCAAGTAAAATGAATAAATAAGCAAAATGAAAAAATATATATGTATATCATTAAGAAGAACATGAAATCTGAAATAGATGGACAGCAAGTAAGAGAACATTGCTTTAAATGAATTCAAATTTCTAGGCCACGTGCACAAGTCTCAGAACCCATGTTCATATCCATGGAGCTACCTCCAAAGACCTGAACTGTGATCCCTTTCAGAGAAACCAAACCGGAGAGAGGCCGCTGGGGTCTCTCTTTTCACAAAGGGGATGGGTTGGAAGTTGACATCCGAGAACCAGATACAGGCATTGACTTCTGAGGAAATTTTTTTATTAATCAGTTTTATAATTGACAAATAAAAATTGTGTATATTGTATTTATTGCGTGCAACATATTTTGAAATATATATACATTTTAAAATGCCAAATCAAGCTAATTAACATGCATGACCTCACACATTACTCTCTTAGCAAATTTCAAGAATACATTGTTGTTAACTATAGTCACCATGTTGAACCACAGATCTCTTGAACTGATTATCTGAGGAAATTACTGAACAAATTCTAAAATAGCAGATTTATGAAGGCTTAGAGAAGACTGATCAATAAAACCTACTGTAAACTTACCAAGATCGTGTGGTACCAAAACACACTCCACAGGATTACGAGATTGGGAGCTCTAGGGAAGCCCGATAAAACCCAATTTTAAAATAGCACAAAAAATAACTAACTATTGGGTACTAAGCTTAGTATATGGATGATGGGATCAGCAGAGCCCCAAACCTCAACATCAGAGAATACACCTAGGTAACAAATCTGCACATATACCCCCCGAATCTAAAAATATTTTTAAGGAAAAAAATATTTAAACAATCTGTTGGCCAGGTGAGATGGCTCATGCCTATAATCTCAGCACTTCAGAAGGCTGAGGTGGGAAGATCGCTGGAGACCAGGAATTCAATACCAGCCTGGGCAACATAGTGAGACTTTGTCTCTATGAAAAATACAAAAATTAGCCAGATACAGTGGTGTACACCTGTAGTCCCAGCTACTCAGGAGGCTGAAGCAGGAGGATCGTTTCAGCCCAGGAGGTCACGGCTACAGTGAGCCATGATCCCACCACTGCACTCCAGCCTGAGTGAGACCTTGTCACTTAAAGAAGAAGAAAAAAAAGCATATGCTATTTTCAGAAACGCATTTGAAAATTTGAAAACATCCATGTTTGTGTTCTGAGGATAAAGACAGGTAGAAGAAACATGGGTGTGAATTAGTAGCTCATTGTCTATCCATACCAACTAAATGCCATCATCATCATCATCACCATAGGTATTTGAAGGTTTTTACTACCTTACTTAGTCCTCTAAGGCTGAAGTGCTAGCAGGTAGATATTTATTAGTCCCCTTTTAGAGATTAAAGCACTGATCTCAAGAGGTGAAATAACTTGTCCAGCTAGCAAATAATGGAGCTGGCATCCTGACCCAGATCTGTCCAGCTGCAAAAATCTTTCCTCTCATGAGTTGTTAGCATTATTCCAAACAAAACACTGCCCTAAAAGTGTGAAAATGTCCTCAGTTCACCCCTTCTCTGCAGTGGGACCCTGACATTTAAAGGCACACCAAGAGGAGACAGTGCTCCCTGCAGGGCTGGAGGGTAATATCTGAGGTCTGGGAGGGACAAAATTCACAACCAAGGGTTACTCCCTCCCACCTGTGCCTGACATTTTTCTTTCTAAAAAATCTGCTCATTTCTGTTCTTCTTTCCTCTTCATCTTCCCCCTCTCCCTTTTCAATATTTTATTTCTTTATCTTATTTGGTGTTTTCATTGCCAAAGTAATTCATGCTTACTATAAAAGCATCAAGCAATAGACAAGTGTATAATAAAAAGCAAGAGGTCCAACCCCCAGGAAACTGCTGGGGACAGTTTGGTACCTATCCTTCCACAGTGTTTACTGTGCGCACATCAGTAAATCAGACTTAATACAATGTTACAAGTTATATAGAAGTGCTGAAATATACACCTAAGAAGCCAGCAGCCTTGGCTATAGTCTCTGGTGCATGCATGTGGCATGATTGTGCATGGTTCTCAGAAACCTTGTTGCTGCTCCTATCATTCCTTCCTCTACCAGTCCACAAATGTCTAACTGCCTACCATGTGCGAGGTGCCAAGCTCCGTGCTCAGAACACAGCTGTGAACCAGGTGGACATGGTGCCCTTCCTAGAAACAAAATCTAGGCTGCAAGAATGGTGGCTTTAACTCACTTCAAGAAACGCATTCACCAAGCACCTTCTCTGTGCCAGCTTTTGCAGGGGATGAGGTGATGTCACAGATATATCAGACACAGCACTGCTCTGAAATGCTCATGGAATAATAGAGGAGACAGGCTAGAAAATGAGGTCCATTATTTGTGTTTTAAAATTAGGCCAGGCGCACTGTTCACAATAGCAAAGACTTGGAACCAACCCAATACCCATCAATGACAGACTGGATAAAGAAAATGTGGCACATATACACCACGGAATACTATGTAGCCATAAAAAAGGATTAGTTCATGTCCTTTGCAGGGACATGGATGAAGCTGGAAACTATCATTCTCAGCAAACTATCACAAGGACAGAAAACTAGACATTGCATATTTTCACTCATAATTGGGAATTGAACAATAAGAACACATGGACACAGGGAGGGGAACATCACATACTGGGGCCTGTCAGGGGGTGGGGGGCTAGGGGAGGGATAGCATTATGAGAAATACCTAATGTAGATGATGGGTTGATGGGTGCAGCAAACCACCATGGCACGTGTACACCTATGTTACAAACCTGCACATTCTGCACATGTACCCCAGAACTTAAAGTATAATTTTAAAAATAAATAAATAAGGCCGGGCGTGGTGGCTCAAGCCTTTAATCCCAGCACTTTGGGAGGCTGAGGTGGGCGGATCAAGACCAGCCTGACCAACATGGAGAAATCCCATCTCTACTAAAAATACAAAAAATTAGCCGGATGTGGTGGCACATGCCTGTAATCCCAGCTACTCGGGAGGCTGAGGCAGGAGAATTTCTTGAACCCAGGAGGCGGAGGTTGTGATGAGTTGAGATGACACCATTGCACTCCAGCCTGGGCAACAAAAGCAAAACTCTGCCTCAAAAAAAAAATTAAATTAAAAAAACTAATAAAATAAAATAAAATAAAATAAAATAAATAAATAATAAAATAAAATCAGGCCAGCTGCAGTGGCACACTCACGTCTTTAATCCCTTTGCACTGTAACCCCTAAGTACTTTGGTAAGCCAAGGCAGGAGGACCACATGAGGTCAGAAGTTCAAGACCAGCCTCGGCAACATAGAAGTTTAATTTAAAAAAAAATTAAATTTAAAAATAGCCAGGTACAGTGGTGCACACCTGTAGCCCCAGCTACTCAGGGCTGACGCAGGAGGATCACTTGAGCCCAGGAGTTTGAGGCTGCAGTGACTGATTGTCATGCCAGTGCACTCCAACCTGGGTGACACAGCGAGATCCTGTCTCTAAGTAATAATGATGATGATAAATTAAAAAATAATAATTTTTATTATGTTGTTGTTACTAACAAAATTTATTGACCCCTTCCTAGATGTCATACACTATACTAAGTACTTTACAAGCATTAAGTAATTTCATCCTTTTAAGGACCGTTTGAGGTAACTGTGATGATTATTCCCACCTCATAGATGCAGACACTAAAGCTCAAAGAAGATGAGTGCCTTGCCTGAGGTCTCACGGCTGGTGAATGACTGGGCTGTGACTCAAGCCAAGAGCTGTTTGTCTCCAAGACTCTTAAAGACTCTTTTTTAAAACCAGCAAGCTATTCCATTTCATGGTATTCTCTTTTTCTCCCTCATTAGCAGATTCCTACAGAACCCACATGACTCTACTGTTCCTGCCCCAATTTATTTTTGCCTGAGTCTCCCCACTTTGGGCAAAAGCCTCGCTTGAACTATATCGATAGCTACAATGACTGAAAATTGTGTCACGTATCACATAGAATCTCTGTTCCCAAGGTACCCAGAGAGACTGAAATAGGTCCGTTAACAGTCGTGTGTTTTACATTCCACTTGGAGGGTTAACATTCAGGGTCACCCTTCTTCTGAGCCTTAAAAACCAGGGGTATCAAAGTAATGAGGGAGTGCGAGCATTCCATGGAGTTTGGATTAATGATCTGTGAGCCTCTGTTCAGCCCTGAATGCGTGTCATTTTTAGAGTTCAGCCTGGCAAGAAAACTTAACAAGAATCCTGGTCAAAAGAAGTCTCAGTCATTTAATGACAAAGGGTAACTGGACAACCTACCACCAGCAATTTATTTTTAGACCAAGTTAAGTCATACTTCTATGCATGACCTCACTCCCATGACTCTCCTGCCCTGCCCCCAGTTACTGTCCTCAGCTCTATGATGCAAATATTCTGCAGATGTGTCTCTGCCCTGCAAGATTCCCTAGACAGCTTTACCTTGACTACAGATATGTCAATGTCCGCCACCATAGAAAGGTCTTTATGACCTTTCTGAACTGAACTGAACTGATGCTAGCTTGTTCCATCAAGACCCCTTCTTTCACTGTGCAAACTGTCCCCCAAGCTCCTGTGCTCCAATCAGACAATCAGAACTTTCCATTCATTTCAGCAAAGTTCTATTGAGCTTCCACTCTGGGTTGGGTAGCAGGCTAGGCTGGGGACAGAAAGATGAATGAGACCCATGCCTTATGAGACACATGATACTCACAGTGAGGAGGAGAGAGCAGATGACTTACACTGAAACAAAAACAATAATGTTTCACATCCAATAATATAATAATAAACAAGACACAGAGGAAGGGGTTATTTCTTCTCTTCTGAGAGAATAGGAAACAACAAAGATACATTTCTACAGAGAAGGGCTTTAAAGGATGAATAGGAGTTTTCCAGGGAGAAAAGGAGAAAAGGTCATTTCTGGCAGAGCCAACCAAAGCAGAAAATTCTGAAAGTGAATGTTTGACAGGAGCTGCGGAGAGGGAAGAAGAGGGTGACACATAATTCAGTAAAGTGATTGTGTTGAACATGGAACAGCAGAGGGGTGGGAGATGAGCATAAGAAGTTGTGATGGTTCCTTGACACCTTGCTTATTTTTGTAATTTTTTTTTTTTAGATTTTGAAATAATTTGATCCTAACAGGAAAGTTGTAAGCTTGGTATAAAGAGCGCTCATATACAGGCTGGGTGTGGTGGCTCACACCTGTAGTGCCAGCATTTTGGGAGGCTGAGCTGAGAGCATTGCTTGAGGCCAGGAGGTCGAGACCAGCCTGGGCAACATATCAAGACCCCATCTCTACAAAAATAATAATAATAATGAAAGAATTAGCCAAGCATGGTGGTGCTCACCTGCAGTCCCAGTAACTTGGGAGGCTGAAGTGGGAGGATGGCTTGAGTCCAGGAGGTCGAGGCTGCAGTGAGCTGTGACTGTGCCACTGCACTCCAGCCTGAGCAATAGAGTGAGACACTGTCTTAAAAAAATTCTCATAAACCCGTTTTACCTAGTCTTCCTAAAATCGTCAATATTTTACCACACTTGCTTTATCATCTTTTCTTGATACATACATATTGCATTTGTATTTTTTTATGAATTGTTTGAGAATGAGTTGGGGTCATGATATTCCTTTACCCCTAATCACTTCAGTGTGTATTTCCTAAGACCATGGTCATTTTCTTAGGTAACTACCATATAAAGTCAGGAAATTGACATTGACTTAATACCATTATCTAATCCACAAACCTTATTAATATGTCACCAATTTTCCCAATAATTTCTTTTATAGTAACAAAAAGAAAATGTTGACCACCTGTATTAGTCCATTTTCACACTGCTATAAAGAGCTGCCTCAGACTGGGTGATTTATTAAAAAAAAGAGATTTAATTGGCCCACAGTTCTGCATGGCTGGGGAGGTCTCAGGGAATTTACAATCATGGCAGAAGGGGAAACAGGCATGTCTTACATGGCGGCAGGCAAGAGAGGAGAGCAGGGGAAACAGCCACTTATAAAACCATCGGCTTTCTTGAAAACTCACTCACTATCACAAGAACAGCATGGAGGAAAGAGCCCCCATGATCCAGTCACCTCCCACCAGGTCCCTCCCTTGACATGTGGAGATTACAGTTAGAGATGAGATTTGGGTGGGGACACAGAGTCAAACCTTATCACCACCCTATTTACAATTGGGACTCCACCCCTCTCAACATGTCCTGGGCCCTGGCTCTGCTTTTTCTTTGTAGCATTTTCTGACCTCTAACATGTAGCATTATTCCTATTTCTAAAATGTCTCTCCCTTCCCACCATCCCACTAGAATGTAGATCTATGAGGTCAAGAACTTTTGTCCATTTTGCTCACTGTCATATCAACACCCAGGAGAGTGACTGCCACATGAAAGTTATTCAATAAATAGTCTGAATGACTGAATGGCCAAACCTGGAGGTATCTCTTCCCAACCCCTCTTCCTCTTATTTTTTTAAGCAAAAAACAATAGGCTATTTTTTCATGCCAAGAAAACTGAGCCTCCGTGTTAGTGTTTTTCTCCCTTTAAGTTCTTGCTTGGGGTTTTCTTATTTTGCCTCCTGATAGGTACGTAGGGTATATTGCAAAGGAGAAGGTTATCCCCAGAACAGCTAGGGCTTCTTCTAAGAATAGCCCAAGTCAACTGAATCTCCCCTGGGTCTCCTATACAGATGTGAAAGTCCTTGACATGCAATGGTATCTATCCCTCTGCAAACAGAGTGAGCATCTTTAGATCTAATTGAAAGATTAAAAAGAAGATCCCCAGCTGGAAGGTCAATTTATAGATTCCACAGTTAAATCAAGCCACATTCCTAAGCACATGGGACACAAACCTTGCATTAAATCAAAGACTTAATCCAAGTTAAGCCACCCTGGATGAGGAGCTAGAGCTGGAGACATGTAATTAACACCAGCCAGTCAGCACCAACTGCTTCAGATGACAGGTCCACAGCCTGGAAAACCTTGTTACAATTTCCAGGAGGGCTTTGGGGATGCTTGTTCTCAAGTTCCAGAGACGGTGGGCTTTGCTTCTTTCCATCTGATCTCAACTACTGACCACCAGGCTCCCTGCACTCCAGCCCCACCAACCTCCTTGCCACTTCTCAAACATGTCAAGGACGCTTCCATTTCAAGGTCATTTGCACCTGCTCTCTCCCTGAGCTCCCTCTGGACTTTGCTCAAATGTCACCTCTCTCTCACTCTATTTATTTCTGTAAGCCTCTCTCCTCCTTGTCACCTGCTATTCCCTCCTGCTGTATCCCTTCCCGCCACTCTTATCCCACCTGACACACTGCACATTGTACTTATCCATTTACTCTTTCTTCCCCTGAGAAACCCCATGAAGGCAGGACTTGTGCTTTTTCATTCAATGTTCCCTCACCAATCATCTAGAACAGTATGTAGCATATATCAGGCACTCAGTACCTAACTGCTGAGTTAATTTGTTGGCTAGTTATCTGATTGATTGATTGACTGATTGATTGGGTGGTTAATTAAATGGTTAATTAATTTACCTCCTGAGGCTGGGCCCCCATATGGCCACCTAGCTAAGAAACACCATCAAACCTGGGGCTGGGTATTTTGGTTATGAAGGCAAATAAGAGCTACCTAGAAATGCCCTGACGCCAGATGTCTTCAATATTCTGAGACCTGAGTCTCTGTTATAGGTTGGTGTCCTTGGGATAAAGTTCAAGTTCTCTGTCCCTTTGGTTCTTACCTTGAGGAACTCCATCTTCCACCCCTGAACTGCTCACCTACCCTCCAGTGAACTAGAACTTTTGTCAGCTCCTCAAAGTCACCAGGTTCTTGCCACATATGACGTCTCTTCCTAGAACAGTCCTCTCCATCATGCCATAGTCTTCAACTCTGGCCAGCACCTGCTCCCCAGGTGTCCCCTGTCTGCACTCACCACACTCTTCTTGCAGTGAATCACCAGACTGTGGGTTCCACGAAGCAAGAGCCCTTGCCTTCTTCTTCCCCATGGTATCCCAGTGTCTAGGGCATTGCCAGACTCATGCTTGAATATTTGCTAATTTGGATAGGAGTTATCATCTTATTTCACAGATGGAAGTTATGAACTTTTTACACACCTAATGTACAGGAATTTTCACACTAAACAATCCTCCAATTCTCTGTGGATACCAATTGGGTATTCTATAATTAAATTAAACTTTGGCACTGCCTACCTGGTGTTACCGTCAGACCCTATGAGTGAAGGGTTCCAACCCACAAGAAGGCCCCCAACCTCTGAGGCCAGTTGCAAATCCCAGGTTGCTACCTGTACTCCTAAGCAACCAGCTATAAATCGGGGGTTCCTGCAACCCACTCTCAGGTTTGATAATTTGTTAAAATGACTCCCAGAAATCAGAAAAGTGTTTTAATTACTACTACTGGTTTATTATAAAGGATGAAAGTCAATAACAGCCCAATGGAAGGGAAGCATAGGGGAAGGATGGGAGAAGGGCCCCATGCACACCAGCCTCCCAGCTCCATGCGCTCACCAACTCAGAAGCTCTCTGAACCCCATCCTTTAGTATTATGGAGGTTCCACTACATAGGTGTGATTAAACCATTGGCTATTTGGTGATTAGGTCAATGGTTGTTGACTTCAGCCTCTCTCCTCTCCTTGAGGTGGGAAGTAAGATTTGGGGTGGGCAATGAGCCTAATAGCTCCTCCAACCTTTTAATCATGAGGTTGGTTTCTCTATAGCCAGCCCCATCCTGAATCTATCTAGAGCTCACCAAGAGTCCCCTCATTTGCGAAAACTCAGGAATCGTTGAAAGGGACTTGTTATGAACAACAAAAGATGCTCCCCTAAACCCATCATTCAGGAAATTCCAAGGGTTTTAGAAGTTCTGTGTCAGGAACCAGGACAAAGACTAAATATATACTTCTTCCTTCATCGCAGAGGTTAAATATAGTATAGTGGTAAGACCACAGCTTTGAAGACCATGAGTTCAAATCCCAACTCTTCCACTTAATGGCTATGTGACCTTAAACAAGTTATCTCAGCTCTCTACATCTTTTTCTCATTTATAAAATAACGATCATGGTAAATTTATAATTCATTCAACACCGTTCTCAAGGCTAGGAATACGGCAGTAAACAATAGATTGGCCCAAAGTGATATTCGAGCCAAAACCCAAATGGTGAGAAGAATTTCGCCACCTTGAGCCTAAAAGGAAGAACCTTCAAGGCAGAGGGAATATCATGCCTGAAGGTGTTGAGGCAGGAACAACCTCATAGTGTTCAGGAAAGATAAAAGAAGGCCAGGCCGCCAGGCACGGTGGCTCACACCTTTAATCCCAGCACTTTGGGAGGCCGAGGCAGGTGGATCACCTGAGGTCAGGAGTTCGAGACCAGCCTGACCAATATAAAGAAACCCTGTCTCTATTTAAAAAAATACAAAATCAGCCAGGCATGGTGGCACAGGCCTGTAATCCCAGCTACTCAGGAGGCTAAGGCAGGAGAATCCCTTGAACCCGGGAGGCAGAGGTTGCAGTGAGCTGAGATCGCGCCATTGCACTTCAGCCTGGGCAACAAGAGCAAAACTCTGTCTCAAAAAAAAAAGAAGAAGGCGGCCAGTGGTGCCTCTGGCATCCCCAAAAGCAAGCCTCCAATACCACGAAGGTACACAGGGCCACTTTCCCTGCACCTCTCGGCTCCTGATCTACCCAACTCCAGACCCCAAGGTTCACCTCTAGCTCTGAAAAGGAGCACAGCTTCTCCAGCCACATCTGCCTCATTTTGCCTCAACTGCAATTGGAATCGTTCTCTGATTGGCTCCCCTGGGTACGTCCTGACCTTCTCAATCCCCCACTTCTGTGCCCTACCATCCCCTTAAGTGACACTGTCAGCCAGGTTTGCCTGGCTCTCAAGCTGCAAATCTCTAAGACAGAAGTCAATGGGTAATGAGAATAAGAAAATGTGAAGGACTAGAACTCCAGATCTTGATGCTACTGGTATTAGTTAGGTCAGAGAAGATAATAATTTGACATCCTAGGAACCCAAATTTCCATCCCCGTCTAACTCCACTATCCAGTGCTAAATTCAATGGCTTATACCAATGCTATTTGATTCTTAATCAGTGTCTGCTCCATCTGGTCCCTTTACAGTACTGATTCTCAACCGGGGCAATTTTGCTCCCTAAGGGACATTTCGCAATATCGGGAGACACTTTTGGTTGTCACAACTGGGGTGGATGGTGCTACTGCTATTTGGTGGGTAGAGGCCAGGGATGCTGCAAAACATACAGCAGTGCACAGGACAGCCTGCCCCTGTCCCCAACAACAAATTTTCCTGCCCAAAATGCCAACAGTGCCAAGGTTGAAAAATGCTGCTTTTAAGTAACACAGCTCACCCTGCATAAACATTAAACATATATATAAAGAGATGTTAAAATGTATTTGTATGCAGATAAATGCAAATTAAAACATTAATGAGATATTTCACACCTCGCAAGCAGACAAATTTCAAAAAGGACAAATATTGGCAGAAAAGTGGGGACATAGGAACCCTCAGGCACAGCTGGTGGAGGGTATGCTGGTGTGACCTGTTACTATTTAGTCAAAGGAAGATTCACAGACGCAAGGACCAGCAGTTCTATAAGAAAGTCTTACAAAGCTCCTTAGAAAGACACATACGGAAATAATCATTGCAAGGTTATTTGTGGAAGGTGGAGGTAACGAGGTTGTCTATCATTGGGGAACTAGGCAGATAAAAGTGGATGAGCAAATACCATGGGGTATTAGAAGTGACCTTTTTTTTTTAATTTTTCTTTTTCTTCTTTTTTTTTTTTTTTGAGACGGCGTTTCACTCCAGCCCAGGCTGGAGTGCAGTGGCATGATTTCAGCTCACTGCAACCTCCATCTCCTGGGTTCAAGTGATTCTCCTGCTTCAGCCTGCTGAATAGCTGGAATTACAGTTGCCTGCCACCACGCCCAGCTAATTTTTTGTATTTTAGTAGAGGGGGGTTTCACCATGTTGGCCAGGCTGGTCTTGAACTCCTGACCTCAGGTGACCCACCTGCCTCGGCCTCCCAAAGTGCTGGGATTATAGGCTTGAGCCACCGTGCCTGGCCAGAAGTAACATTTTAGATGTACAAATAGCAATAGAGATAGACCTTACAGCTTTAATGAGAGTGAGGAGGGGGAGTTAAAAAAAAAAAAAAAACAGCATGAGACGATTAATACAATTCCACATGCATCAATCTTTTTCAAAGTGTACACATTGGGAGAGTAAATTGGCACATGTACTTTGGAAATTTATTTGATAGTATTTACTAAAGCTCAATATAAATACTTTGAACCAGCAAATTCCACTCCTGGAATTATACTCAAGAGATATGAGTGTTTGTGTCCACCAAAAGACATGTACACATTTAATCCATAATAGCCCCAAACCAGAAACAGCCAGTTGTTAATAAAGAAATTGAGGTATATGCATACAATAGAATACAATACAACAATGAAAATACGGATGCATCTCATAGACATCCCATTAAGCAAAATAAGCCAGGCACAAAGAATAGACACAGAATGCTTCCTTTCATGAAGTTCAAAACCAGGCAAAACTAATCAACAGTGTTAGAGGTCATTACACTAGTTTCCTTTGGAAAGGATAGACTTTTTTTTTTTTTTTTTTTTTTTGAGACGGAGTCTCGCTCTGTCGCCCAGGCTGGAGTGCAATGGCGTGATCTCGGCTCACTGCAAGCTCCGCCTTCCAGGTTCACACCATTCTCCTGCCACAGCCTCCCGAGTAGCTGGGACTACAGGCGCCCGCCACCACGCCCGGCTGGAAAGGATAGACTTTAAGGATTGACGGGGAGACTCCTGCAGTGTGAGAAATATTCTATATGTTCATCTAGGTGGTGATTACACAAGATCTATACGTATCTAAGAAAATATCATGCAGTCCACATAAGGTCTGTGCTCTTTATGTTAATTATACCTTAACTACAAATAAAACTTAGGATGGAGGACTTTCAAAAGATATGGATTCAATTGACAATACCAAGCACTGGCAAGCATGCAGAGTAATTAGGAATTTTCATATACTGCCAGTAGGAAAGCAAAATGACATAGCCCTTCTGGAAAACAGTTTGGCGGTTTTTTATAAAGTTAAATATACACTTATAATGTGACCCTGTAATCTCACCCCCAGGTGCCCTAAAGAAATAAAAACACGTTTGTACAAAAACCCATCCACAGGGCTGGGTACGGGTGGCTCAAACCTGTAGTCCTAGAACTTTGGGAGGCTAAGGCAGGCAGATCACCTGAGGTCAGGAGCTCGAGACCAGTCTAGCCAATATGGTGAAACCCCATCTGTACTAAAATTACAAAAATTAGCCGAGCGTGGTGGCAGGTGTCTGTAATCCCATCTACTCAGGAAGCTGAGGCAGGAGAATTGCTTGAACTTTGGAGGTGGAGGTTGCAGTGAGCCAAGATGGTGCCACTGAGCCGAATCCATCAAAAGAAAAGAAAAGGAGAAACAAAAGAAAAGAAAAGGAAGGGAAGGGAAGGGAAAGAAAAGGAAAAGGAAAAGGAAAGAGAGGGAGGGAGGAAGGAAGGAAGGAAGGAAGGAAGGAAAACCTATACACAGATACACAAATTTATAGACGCTCTATTCATAGTTAGCAAAACCTGGAGAAAATCTAAATAGCCTCCAAAGAGGAAGTGGATAAACAAACATCCACACCATGGAATACTATTCGGCAATTAAACAACAAACAAACTCCTGATACATAATAACCAGAATGAATCTCACAGGCATTATCCTGAGTGAAATAAGTCAGCCTCAAAAGGTTATTATCTTAGTCCATTCAGGTTGCTATATAACAAAATACCGTAAACTTGGTGGCTTATAAGCAAACGAAATTTATTTCACACAGTTGCGGAGGCTAAAAGTTCAAGATCAGGGGGCCAGCATGGTGAGGGCCTTCCTCTAGATTGAGGGCCCTCCTCCAGGTTGCAAATGGCCAACTTCCCATTATATCTTCAAGTGGTAGAAAGAGCATGAGAGACTTCTCTGGGGTCCCTTTTATAAGGGCACTAATCCCATTCATGAGGGCTCCACCCTCATGATCTAATTATCTTCCAAAAGCCTCACTTCTAAATAGCATCATATTGGGGATTATATTTCAGCATAGGAATTTGCAGGAGGACACAAACATTCAGCCCACAACATGACTTTCTTGAAAAGACAAAAGCATAATGATGGAAACAGATCAGTGGTTGCCAGGGACTATGGGTGGGGGAAGCATGCAACTATAAGGAATAACATGAAGGACTTCTTTGGAATGATGAAAGTGTTCGGTATCTTAATTGTGCTCAAAGTGGTTACATTAATCTATATATGTGTTAAAATTCATAGAACCATGCATCAAAAAAAGAGTCGACTTTACTATATGTACTTAAAGTATAAAATAAATGAGATATTGATTCAGAGTCATATTCCACAATTAATAACTATATTAGGAATAAACAAATACGCGCACACAATATATATTCTTCAAGAATATACACAAACAAAAGATATACATTAAGCACACACGATGGCCTATTAAGGGTAGGAAATGTAAGTAACTAGAGTGAGGTGGTGGGGATGAAAGGAAATGAACCCAGAGACAAATCAGTGAGAGACACATTTGATAATGCAACTAGGAAGACTTACAGGAGTGAGAAGCGATTGTACTCACAGCTATGGTTTATTACAGGATCGGCAAGGGGCAAGGGACACACAGCAGGTAGAATCTGGAAGAATCCATGCACAGACTCCCAGTGTTCTCCCCACCTCTCTCTAGCCCTAGGGATCACGGTGAATATGTTCTTTCAGCAACACCTCTTCAGTGTTTCTGCCTAGAGAAGCCCACGTTTAGGCTCAAAGTTTGGGTGTTTTATTGAGAGCTGGTCACATAAGCACAAAAACTAGTAACAACTATTGAAATTCCAGGCTCCTGGAAAGGAAGCAGGTATTCTGGGCGCGAAGCAGGTATTCTGGGCGCTAAGCGGGCAAAACAGTGTTTTACATAGTTAGATAACAATGCAAAAGCCAAGTTCCCAGATGCCAGTGAAGAGCCAAGCCTGAAAGCAAGCCTTTCTAAAGATGGCAACCTCATGCTGACTATGTTAATTCTCCCTTGCCCTGGGTCCTTGCAGAGACCCATGTGGATGTGCCACGAGCCTGTGATCCAAAAAAATAAAATAAAATAATTTTTTTAAAACTAGGATCTGCTTCTGGTTTTCAATTCTTCTATTATTTAAGTCATGCAACAGTGTTAACCAGGCAGGCTCACTAGCATGATGGATGGATAAATAAGTGGGTGGGTAGGCCGACGGATGAATGGATGGATAGACGAATGGACGGATGGATGAATGGACACATGGATGGATAGAAGCAAAATAAAATCAATACTGTATGAGCCAAACAAAACAATGGCTTGAGCATTCTGTTTCTAATGATGCTCTCAGGAATGCAGCCACAAGGAAACTCTGCCCTCACCTCCACCCCATGAGGCAGAAACTGGCCACCAGTGACAGGGAAACAAAGTGGATTCCTCGAATGTCATTGTTATTAAAACAAAACTAGTCCCAGAAAACTGACCTGAATGTATTTTTTCTCTCACTTTTGGCCTGACTGTCTAATAACCAAAAGTCACCAGAAAAAAAAAATTTTTTCTCAGCAAATGCTTAAAAACAGAGAAGACCCCCAAAGTACACAGGGGCAGAGAACAACTCACAAATCTCAAGAATAAAATAAAGATGAAAGATTCTCACCCTACTGCAATGACTCTCCCAGCCCACTGCCACCAAAGCTTCTGAGATTAAAAAGAGAAATTATTTAATATATGCAGTTTCAATTTTTAAAGTTTCAGGCATGAAAGAGCTTTTGCTCCCTAATGATGTCCCTCAGATGTAGCAAGACCTGGTCTCTCTTTCACTGAAGAATTGCCTTCATTTTCACCACAGACTTCCCTTGCCTCAAAGACAGATGCTCAGTCAGAGAAAGGAGCCTGAGGATCCACAGAAACTCTCTGATATTAATTGATCTGCTCCTAGTTTTCAGTTATTCTATTTTTTAAAACATGCGACAGTGTTAACCAGGCAGGCTCACTAGCATGATGGATGGATGAGTGAGTGGGTGGGTAGGTTGATGGATGAATGGATGGACAGATGAACAAATGGACGGATGGATGGATGGATGGATGGATGGATGGAAAAATAGATGGATGGATGTATAGATGGAGATAGATATAGACAGAACTAGATACAGACAAATAGAGACATCGTTAAAGAGAGAGAGAGAGGTAATTATTTATTTTTGCAACAAGTATTTATTATCTACTTTAGGTCAGGCACTGCTCCAGCTTATAACTGTTTGTTATAACAGTAACAAAAACAAACAAACATCCACTACCTTCCCGGAGCTTAGAGAGAGACTATAAAAAATAAAAATAATATATAGAATTATAGATGGTGTTAAGTGCTATGGAGAGAGCAACATCAAGTAAAGCGTCTTGGGACCGGCTGGGAAGAGTTCCAGTTCTTAAAGAATAGGGTCAGGAAAGGACTCACCAGAAAAGTGACTTTTGAATGAAGACCTAAAAGAGATGAGAGTGTTCGGGTTCAATATTACTTTTTAAATAGACAGACTTAACTACCTGAGAAAAAAACAGGCATATCCCAAAAATACTAGGACAAGGGAAAATTATAAAAGTTGATTTAACACCAACAGGTATGTAAAGGAGATGATGACATAATGCTTAGTTCCTGGCAAGATTTAGATTGGAGAAAAATAGCATGACATGGGCACACTTGGAAGAAACCAATGGGCTATCACCAAGAAGGACCTGCTCGAGCTCAAGATAACCAGGAAACATAACCACCTCTTATGTTATAATAATGTGGTAACACAAAAAGATGGGATGGCATGTCACATATTGACTCGGAAGTAGGCAAAAACGTGAGACCAACTTGGGCTTAGATACACATACCTAGGAATATACTAGGTGAAGTTAAAGACAGCAGGAGATTGATATTCTACATAAATATGGAAATGCACTTTATGAGTTCTTGAGATTCTCTGGGGATTTTTCATAGGTCTCACCCATCACTGGTCATGTAAATATGTCATTTTTAGCAAAATCACATTCTCTTCACTTCTATCTGTTCTATATTGCTGCAAGGACTGCTTTTTGAACTAGGGTATGACAATGATCTGTCTTGATAGTGTTTGTGAGTCAATTCAGAATTACAGTGATTACTAAAGTTGGTCACATATTCCCCCCATCTCTATATGCATTCCTCTTTGTGATGTCACTTTGCTGTCCTTTCCACTAAATAGTAGAACCTATTTCTCTACCCTCTTGAGTCCTTGTCATGTGATTTGCCTTGACCAAGAAAATCTCAAAGAAGTGATGTTATGGTAATTCACAGACTACACCACAACAGGCCAGAAACGTCTACCTTATCCCTCTTGAAATGCTACCCTGAGATTGACATATGGGGAGTCTGGGCTAGACTCCTCGAGGGTGAGAAACTATGTGAAGCAAGGTCTGGCCAATAGACAGCCCCAAATGCCAGAATTGGGAGTGAAGTCATCATAGACAATCTGTCTCTAATGGAGTCCCCAGATGTGTGCAGAATAGGAATAGCCCCAGGAAAGACCAACAGAAGAACCACTCACCTGAGCTCAGCCCAAATTGTTGACTCACAGAATTGTAAGTAAACCAACAAGGTGGTTGTGTTAAGCCATTAAGTTTTGGATAATTTGTTATGCGGGAATAAATAACTAATACAGATGGTAGCTACAAGTCTCTTCCTATGCCTATGGTTGTCAAGAAGACAGATGAAGCAATTAGTAGTGGAAACTATCCATTCATTAAACAAGTACTTATGGAGCTCCTACTCTATGCACACACAGCCTAGTGGCTCACAATAAGCAACCTTTACAGCCACTGCTTGACGAAATATCTCCAGACAAAACTATTCCTCCACCATAGCATAAGGTGATGGTCTGCCCTTGTGTATCCATCCTTGTTTAAGAAACAAACTAATGTCCCTTAACTAAAGATTCTCCTTCCAGTGAGGACAAATGCAACTCCTCGTGACCACTGTTTCTCCTCTGGTGCCCTTCCAATAACTCAGAAAATCTAGACTATTGGTTGTTTATGACTTCACTGGATAGCACCTCTATTGTCATCAGGCCTTCAGGAGGTTGGGTCTTCTGAGAAATGCCTGCCCCTCACCCAGCCCTAGCAGGCCAATCCATTCCTCTTTGTGTGGTGGAGTCACGCCAGTGAAGTGGATGAGGAGTAGGATGGGAGTCAGAAAACTTAGGTTCCATTTGTGCATTCTCAGACTTGTGGGAAGATACTTCACCAGCCCCAGCCTTAGAAATGAGAGTAACAGAGCTGTACAATCTCTGAGGTGTTATTTATTCTTAAGGATACACTTACTGGCAGGGAGGAAATGCTCTAAGCCATTTACATACATTACCGACATCTTCTCTTTTAACCCTCCAGGCATCAGGCATCTCGAGGGGGTAGGCACTCCCACCTTCCTGATTTTACAAATGGGAGTCTGAGGCTCAGAGGAATTGGGTGACTTACTCAATGTCACACAGCTAGTTGCAGGAGTCAGTCTTTTAACTCAGGCCCATCCAGTCTTAAAAACATGGACTGAACCAGTGTATATCCAACTGACAGATGAGTTTAGAAGCTATCTAGTCCAGACAAGCTTGAACTCAGCTAGTCCAGCCTTTCATGCACCTCACCTATTTAGTGACAGGGAAGTCATTACTTCTCCAAGCAACTTACATTACTTTAGGCTGAAAATTGCCTGCCTGAAATTCCTGCTCACTAATCCCTCTTGGCCCTCTGTTAACATCAATAATTCCACCGATAATTACAAAGCACCTACTAGGCACCAGACATTATCCTAAGTGCTTGGGATACACGTATGAAATTGCTCATTCCAACTTGGTTTGGCCCAGTTTTCAAGGGTTTCCTGCTCAAACTCACACCTCAGCCTGAATTCCCACTCCTGAAGATTTCTTACCTCTCTGTAGTGAGCTCTGTTGATGGCCTCTCTCCATCCTGCTGTAACTCACATGGAACCTGTCTCTTCCTTCATTTCTCCCAATGATCTCTAAGACAGAGCTGTCTCATGCCGCTGACTTTACTGAAGCTCTCAGGATATGGAGGGGGATTACAGCATGCAATAAGCCATGACTTCCACAAAGTTACTTATCTCTGTCTTGAAGTTCTTCACTCACCCCTGCCGTAGGAAATTTCACTTCCCTAGCCTTTCCTCAGAGCCCAGCTGCTGTCATTTTTGGGGAGTCCTCTACCAAGTCTCTTGAATTCCACATTCCCTAGCCTTTCCTCAGAGTCCAACTGCTGTCATTTTGGGGGGATCCTCTACTAAGTCTCTTGAATCCTACATTCCCCAACCTTTCCTTAAAGCCCAACTGCTGTCATTTTGGTGGGGGGTGGGGGGGTCCTCTACCAAGTCTCTTCTCTATTTCCTTCTAATTTTTCGCAATGGTCAGTACACCCAAGACCCTCTTTCCCTGAGCTGGGAAAAGACCTCAAATTACTATTTTTTTGTCATGCATACCAATGCAACTCTTCTTAATCTAAGCTTTTCTCATCTCTACCGTACTCCAGAGGAAACCTCCCTGCAAATAAGAAAACCACACCAATTAAAGTATTTTTTCTGGGAAAAGAAAATATGCAGTTGTCTCAGAAGGATTCCTCATGATACTCCTAGGTCAACTAATTCAAACAGCAGCCAACTTTTGAAATAGAAGTTTTCTATTAAATAATAGTAATGTCAACTATTAAACCTGCACCTTGGCATATGATATGCTACATTCATTTCTTCATCTTCCAAATGAAGAAACTGAGGCTCAGAGAGAAACATTATCACTAGCTTTAAATCACTGAGCTAGAAAGTGGAAAAGTGAAGATTCAAACAGTCCCCAAACCAACACGCCTTTCCAGTGCTTGAACTATGATCAGGCAAGAAAGTGCAACACTTAAGGTGGCACTCACTCTCAGGGGCTGACTGCACAAGCATGACCCTAAGAATGGGTACTTCCTTAAGAGCAGGGTACCTAGAATCCAAGTTCAGGCAAGTGCAGGGTGAATGCAGCTTTAATTTGCATCCTAAGCACCCCGCTTGCCTCACCACAGCTGGGGCCCTGTACCTTCTCTTCCACAAACCTGAAATGCATGCTGGACAGTGACCATCCTGACTGGGACACTAGCCTGGCCCTCTGGGCTTGCATAGCAATTGATGCCTGGCTTTCCCTGTGCAGGTGGTGCTGATTAATGGTGCTGTTAAGAAGAGATCCAGCTGCTGCTTTCAGTTTCCTCTTCCTGCAGAGATCCTTAATTACTGGGCTTCACCTGTTGAGTTTCCTTAAATGACATGAGTGTGTATTTTTAAGTGGGAAAACAATTCATTAGGAAGTGCCAACATCTCAGAGGAGGTAAATCCTCCAGTTAATTTCAGAACCACACTGCTTCAGCCACATAAGAGAGCGGTCCAAGGGGGTACTGCTTTTTTCTGAACGTCACCAAGCCAAACAACCAACCTTCAGCAGATGGCAGGGAGCGGCCTTGAGAAACCACAGGGAGGGGTCATGAGATCAAACCACCCTTAGCCATCAACCTTTAGCATCCTCCCTGGTTGCCCCTTTAGCTCAGCACCCTGGGAATGATGGGTCCACACAGCCATTTAGGTACTGCTTCCACACGGCTGAAATTGCATTTGCATTTTATTAAATAAAAGCAATCTGTGCAAAAGCCTAGCCTAAAGTTACTAACAGATATTTGAGTCTAAGATAATACATCTTACAGTATTAGAATTCAGGTTCTAAGACAATCACCCTCAACCGTTGTCAATCTTTACATTAGGGTAGATTTTTGAAACTTCAGGTCCCTACAATCTAGATTCTGATTTAATTAGTCTAGGGTGGGACCCTGGCCTTTAGTATTTTTTTAAAGCTGCAGCCCTCAGTGGTGACTCCAACGTGTAGGCAGAATTGGAAACCACTCTAATTTGTATTTAATTTTTTTTTATTTTTATTTTTGGAAACAGGGTCTCACTCTGTCACCCAGGGTAGAATGCAGTGGCACGATCTCAGCTCATTGCAGCCTCTGCCTCCCAGATTCAAGTGATGCTCTTGCCTCAGCCTCCCCAGTAGCTAGGATTATAGGCATGTGCCACCATACCTGGCTAATTTTTTTGCATTTTTAGTAGAGACGGGGTTTAGCCATGTTGGCCAGGCTGGTCTCGAACTCCTGGCCTCAAGGGATCCACCTGCCTCGGCCTCCCAAAGTGCTGGGATTACAGGCATGAGCCACTGCACCCTGCTAGTTGTTTTATACATAGAGAGAGAGATTACAAAATACTTTCTAAAGGATAGATCCTGGGTCTTATCACTGTATTGCTCATACCAAGCAAAATGCCTGGCACAGAGTGTGCCACCGATACATGTTTTGTGCATAAAAATAAATAATGTCACTTGATGCTTACTAGAGGCAGGAGAAGGGACATAGAAGGAGCAATGGGGATAGGTCGGCCAAGGGGTACAAAGTTAATCAGGAAGAATAAGTTCCTGTGTTCTATTACACAGTAGGGCGACTGGAGCTAATGACCATACATTGCATATTTCAAGATAGTCAGAGAAGAGGAGCTTGAAAATGATCACCACAAAGAAACGGTAAAGGTTTGAAGTGATGGACACACACTGGCTACCCTGTTTGATCATTATACAATGTATATATGTATCAAAATATTACACTATACTTATAAACATGTATAATTATATGTGTCAATTATAAATGAAATGTTAATATGTCCCTTGATTCTTGTTTGTACCTTTTTCCAATTATTTAGCCTTACATATATATCCATGTATATATAAATTTTACATAAATGCATAAAAAGTGAGCATTCCTTTGTGTGTGTGTGTGTGTGTGTGTGTGTGTGTGTGTATGAGAAAAAGAGACAGAGACAAGCAGAGAGAGAGAGAGAGGCAGAAACAGAGAGAGAGGAGGAGACAGGGAGAGAGAGACGGCAAACTTTTTTTGCTACCAATTTTGGCTCATTTGCCCTGCCCCTCTATTCTCACCCCCATTGCCATCTCCCCACCTGCTCCAACACCTGCCCCACCAGAAAACCTGTACTGACAGTCCAGTCAGTGGTCTTCTATATAGTGTCCATCCTCATTTAATTCTAGACAGACATACAGACACACATGAGTGTGGGCAATCATTGTTTTATAGAAATGGGATCATATTCTACCAACCGTTCCCATGTATTCAACAATTCCTTGTTGCAAGCCCTCCAAGTTGATTTCTCAAAGAACTAAAAATGGAACTTTCACTGGACCCAGCAATCCCATCGTTGATATGTACCCAAAGGAAAATAAGTCATTCTACCGAAAAGACACTTGTGCTCATATCTTTATAGCAGTGCTAGTCACAATAGCCAAGACATGGAATCAACCCAGCTGTCCATCAGTGGTGGACTGGATAAAGAAAATATGGTACATATATACCACAGAATACTAGACAGCCACAAAAAAAGAATAAAATGATGTTCTCTATAGCACCATGGATGCAGCTGGAGGCTGTTATCCTAAGCAAATTAACGCAGAAACAGAAAACCAAATACTGCACATTCTCACTTACATGCGGGAACTAAACACTGGGTACACAAAGACAGAAAGACGGGAACAAGAGACACTGAGGATTCCAAAAGGGGGAAGTGAAGGAGGGGGCAAGGGCTGAAATATTACCTATTGAGTACCAAGTTTGCTACTTGGGCAACGAGATCATCAGAAGCCCAAACCTCGGCATCATGCAAGATACCCATGTAAAAAACCTGCAGGTGTACCCCATTAAACTAAAAAAAAAGAAAAAGAAAAGAAAGCCCCCAATACCCCTGATATCACTCACCTTCACTGTCCTTATTGGGCACGTACCAGTCCATAGGTGGAAGCCCCATTGCTTAGTCAGCCACTCCCCCATGGATGAGCACTCACTTTGCTTCCCATTTCTGCCCGTCAGAAATAACTCAGCCACAAACAGGAGGTCATCTGATGCCTGCAACCACCCTATACAGCACAAATATCCATGTGAATCTTTCTTCCCATCCGCAGACACATAGCCAAATGCCTAGCAGGCCTTACCTGACCCCACTAAAACAGTCTTTCTGGCCAGGGAAAATTATAAAGAATTATATGAGATCACACATACAAAAAAAAAAAAACCTTCACAGTGTGCAGAAGGCTTTGTGTCAAAGTCGAGCTCGCACGTGGCCGTGGCCGGGTTCTCTGTGGCCAGCCCCATTCACAACACAGCTCTGGCAGAGCACTCTTCAATAGCATCATTAATAGCCCATTGATCCAATTACATTTCTTTCTGTTCCACTTCAGAATTACAATCTCCTGTTCCCCCTGAAAGAGCCCAGATAGATTCCCAGATGAGTATCGGAAGAGGTAGCTGCCATCAGGACTTGCTTGATGGACCCAAGCACTCATCTAATAGTGGCACTGGAAGAATTAATCTGGCTGATATATCAGACCTCTCTCCTCCGTGGGAACTTGCCATTTTCTCCAGCCTCTGAGTTTTTCTAGTGAGATTCAGAGATACAGCCAAATGTGAGTTAACCCAGGGACATCCTAACACTGCCCTCATTGTGTGTTCCCAGCATGGGGTAGGCACTCCATAAATAATCGTTGAATTGAAAAATGCCTAAGGAGGGGTATATTGGGGCTCAAAGCAGACCAGGTCGGCTGAAGAAATGGGCTTTATCCAGATTGTGACTTTGCAGGTTGGACCAGAATGAGAGTTTGAATCTGATTCCATAGGTAATGCATAAAATGAAAATATATACTATAAAAAGGCAAAGTCAAGACCTTGAATGATAGCTGAGAAAAAAGTAGAGAGAGCTAAATACATATTCCAAGTCTAATGGGCAGGATAATGAGGGACAGAGGTAGGCAGCAATAGGACCAAAATAGCATTCATTCACTTAGTAACTGTATAATGAAGACCTACCTTACGCCGGGCACCGTGCTAAGCACTGGGGAGGCGGTGGTGTAGAAGTCATTATCCCAGCCCTCAATTGCTCATGGTCTTAGGGAGGAGGCCAAGACACAATCACATTAGAGCCATGACCAGGACAGGACAGAGCTAAAGCCTATGACAAACATAAGCCCAGGGAAATTAAGGAGTATACAGGGAGGCGCCTAAGCCAACCTGGGGAAGTATCAAAGGCTTCCTGGAGGAGGAGGATGAGGAAGAATTAGTAATGTTGAATACTGGCAGGTGAACAATTCATACTGTGAGAGGCTGTGGCCCCAGTACCCTTGCATCTGCTTTAGACTTTGACTTCTACAGTGAGACTCCTGGCCAATGAGGATCTATGTCCACAGTCCCTGGGGGTCATCAGCCCTGCACTCTCCCACCTCCACATCTTTGTCCATGTTTTTTCCTCTGTATGGATAGCACTCTCTGGTTCCCTCTCCCCAGTCTGTAAAACCATCACCTTCACCTCCCATCAAGGCACAGCCCCAGTGCTACTTCTTGCATGCAGCTTTTCCAACTTCCTCTACCTGGAATTAATCTCTGTCTCTTTCTCTCTCTCTCTGAATTTCAATAACACTTTGCTTGTTTCTCTCTTATAGTACACAGCACTCTTGACATTGTATTATAATTATTTGTGTATTTGTCTTATCTCCTCTGCTAAACTATGAACTCCACAGGGGCAGAAAAAACCTTGTCTTAACCACCTTTGTATTCCCTGCAGCGCCTTATACAAGGCAGGTGCTTGATACAGGTTGAATGAAGATTATGTTTACCAGGTTCCAGGTAAATGGAAGGAAATTAAAAGACAGCCCAGCTGGAAACAGTGGGCAGGCATTACAGGCAGGGCCCGCTTTCTAACAGCTATCATAAAACTGGCTGCTTGCTGGAGCTGTGAATTTCCCATCGCTGGTTAGAGAAATTCTTTAAAAGGGAGATTCTTTTAAAAATGGTTGTCCTAGATGATGTCTAAGCTCATCTAATTTTCACTAGGTTACTACAATGGAGAATGGTTGATGAGTAAGCAAAGACAGCAGAAACCCACTACACAGTGAAATAGGAACAGATGTGTGTTACTGTCAATGTGATTGCTCTTGGTTGAATGATGAGATCAGGGGTATTTATTAGATTATTAAATTTTTAATCAATTAAACTAAAAGATCCATTCTCAGAGAAATAATGACAGTATGTCATGAGCAAGGATTATAACTAACCTAATTCTAAACATCCGAGGATTTTTTTTGTTTTTTGTAGAGATAGGGGCCTCATCATGTTGCCCACACTGGCCTCAAACTCCTGGGCTCAGGCCATTCTCCTGCCCCAGATTCCCGAAGTGCTGGGATTACAGGTGTGAGCCACTGTGTCTGGCTGAGAATCATTTTTAAAGTTTGATTTAAACAATCGCCCATCCCCAGATCTGATTTGGGGCATCAATGGGGCCAAATGACATGGGTTTCCTAGAGAGCAAATCTCCGGATGTCATACAGATACTTAAAACCTTCAATGGCTCCCCATTTCCCTACAACACATTCCTAGTCCTCAGCTTGATGTTTGAGGCTTTTAATAATATAGCTCTTGCCAGCTGTACCTTACACAACGCCAGACACACTCAGACCAGAGGTTTCAATCTCAAGGGCATATAGGGACTCAGTGGAGTGTGCTGGGCCAGGACAAAACCACAAGGGCATGCCCCAACTCAACAACTGAGCAACTTCACAGGTCCAGCCCCTTTGCCCAGCAGAAATGCAGACTCAGCATTGCAAGCTCTTCTGAGTTTTCAAAAGAATCAGGAAATTAAGATTTTTTTTTGTAGAACCTGCCATTTTTCAATGTTAGCTTAAAAATGCTTAAACACTTTGTGAAAAATGCCCATCTGTGGCTCAGATCTCTATGATTTACTTAGACTCTATTTTTTAATTACTTAGATTTACTAAAAGGTGCTATGCTCGCACCCCTTCAAATATCCCTCCCCGATGTTTCCTCTCTCTAGGTTACTCCTCTCTGTCTCCTTTCCTGGATTTATTCCAGCCCAACCTTTAAGACTAGCTTCTAGTTGCAGTCATTCCTGCAGAATTACCTATTTCTTTTTACTCTTCCATATTGTCACAATGTTTTACAATGAACCTGAGCAGCAGATGCTGTCAGTGCCCTCCCACATCCCCTCAGCTCCCTTGATGATTTTGTGCACACCAGTTTCCCATGTGCTTTCACTCCCAACAGCCTCAGAATATTGGAATCCACTTTCTCTGAATGCACGGAGAGCTAGAAGCACCTGGGAATTTATGTTGCCCAAGAGCAGCCCTTAGCCAATGATTGACAGGTGGAGGAGTTTAAATACTTCACCTCCCTTGCTTCTTAACGGGAATTACTTCAAAATATGCTGCCTCCAGATCTCCCCTGCAGATTGAGCCACAGTTATCTTCTGCTAGACTTTGTTTGCTATCACACACCTGCTTGGGTTTTTCCTGGAAACACTTCCTATTAAACTGGTTTTAAATGAGCCCTCATTTCAGGATCTGCTTCTAGGACCTTTGATAGACAGCTTTTGACATGTTCTCCAATGATCTCCAGCACCTTCTGTTAATGCCCTTATACAATCCCCTCACCATGAGTGTGCCATGTTTCTAAATCCAAAAGTGATGAGTGTCACTTCCATGATTGGGATAGAAGAGATTGACTTCCATCTTGCCACCAGACTCTCTAGCTTGTCTTCTCTCCTTGTGTGCTTTGATAATGCAAGCTGCCACATTGAAGAGACCCACATGGCAAAGAAATGAAGGTCATCTCTAGTCAACAGCCAACAAAGAGCTCAATGCTGCCAATAACTACTGAGTGAGCTTGGAAATGGATACTTCCCCAGTCAGACCTTCACGTGAGACCACAACCTTGCACCAACATTTGATTATAGCCTTGTGCAAAACCATGAAGCAGAGGACCTAGCTAACTCGCATCCATATTCCTGGCCCACAACTATAAGATAATAAATGTGGGTCAGTCAAGCTGCTTAAGTCATGGGGTCACCTGGTATGTAGCAATAGATAACTAATACCAGACCCCAACATAAGACGATGTGTAATATTTCTATAATTAGAAAATATTCCATCCTAGATATCTCCTCCTGAAAGCCATTCCTGAGCTCCCAGACCAGGGCATTTTTGTCACCTCTGTCATGGTCTTCATCATCCTGAATTTAATAATTAATATACCCTGCCTCCCCATGTTTTTCTCCCCTACTGATCACCTTGAAGGCAGAGCTTTCAGAGAGAAAAGGTCTGATATATTTCTTTATTCATCATCTAAGCATAGTATCATATAGGAGATGCTTAACAAATGTATATTAAAGTAATTGATTTGTTAATTGTTTTCCATATGAGATTTTGGCCAAGTGCCTCCCTATATACCATTATTCTCCAGATGCCAAATCAAGGGTAAGGGAGGCCTTCAATATTCAGCAAAATCTCTACTCCATGCATCCCCCACATCATTTTCTAAGCAGTTTCTTCCTTTCCATCACCAGGGTGCTTATCAATTGTACATTGACACTTCCTCCCATCTGTTCAATTCATCTGTTGGATGGTCACTCTCTGCCACTTCAGAGCAATGGGGAGTTCACTCTGCCTTTCATACCCCTCTGGGAAGCCCAGGAAAATTATCTCTGATTAATATCATTTCTTCTTTTGGGTCTAATGACAAAATTACAGCAAAATCCAGCCCTACTTTGCACCACACTTGGAAAAAAATCTGCTCAGCTTTTGTCTGCCAACCACAGCAAAAACTTGATTAACCAGGACTCAGTGCACATGGGCAGAGGGCTTTTTCCCCCCAGTTAGCAGAGGGATGAAACTGAAAATCCCATTTATTTCCTCCCTTATTAACAGAAAAAAAGAATCAATAGGTTAGCCCACATTGCTACCCACTGTCAATAAATTCCCCCAAAGAAATTGAGTCTCTCTTGGAAAGATGAGCATTCTTGCAGGCCTAAGAATTGTGTATTCTGGGACTAAAGATAGTGTTAGAAATTAGACTGAATCAGCAGAGATCTTTGGCATGTGGAATTTTTATTTAAAACACTATTTGCTATCACTTATATTCCCGTCTTTGCCCTTCTCCCAGAAGCAAAGTATAAAAAATGTGTGTTCTCATTTTTCAAGTGTTCCAGATTCCTAAAGTCCAGTTCATATAAATTGTAGCATATTCTTATTTATATGACAGAGACTGTCACAGGCATCTAAGCTCAAGCTTATTAAACTGAAGTTTCCTATTCTATCTACTCAATGGGTTCTCATAGTCTCCTAAGCATCTCATCATCTTCCTCCTCCCTCTGAGACATGAAACTCCTACTTGGAACCTTTTCAAGGTCTACGGCATTGTGCAAAAAGAAAAACCTTTCTTGTTATGCAACTAACAGATCCTTTCAGTTCCAGGGGAAGAAGGAGCCACCAGAATGGTCACTCAATAACTTAGCCAAGTTTCAACTCTGTTTTAAGGGAAAGGAATTGCAAAGAAAGGAAACATTCGATTATTGAGCACTGACTATGCCAGGCACTGAATTGAGAATGCATTTTTTACTCCTAATCATAGCCTGAGGCCCTGCACGATCTGGTCCCTGCCTGCCTTTTTGACTACACCTCTGACCATGCCCCCACATCACTTAATATGCTATACCCACACTGGCCCTTTTTATTTTCTAGAGCATGCCAAGCTCTTCCTACCCCAGGGCCTTTGCACTTGCTGGTCTCTCTGCTGAGAATGCTTTTGCCCAGATATGTGCGTGGCTCACTCCTTGTCATTCCTCATTTCTTAATTCTAGGCCACCTCCAAAAAGTAATCCCGAACTAAGCTGTCCACCTCCCATGCTAAGTCATTCTTTATCTTGTTCCTTTATTGTATTTTTTCCATAACACATCACCATTTTAAATTAACTTAGTTATTGCCTGCCTCCCCATGAATATATAAGCTTCATGAAAGCAAAGGGTGTTCCTGACTTACTCACTATTGTGAAACCAACATGCTAGTACATGCCTGCCATATAATAGAATCTAAAAACATTTCTGGAGTGGATGAATAAATAAGTTTCTCTCTGAATCCTGCCAAGATAAATATTGTTATTATCCCCGTTAGCAGATAAGGAAGTTGAGGTTCCAAGCAGATTAGGAAATCTCACAAGTTTGCACAGCTAGAAGGTGCTAGAGCAAATCTTACAACCACGGAACTGTCTAACTCCAGTGCGTGCATTCTCCATCATTCCTAGACACTGTGTGGGAAGACAGGAGATTATACCTTAATCAATTGTTTTCTAACTTCTGTTCATGAAAAATGTCTGGGCAGCTGTGACAAGGAAAAAAGTCTTTTATCAGCTCACAGTTGTGAGTGTGACAGAGCAGGGATATATCTTCTGCATCAAACATTGCCAGTTTGTCAAATATCAGAATAGAATTGAATTTTAGGAAGACACTATTTCTGATGCAGCTGTTTCTTTTGGATCCTCTCAATGGGCAGAGAAGATCCCAGCAATAGAATGGGTGAGGCACGCATCTGTCTATTAGGATGGTTGGAATGCATGAATTTGATAAGCCCTATATTTGGTGAGGGATGTCTGTCCTCACCCCAAACCTTCTCACCAACGTGACCTCCCGCCAGCATGGAAGCCAGTGTTACAACATTGTGAGAACTGGGCCCTGCAACTGTGCTGGTGGCCATTTTTCTGGGACCCTCTTCTTTTACTGATACCTTTGGGAGTACTCCCATATTCATTTCCGTTGGGCATCTCATTCGTTGCTGTAATTCTTGTCTTCAGTTCAAAGCTCAAAAGCCTCACCATAAAGAACTGGGTTTTACTTTTTGGATCTTGATCCTTGGGGAAACCCCCTAAAAAAGTCTATATCTACTATATCCACTCCCCATCTTCCAGTCATCTCTGAGCATGGCTGATGTAGGGAATTGCTCAACACAGTTTCAAAGCCCCAAACAACAAGCTAGCTCTGGACATGCCTACCTGCTATGGTTTGAGTTCAGTTTGTGTCCCTCCCCAAAATTCATCTGTTAAAATCCTAATCCCCAAGGTGATGGTATTAGGAGGTGAGGCCTTTAGGAGATGACTGGGTCATAAGACAGGAGCCCTCATGAATGGGATCAGTGACTTTATAAGAGATCCCAGAGAGATCTTTGTCCCTCCTATCAGGTCAGATTATAGTGAAAAGTCAGCCATGTAAGAACCAGGAAGCAGGTCCTCAGCAGACACTGAATCTGTAGACACCTTCATCTTGAACTTCCCAGACCTCAAAACAGTGAGAAATAAATTCCTGTTGTTTATAAGCTACCAAGTTTATGGTATTTTGTTACAGCAGTCCAAATGGACTAAGACACTACCCCCATTCTATTTAAAAGAAAATAATCTATTAGCTCACCACATTTACTGTGCTGAAAATTTCCAACCAGAAGAAAAAGCTTTATGGAGGTGACCCAACGATATGGAGGTGCTTACAACCCCATGGGTGGCTACAAGAATCAAAGAGAGAAATTATAGTTCAAAGGCAAAACGTATACTATCTCCTCATCCCTATTTTTTCTTGGTTTAAGTCATTTTTATTAAGAGTCATAATGTTCTCTATCTACATGACACTTTCCATCTTCAAACATTAACTAATTAATTGACTGAAATGGTATCTCGGGAGCATTTATCATCTATCACATTAGCCAGAGAGCCAGGGAACTGTCTATAAAAGCTGTTGAACACTCAGTGGAGGCTTCATCTTTCCGCTTCCTTTCCCAGAAATGTTTTTTTGTGTGTCTGCATATGAATGTGCAATGGGGAAAAAAATAAAAAGAGAGGATTTGACTTCCACCAACTGCTATAAAAATTTACCTCTGGGAGACATGGAATTTCAATTGTGAAATAATCAGTCTTGGAAATTGTCCTGTCCTCCAGGAAAAGAAAAAATATGTAGTTTAACAGCAATTGCCCTTCAAAACAATTACTAATTATAACGTCTATAAAGAAAAATACCCTCGATACCATTACTCCTAATAAAGCCAGGCGAATCTATAGAAAGGAATTAGCTGGCATGTCTAAAATCTGACAGGAGAGCTGTTGGGGATGGGTCAGAAGAGGAGTGAGCTCCAACCAGCTTAAAAACCTGGATCCAAAGCTTTAGGAGGCTTACCACCTGGAGCAAGCCTCTCTTAGCAAATTGGCAAGATTAGCACAAGAAATCAGGCCAGGACAATTACAAATTGAGAACCCAAGTCATTTTTCCTGACCTTCCTTCCACTCTATCCCATCCCAGCTTTCTCCATGAACCTCTTAACCTCCTCTTCAAGCAGATGTCACGGTACCTGGAACTCATGCCTTACAGCTCACCATCTTCCCTTCACCACAGTCCTCTTAAAGACATATGCCCAGGTAGGGTTACACCAAGCCCCTGAGCCCTTGGATTGAATTTGACTGTCAGATCCTAACTGTTTGAAACAACATATGTCATGGAGGAAGGATCTTGGAGGAAAGAAAGAGAGAAAGGGGCCACAGAAAAGAGAAGTTGGTGGCAGTGCTGAAGATAGACAAATGGAAAAAGTCCGTTCTGATTTCAAATTCTCCATCACTTCCCTGCTGTGAAGCCTGTGTCAAGTTGATTTGAACTCTCTGATCCTCTCACCTCAGTTTCTCAAAGTGAGGGGAAAATATACCTGAAAGCCTACTTTTTAAATGAGTGTTCAGTTGCAGACAATGGAAACCACTCCAGCTACCTTACGCAGAAGGGAAGTGATTACCAGATGTAAGCTGACTTAGGAAACCATTGGAAGGACCCAAAGAGTTGGAGCTTCCAAGAACAATTCCCTGGTCCCCCAAATCACTCTGCCTCTGCTATGATGGTGAAAACTGCTACCTGCACTACGAGAAGTCACCACATCAGGAAGCTAATGGCTGCAGAACTACCCAGACTCTGCAGAGATCCACAGGAGCAAAGTGAATGGCATTATGCCATTTTCCCCTCTTAACTCAGTTATAAATTCAAGACGCAAAGAGTATCTGATTTGCAGAACCTGAGTCATAGTCAGAATCCTAGCTGCAAGGGAGTCCAGTATATTGACCTTTTAGCAACCCAGCCTCTGCAGTATAGAATGACACAGTTGACAGAGGCTGGAATGGAAACTGAAGGAGCCCATGCACAAAGGGCACCACCCACATGATTCAGGGCTGTCAAGAGAATCAAATGAGATGGTGTTTACAAAGCACCTAATATGCTGCCTGATCATTAGTAGCTTCTCAATAAGCACTACTTTTCCTTCACTTTCCCAAAATTTTGCTGCAGCTTGGCCCTCTGAATCATCCTAAAAGAACAGAAGAAAAAACCTGGAAGCAGCCAAATGACCTTCCTAACTTAAATGTGAGGGTTTTTTGGGCATCTTTCATTTAGCAACCTTATCAAACATCAGTTATCTCTATTTAAGGCATTCCCCCACCTCCACAGAAAGAATGAATCATTTTAAGCAGTAGTTTAAGCTTTTACTCTATCCAAACAAAATTGGCAAAAGATCCTCTCCCTGGATAATTACATTAACATTATTTATCTAACCACTATTTTTCTTTTTCTGAGATGGGGTCTCGTTCTGTTGCCCGGAACTGGAGTGCAGTAGTGTGATATCAGCTCACTGCAGCCTCCACCTCCCTGGCTCCAATAATCCTCCTGCCTCAGCCTCCTGAGTAGCTGGGGCCACAGGCATGCAACACCACATTTGGTTAACTTTTTGTATTTTTGGTAGAGACAGGGTTTGTCCATTTGCCCAGGCTGGTCTCGAACTCCTGACCTCAAACAATCCATGCACCTCGGCCTCCTGAAATTACAGGTGTGAGCCACTGCACCTGGCCAATCTAATCATTATTTACTGGGCACCTACTAGTTGCCTGGCAGATGTGATTCCTCTCCTTCAAGGAGTTAACAGTCTAGGCAGGGTAATTGTGCAAAACTTGTAAGATTAAAATTCTGATAAAACATTAAGAGAAGAGATCAGAGTGCCATAAGCCAGAATAAAGAGGGTGAAACTGATTCTACTCAGGGAGTCAGGAAAAATCTCCCTGAGGAAGTAATGTCTACACTAAAACCTGAAGGATAAGGAAAAGTTAACCTAGTAAAGAGTGGGAGGGAAGAGAATTTCTGGCAGAGAAAACAGCACATGCAAAGGCTGAGTATTTAGGAAACCAGAAGAATACCTGTGTGGCTGGAGTATGTTAAGTGAGAAGGAGAGAGAAGCGATAATTACTTTGGCTATGGAACTCCAGGCTATTATCTGGGGTGACATTTTCCCTCAGGTTGGAATCCAGATATGTGAGACAATTAACATTTCATAAAAATAACTTTTGAAGCAATGTTTTTCCACCTTTCTGTATCTCAGTTGTCTCTTCTGTAGAATAGTGTTAACCCTTCACTGGATGATCATGAGTGTTAAATAGGATAACAAGTATACGATTATGACAAGAAGGCTGGGCCCTTTTGAGCACAGCAGCGACATCCTCATCATCTTCTTCAGTGTTTAGCCATACCACTCCAGAGAGCTCCACCAAGAACCAGAGAGGTGCTTCCCTACCTGCATGACTTCTCTGAGATGCTCTCTAGCCCACACACAGCAGAGGCACCCACCTGACACCTTCACCTGGCCACATCTGATTGGACCAGAGTGTACACCTCCTACTACCCGGACCTATCATATTCCTACACCTGGGAAACTCTTACATTCAGATAGAGGCGCAATTGATCAGAGTGCATTAGAAGCTGGAGCTGTAAGGTCATGAAGAAGAAGTCCCAGGGCCCTGGGCAAGTAGAAACTGGGAAACAGCAAACCCTGAGATTCCAACGGCAGGCGCCAGTCTGCAGAGAAGAGAATGGAGCAGATGTGCAGAGGTAAGCTCCAGAGAGTGAAATGGAGAAAGCGGCTGATTAACAACATTCCAAGTCCCATGAGGTCCAGCTGCATACGTCGGATTTCCAGAGAGCCTTGTGTGTCCAGACAGTAAAATTTCATATCCACTTTAATCTCTTTGAATGGGTTTCTATTCCTTGCAATTGAATTATCACTGTCTCAGAGGCCCATCAAAGTGGAGAGCTGAGGCCACCCTTCCTTAAATCAGACCTAAAATGTAACCCTATCTTGCTAACAGGACATAATACCGGAACTGAGGACCCCACCACCATCTCAAGGCCTTCACACAGGCTATTCCCTTTGCATAGAAAGCTCTTCCACCCGCTCCTTTTGCAAAACTAAATCTCACTTTCTTCCAGGCTGCCCCCTTTGAGCATCGCTTGTAAAGACTCCCACTCCAAAGTGGACCCTTGCTGTGGTTTCCATAGCTCTCAGGACTTCCCTTTGCATTGTGTAACTCACTTTGGATCACTCGTAAGATGGCTGCCACCCCACCATATGTGACATTCCACACTTGCATCCTGTTTCTTGCTTATTCCCCAGGGTTTGAGTGGGGGACACATAGTAGCTGCACAATAAACATCTGATTAATGCATGATGGATAGTCTAAAAGGATCAAATTGACATTCTACTGAAAAAGAAGAGTTTCACTTTAGCCTACTAGGTGCTCTACTCTATGCAAGGTGTTGGAAACACAAAGATGAATTAGACATCATCCCTGTGTTTAGGTCTTGAAAAGCCTAAGGGAACAGGTGGATAGGTAGATAAATACGTTTATGACAATGTAACAACGTGAGTGTTAGGAGAGAGAGAGACTACAATAGGTGTATTTCTGAAGGTTTTTTGGATGACAGGGGAAGAGAGAGAGATGTTGTAGAGGGTCCTAGTGGCCCCCACACCATCACTCCTCAGAATTTTTGCAGAAAACAAATGTAGTGAGCATCTGATTGTTGGCTGCTCAGCATCTACTCTCTAATTCTGAATATAGCACTTCATTTTTCCTTTTGGAAAAGCACCTTCCTGCCCTCTCAGCCCACCAGCACACTGGTGTAACTGGTATCAATTCAACACCTCTGTCCCCAGAGTCAAGGATGGATGTGTGTCCCAAGCCTAGTCAATCAGAATACTCCATCCTCACAAGGAGTGGTTCAGGGATGATCATGTGACAGTTTAGTTAAATGAGAGTCAATCTGGGAGTGTAAATTAGTTCAACTATTGTGGAAGACAGTGTAGTGATTCCTCTAAGACCTAGAGGCAGAAATGCCATTAGACCCAGCAATCCCATTACTGGGTATATATCCCAAAGGAATATAAATCATTCTATTATAAAGATACAGGCACTTGTATGTTCACTGCAGCACTATTCACAATAGCAAAGACACGGAATCCATCTAAATGCCCATCAATGATAGACTGGATAAAGAAAATGTGGTACATATACACCATGGAATACTATGCAGCCATAAAAATGGATGAGATCATGTTCTTTGCAGGGACATGAATGGAGTTGAAAGTCACTATCCTCAGCAAACTAATGTAAGAACAGAATATCAAACACTGCATTTTCTCACTTATAAGCAAGAGCTGAAAAATGAGAACACAAGGTTACCTGGGGGGAAAAATGCACACTGGGGCCTGTCAGTCAGAGTGGTGGGGGACAGAGAGCATCAAGAAGAATAGCTAAGGGATGTTGGGCTTAATACTTAGGTGATGGGATAACCTGTGCAGCAAACCACCATGGCACATGTTTACCTATGTAACAAACCTACACAACCTGCACGTGTACCCCTGAACTTAAAAGGTGAAAAAAAAAAGATAAGAGTATATCTCAGAATTCCTAGGGAGAAGCAAGGAGAAAGATAAGCTCTTCTGTCACTAGAACCCCTAACCTGGCAGCAGCCTTCAGCTGAGCTGCTGAAGCCTGTCTTGGGACTACAAGGGGAAAAAAACTCCCCAAAAATAAATCTTACAAGGAAAGTAGCAGGCCTGAGAGAAAAAGCCACTTCTGATGTCAGTTTGAACATCTGGATCCAAATAGATTCATCCTGGATTTTTCAGTTGTGAATCAACAAATTCTACTTTTTCTGTTTAAGCTTGAGTTCCTGAACCTCAACACTATTGATAGTGTTTGGCTGGATGGGGGCTGGCTTGTACATTGCAGGATGTTTAGCAATGTTCCTGGCTTCTAGAGCCATTCTCACCCACGAGTCATGGCCACCAAAAACAGCTGCAATCATTGCCAACTGTCCCAAGGGGCAAAATCACCTCCTATTGAGAACCACTGGTTTAAACCAGTTTTCAGGTTCCTATTGCTTGCAACCAAAAGTCACGAGCATACAGTAACCTATCAAATAATTCCCTACCCAATTTCCAGGAATAATTCTCACTCCTACATGCTTTTACTTTCCGTGGTACCTGGAACATCTTTCTATGGGCTTTGCTTTCCAAAGCCAGTCTGTTGATTTTACATTTTTTAAATATTGGTGTCAATGAAAGTAAGTCAATCAGATCAAGAACAGCTTAGCTCTCAGTCCCAGCAGTACTTGTACAAGTGACATATTTGGGTACATTGATTATACTTTTTCTTCCTCTTAAAAATTTAAACATCTTCCCTCATTTACTTTCTTTATTTTAGAATTCTCAGCAGTCAATTTTCTTTTATCTACAGGCCTTCCCTTCGATGGGAAACTAATCAATAAGAAATTAGATTTTTGCCAAGGTATTTTAAAGTAATGTAACCAGCATATTTTTCTCTCATTCATGACTTTATTATTGTGAAATGAAAACAGAAATACCACATCCTTGAAACCCTCATTTTATTAAGCTCCATCACAGCTACCTTCATTCATCGGAGCCATCTCTTCCAATGTCATTGTTTTGGGTGAAGCTTGTGTTTGATCACCAACCTCATATTTTAAATTGAAACTCAGCTGGAGTAGAGTTCTTCCCTCTGAATGAGGGATAGCAGTCTGGTAATTAGCAGCAAAGCTCAAGCAGACAGGCTGCATCCACTTATTCTATCTGAAATTCTTTTCCTTTTCTTTTTTTTTTTTGGCCAGTAATTACTCTTATCTTGGTGAAGCTGACCCACCTCTTGGCCCCTCAATTGGAGTCTCCCTTTCAAGAAAATATCACATTGTGTTGAATAAGAAAATCAAAATGGAAATGAAGCTTCAAGAGGAGTCTAGCTACCATCTTTTCAATTGCCTTTTGAAACATCAGCTGGGTGGACTTTCAAGACGCAGGCACAGTTAGATATGTGGATCTGTTTCTTAGATTGCACTTGTGTATCTGAAGACATCCATTATGCCTAAGAGGGAAGGAAATGAGCAAGGACTTCCCAATGCATACAGGTGCTTCGTAACACCTGGTGATCTTGTTACTGAAACACCAGAGGTTCAGTCTAGGTTCTAATGCTTGCTGCACAGAAAGCCAATCACTGAGACAATGAGTATTGCCAGGGAAGAAGGCTTCAATTGGATCCTGCAGCCAAGAAGATGGGAGATCAGCATCAAATCCATTCCCCTAGCTGACTAAAATTAGGTATTTTTATAGCAGGGAAGAAATGTAACCATTTGTGAGAAAACAGGAATTAGGGAGAGGAAAGGAAGAGGAGTTTGTCAACAAGAAGCAAGTGGTTGCTTAGGCAGTCATGACGGATGAAGGGTCGGGTGCTTTCACTGTCCAGATTCAGAGATCTGGTGAGTTTCAGCTCCTTGATTCTATCTGGGAAGCCTGATGGTTGGAGGCCTGAGAAAGGAACTCAGATAAGACAAATGTAACTTTTGCAAGTTTCAAGACTGGGATGGCCAATTTCTATGTGTATTTAAAAGAAACCATAAACATCAGTTCTATGGGACAATTGGGCCAGTTTCAGTTCGGCTCAGTTTTTTGGCATGGAAAGGAGGAAGAGACTATCAATAATATTAACAGTATAGCTATATTGATCCTTTATTAGAGGGGGAGAAATCTATTTATTTGGGAGAGTAGCTTCAAAGTGTGCCAAGTCAGGGAATCAAAGGCACATTGGGAACAAGCTGACCAAACATCAACCAGCATGAATGGTCTTGAGCCCTCAAGACCAAGATGAGCCAAGAACCCACTTCAAGTTTGACCAAAGCAGACAGTAAATAAGACCTCCCTGTAGGAACTCCGCTCTTGTTGCCTAAGCTACATTCCACCTTCCACACTGATAATTTTATCACAAAAACAAGCAAATGCAAAGGAAGAAAGTAGTGATATGATAGGATGACACATGATCTAGCCAATTCCATCTAGAAGGCAAATAAAGGATGGAGGCTTGGTGGGATTAATGCATTTATTCTTTCCAGAAATTATAGAGCCCTTACTCTTTGTCTGGTACTGTTCTAGGCTTGGAATACAAGCAAAGATCCCTGCAGTTGTGGGGTATACCCTGTAACAGGTGAAGAGTGACATATCAGAGGAAGGTCAGTGACTACAGATGAAAGGGATTGCATTGAGCCTGGACATTTCCCATGTCCTACAAGCCTCCTCCTGCCTTTGGTAGAGGTGAGTGTAAATAAACAAAATGTTTCCTGCACTCAAATGCCCTCCTCTATTTTATTTGTTATGGGAGCAAACTTCCATCTCCAGGACAGCAGAGCGTAGAGCATCTTCTGGTGTGGTAGCTGTGGTGAGTTAGCTTGAGCTGAAGCCAATGTGGGCAACTGTCTACTTAAATAACTCACCTATTCACCTATTCCTGGCTGCCATCAACAAAGTTGGAGCCTCCAAGAAGCAGTTAGGATTAACATATTAACACAGAGGACGGTCTTTTTTTTTTTTTTTTTTTTTTTTTGAGACGGAGTCTCGCTCTGTCCCTCAGGCTGGAGTGCAGTGGCGCAAACTCGGCTCACTGCAAGCTCCGCCTCCTGGGTTCACGCCATTCTCCTGTCTCAGCCTCCCGAGTAGCTGGGACTACAGGCGCACACCACCACGCCCGGCTAATTTTTGTTGTCTTTTTTAGTAGAGACAGGGTTTCACCATGTTAGCCAGGATGGTCTCAATCTCCTGACCTCATGATCAGAGGGCGGTGTCTTAGTCCATCTTGCGTTGCTATAAACAAATACCTGAGGTTGGGTAATTTATAAACAAACAAAGGTTTATTTAGCTACTGGTTCTGCAGGCTGTCCATGAAGCACGGTGCCAGTATCTGCATCTGGTGAGGGCCTCAGGCTGCTTCCACTCATGGTGGAAGGTGAAGAGGAGCTCGCATATGCAGAGATCACATGGCGAGAGGGGAAGCAAGAGAAAGAGGGGGAGGTATCAAGCCTTTTTAACAATCAGCTCTCACAGGAACTAATACAGCAGTAACTCACTTATAAACATGAGGATGGCACCAAGCCATTCATGAGGGATCTGCCTCCATGACCCCAACCCCTCCCATGAGTCTGCCACATCCAACATTGGGATCAAACTTCAACATGAGCTTTAGGGGGACAAATACTGAGACGATAGCAGGCAGTCAGCAAAAACAAGAACTAGCATGTGTTGAGTCTGCTTGATTCATCCTTTCACATATATCATGTCTCATTTCACTTCCACAACAATTCTATGAGGTATGTATGTATTAGCCCCATCTCACAGATGAAGAAACTGAGGCTGAGAGAGACTAAGTGGCTTGCATAAGATCTGTCTGACTCCAAGTTCTACAGCCTTTCTGCATTGTTGTGCTGCCTATTTCACCCAATAAAGTCCAACCCATCCGCATGAGAGTGTTAATAAATCAATAACCTGAGTACTTCCTGGGGCTGGCTCTGTGTCTATCCCTAGATTGGGCACTGTGAGGGGTATGAAATTAAGGTACAGTCTTTGTTCTCCTGAGACTAAGTTAGCTAAGGAAACAAAGGGAAAAGCATTCATTCAATATTTAACGAACCATACCAACACTCCACCCACATTCACCCTATCTTACGCAAATACTTGTGGATCCCAAAACGTGCCATGCCTTTGCACAAGTCTGCAATGCCCTTTCGTCTCTCCTCTCTGCTTCAACCTACATCATCTTCATCTCGCAAGAGTTAGATCATCCAGAAAGCCCCTCTAAACCCACAGGCTAGTTGGTGGACTTTCTTCTATGAATTCCATGGACCCTGGTGCTCCTCTCCGCCATAAAACTCTCTGGAAAAAAAATCAGTGAGAGCTTCAGAAGTTAGGGAACCCTGTAAGTGAGATGACTGGGGAGAAAACAAAAGCCTGAGATGGGGAAATGGCTAAAGACAAAAGAAGAAGGAGTATGTATGTGGCCCAAGGTGGTATCATCTACAACAGAAAACTGACAGCCAGGTAAGGGACTGTATAGAGCTAGGGATGTTGTCACAGTAAGAAATAGAAGATATCATTACTCAAAGCCAAGTTAATTACGATGTTCTGCTTTCACTTATTTTTTCTAAGTGCTTCCACCTCTGGAAGCATTTCTGATCAGCACAACTGTGAGGTTGGTAGTAGGTATTATCATTCCCATTTAGTGGAAGGAGAAACTGAGATGCTCAGAGAGGTTAGGTGAGCTGCCCAAGGACACACAGCATGAAGACACTAAGGCAGCAGAATGGTTGAGATCAGACTTTCTGGTGTCAGGCCTACAGCTCTCAACCACCTGGCCATGTGACCTTGGACAAGAGACTTAACTTCTCCAAGACTCAGTTTCCACACCTAATAAAAGGGGACTAAAGAATCTCTACTTCGTAGAGATGTTGTATGGTGACATAATCATACGAGACCTTTGTCAGTCCTGGACATATCTGTAACAATAAATCTTTGTTCCACTCATCGCCACTGCTTTTGTTTCGCTGGGATCATCTGCAAAACCGCTTGTGTGAAACTCTGGTCCCAGCTGCTCTCCAGGGACACCAGGGCTTCCTTGCAAAATATAGCAGCCAAGATGGCTTTGGGCCCCCAAGTTTCTGAGCTCTTGTTTGACTGCACATCCCCTTCCTTAGAAAGCCAGCATCTTCACGTTTCCTTTCTAAGCTGCCAGGAATAAATGCCAGGTTCTGGCTTTATGGAACAGTTTGGGAAATAATTAGTTTGCCTTCCACAGAGGCCAGAGTTCACTTCTAAGATATTTAAAACTCTACTGATGGCTTAAAATAAATATCACAATGGAGATGTCAAAATATCTATGTGTTCTTACACATGACATTGGAGGGGCAGGGAGACTAAAAAAATGTAAATGGATTTACCAAAATAATCTCGAGGTAAGACCTTTGAGGCTTGATACCACAGAAGTGCCATATTGTTTTTAAGTTTCTTTTTTTTTTCTTTTGTAAGTTTATTTTTCTCCTCGGAGGGCACTGAAAGTTTTGTTGTGAGAAGCAATAAAGTTCTGTTTTCCAAAAGAGAATAAAAGCATGATTGTATTTTTAAAAATCAATCTTAATAATTTCCAGCCATTACTTTATGAGCTTAATGCAATTCCCAAACACTGATAACTGATTTCTCCAACTGGAAGATGCGAAGCGCACCCAACGGATGCCAAGTTCCGGGCTGAGTACTTTAAATATTTATTGAATTATTAATCCTCATAAGTGCTCAGTGAGGCAGGAATGATATTCCTCATTCTGTAGGGGAGGTAATGGAGACCCTCAGGTACTTGCCTAAAAACATGGGGATAATAAAGCAGAAAGTCAGGATTGAAGACTAAGTGTCCTTATCCTGACTCCATGCTCTTTCCAGTGAGTTCTTCACCCCATCCAGATCTAGGAGTGCTGAACACTCAACAACATTATCAGGCAAGACAACAAACACACCCGTGTCAACTGGAGTTTGTGGCTAGTATAAAGCAATATAGAGTAAATCTCAAAGAGAAGTAGGTCAAAGAAATACCTACAACCTCAAGAATATGTCCTTTTCTGGCTGGGAGCAGTGCCTCATGCCCGTAATCCTAGCACTTTGGGAGGCCAAGGCAGGAGGATCACTTGAGCCCAGGAGTTCGAGACTGGCCTGGGCAGCACAGCGAGGTCTCAACTCTATCATTTTTTAAAAAATAGAATATGTCCTTTCCCCCTTGCCTGCCTGGATAAAACCTTCTTCTTTATCTCTTGCTGCTTCCCACTTCGCATTTTCTGCTCTGTTAAACATCAAACCGCTTCTGTTGCCCAGAACTATGTCTCAGGTTCCATGCAGCTGTGCCTCTGCAATGCTGTGCCTTTTTCCCAAATGCTGTTCCTCTACAATCCACTTAGCAAACTCCTGTTCATCCATCAAAACCCTGATGAAACATAACCTTTTAAAAGAAGTCGTCTTCATCCCTCTCCCACTTCTAGACCCAATGGAATTCACGCGTTCCTCTTAGTCTTCTCTCCATAGCATGTACATGCTTACATTTTTATAATTATTGCAACGTCTGGGATTTGGGTCTCTGGGTTAGTTGATTGGTTTGGCTGATATATCAGTCTCCCTCACCCGACTGGCTTTCCTATAGGCAGGGGCTATGCCTGAATCCACCTTTGTATCCTCTATGCCCAGCCCTGTGCCCAAGTCAAAACAAGCATCGAATTGAATTGAATCAAAATTGAAAATGAAAACAAATATCTTGGAGAACTAGAATATAGGGAAACAAGTGTTAATGTTGTAAGAGTCTATCGCAGAGCAATCAACCAGACCATGTTTCCCTAATACCGATTACAAAGCTGGCACAGAGGCAAGACGGAGCAGCAGTGGGGATTTATGCTCTCTGGACATCTGTTGGGCGTCTCTTCTGATAAATCCTCGCCTTGCCCTGCTGACGATCTCATCTTTCAGAAGACAGAGGAAGCGACAGAGAAAACGGTTACTTGCCACTAAATCCTGGCAACGAGGAAACACTGGTTAATGAGAAAAGTGGAATCCTTAGGAGAAAAAAAAATGGGCACATAATCCTAGAGTTAATGATGGTGCAAGAAAGGAAGAAAGAAAATAAGCACCCATTAAAAACCTACAGTGTGCCGCCTACTTTACGTGTGTTACTACATTTAATTCTCACAACAACCCTGGGAGGTGGGTTTCAGTCACTTCCATTCACAGAAAAGAAAGCCAGAAAATGGAGAGAGTAACTTGCCCAAGCTCATAAAAGGCAAGTCTATCTGCCTGCAAACCCCCAGTTCTAACCTCACACCAGGCTGCTGAGCAAAAAAAGCAAGGCATTGCCTGACTTCAAACCTAGAGTTGATGAATAAGGCAGCGTCAATCTGTATAGGCTAGGTAATGATACAGTAACAAAACACACACACACACACACACACACACACATATACATACACACACACTGAAATCCAAATCACGGTCATGTGACACGATCAAGCTATTTCTTCCAGCCTTGGCAGCTTTCTAGGACAGGCAGCCACCCTCCTTTGTGTGCTGGCTGAGTTCTCCACTTTGCTTCCACCTCATGAGGCTCCATCTCAACAGATGCTTCAGAGCTTGCCTCATTCAGGGGGAAAAAAAAAAGCCCCGGAGGATCTCACCCCAGTAATTAAATGCTGCCACCCAGAAGTCACATATGCCACTTCCACTCGTGTGGCACAACTCAAGGCCAAGGGGCAGAGAAGTGCAATTCTCCACCCAGAAGGAAAACAAGCCAGAAATGGTTGTGCAACGAAAATTCCAACCACAGTAGCTTTCTGAAAGATGAGAAAGAAAGCTTCCATATGCAGCAATGAACACTGGCCAAGCCCGGCCTCTGTGTACTACCAGGGGAGAGAGGAGAAACATGAAAACAAAAATTAATATCTAGAAGGCAATGATCAAAAAGAGAGAGACAAAGGGAGTGATGTTGATGGGAGAACTGGGTTATGGAAAAGGATTTCACAAGAATCACCAAGCACATGTGGAAGGTCAGTGCCATGAACAAGGTCCCCGGACACAACCCAAGAAGGAAATATTGTGCAAAATAGATTGGAGTGCCTTCGTCAGTTCAGGCTCCTATAACAAAATACCACAGCCTGGGGCTTAAACAACAGAAGTTTCTTTCTCGGAGCTTTGGAAGCTGGAAGTCCAAGATCAGGGTGCCAGCATGGTTGGTTCCAGTGAGGGTTCATTTTACGGTGTGTAGACAGCAACTTTCTTGCTGTGTCCTCACTTGGCAGAGAGGGAGAGAGCACCAGCTTCTTTCTCTTCTTATAGGGACACTAATCCCATTGATGAGGGCTCCACCCTTGTGATTTAATTACCACCCAAAGGCCCTACCTAATATCATCCCAGTGAGATATCATCCCGTTGGAGGTTAGGGTTTCAACACATGAATTTGTGTGGGGGACACAAACATAGCTCCATAGAAAAGAGTCTCAGAAATTGTGTCTACCCATTCAATTTTTACCATTCAATTCCATTCCCGGGAATTAGGAAGAAGCAATTAATAGGACTAATAAGAGCTGTCTGGAGGCTCTTATTGACAAGGCTGTGAGCAAAGGATACAAGGTGGGACACAAAACTGCTTTGAAAATGGAAGCAAGATAGCCTGATAGAAAAGGCACTGGGCCTTTGCCACTGTCCTCTGTGGCTTTATAAAGTTACTTAACCTCTCTGAGCCTTGGTTTGCTTCTATGTGCAACGGGAATAATATACTATCTGCCTCAAAAGGTAGTTGTGAGGATTGAGAAGATCCTGCAGGTAATATACACATCAAAGTGCCCAGCAAGATGTTAGAACAAGGAAAACAATCATAAGAAGGATGAGCATGACAATAAACTCTCCAATTGGATAAATTCAAGTTGGTTGTCTCAGGAACCATCTGTCTTGTAACTCTCTGACTTCATTTCCCACCACCCTATTATTGCCTGAATTTGCTGCATTGATCTTTTTTGTTCTTTTTTTTTTTTCTTTGAGACGGAGTCACTCTGTTACCCAGGCTGGAGTGCAGTGGCACAATCTCGGCTCACTGCAAGTTCCGCCTCCCGGGTTCACGCCATTCTCCTGCCTCAGCCTCCCGAGTAGCTGGGACTACAGGTGTCCGCCACCACGCCCGGCTAATTTTTTGTATTTTTTTAGTAGAGACAGGGTTTCACCGTGTTAGCCAGGATGGTCGCGATCTCCTGACCTCGTGATCCGCCCGCCTTGGCCTCCCAAAGTGCTGGAATTACAGGCGTGAGCCACCATGCCCGGCCGACCCTTTTTGTTCTTATTTGATCATTCCAGGAATGCTCATACCTTAGTGCCTAGGTACTTTGGGGTTCTCTCTTCCTAGAACACTTCTCAGAAAATGAGAGAATGTCTTGTTCAAGTGCTATTATATTTACTCATTGAAACCTTCCATAATTACCTACTTGAAATTATGGCATCCACTCCACTCCTCACACTCTCTATTCTCTTTCCTTCCTGTATTTTCACATTGGCAATTATCATTTCCTAATATACAAAATCATATACACTTTTTTATTGTCTATCCCCCCTTCATTAGAATATATTCTGAAACTTAGATGAATTCTCCAGCCAAGAAAAACATCTGACACATAGTACGCATTTATCACTACGCATCGTTTTTGTTGTTGTTGTTAGAGCAACCCTGCATTTCTCTACTCTGATCCATTACATTTTAATTTTATATTTTAGCAACAGGGAATGCCTTATTTCTTTGTGGAGGTTTTTTTATTTTGTTGTTTGTTCTTCTGTTGTTTGTTTTTTTGTTTGTTTGTTTGTTTTTGAGACGGACTCTTCCTCTGTCGCCCAGGCTGGAGTGCAGTGGTACAATCTCGGCTCATTGCAAGCTCCGCCTCCCAGGTTCAGCCATTCTCCTGCCTCAGCCTCCTGAGTAGCTGCGATTACAGGTGCCCGCCACCACTCCTGGCTAATTTTTTGTATTTTTAGTAGAGATGGGGTTTCACTGTGTTAGCCAGGATGGTCTCGATCTCCTGACATCATGATCTGCCTGCCTCGGTCTCCCAAAGTGCTGGGATTACAGGTTTGAGCCACCGTGCCGGGCCTAGGGCATGTCTTATTTCTATATACTCCTTCTACACCTTTTATTCTGGCATTGCAAATTCCTAGCAAAACATCCTGAAGGGTTCATGCTGAAAGGGCAACCTACTCTTCCCATACTATCTTACTGCAACTTGTTCTTACTTCAGTCTTGGAGCTGCCCATTACATGAGCCTTGCAGTGGCTTGGACATCAACCTGTGAGAAGTCGCCAGCATCCAAAATATCTGAGACTCACAGAAGACTCAGCATAAGCTCCTGTAACGACTGTATTTCCTCAACTGCAGGATCAAGGTGTGGCTGTGAATGTCACTCTCATCAGTACTCATTTTGTACTGCTTATGGTTTGTTTGTTTGTTTGTTTGTTTTCAGGGAAATGAGGTTGAGATCAAAACCAGGACCCAGCGCATGTGATTCTGTATCATAAAGAATATGGAAGTACATGTATGGAGCTCTAGTGAAATTTGCTTGGACTCAGTTAAGATGCAATGGTTTGCAAGTAGTTATAACACCTGAATTCCTGGGACAACTTCCGATTACTTTTAGAACACAGAGACACAATATGGGCATCATTTCAATATCAGATCTTATTTGTCTGAAAATACCAGATCACTAGGGCAATGAAATAAACAACCAGCTACAAACCAGCTACAAATTATCTAGAGGGTACAGCCTCCATTCTCTACAGGAAAAGAGATTCACATTCTTAGTACCAGGCCCAGCAATAAACACCTTAAATATTAATGTTATTCCATTTCATATCCACAATAAGCACTACGGCAAGGTAAATTCTATCGGCTCCATTTTATTTTTAATTGCCCAGGCTGGAATGTAGTAGTGCAATCACAACTCACTGCAGCCTCAACCTCCCAGGCTCAAGCCGTCCTCCCACCTCTCAGCCTCCCGAGTAGCTGGGATGACAGGTCCATGCCACCACACCCGGCTAATCTTTGTATTTTTTGTAGGGACAGGGTTTCACCATGTTGCCCAGTCTGCTCTCGAACTCCTGGGCTCAAGCGGTCCTCCCGCCTCGGCCTCCCAAAGTGCTAAGATTACAGGCGTGAGTCACTGTGCCCGGAGGCCCCATTTTTCAGGCAAGGAAATTAAGGCTCAGAAACACTAATATCATTGCCCAACTTCATGCATATAGCAAAAGACAGGGTTAGAAGTCATAGCTATGTCTTCCTGACTCTAGACTGTGCTTTTTCCACTACAAGGGATGAAACTGGGGAAAATAAACTGCTCAAATGAATAAAATGCTCAAATAAAAAAATACAAATAAATAAATAATTTTATATTTTAGCAACAGGGAATGCCTTCTTTGTGGGTTTTTTTTTATTTTGTTGTTGTTTTTTTTTTTTGAGACGGAGTCTTTCTCCATCTCAAAAATAAATAAATAAATAAATAAAAATAAAATGCTCAAATAAATAAAAACAAACCAATGAACAGGAGTGCTGGTAGACCTGCTTCTTTGCGACTGCTTAATGGCTTAAAGGGCCATTCATTTGGTTTTGAAGCCACCAAAGCCAGGGCAAGGTGAAACGTTTAGTCCAAATGGGTCCCTCACCCCATTTGGGAACCAATCACTGTCCCCTATAGACCTAGTTCATTGAAGGCATTTAACTGAATCCAATCATCCACATTACTAATTGACCTCCACAAGCCAACAAAAGAAAAGATCGGTTCATCCAATTAACCTTGGGACTAGCTCACCCTTGATCTCAATGCTCATCCAGATGGAGAGAAGTCCTCTGGGCCAAGATTGGGAAACTGAGCCCCCCTTTCTCAAAGCTGGCAGCTTTTTAAAGGCCACCAACTCCATTTCACAAGAGATGAGGAGAGACAGATGGTGAATAGAGTACCTGCAAAAACTCAAAGATACACAGGGCCAGTGTAGCAACTTGCACACTTGCAACTTGTATTTCCCCCTTTTTCCTCCCAAGTAGTCTCAGTCTCCCAACCTGATTGTCTTATAAGCCAAAACAGCTTTTGCGCAGCTTGATAGCCTCAGCCTTGATTTTTAAATGACTAGAAATTCAGGAGGCAAAAGAGCGATAGTCTTAGCTCAAAAGTCAACCGGACCTGGGTTTGAATCCCAGATCCACAGCACAACAGCTGCAAAACCTTGAGCAATTAGTGATATCTCTAAGCCTCGGTTTCTTCATCTCTAGAAGGGAAATACAAACATAGTGTCTTCCTTTCATTAGGTTGTGGCTGTGAAGTGAAGAAATTACAGGTAAAGCCTTCGACATGGGGCTCAGCACACAGCAAGTACTCAATAAATGTTGGTTATTTATTCTAAAAAGGAAAAAAGTTAGCTAGTCTATAAATTTTATAGGTCAACATCAGTACTGAAAATGACTATTCACCATACTCTGAATCTTCTCTTGATCCGTGCGCTTGTAATTTCTGAATTTTAAGCTTCTCTTAAGTCCTTATTGGGGAGTCCCTTGGGATAGTTAATGTTCTCCCAAGACTATCTGCACTGCACCCCGCTTATGTTCCTTCTAGAAATATAATCAGGATGAGCCTGGAAAATCTCATCCACATCATGGTTTTAGCCATCGAATCATTCCCTCAATAAATACGTATTAATCATCTATTGATCACCAATTACTGTGCTCTGTACACAGAGCTGGGCACTGCATATCCAGCTCATCTCCACTTTGGTGGCCAAGATACTGGAAACTCAAACTGTCCAAAGCTTGATGCCATGGGCTAAACTGTATCTCTAAAAATTCATATGTTGAAGCACTAACACATTGGAGAATGTGATGGTATTTGGAGACGGGGCTTTTGGGAGGTACACAGGTTTAAGATTAGGCCATCAGGATGATCCTTATGACGGGATTAGTACCCTTGTAAGAAGGCACTAGACAGCTTGCTCACTCTCTCTTGACCAAGTGAGGACACAGGAGAAAACTATCATCTGCAATCCAGGAAGAGCCCCTCCCCAAGAACCGAATCAGCAGGCACCATGATCTCAGACTTCCCAGTCTCTAGAACTGTGAGAAATAAATGCTTGCTGTTTAAGCCATTTGATCCATGGTATTTTGTTAAAGCAGCCAGAACTAAAACACTTGGTTTCCAACTTCATCTTAAAACATGCTTCTCCCCTGTCTCCTTTCTTGGTTACAGGCTCCACTGACCAACCCAAACTGAAATCATTTGAGACTTTCCCTCCCTCACTCTCATATCCAGTCAGTCCCCAACTCTTATTTGTGGGTTCTAGATTTGAAAAAAAAATAAAAATAAGAAGCTCTTCCATCTTTATAAACAGAGCTTTTTCTCCATTCATGACTGATTTCTACTCATCCTCAGGGCTCATGGTGTCTCCTCTAAATCCTCCAGCAGTCTTCAAGGCGGTCTTATTACTTTCACTCTTCCCTAGTAGAGTCCCTGCCGAAAAGCCATTTTCTGAAACACAATCCTGAATCTGCCCCTTTTCTGCTTAAAAACCTTCAAGAATTCACAAAACCTCCAGGATATAGTCTCTGCTCCTCAGCTGGGAAATCCTACCATAACTGAGCCCTGGCCCCCGCCCAGCCATTTCTCAACAAGCCCCCTTCACTTTAGATTCCTCAGCCTAATTGCAACATCCCCAAATGGTCCAGGTGCTTTCAAACCTCCACGCCTTTGCAGGTGCTGTTCCTTCTGCTCCAACCCCCTCTCCATTCCTTGACTGCTGATCCTATACTTTATCCTCATCTTTCATAGGTTCAAATCCCCCCATGGGCCATTACTGAGCCCCCTTCCCAGGCTGTATAAGGCTACTACTTTCCTCTCTGTTCCAATATATTCCCACTATAATAAATATGACACAGTCTATTGTAACTTGTTCTTTCCCTCTTTCTCTGTCCCTCCTCCGCATAACCAGATGGTCACTCCTTTGAGAATAGAGAGATCCTGTCTTATTTATTTTCAATGCCATGCAGGTTTTAAGGATAAAAATCAAGAAAAAATAAAGTTTTGGCAACTGTGCTAAAGCCAGAAATTTCTGAAAATGACTGTTTAATGCATACCATGGGGATAATTATAACGATAATAACAATATCAACTATTTTAAGTGCTAAATATGACTAAACATTTTATAGGCATAGCTCATTTAATCCTTTTAACCACCCCAGGAAGAAGTATTATTTTTGCTCTCTTGTTTTTTGGATGGGGTAAATGAAGCACAGATCTCTCTTTCTCTCTCTCTCTCACAAACAAACACACACACACACACACACACACACACACACACACACACACACACAATGGGTTTGGGATTCAGAAAGGCACAGTTCCTAAACTGGCTCTGTCATTTATCATCTATGTGACCTGAAGGCAATTCACTTAATCTCTATTTGTTTCCTCATCTCTGGAATAAGAAAAGACTTGTTGTGGTAATTTAAAAAGACTATTTACAAAAGTATTGAACCAGGAGCAGTGGCATGCACTTGTAGTCCCAGCTACTCTGGAGGCTAAGGCAGGAGGATTGCCTGAGCCCAGGAGTTTGAATCCTGCCTGAGCAACATCATGAAACTGTCTCATAAAAAAAATAAAGTTTAAAAAAACAAAATTAAATTGACACATAGTAGGTACTCAGTGATATTGTCTCTTTCTCCAAACACTTACCCAGACCTGTATGCTTCAGGAATAGTATTAATGTCTTAAACCGGGTAACTAGTCTGCTGACTGGCTGAGATTCAGGCATGTCAGTATCGCTTGGCTCCAGCTTACCTAATAGACTAGCTCTGAGTCTGTCTCCATCCATGTCTCCCACCCACACAACTCTAGCCTCATGGATAAGGTGAGGCTCAGGGAGTGTGACCTGGGACGAGGTTAGAATGAGCATGACTGCCATGCAGTTTGCTTGATAACTTCGAAAAAGCTGAAAGCTTAGCAGTTTGGTTTTGAGGTTGTGATGCAAACGTGTAAGTGTTCGATGTGTATTTCTGTCAACCACACCTGAAAGGCCGTGTGCAACACCATGTGCCCAGGTGCGGAAGCTCAGAGACTTGACGTAGGCGGGAATTTGCCGTGATAGCATTTAAGCAGCCATCTGTTTTCCAGGAGATTCTGGAGCCACCTTCCCCATCAAGCCCCCCTTTCCCGTCCTCACGCACCCCCAGCTCCTCACTCAGGAATACATTGACATTTCCAGATGTATTGATTACAGGGGCAGACTAGCTTTGGGCGGGAGAAGGGAGAGAAATGGATTGACTTTATTATTTGTGGGTGGAAAAAAAGAATAAACAAGGGTGCTTTTGTTTGAAGGACAAAACCAAAATTATCGGTTGAATGGGGCTGAATTAAGCACTTAAAGTTCAATCCTTCCAGAGTGCTGACAGTGCACAGGCGGAGATCAATACAGAAACTATTTGGGCCGTGGGGAACCTGGGCCCTGCTTATTAACCGCTAATTATACCAAGTTTTCTGCCGAAATGGGTTAGTTCCCTTCAAGATTACGATACAACAGAACTGGTTGGCACTGTCGGACCCGGGTCTGGGATCCAACCCCTGGAGCAGGAAGTCCAAGGTTCAGGATAAACTCCCAAAGGCCTTCTATTTATGGAGCCCACTTCCCAATTTGCCACTTGCAAATCAGGGTGTAGACAGCCCACCACTTTCTTATTAGAATTTTAAAATAAGACTGCCAACGGCAAGACGGATATTTCACTAGGGCTTTCAGTACGGCCACACCAGTTGTTCAAAACAGGGACACTCTCCCACGCCAGTCGCTCAGCAACCTCCCCTGCTACCTCACATGCCCCTCACTCTCATTATCCAGGCTTAACACCTGGCCGAGCAAGGGCCTGCGGGGCCCGCTCCAGCATCCACTCTGGTGAATCTGTGCTCATGCCCTCCCGGTGCTCAAACATTTTGAGCACGACCCTGACCACAGGCAACAACTTTCCATAATCCGTTAGTCACCAGCCAGTCTACAAACCCAGATGCCTTCCCGTGGGGAGGGGGATATTGATTGTACATACACAATGTCACACACACACACACACACACACACACACACACACTATATAAATACACAACTGCATGTATATGTATGTAGTTATGTATATATACAGTTATATATAACCATATAAAATATGGAAAATTTATATTTCATATTATATTCCATTAACTATATATTAAATATGTATATATACTATATATAGTTTTATACACTTAATATTTAACGTACTAAACATTTAGGACTAAAACTAAATATGTACTATATGTATGTAACTATAGTTACATATAGTACATATTTAGTACTAAATATACTATATATACTAAGTATTTACATATCTAGTATACATAAATACTATATATACCATATATATTTATATATAATAATATATAAATATTGATATAATTACATATAATATATATTTGGCACTAAATATACTATATATGTATAGATAGTATGTGTATATATAATATATACTATATATGTGTGTATATACGATATACTATATATAATACTATATATACTATAGATACTGTATTTAGTATATACTAAATTTACTAAATATATATTCAGTATATACTAAATTTACTAAATACATATTTAGTATATTTAGTATACATAAATATTTATAGTTACATATAGTACATATTTAGTACTAAATATATACTATATTTATATATTTAGTAAATATATAAATGAACATGTACTATATGTAAACACATGTAAATATATAAATGTATATATTAAATATATAAATATATAGTTACATATAGTACATAGTATATATGTAGTTATATAGAGTATATATAGACTATAAACTATAACTATATATATATATATATGAACTATACACAGCCATCCCTCGGTATACACAGGGGACTGGTTCCAGGACCCCCAGGTGTACCAAAATCTGTGCCTACCCGAGACCTGCAGTCAACCTTGCAGAACTCAAGGACAGGAAAAGTAACCCTTCATCTACACAGGGGTTTTGAAGCAGTTCACATCTGTATTGTTCAAGAGTCAAATATAGATAGATAGATAGGTAGATAGACAGACAGATAGATAGATAGATACACACACGTATATAGATGCACACACATAGTTTATGTAAAGTTGGTGTGTTTGGGAGATATTTCCATGTTGCCACTTATCAATTTATCTTATCTTTTTAACAGCTACATGGCGCCCAGTAGTACGGATATACCATAATTTAGCCACTCCCTAGTTGATGAATATTTAGGTTATCCCACATTTTCTCTATCACAAAACATACTGCAATGAACACCTTGAACATATATTATTCTGCACATATATGAATATTTCCATAGGATGGATTCCAAGAAGTGGAATTGTTGCGTGTTTTTAATTTTGGCAGATCTTGACAAACCATTCCTACTTTCTCTCATACAAAAATGATGGTGACATGTGCCCCCATTTATCTGGATGGTTTGCAGGAATGAGCCCCCTCAAAGTGGTCTCTGGTCAACACAACGGGTCTCTGTGATGTACCCACCTGCATTTAGCAATCAGAGTTCACAGAGCACTTTCCAGTCTGCTTGGCACACATTCGTTCACAAAGAAGCTGAGGGAAGCTTCATTGCTGCTTCTAAAAAGCAGATTATTCCAGATCCCCGCAAAGCTTCCAGTCTGTTGAGCTACCTGAAAATGACAAGCAGCAACTTCCCTGCAGAGACCTGGAGTCAGAGTTTGGCCATCAATTGCCACCCAGACCTTGAAGCCACTCTGCTTGTCTCTAGGGCAATGTGAACTCCTGGCCATCATGCCTTGCTTAGGATGTCACCAAGTGTCCCCTGAAAAACAGCTGTCAGTCTGTCCCTCTAATCATAGGACCTCAAACCCAGCACAGAGAGCCAAATAGAAAGCGGATCCTATTCCATTCCCTTTATCTCCCTGTTTCCATTAAAAATAAAAGCCTCAGAGCATGCAAGCAGGCAGAGGAGAGGGAAGTATTGTCCACAGTCAAAGCATCTCGACCTCCAGATCAGTCAGCCAGAATGTCCTGCTACACAAGCATTTTTATTCGTTCCAGGATGTTCTTGAGGCAGCTTCCAAAAATGCACATAACATAACAAAATTGGAAAGTGCAATTAACAGACAAAGTGAGAAAAATGAAAAATATATATGAGACAAGATATAAAGACCCAACCTAAATGCCTACCAATGATAGACTGGATTAAAAAAAAAAAGTGTTATATATACACCATGGAATACTGTGCAGCCATTAAGAAAGAACGAGCTCACATCCTTTGTGGGGACATAGATGGAGCTGGAGACCACTGTCCTTAGCAAACTAACACAGGAACAGAAAACCAAATACTGCATGTTCTCACTTAGAAGCGGGAGCTAAACGATGAGAATACATAGAGGGGAACAACACACACTGGGGCCTATCAAAGGGTGGAGGGTGGGAGGAGGAAGACTCAGGAAAAATAACTAATGGGTACTAGGTTTAACACCTGGATGATGAAATAATCTGAACGACAAACCCCCATGACACAAGTTTACCTATGGAACAAACCTTCACATGTACTCCTGAACTAAAAATAAAAGTTAAAAACAAAAAAAGAAGAAGAAGAAAGAAAGAAAGACCGAGGAGAAAGAAACCTATATGAGGCATTAAGCTCTGCACAATTTTTAGGCATTTGGACTCCAACAACAGCAACAAAAAAAGGCGGATAGAGGGTTCGGGAGATGGAATTACATTTAGTGTCTATATCTACAATGTGCATGAAAATAATTCCCACATTTTGACTTTAATCACAGAGGCTGGGCATGGTGGCTTACGCCTGTAATCCCAACACTTTGGGAGGCTGAGGTGGGTGAATCACCTGAGGTCAGGAGTTTGAGACCAGCCTGACCAACATGATGAAACCCTGTCTCTACTAAATTTAAAAAAATTAGCCAGGCATGGTGGTGCATGCCTGTAATCCCAGCTACTTGGGAGACTGTGGCAGGAGAATCGCTTGAACCTGGGAAGCAGAGGTTGCAGTGAGCTGAGATCGCACCACTGCACTCCAGCCTGGGCAACAAGAGTGAGACTCTGTCTTAAAAAAAAAAAAAAAAAAAAAAATCACAGAGTGGAAAATAGGAAATAAAGATGGCACAACTTTCAATTTCTCAGAATGGGTCTGTTTCTCATTTGAACAGCATAAAATCCAGCCAGGCCTCCTCTCCAACCAGCAGGCCAAGACTCTTCCAAACTGACCTGACACCCCGCCATACCCAATCTTGGCACCCCACCCACTTCCCCCTCCTCAGGGTGCTGCCCAAACCAGACAAAAAGCAGGCGCCAAGATGCTCCCACAGGACTAAGGCTCATAGTGACCTTCTTAAAAAAAACAAAAACAAAAAAACTTAGTTGGCAACTGTTAAACATTGGGAAATTGTACATAAAAAATCCTGATCTCTCACTTTTTAAAAAAACAAGTGGAAAAGAAAAATAGGCAACATAACATCTCCCCATAGCTGGAGCTGGGGCCGCCTTGGAGGAGAAAAGGTACCTCCCATTTTGTGCACTCAGCCCACTTTCCTGACTCATGCCCATGCAAACCCCAGCTAGGCAACAAATACTTATATTTTTTGATTATTATTTTTTTTTAGTAGAAACGGGGTTTCGCCATATTAGCCAGGCTGATCTCGAACTCCTCGCCTCAAACCATCCTCCCACGTAGGCTTCCAAAAGTGCTGGGATGACAGGCGTGAGCCACCACCCCTGGCCTAACTTTTCAATTTTTTTAACAGAGAGAAAACTTAACGGGGTGAGTAAAATGGCACCAAAAGACCTGAACTTGGACCCATGACTTGGCCGTCCATTTTCTGAATCCACCAAATGAGGGGTCCGACACTGAATGACGATTCTTTGCACCTCTGACAATGTTCTTTCTTTTGACTGACGGAGGTCCCACTTTCCAGGGTAGGGGATTTTGCTGGTATCTACGAACCATGCCAACTTGGCTTAAACGGTCAAGAAAGAGGGGGGTCTCCATAATGGGGCCATTTCACTCTAATTTCTTCTTGAAATGCTTACCCGACTGGTCCCCTCCCTCGCCCCTTACCTATCCCTTTCCTCTCTAGGGTTTTGCTAGGATGTTAGCCGGATGTAAGGTACACGGACGAACTGCAAGCTTAGAGGTAGTGATTGGCTTTGCAAGCAGAAACAAAAACAAAACAATGACCAAAAAAAAAACCCCGCAAAACCAACAAAATAAAACAAAGCACCTCTTCCTTTGTTTAAAATACATTTTGCGTTAAACCAGTAGCCTACCAAAGGCAGCCTGGAGCCTTAAGTGTGTTCTGGAAGCTGAGCCTTGAGCGCCATCTGGGAGCAGAGGGCGGCACTGCAGCCTCCCGCCCTGGAGCTTCGCCTCCAGGTCCTTGCAGACTTTCCCCTTCATGATCCATCTCTTCTCCTGTTGCCCCAAGGTCTCAGAAGAGGGGATGTGCTACAATGGGGAGTTATGGGTTTTGCAATCAGACCCTGACACTTCACTGGCTGTGGGGTCTTGGGCAATTCATTGCCTTTCTGCAACATGAGGACAATCACACCCACCTTACTGGGAGACTGGAAGATTAAAAAAGAAAAATGACATAAACGGGCTTATAGCATGCAGTCAGCAAACTTATCCCCTTCCGTCACAGTGCCATAACTCAGTCTACAGACGAGTAACTCGGGGAGGGGGTTTGTTTGGCTCATCTGTAAAACAGGGCTGCTGGAAGCCGACATTGCATAACCCATATGTACAACAACTGGCACACAGTGAGTGCTCAGCTGTTAATAAAGGGAAGGAAAAGAAACTGTAAATCTGGCTCTGTTATAGGTCCTGAGGTTAAGCAAATAGAGAGACAGTTATAAAGATAAGTAAGACAAGAGAGCCAAATGTAAATAATAATATCAGGTAATTAATTAGATGTATGAACAAAGTTCAAATCAGTGTAGCTTCCAGGCTATATCAATTACCTCGCTTAAGCCCTCTACGCCCTTTACAACACAGGACTGTCACCCCTGCCCAGTTTACGGGCCAGCCAAGGAGGGTTCAGAAACAGCAGGGAATGTCCTTTGGGCTTACGCTGTTTGTGACCCTGCTTCTTCTCGGATCCTAGTCCATCTTCATCTTTTTTTTCCCAAAATGGTTTTCTCATTTCTGCCACTGAAGTTGAACAAATTCAACATCTGATTTTTCCTTTCCCTGTCTCCCCTCTGCCCACACCCTCCCCCAGTACTTCATCCTCCTGAGGTCGGCTCGATCCCAACTTCATGTCTGTCCCATCCAGCCCTCTTCAATTCCACTCTCCTCTCTCCAGTTATGACCCCTGGATGCCTGAAGAAGCCTTCTAACTGTGCTCTCCACTGTCCAGCTCTGCTCCCTCCAATCTGCCCTGCATGAGCCCCTGAGGGATCTCACCCTTTCAGCAGGTCCACCTACAAGTATAACCCCTCTAGGTGACATACCTTCCTTCGGGAAGCTTCTCCCAACAACCACTGACCCACAAGAATCTCTGCTTTCCTCAAACACAAGTAGACTTCGCAACTCTGCCTACCTGTTAGAATAACCTGAAGAAGCTTCATACCACACTGTTCACCAACAAGCACACAAAAAGATGCTCGATGTCATTAGCCATCAGGGAAATGCAAATTCAATCAACAATGAGAGACCACTCCACACCCACAAGGATAGCTATAATTAAAAAGATGAACAACGACAAGTATTGATGAAAATATGGAGAAATTGGAACCTTATAATACCGCTGGTAGAAATGTAAAATGGTACAGTCACTTGGGAAACAAGGCTGGCAGTTAGTTCCTCAAAGGGTTAAACAGAGTTATCATATGACCCAGCAACTCCACTCCTAGGTATATATATGTAAGAGAATTGATAGTTTCTGTATCCACACAAAAAACTTATATACAAATGTTCATAATAGCAGTATTCATGGATATCCAAAAAGTGGAAACCACCGAAGTGTCCATCAACTGATGAATGGATGAACAAAATGTGGTCTAGGAATGACGTGCTGATCCACACTGCAACACAGATGGGTCTTTAAAAGCTATGTAAGTGAAAGAAGCCAGTCACAAAGAACCATATGTTATTTCAATCCATTTATATGAAATGTCCAGACTAGGCAAATCCATAGACACGTAAAGTAGATTAATGGTTGCCAGGGGTTGGGGGAGGGGAAATGGGAGGAAATGGGGAGTTTCTGGTAGTGACTACAGGGTTTCTTTTCGAGGAAATGAAAATGTTCGGACTGTAGGCTGAGTGTGGTGGCTCATGCCTGTAATCTCAGCACTTTGGGAGGCTTAGGTGGGAGGGTCACTTGAGCTCAGGAGTTCAAGACCAGCCTGGGCAATGTAGCTAGATCCCATTTCTACAAACAAAATTTTTTTTAATTAGCTGGGTGTGATGGTGCATGCCTGTGGTCCCAACTACTCAGGAGGCTGAGGCAGGAGGATCCTTTGAGCCTAGGAATTTGAAGCGGCAGTGAGCCATGATCTCATCACTGCACTCCAGCCTGGGTGACAATGTGAGACCCTGTCTCTAAAAAATAAAAAAAGTCGATTGTGGTGATGGTTGCACAATTCTGTGAATATACGACAAACTATTAAATTGTGTACTTTAAATGGGTGAATTGTATGGAATGTGAATTATGTATCTGAATAAAACTTATATTTTTAAAAAAATAAACCTCCCATTCCAATCACTTCCTCATTGTTCAATATGGCTTCATATATTTCTTCATAAATAAATATACTGATTTAATACGTGTTTATTCGCTTATTGTCTACCACAACAGTAAAGGTAATTTCAATGAGAGCAGAGCCTATGGCGCATTCACTTCTATATTCCCAGTGCTTTGAGCATGGCACAAAAGGCTACTAAATAAGTAAGTGCCAGTGTGTGAATATATGAGTACCTGTAAGAATCAGCAAAAATAAAATACTGTTTCCAGGGCCCCAGCCCCAGAGATTCAGACGCAATTGATCTGAGGGAGAGCCTGACAAAGGTCTGGCTCAAGACTTCTTGAGTGATACCATTGTACAAACCAAGACGAAGAGCCCTGATCCACAGCAGTTGTCATCTATAACCCTAACCCTGTGTCACCCCTGCAGATGAGGCTTCAGTAGCTCACCATTACCTCTACAGACATTCTAAATTCAAGTTAAATAACGCAGATGAAGGACTCAGGTGAGTCTGGGACTTTCTGTATCAGAATCGTCACAGATGCCTCAAAAAATCAGATTCCCGGACCCCGTTGGAGACATTCAGATCCTTGCAGACCCCTGCCAGGGAATTAATGAGTTCAGGTTCATTCCACATGCAGATTCTCGGGACTCCCTCCAGGAAATTAAATTGAGATTCCCGGATTTAACCCCCTGGAAGGGGTCCCAAGAATTCACGTGTTGAACAAGTGTCTTTTCTCAGACATGCTGAAGGTAGGGATCTACAGAGTCACATTCATGCAAGGTCTGTGGCACAAGACCTGGCTCTGCCTGCATCTCTGGCTTCATCTCTCAACATTCATGCCCCCACCCTGTGCAGGTCCACCAACCCCGGCTACTCCACGTAACAGAAATGGCCTTTCCCTACTCCTTCTCTTGGCTTCTGCAACCAGCCTCCCAACCTTCACTCAGGTATCAAAGTGGCAAGCTTTTCTGGGTTCCGTGTCTATTCTGAGCTCCCAAGCCTCCTACAGTTGCACTTAACCAGGGATGATTGTGCTTTTCAAGGGACATGTGGCAATTCTGGGGATTTTAATTGTCATATTGGGGGGGTCACTACTGCCACCTACTGGGTAGAGGCTAGGAATGCTTAAACATCCTACAATGCGCAAGACAGCCCCCACCGCCCCCAACAAGAACTATCTGGCCCAAAATATCAGTGTAACTGAACTTGAAAAACTCTGCTATAGTCTATTGTCATGTGAGTTCCTCGAAGGCAGGGAATGTGTAACACTCACCTGCATAACCTCAGATACCACATACAGAGCCTGACACACAGTATTTGGTAAATACTAGTGGAATGAATTATCCGTACCTTGCATCTGGCATTCAGGTGTGTTCATTTCTGCCCTATTTTATTCCAGAAAAGACGTGTAGATACTTAAAAAAACTTACTCAATGCAACAGGATAAAATCAGTGAAGGTATCGTAGAAGCAGCAGCTATGATGAAGCTATAGGTGGGTTGAGAGCAGTTATTAGGATTATTTTTATAGCCACAAGGTAGAGATAAGCTGAAATTTGACTCTGGGCTTCTGGTTGGCATCCATGCAATAAAAATGTCCCAGTTGCTCAAGGGAAGCACAGCTCTCTCTAAAGTTGAGAGGTGTGGGGCACTGGGCCATAGTGAGAGTGAAGTGGACAACCCTTTCTTTCTTTTTTTTTGTTTTTTTTTTCTTTTTGAGATGGAGTCTCACTCTCTTGCCCAGGCTGGAGTGCAGTGGCGCAATCTCGGCTCACTGCAACCTCCACCTCCCTGGTTCAAGTGATTCTCCTGCCTCAGCCTCCCAAGTAGCTGGGACCACAGGCGTGTGCCACCACGCCCAGCTAATTTTTATATTTTTAGTAGAGAAGGGGTTTCACCATGTTGGTCAGGCTAGTCTTGAACTCCTGAGCTCAAATGATCCACCCGCCTCAGCTTCCCAAAGTGCTGGGATTACAGGCATGAACCACCACACCCATCTGGACAACCCTTTCAACAGCACCAATACACCAGGAGTCTTTCACAACTAGTTGTTATAACTTCCTCTGAGTTCTTTTCCTCTTCCAGAACTCATTCTCTTTCTCTTTCCCATGTAATTTGATAGTTTCTTTCTATCTCTTAAGTTTGAGCTTGGCCACATGACTTGTTTTGGTGAATGAAATGATGATAGACATGATACAAGTAGGAGCTTTAGATGTGTTTGTGCAGCTGGATGTGAATTCCTGAATCTCTCCCATCACCATGAGAAGAGCATGCCCTGGCTAGCCCTCTGGTTCAAAGAAGGTAAAAAAATACCTGGAGTCAAGCTCATTCAACTTAACCCACAGACCTGTAGCCTACAGCAGAACCACACAGCTGAGCCCAGCCTAGCTCAGCACACCCCCTGCTGACCTGCAGTTGCATAAGCAAGCCCAGCTGGGTTCAGCCACCCCCCAGTCGCAGATGCATGAGCTAAATATATGTTCACTGTTGCATGCCACAGAGTTTGGGGAAGATTCACTATGCCCCATTATTGACAATGGGTAACCAAAATATCTCCCAATAGCAAGTTAAAGAATTACGCCAAAGCGTGGCTAAATAAATAAATGAAAGCAATCTTTTGGGGGGCTAAGATAGACCAAATTATTCCATGTTACTTAAGATTCCTCCCAAACTAAGTAGTAACTCCTTGGTGATAGATCATATTCTTCCACCAAGTGACCACCACTGAGCTGGGCACATAAGAATGCTTGATGCCAATGTGTCAATCAGTATTTGATTGGGAATATAGCCAACCCATTTCAAGAGAAATGCTGTGAACTAAAGTCAAAATGTTGGCAACACTGAACAATCAATCGACTGAATTGGACAGTCAATAGATTCAGATGCTCTAAATGCCTTCCATTATATCAGATCTGCCAAAGGTCCAAAAACCAATGATGCAGTGGCAAATTTCCTGGTCTCATCTCCCACGCAGCATCCACTCTCCCCCAGATGGTTGAGTTCTTTCTGGTCATCTTAGATCCCTCCAGAATGGATTTTTTTTACCTCTCATGCTTGCGCAAGGCTCAACTTCAATTCGAAGAAAGCCTTCCCATACTTCCTTTTATGAAATTACAAGCCTGGGATCCCTACCTTGTCTGCTCAGAAATAAAACAGACTCAGCCCCATCTACACTTGAGTTAGAGTTGAGAGTTGCATACTCTCAACTCCTCATGTGGCTGAGTTGCTAAAGGTGTTGTATTAGTTCTTGCACTGCTATGAAGAAATATCTGAAGCTGGGAAATTTACAAAGAAAAGAGGTTTAATAGGCTCACGATTCCGCAGGCTGTACAGGAAGCATGGCTGGGGAGGTCTCAGGAAACTTACAATCATGGCAGAAGGCAGAGGAGAAGCAGGCATGTCTTACATCACCAGAGCAGAAGGAAGAGAGAGAAGAGGAAGGTGCTACACACTTTTAAACAACCAGATCTCATGAGAACTCACTCACTATCACAAGAACAGCAAGGGAGAAATCTGCCCCCATGATCCAATCACCTCCCACCTGGCCCCTTTTTCAACACTGGGAATTACAATTCGACATGAGATTTAGGCAGGGACACAAATCCAAACCATGTCAGGAGTGAACCATGGAGTCAAGCAGTCCTGGTTTCTATCACAGCTCTGCCACTTATATGCTGTGTGACCTTGGGAAAGCACTTAGCCTCTCTGAGCCTCGGTTGTTCTAACTATACAATGGACATAATATTTACCTACTTTAAGACTGTTCTTAGGACTGAGAAAGGTAAGGTCTATAAAGTACTTAGCACAGCCCCTGACACGTAGTTGGTGCTTAATTAATGCTCTTATCACTTGATTTTGAATTCAGAGAGTAGACCCATCACAGCAGAGCTACAGTGGGGTGGAAAGGGGAGGTAACGGAGGTAACAGGACCCACTATGAGCACCTACTGTGTGCTAGCAGCTGTGCTAAGCACTTTAAATACACTCTCTCATTTAATCCTCACCACCACCTACTTTGTCACCATTGCTTCTATAACAGGACATCAAGTAGGAATTCTCCAGTTGTTCTGGATCAATGACTACAGCAGACAGTTGGTACCTAGCTCAGGGTGAGAGATCCCCAAGAGAAATTGCTCCAAAAGAGGGTGATCACACATCCCCAGTTTGCCCTGCATGATCCCAATTTATACCTGTTGTCTTAACATATCTATTAATAACTTCTCATTCCCTTTCATACTCAGAACAGTCCAAATCTGAGCAACAAATTATATGGTCACCTGTCATGGTCACCAGCCAATTATATGGTCACCTGCCATGGAGCCATGGGGGCTGATTGCAAGAAGGAGGGGCTAGCATCTCTATCCCTGAGCTGCAGAGCCATGAGCCCCTCTAGTGCGATCATCTGAGTAAGATGGAGTGAGGACACTCTTGGAAAAGCTGACTCTAAGCAAAGCTTAATGTAGGAAAAGGACAGGGGCAGGCATCTCCCTCTCATTCCCTGTGCCCTAAGAGTGCGTCACAGATGCCTGTGATTTCATGGTAGAAGACGAAGCCAGAGATATAGATGAGAGGCTATCCAAGGAGCCACTAAGTGAGGGGCTTGGAGCCACAGATGATTGAAAGGGGCCAAAGGGAGGCAAGGCTGGCCTTCCCCTAAGGGTCTCAGTGACAGATGGGGCACATATGACATTGAAACCAAGCACACGATCTACACCAGAACCATCTCATTTGCAAAGGTTTTGAGCAGCAAAACCAGTGTTACACAGAACAAGATCAGAAATGCCACCCATAACTACGACCTTGCCAAGTTAAGTAGAAATAAGCCTAAACTCCCCGACCCACTTTCCTCCCCATCTCCACACACAAAGAGAGGAATGGGAGATGCATAAAGAGCTAAACATGCCCTTCGCACGCGCCTCTTCAGGTCCCTGCCATGGGGAAGAGAGATAACGTTTGTTTGTTTGTTTGTTTGTTTTTTAGATGCAGTTTCATTCTTTTTGCCCAGGCTGGAGTGCAATGGCCCGATCTTGGCTCACTGCAACCTCTGCCTCCTAGGTTCAAGTGATTCTCCTGCCTCAGCCTCCCAAGTAGCTGGGATTACAGGTGCCCGCCACCACGCCCAGCTAATTTTGTATTTTTAGTAGAGACGGGGTTTCACTATGTTGGCCAGGCTGGTCTTGAACTCCTGACCTCAGATGATCTGCCTGCCTCAGCCTCCCAAAATGCTGGAATTACAAGCATGAGCCACCGCATCTGGCCAGAAGAGAACTTTTCATTGGATCTGAAATTGGAGATTTAAGTCAGACTGAACTAAGTTTTTTAATAGCTGAAAGTGGCCAGAAAGTTAAGGGACCTAGCACCCACTGGGGTAGAAAGACTGAACATACAACTGATAATAATATTTAAGAAAAAAAACAAAACTAGTTCATGCTTGTACCCCATGGAGTTGAAACTTCTCCCCAAACTAATTACTGTCGTTTAATAGACACTTGGTGCTGAGTGCTTTACATATTTTCCTTTTAGGGAAAACTCTGAGACACATGGGCTCAGGGGAAATATTTGTTGACTTGGATGGAAAAGGCCCATCCTCAGCTTTTGTTTTGCCCTGTCCTGCTGTCTGTCTGTGTTAAGTTCAATGCCTGAGGCTTTGCCAACTTGTATTCCCTGTAAGGGCAGAAATTCAGCTCATGTAAACCTCACAGTAATCCTTATCCCCATCTAACAGAGATGGAAATGGAGACTCAAAGAGGTAAAGAAACTCACCCAAAGAACCACAGCTAAAACATTTAGCAGAGTAGGGATTTGAACCCAGGCCTGTCCACCTGCACATCCCTTGCTTGTTTGCCTTATTGAGCTGTCTCGTCAATTTCATCTTCGCCAGCCCCAATTCTCAGATGTCCCCTGGGCCTCCTCAATACCATGTTGCAGGCCATAGCCCCAGGCTGCTAAATGGCACGCAGCCTCTGTGGGAGAAGACTCTAATTGTGCCTGACCACAAGGTCTGCAGGGAGTTAATAAATTATTCCAAGAGAATATTTGCACTGAAGGCCTTATTGACTGGAGTCCATTTCCTGAGTTGGCATAATTTTTTTTCTCCAGCAATTGTTATAAAGCAAGTGCAAGTCTTGAAACCTCAACTGTAGAATCTCTTGATTATCACCAAGTATATGGGCTTCCAAGCCTACCTACCTTCAAAGTCAAGGTCATCACAATGGGATAATCCCTCAGGCAAAAAGAAAGATGAGTTTTAGGGGTCTTCTGGTTTCCATAGAAAAGGCGCTCCAGGCCAGGTGCCATGACTCACGCCTATAGTCGCAGCACTTTGGGAGGCTGAGTCAGGAGGATGGTTTGAACCTGGGAGTTCGAGACCAGTGTGGGCAATATGGTGAGATCCCATCTCTGCAAATAATACAAAACAAAATTCGTAAGCATAGTGGCACACACCTGTAATCTCAGCTATTCAGGAGACTGAGGTGGGAGGATAACTTGAGCCAGGAAAGTTGAGGCTGCAGTGAACTGAGATCACGCCATGGCACTCCAGCCTGGGCAGAGTGAGACCCTATCTCAAAAGAAAAAGAAAAAAGAAAGAAAGAAAAAGAAAAGGCACTCCAGTTCCATTCTATTCTTTATGGAACTATTCATAATTTACAGATTAATGTCACTTTTCTCCCTCCCACCCTCATCTTTCTCCCTAAGAAAACCACGACTGATTTGTTGCAGTATTATAACACCCAATGAGTAGAAACAACCCAAATGTCCATCAATAGGGGAATGGTTGAATAAAGCATGATATAGCCACCCAGCAGAGTACTATGAAACATACTAAAAGAATGAGAAGGACCTCTACATCCCCAGTATGGAGGAGTTTCCAGTTCATTCAAATGAAATTAGCAAGGTTTCAGAAAAGAGTATGTTGTTTTGTATAAGGAAGTGAAAGGGATTAGAATATATATTTGCTTATATTAGCGAAATAAAATAATAAAAGGCTAAAACCACAAAAAAAAAGTTTCCTTTGGTGGAGAGAGAAGAAGAAGGGTAATAGGAATGAAAATGGGACTTCTCTAAGGCTGAGAAGAGGGGAGAACCAAGAAAGAGGAGTGTGGGAGTGCTTTGTTCTGCCAGGTGCAGTCAATAGGTGCCTTGTCTGTAAAGAATTTAAAAAACAGTAATACAATCAACTATTAAATGCAATTTGGTATCTAAATCAAATTTTGGATCCAGGAAAAAAGGACATTGGTGGAAAAACTGATGAAATTTGAGTAAAGTCTATAGTTAATAGCATTATATTAATATTAATTTCTTTTGACAAATGTACCATGGTGATGTAAGATGCTAACATTAGGGGGAACTGGATGAAGGGTAACTACAAGAATTATCTGTGCTATTTTTGCAACTTCTGCAAATCTAAAATTATTCCAAAACAACGTGATTTCTAAAAATATATGAATTTCATACACGAGTATTATGACATGAACAAAAAGCAATTAAAGGTCATCCATTTTTATTATTACTGGCAATTCTAAACAATATTGGTGATAGAACTCTCCCACTCCTCCAACCAGGGCAACTAACCACTCTGTACCTACTCTGAGGATGGCTTTTTTATTTAGTTATTAGTTTGGAACAATGTTAATGTTCTGTAAAGACAAATATAAAACAAAATTTGAAAACAAAAACAGAAAGAGCCACAATATTGGGCATGAATAACCCAAATCTGAGCACTGTCACCACGTGCTCCTCTCAAATTCAGGGTTTTAATTTTTTATTCTTTATTACAGACAGGATCTCCCTATGTTGCCCAGCCTAGCCTTGAACTCCTGAGTTCAAATGATCCTCCTGTCTCGGCCTCCCAAAGTGCTGAGATTACAGGAATGAACCACCAGGCCTGGCCTCAAGTTCAGGTTTGAGCAGCTCTCACCAAAATCCCACTGCAGTAAAATTCACAGTGGGCTTCAAATTCAGGTCCATCTGAGTCCAGATCCCAAAAGCTTTCTGACAGATCTTCTTGAGGGTGACAAAACAGAAATAAAAGATCAGAATGGGAACTTGCAGTTCCTCTTCTGTCCTTTATAGAAGTGTCAACGGGGATGCAAAGATTTCATTATCAACGGGACTGGCACTGTGCCCTTCTATCAGGCGTCTGCTCTCACAGGGAAATCAACTTGGCACAGCCTCAAGCATTGAACCTAACACTGAGAGGCAGCCGGGCAGAGCAGAAAGAAAGCTGAAGACAGGCCCTTTCCATCCAAGTCAACAAATATTTCCTTTGAGTACGTGTACCTCAGGGTTTTTCCCAAAAAGAAAAATCCCTCTTCATATAAACCCCCTAGAAAGAAGTCATTGCTGCCTCAAATGCATGTATTCAGCTGCAAGGCTTCTATTGCTACATGCTTTCTGATTATAGCCACCATTTCTAAGCCCTGCAGGTGTTTGCCCATCTTGGATCCTTTGAAACAGCTCCTTCCCCTGCCCCATTTGCTTCCAGATATCTGCACGGCTCAGCCCCTCCATTTATTTGGGCGTTTGCTCAAAGCCACCTTTTCAGAGAGGCCTTCACTCACCACCCTATCAAAACCGGGTCACACCTCCCATCTCTCTCCATTCTCTATACCTACTTTATCTCCTTAATGCTCACTATCTCTTAACATTTATTCATGTGTTGACTTGTCTTCCCTCTCTGAAAGCTCCATAAAAGCAGGGTCTGTTGCATCTCCAGAGCCTACTATTTTTTTTCGGTGTAAACAGTAGGTGGCTCACGCCTGTAATCCCAGCACTTTGGGAGGCCGAGGTGGGCAGATCACGAGGTCAGGAGATTGAGACTATCTTGGCTAACACGGTGAAACCCCATCTCTACTAAAAAAATACAAAAAAATTAGCCGGGCATGGGGGCGGGCGCCTGTAGTCCCAGCTACTCGGGAGGCTGAGGCAGGAGAATGGTGTGAACCCTGGAGGCGGAGCATGCAGTGAGCCGAGATCCCGCCACTGCACACCAGTCTGGGTGACAGAGCGAGACTTCGTCTCAACAACAAATATATATATATATACATACATTAGGTGCAAAGGCCCTGGGGTGCAAACGTCCATGCATGCTAAAGGGGAGAAGGAAGGCCAGTGTGGCCAGTGTGGCTAGAGATGAGCTAAGGGAGGAGAGGAGGGCAGGGCCTTTGTAGACTACAGCAAGTGGTTTTATAAGGGTCTTATTCTGAATGCAACAGGTAGCTGCTGGATAGTCATAAGCCGTGGGGTCCGGGTGGTGGGGAGGTTGACATCCTCTGATTATATTTATTTTAAAGATCATTCTGGTTTCTATATGAAGAATAGACTGAATAAGGCAAGAGGTAAAGCAGGGGACCGATTATAAAGGCTACCAGAATAGCCCAAGGGAGATGGGATGGTGGCTTGGATTACGGGGGTAGTGCTGAAGAGAGGAGGCTTGTGGGTGTTTCTTGGTAATTTGTGGATAAACTAGATGAGGGGCATGAGAGAAAGAAAAATGTCAAGGATGACTCCAAGTTTAAGGAGCTGAGCAAGGGAGTGGATGATAGTGGCATTTACTGAGATGGGGGTTCTGCAGAAAATACACCTTGAAAGGGGAATAAAAAGTTAGTTATGTTTTGTCCCAGAATCACAGCAATAATAAATTAGTCTTAATGCATTAAGTTTTGGGGTGGTTTAATAGGCAGAAATCGATCACTGAAACATTCTGTCTAATAAGTACTGTTTCCTTGATTTCAGGATGCTTTTGATGGAGTAATGAGCGTCAATTAAATGCACACATCAAATGAAAAACACATCACGATTTTAGAAACCTACTTAATATCTTCTTTAGAGAAACATCTATTAAAGTCCTTAGCCCACTTTTTAATCAGATTGTTAGAGTTTTTTTTTTGCTATTGAGTTGTAGAAATTCCTTATATATTTTAGAAATTAACTCCTTATTATATAGATGGTCTACAAATAATTTTTCCCATTTTGTGGGTTGTCTTTTAACTCGATTGTTTCATTTGCTGTGCAGACACTTTTTCGTTTTACATAGTTCTCATCATTTATTTTTGTTGTTGTTGTCTGTGCTTTTGGTGTCATATTCACGAAATCATTGGCAAGACCAACATCATGAAGTGTTTCCCCTATGTTTTCTTCTAGGAGTTTTACAGTTTCGGGTTTTACTTGTAAGTCTTTAGTCCTTTTTTAGTTGATTTTCATGTATGGTGTTAGATAAGGATCCTATTTCATTCTTTTGCATGTGGTTATCCAGTTTTCCCAGCATCACTTATTAAAGAGACAATCATTCCCCTATTACATATTCTTGGCACCATTGTTGAAGATTATTTGATCACATATGTGTAGATTTACTTCTGGACTTGCTATTGTATTCCTTTGGCCTATATGTCTGTCTTTATGCCAGTACCATATTTTATTTTATACCAGTTTTAATTACTGTGGCCTTGTAATATATTTTGAAATCAGGAAGTGTGATGCTTCCAACACTGTTCTTCTTTCTCAAGGTTGATTTGGCTATTTGTGGCCTTTTGTGGTTCTATACAAATTTTAGACTCATTTTTTCTATTTCTGTGAAAAATGCCTTTGGGATTTTAATAGGGATTGCATTGAATCTGCATATTGCTTTGCATAGTATGGACACTTGAACAATATGAAGTCTTCCAATCCATGAATTTGGAATGTCTTTCCATTTGTTTATACCTTCTTTCATTTCTTTTTTTTTTTTTTCTTTTGAGACAAAGGCTCGCTCTGTCACCAGGCTGGAATACAGTGGTGTGATCTTGGCTCACTGCAACCTCCGCCTCCCAGATTCAAGCGATTCCTCTGCCTCAGCCTCCCGAGTAGCTAGGACTACATGCACGCACCATGATGCCTGGCTAATTTTTTTTATTTTAGTACAGATGGGTTTTCACCATGTTAGCCAGAATGGTCTCAAACTCCTGACCTCATGATCCACCCACCTCAGCCTCCCAAAGTGCTGGGATTACAGGCATGAGCCACCATGCCGGGCCACCTTCTTTCGTTTCTTTCAAGGTTTTATAATTTTTAGTATACAAGTCTTTCACCTCCTTAGTTAAGCCAACAAGTTTATGAAAAAATGTCCAATACCACAAATAATCAGTATCACTAATTGCAAATCAAAACCACAATGAGAAATCACCTCACACCTGTCAGATTGGCTAGTGTCAAAAAGACAAAAGACAACAAATGTTGGTGAAGATGTAGAAAAATTGAAACCTTTGCACACTATTATTGGCAATGCAAAATGGTACAACCACTAAGAAAAACAGTACGGAGGTTTCTCAAAAAGTTGAAAATAGAACTAGCATATGATCCAGCAATCCTACTTCTGGATTTATACCCATAAAAATTAAAATCAGAATGTGGAAGAAATATTAGCACTAACATGTTCATTGCAGCACTGTTCACAACAGCCAAAATGGGGAAAAAACCTAAATGACAGATTAATGGGTAAAGAAAATGTGGTATATACACGCAATGGAATATTATTCAGCCTTCAAAAAGAAGAAAATTTGGGATGGGCACAGTGGCTCACGCCTGTAATCCCAGCACTTTGGGAGGCCAAGGCGGGTGGATCACCTGAGGTCAGGAGTTCAAGACCAGCCTGACCAACATGGAGAAATCCCATCTCTACTAAAAATACAAAATTAGCCAGGCATGGTGGCGCATGCCTGTAATCCCAGCTACTCGGGAGGCTGAGGCAGGAGAATTGCTTGAACGCAGGAGGCGGAGGTTGCGGTGAGCAGAGATCGCACCGTTGCCCTACAGCCTGGGCAACAAGAGTGAAACTCCATCAGAACAAGAGGAAGAAGGAGAAGGAGGAGGAGGAGGAGGAGGAGAAGTGGGGGGGAAGGGAGGGAGGGGGGAGGTGGGAGGGGGAGGAGGAGCAGGAGGAGAAAATTCTGCAAGATGTGAGAACAAGAATTAAATCTTGAGGACTTTATGGTAAGTTAAATATCTGTCAAACAAAGACAAATATTTCTTATTTCCACTTACAGGGGTCATGTGAAATAGTCAAATGCGTAGAACAAAAGAGTGTAATGGTGGTTGCCAGGGCTGTGGGGAGGAGAAAATGAGGAGCTACTCATCAATGGGCGTGAAGTTTCCGTCAGGCAAGATGAATGCGTTCTAGAGCTCTGCTGCACATTATGTACCTAGAGTCAACAAGGTATTGTGCACTTAAAATTTGTTAAGAGGGTACGTCTCATGTTAAGTGTTATCACAATAATTTTTTGAAAAAAAATCTGTTTACTATATGCCTTGACATGAAGAATATAGGTACCAGATGACGTATCTATGCACTCCAAGCTCTGTGTCTCACATTTATTTCAATCACATGTAGATAACAGCAAGAATCTTTAGACAACTCAGATTGCATCTGGCTTATCACCTGGTTTGTCCCTAAATTTATCGTTTCTACAGAGTGAGCAGACATGTCCCTCTTTCTCTCTCTCTCCCTCTCAGGGCATATTTCAATAACGTTCTCTTTTTGATGAAGTCACACAAGACGCAGAAGCAGTCCTAAAACTCAATTTATGGAAGTCAGTTGAGACCAGACTTTGGATTGAACCTCCCAAACCTGCCTAATTAATGACACACATTATGGCCCCTGCTCCCCTAACTGAATGCAGCCTCCAAACCTTGACGTGTTTTCCCAACAATAAAATGCAGTAAATGAATGAGTGTCCTGAGGGACCGTGGCAGGAATAAAGGGAAAGCCATGAAAGATAGATGATGTCTCAACTAATTTTATGATTTATCGATCTCCACTTTGCTCATTTTGCAATGCGGGAGAGCTCATTTTTCTGCCAGGCCCACAGTGGTGTCACCCTTGCTAATAGATATGATTACCATCCCCAAAACTGTGTTTGTGAAAATAAGAAGTGTGGCTTCTCTGCTGCTGCTGACCTCAGCAGTTTTCTTTTATTATGTGCTGGATCCGCTAAGAAGCAAAATTGATGTACTTATCCGGGGACTCTGTTGGACGGGCACAAGCATTTTCCTCATTTTTCTTCCAAACAAGTTCATCTTTAAGCAAGTACAGATTCATGGTTTAAATTACGGCATTGACACATCATCTGTTTTCAGTGTGTGTATTCTTACAAGGAGGATCTTTTATGTGATCAGAGAGAGGAAGAGAGGGGATAGAGGTGTCACCCACGTGCCAAGTTGAGTTTAAAGATATACATGTTAGGACACAATACAGGCTGCTTTGGATGGTTCACCAACTGCATTCAGCAAATATTGATTGGGCACAGGTATTGTGCTAAGCATGCCGGGGGTATTCAGTCATTTAATAAATATTTATTGGCAGGCCAGGCACAGTGGCTCACACCTGTAATCCCAGCACTTTGGGAGGCCAAGGCTGGCAGATCACGTGGTCAGGAGATCAAGACCAACCTGGCTAACACGGGGAAACCCCATTTCTACTAAAAATACAAAAAGTAGCCAGGCATACAAAAATAAAAAAAGGTGCACGTGCCTATAGTCCCAGCTACTTGGGAGGCTGAAGCAGGAGAATCACTTGAACTCAGGAGGCAGAGGTTGCAGTGAGCCGAGATCGCGTCACTGGGCGACAGAGCAAGACTCCGTCTCAAAAATACATACATACATACACACATACATGCATATTTATTGGTGATTTCATATATATAGCTGGAATTATAGAGCAAAATAGGCAATGTCTCTTTTATCATAGAAACTATGTCCTGATTAGAAAAGATGGAAAGTTCAAAATAATAATTATGAAGTGCATAAAATAGGGTGTGTTAGTCAACTATGCCACAGCAGTGCTGGGTAGCATACAGCCAGTAACTCCACAACAGCAAGCATGTGTACCTCATTTATGCAACTATGGTTTGTCCTGGGTTTGGCTGATCTAGGCTGGGCTTGGCTCCAGGCCACATGTTTAGTTCATGTCTGTTCCTTGCATCTCTCACTCTTCTGGGACCAACAGGTTACCCAGGGCATGTTACCCTCATGGCCATGGAAGAACTAAAGTAGGTGAGCCCAACCACTCTATCACATTTCAAATCTCTGTTCACTTCTACCCACTAATATCCTGTTGGCCAAAACGAGTCATATGGCCAAGCCCAAAATCATGTGGTAGGGAAGTAAATACCATCCACAATTGGAGCGGGGAGGCCATCAACACTTGCTGGGCAATAATCCAAACTGTTATGCAGAATGATGTGATAAAAGGGATCAGAGAGAAGTGCTGTGAGGAATGGGGATGAGTTCACTGGGATGATGTCAGAGAGGCAGGCGAGGGCCAGATCTTGCTGAGCTACGGAAAGAAATGGCACATTTGATTTGTGATTTCAAATAATCCCTTTCACTGCTATGGGAAAACTGGATTGTAAGTGGCACGAGAGCAGATGCAGGGAGTCCCAGCAGGTCGGACACTGGTTCAGTGTTCTAGGTGGGTGGTGATAGAAGGTGTGCACTTGAATAGTGGCAATGGAGATGAAGGCAAGCGCTAGACTGAGAAACAGAAGCAAATGGACAGGGTACCAAAGTGGATAACATGTGGTCCCTGACCTTAAAGAGCTAATAACCTACTTGATGAGAAAAAGATGTACAGACACAGCCATGGTTTGGAGAGATATGTTTTTAAAATAAGGCCATACACAAAATACTAAAAAAAAAAAAAAAAATCCAAAAAAGAGCTGTGAACTTTGTCTGAGAGTATCTGGATAATTTCAGGGAGGAGGTGATATTTGAGGTGGACTTCCAATGTGTCATGTCAAATAGCACCAAGCTGATAAGCAAGAACCATCTTAATCAGATTGACTGGGTGCCACAAAGCCACACCTATGATGGACACACAGGAAAGTCTAGCAGCCAAGCAGAGGGAGGATGACTTTCCACAAAGACAAGTATTTGTGCTGTAAGACTACATGCTTTGACCCATCTGCAAAATGGGTGCATCTGCAAGAAGGAGGCCACCAGGCAATAGGCTGGGGGCCAGGTAGGTACTTCTTGAGTAGTGTCACACACTATTCAAGGAGATCTGTGACTCAGTATACCCAAGAGAACCTCCAATTTGCCGCCATTCTGCCAAAGGGATGCTAGAGGTTTGAGGAAAGCAGTCTGGCAAAGATAAATCCTCAGAATTGAAAGACCTAAAAGCACAGAACCATCCGTGTCCCCAACTAACTCGGTGATTTCTTTGCTCTTCAGTTTCCACAAAAATAAAATATTATTTATATAACATATGCAGATATATGCACCAAGATACAAGGCATGCCATAGACTCTCAAATATTTGTTGAACAGATAAAGGAACATTTAACACAACATTTTTATAATTGTAAAAACTTTGAGACTACCCAAAGGCCTTTAGTAGGCCAATAATTAAATAAACACTGGTATATTCATATCTTGGACTATTACGTAGCTATGCAAAATTTTCTCATTAGAAAAATTCATTATTAATATGTGGGAAAAACGTGGAAAACACGGAAAGATGCAAGAATAAAATAAAACACATCCCCTAGAGATAACCTCTATTAATATTTTGTAGTCTCTGCTTCCATCCTGTGTGGTACTTTTGTAGTGCATGGGCATTGTGTACCTATGTGTTTTTAGCTAACATAAATGAAATTATATTAAACATATGAATTCAAATTCTGCTTTTTTCCCTTTAATATTGTTTTATGGTGTTTTGTTTGTTTTGAGACAGAGTCTTGCTCTGTCACCAGGCTGGAGTGCAGTGGTGTGATCTCAGCTCACTGCAGCCCCTGCCTCATGAGTTCAAGCAATTCCCCTGCCTCAGCCTCCCAAGTAGCTAGAATTACAGGCAAGTGCCACCATGCCCGGCTAATTTTTTCTTTTAGTAGAGACAGGGTTTCACCATGTTGGCCAAGATGGTCTCGATCTCCTGACCTCAGGTGATCCACCCGACTCGGCCTCCCAAAGTGCTAGGATCACAGGCATGAGCCACCGTGCCTGGCCTACAGTGTTTTTCTATATAAATTTTTACAAAGAGGTTTAGCAATGTAAAAAAATTGCATTGATTTTATAAGAATGGAAACATGGAATACAAAATCATGTATCTGGCATGAGTTTAAGTACGTAAGTATTTCGTATAGACAGACATGTGTGTTTTGTATACGTCTGTATGAATGACCGTAAGAAAATATACCCAAGGTTAGTAATGATTGTCTTGGGGTTGTGGGATTATTATGGGCTGTCATTTCATCACTTATATTTTTCTGCATCTTCTTTATAACATAAAATAAGCATGTATTACTACTGCAATAAGTAAAAAGAGAAATGTTTTTTGAACAGGAGCAATGAATTTGAAAGAATCCAAGGACGAGTGTATTAACCAACTGTGATATCTACGACTGTGGTTTCACAAATTAGGGGCATACTTGCAGCGCCAGGCTCACCTCGACCTCCTAGAGTTATGCCTCCTCCTCAGGCCAGGCCTTAGAGGTCATGAGACAGGCTGAGGAAAGAGAGGTCCAGGCCAGCATCCATGGAATCTGTCCCATTAGCTCAGAGACAACAAAAAGGGGACAGATCCAGAGGGTGGGGGGACTGGCAATGCAGGACACAGGAAAAGCTAGACTAAAAGATCCCGGGCACCGGGAGATCAAAGGGCCAAAGCGAGCAGCAGCCAGCCCTCAGACCAAAGACTCCCCAACACGCCCCACACAGCAGGAATTCAAGAAATTCCAAAGCCTAACTCTGAGGATGTGCTCAAACCCTCACATTATTGACCATGATGGCAAGAAAAGTCTTCAGTATCATTTTCGTTATAGAAGTTAGCGGAGAAGCAGGCAGTGGAAACCCACCATGGTGATCAGACAGGGCCCTTTGTTTGCATGAGCTTAATTATTGACTTAGAAAACTTGAGCATCCTCCTTTGCCAGAGAAAGAAGCACCTTTTTTTTTTTTTTTGAAATGGAGTCTCCCTCTATTGCCCAGGCTGGAGTACAGTGGCATGATCTCTGCTCACGGCAACCTCTGCCTCCGGGGTTCAAGCAATTCTCCTGCCTCAGCCTCACAAGTAGCTGAGAATGCAACCATGCACCACCACGCCGGGCTAATTTTTTTGTAATTTTAGTACAGACAGGATTTCACCATGTTGGCCAGGCTGGTCTCAAACTCCTGACCTCAAGTGATCTGCCTGCCTCGGCCTCCCAAAGTGCTGGGATTACAGGCATGAGCCACCAAGCCCGGGCAGAAAGACCAATTCTTTCACCATGGCATTCAAGGCTTCCCTGGGTCTGTCTCCATCAACCAACCTACCTACACACACACACACACACACACACACACACACACACACACAACTATTGTCCATACCTGCCAAGACTTTGTTCATCCTGTTTCCTCTGCCTGGAAGGCCTTTCTCTCATTTCCACGTATCTAAATTCTTTACAACTCCAAAGTCCTCTTCTTAAAAAGCCTTTGGAAAAAACTATTGAGTGAATAAAGCAAGGGTCTGCTCCAGTCCTGTCTGAGTGAATCAGACAGGTCTGCTCCAGTCCAGGCCCCTCTCCTTACTGGCTGTGTGACGTTGGACACGTTCAATCGTCCTTCTGATACCAATTTTCTAATTAGTAAAATTAGCTTCTAATTGAAGCTGCCTCCAAGGCTTTCTGTAAGAATTAAAGGAGAAAATTATTTCAGATATCTATTTAAAAGTAGCCGAATTTATGTCAATAAATGGCAACAAATATAAATTTTATATCCTCTTTCCTAGTATCAGTTCCCCACTTCATTTTCTAGGTGGCATTTTGCCTACGGGTTCACCATCTTCTGTCCAAGTTTACTTTTATGCCTCCTGGAGTCAAAGGCAACTGCCGCCTCTGAGTTTAGACACAATTGGGTTGCATCTTAGCTCTGGTACCTTCTAGCTGTGTGTTTTTGAACAAATCATCACACCTCTCAGAGCCTCAGCTTCCCCATGTGAAAAATGGGTTTAATGTTTCACGTTGGGGAGTTGAGTGAGTCAATGTACATTAAGCTCTTGGAACGGGGCCTGGCACACAGCCCTAGAAGGGTTCGTTGTTACTGCCTCACAGGGTTATGGTAAAGATGGGGTGGGTTTCTGTTTGTCTGCAAAGCCCTTATCCAAAGTCCCAACACGTAGCAAGCCCTCTGTAAATATCAGTCGTATAATCAGGAATTTAGTAAACAAGTCCAATGCCCCTCACTCCACCCCCGCAGCAATGTAATAGATGTCAGTCAATCCCTTTTTTGGGTCTTTTCAGAACAAAAACCCCTGTTCTCTCCTCCAGTGGGGTCTCCCTGGGCTAACTGAACCATCCTCCTGGTCTTAAACAGGAGGATTCCTGGAGCCAAGTGGGATCCTTCTCCTGCACCACGAGGGCCCAGGGGCCAGGTAACATACTGTCTGGCTAATCTGGAGCCAAGCAGAAACTGGCACAGAGGACATCCACAGGCTTACTGCATTTCCTTCCCCTGTAAAAGAACCCTACGGTCCAGCCCAGCAAGCACCTCTCTTTGACCAGCTAATAAGGTTATAAAAAAACTTATGTATCTGACTTTAATAATGGTATTAAACCCAGTAATCTGACTTTAATAGTGGTATGCCAAGGCAAACATGGTCCTAGCAGGGACCAGGAGCGAGGGCAGGTGAGGGTACACATCTGAGGCTGAGCGACACCTCCTATATGAAGTTGATTCATGTTGGAGCAAATCCGGGCAGGGACCAGCTGATTCAGGCAGTTAAGTTATTGCTCTGCCAGTTTAATATTTCGCCATCTGCTAACTGAAGGCTCTACTGCCTGCTGGGTCCTATAAAGACTTTTATTTATTATACTACACATGGCAACATCTGCCACCAGGATGAGGCTCTACTCGGCGCCCTAATTAAACAAACACACACTTCAGTGACAGCAGAGGGCCGGGTCTCGCTGTGAGCCGAACTGTTGCTGGGAGTTAAAAACTTGGAGTGTCCCATCCTGAAGAGCCTTTGCTGAGAAAAGGTAGCATGAGTCATTCACCTCCTGGTGGCCACTAAAGATTTACAGGTGATTTAAAGCAGGCTGGAAAAAAAAAATTAAAAGGCTGGGTGTTTATCTCCCCTAACCTGCCTCTCACTCCCAAACAGAACTTGAGTTTCAGGGCTTGGTTTGGCCAACGGTCAGAATTCCTGCTTCACACTGTCACATGAGCCCCTGCCCTTCAATCTCCGTGCACACTCTCAGAAACAAGCCCTGCAGATGAAGAAAATGAATGTCAAAGTTTCCATTCAATTTTTCATTCATGCATGCATTAAAAAAATATGGAGTCATTCTACTATAAAGACACACGCCCACGTAAGTTTATTGCGGCACTGGTCACAACAGTAAAGACTTGGAACCAACCCAAATGCCCATCAGTGATAGACTGGATAAAGAAATGTGACACATATACACTATGGAATACTATGCAGCTATAAAAATGGAGGAATTCATGTCCTTTGCAGGGACATGGATGAAGCTGGAAACCATCATTCTCAACAAACTAACACAAGAACAGAAGACCAAATACCACATGTTCTCACTCACAAGTGGGAACTGAACAATGAGAACACATGGACACAGGGAGGGGAACATCACACACCAGGGCCTGTTGGTGGGGTGGGGGGCTGGGGAGGGAGAGCATTAGGAGAAATACTTACTGTAGTTGATAGGTGCAGCAAACCACCATGGCACGTATATACCTACGTAACAAACCTGCACGTTCTGCACACGTACCCCAGAACTTAAAGTATAATTAATAAATGAATAAAGAAGGAGTATGTGCTACATAACCCGTACTCTAGCAGGTGAGCTGGTAAATAAGATAGACATTTGTGTCTTCATAAAAGCCCCATTTGACTAAGTCAAGAGGACACATAAATGGATAAGATAATTGCAGATCGTGCTGAGTGTTAGGCAGCAAATAAAGAGGGCGATATATATATTAGATACTGGGCTGGCATACAGGTATATTAGTTTCTTATTGTTGCTGGAACAAGTTACCACAAATTTAGTGGCTTAAAACAATACAAACGTATTATCTTACAGTTCTGTACTTCAGAAGTCCAACATGGGCTAAAATTACTGAGCTAAAATCAAGGCACTGGGCAAAGATCAAGATGTCAGCAGGGCTGCTCCTTCTGGAAGCTCTAGAGAACATCCATTTTCTTGCTTTTTCCAGCTTCTAAAGGCTGCCTGCTTTCTTTGGCTTGTGGCCCCTTCCTCCATCTTCAAGGGCAGTAACATACCTGTTTCCGTCATCACACTCCTACCTTTGACTCTTCGATTCTGCCTCTCTCTTCCACTTTTAAAGATCTTTATGATTCCTTTGGGTCCAACCAGATATTCCAGGAATAGCTCCCTAAGGTCAGCTGATTAGTAAACTTAATTTCGCCTGCTGCCTTAATTGCCCTTTGCCATGTCACTTAACATACTCTTGGGTTCCAGGGATGAGGATGAATTTCAAAGTTCCCATTCAATTTTTCATTCATATATGCATTCAATAAATATTGAGTATGTGCTACATAATCCATACTGTAGCAGGTGAGCTGGTAAATAAGACAGATGTTTCTGTCTTCATAAAAACCACATCTTTGCGGGGTGTCATTATTCTGCTGAACACAGTGGACAAGAAACTACTTTAGATAGCGTGGTCCTCAGGAGGGCTTCTCTGAAATGTGATCATGAGAAAGGGTTGCAAGCAGAAGGAAAAGGAAGTATGAAGATCCAGAGGCAGGAGAGAATTTAGAATGGCTTTGGTACTGAAGGGAAACTAGTCATGGGCTTAGGAGTCAGAGAGTCATGGGCAAGGGAAAAGTGGCCCCAGATGAAGCTGAAGGGGTGAAAAAGGGAGGAATCAGATCACCTAGAGTCTTGTGTGCCTTGCAGAGGCAGCTTGGTGCAATGATCAAAAGCCCAGACATTGGAAGGGAACTTACTTTCACTTAACACCTAATTTTTACCAGACCCTGTGCCAGGACCTTTAAATAGATTATCTCATTTAGTTCCTGGAACAAGTACATGAAATATGCATTGCAATTCCCATTTTGCAGATGAGAAAGTAGTGACTTAAACAACTAAATTATAAAGACACACTGATGTGAATTCTGAAATATCTGGCTCAGAGCCCTTGCTTTCTCCACCACTCAAGGCTCCTGTCCAAATGATTTTGCCTTCCGTGCATGTGTGATTATGCAGCCAGGATCCTCTATCTTCTTTTTTCTCATTTAACTTGATAGACAGACTGCAGAACCTCAAAATCACCTGCAGTGGAGTGTCCCACTGAATTTGTGTTTTGCTTACCGCTTTATCAAGAGGTACATGAAATTCCTCTTGCCTGCTCTAAAGAGGTTGGATCATCAGTGAGACTGAACCTATAAGCTCTCCAGTCCCACTAGGGAGGATGCATGTTATTTAGGACACCAGCTGAGTTGCTGGTACAAGAGATCCAAAAACACAGTGACTCAGGCCAAGTAGGAATCTACTTCTCTTTCACAGATTGGTCCAGAGGTACATAGTCTAGGGCTGCCATAGTTTCTTTGCCCCTTGCAATCAGTCATCTAGGGATCTGGTTCCTTGCATTTTAATGTTCTTCTTTCCTCTGAAGTATTGTCCTCATCCACATGGTTGAAGTAGACTTGCCAGAACTCCGTCAAATTCCAACGTGTAGAAAGAGGAAATAGAGAATGAAAGGCAAGTATTTTCCTTTCCAGTGCTGTGACTTGAAGCTGCACGCATCCGTTCTGCTCACACCCTGGAGGCAGTAATTTAGTTGCGTGTCCACACACAGTTGCAAGAGAAGCTAAGAAAGGTAGTCTCTACCTAGATGGTCACATACAGAGTGAAAGCTTGAGAAGTTCTACTGCTAACAAAATGAAAGAGAAAATAAATACTGGAGAAAAATTAGCACTCTGCCACAAAGGATGACTGCCCTTTTGGTTTATCTAAAGTCCAGGCATTCTTTGCCTGCTGGATATGGTTTGTAGAATTTTTAGAACGAATAAATCTCTATTGTTCAGAAAAGAGAACCAAATTAATTTCTTTTCTCTCTCAGGGGCTGAAAGTAAAAATGGCCTGATCCTGGGTAGGTCTCATTCACCTGCTGTCATTGGAAAAGGCATTGGAGTTGTGGGGACCACGGTGAGTGGATAAACAAACCTCATCCAGAACAGGACCTCTAAGAGGGGTTACCGTGAGAGTTACCAGCCTGCACTACATTGTAGCCCAGCAGCACTGGCTCCGTGTTCAACAGTGCCATCTTCTCTCAGTAGGAAACCCAAACAGGCTGACAAATACCAGCGCTTTTCCCTAATTGGGAGTACAAGTTGTGAGGACTCCTAATTATACAAGAACCCTGGAACTGGAGCAGAAAGTCTCAATAAGGTAATTCAGGACTTCTGGCCAACCTGGAAGCTGGTAACTCAAGTACTCTTGATTAAATTTGGGGAAAAATAATTTAAATTCATGATAGTACTTGCTCTTGAGGTATTAGTAGAAATGCTATTTCTGTCAATAAACAAAAGAGTTTTTTTAAAAATAAAAAAAATCCCCTGAATATATCCTCAAACGTGATGCCAAAGCAAAGATTGATAAAATGCCAAAGATCTGGCTAAAAAAGATGCAAAGAATTCATGGAAGAGCCAATGTGACCCACTAAAACCACTCTAAGTGCAATTTTTGAATAAAATCCCACTTAAATGATTGTTTACCTGAGGTCAACGGAGGACCAGGGCAGTCCCAATGAGTAAGGGACTTAACATGGGCCACGGGGGTACATATTGATGACAGGAATCGCCTGACAATCACTAAGCTGATGGCCTGTTCTCCATATGTTCCTCATCTCTCCACCTAAATTTAATGTATCCAACTTTTTGGAATCCTTCCTCTTAGTCTTGCATTCTGTACGTATATGAGGAAGGTAAGGAACTAGGGGTTGCCTAGGAGGGATGGAGAAGGATAAATGCAAAAATAACACTGAAGCGATGGCCTTGCAGCCAGATGACATTTTAGGTAGATCCGCACAAATGCCTACAAATGAAACTCCAGGGCCTCAAATGCTTCATCTGTGAAATGGGATGATTACTTGAATCACCGATATAAATTATGTGTTCTAGGAACAAACGGTGGCTCACGCCTGTAATCCCAGCACTTTGGGAGGCCAAGGCAGACGGATCACCTGAGGTCAGGGGTTTGAGACCAGCCTGGCCAACATAGTGAAACCCCATCTCTACTGAAAATACAAAAAAAGTTAGCCAGGTGTGGTGGCAGGCACCTGTAATCCCAGCTACTTGGGAGGGAGGTTGAGGCAGGAGAATCACTTGAACCTGGGAGGCGGAGGTTGCAGTGACGTGAGATCACACCACTGCACTCCAGCCTGGGTGACAGAGTGAGACTCTGTCTCAAAAAACAAACAAATAAACAGGAGCAAAAGCCTAAGCTCAGCTTTGTGGCTCAAGAATAGTGTCCCTGAGGAGGCAGCATTTGAGGAGGGTGTAGAAGGAGGGGAGGGATTTTGATGGGCAGAGACGGTGTAGAAGTGTAGGAGAATTGTGGGAAGTAGATTGTGTGGAAGGCCTCCCCCAGCTTTTATCTCCTCAACAGTGAAGTGGGTTACAAGATTATTTTGCAAGTTAGAAATAATGTTTGTGGAACACACAGGACAGTGTGTGACATTAAAAAAATAAATCAAGTGATTATGATTAAATTAACAACTAGTCACTGACTGTGACAAGGTTGGGGAATCTGAGACTCCTATGTAAGGCTAGTTATTTTGAAGGAAGACAATGCTGGTGGTGTCTTAGGCTCCTAATGGAGGCAAATGAAAATTCTCTCTGTGTGAAAGCATTTTCTACTTGGGTCATAAGAATTTCCATAGATTAAGATCAAGCCTCTGTAAGCTTATAATCAAAGGCCACCAAACTCATTAGGAAATAAGCCACCATGAGGGAGAATCAGCAGAATTAATAAACAACAAATTTTTACTCCCACAAACTTCAGATACTGGAACCATTGAAATAATCAGATACATAATATAAAATCATTCTGATTAAAATATTTAAATGAATAAAAGATGGAATTAGAAAAATGGGAAAATAATCAACGTTTATAAAAAAATTATGAGGTATAGTTGAAAAATGATCAAATAAAAATTTTGGAAATCAAATATATAACTGTTGAAGTAAAAAACTCAATTCAACTAGCCGGGCCTGGGGACGCAGGCCTATAATCCCAGCTACTGAGGAGGCTGAGGCACAAGAATCGCTTGAACCCAGGAGGTGGAGGTTGCAGTGAGCCAGGATCATGCCACTGCACTCTAGCTTGGGTGACAGAGTGAGAATCTGTCTCAAAAATATATATATAACAAAAAAATGAAAAATATAATAAAAACTCAATTCAGATTAAAAATAGCAGGAAAGAGAATTAGAACTTGAAGATATGTCTAAAGAAATTATCTAGGGTGCAACAACACAAATAGATTAGGTGATTAAAACTATTAAAGAGAAGTTAGGAGATACAGAGGACAGAAAGAAACAGACTAATGTATGTCTAATATATTAGACATACTATTGGGAGAGAATAGAGAGACTGGATAAGAGGCAATATTAAAAGTGATAATAGATAGAAATTTTGCAAAGGCTGGGCAGGGTGGCTCATGCCTGTAATCCCAGCACTTTGGGAGGCAGAAGTGGGTGGATCACCTGAGGTCAGAAGTTTGAGACCAGCCTGGCCAACATGGTGAAACCCTGTCTCTACCAAAAATACAAAAATTAGCCCGCCACGGTGGCACATGCCTGTAGACCCAGCTACTCAGGAGGCTGAGGCAGGAGAATCGCTTGAACCCAGGAGGAGGAGGTTGCAGTGAGCCAAGACTGTGCCATTGCACTCCAGCCTGGACGACAGAGTAAGACTCTGTCCGAGAGAGAAAGGAGAGGAGGGGAGGGGATGGAAGGGGAGGGGAAAAGAAATGTTGTAAAAATGGTAAAATACAGTCACGTACCACATAACATTTTGGTCAACAGACTGCATACATCAGTGGCTCCACAAAATTGTAATACTGTATTTTTATTGGACCTTTTCTATGTTTAGATATGTTTAGGCAGACAAAGGTTTACCATTGTGTTCCAACTGCCTATAGTATTCAGTAGAGTAACATGCTGTACAGTCATGTAGCCTAGGAGCCATAGGCTATACCATATAGCCTAGGTGTGTAGGAGGCTACACTATCTAGGTTTGTATAAGGACACTATGATATGCACACAATGATGAAATCACCTAATGACTCATTTCTCAGAACATATCCCGATTGTTAAGTGAGGCATGATGAGATAGACAGATAGATAGATCATCATATACACTAACACACACATAAAATCTTCAGGTCCAAGCACAGCATATATAAGCAAGATGAATGCAAAGAAATTCATAGCTAGACATATTGCAGTGAAACCACAGAACATCAAAGACAGAGAAGACTTAAAAGCTCACAGGGGAAAGGGGCAGATAACCTTCAAAAACACTACATTTAGATCACCACCTGAGTTTTCAGGCAAAGCAATAGAAGCCAAAAGACTCTGGAATAACATCTCCAAAATTCTAAAAGAAAACAACCATCATTCTAGAATTGCGCTTCAGGCAAATGTGTCTTTTAAGAATGAGTGTGAAATGATGACACTTCCATATAAACAAAAACTGAGAGATTTTTACCACTGATAAATTCCCACTAAAAGAATACTAAAAAAAAAAAAAAAATAGCCCAGAAAAAAAAATTTCGAGTGTAAGAATAGTTAGCAAGTAAGCTTACAAACTGAGAGATAAATCTAAAACATTATCTGTGTAAAATATTAATAGTAACAATCTGATTTGTGAGAATTTAAGATGAGATTGAAACTACTGACAACATTGACATTTAAGTAATGGGGAAGTCATTGACATTAAAGTATCATAAAGTCCTTATAGTATTTGGAAGGGGAAGTTAAGATATTTATGGGCTTTCAATTTTCCTTGATACACACAATAAAATTTCAAGGGAGAGATGATAGAAAAGAGGTTTTAAATTTTTGGAATTTTAGAATTTTTAGAATCTTAATATTTGAATTTGGAATTTTAGAATTCCAACAAGTAAAGGGAAAAGCAGAGTTTGAAAACAAAACAAAAACAAACAAAAAACCTCAATTTAAAGAAAAGAAAGAAAAGAAGCATGAAGAAAAATGGAATAAATCTTAGAAACCATATAGTGTGAACAAAGCAAGTCTTAAAATATTATTTAAGGCCAGGCACAGTGACTCGCACCTATAATCCCAGCACTTTGGGTGGCCAAGGCAGGCAGATCACAAGGTCAGGAGTTCGAGACCAGCCTGACCAACATGGTGAAACCTCGTCTCTACTAAAAATACAAAAATCAGCCAGGCATGGTGGCACATGCCTATAATCCCAGCTACTCAGGAGGCTGAGGCAGGAGAATCACTTGGACCTGGGAGGTGGAGGTTGCAGTGAGCCAAGATCGTGCCACTGCACTCCAGCCTGGGCAACAGAACAAGACTCTGTCTCAAAAAAAAAAAAATTATTTAAGGTATGAGACCATCTTTATAAAGCTCAAAAGCAAGCAAAACTGATAAAGCTTTGTGGTAAAGCTAACAAAGCAAAGAAAGGGGATGATAAACACAAAACAGGATTGTAGATTTCCACATGGGGATAGGATGGGGGATGCAAGAGGCACTTTTCATCCAGATGGATCCAGTAGAACTGTTCATTTTAGTCAATCAGTTAGGCACTTAATGTAGTTTGGATATTTGATCCTCCCAACATCGTGTTGAAATCTCTCCCCATGTTGGAGGTGGGACCTATTGGGAGGTGTTTGGGGCAGGGGAGTTGATTGCTCATGAATGACTTGCTGCCATTCTCAAAGAAGTGAGTTCTCATTTTGGGCTGGGTGCAGTGGATCATGCCTGTAATCCCAGCACTTTGGCAGGCAGAGGCGGGAGGATCACATGAGACCAGGAGTTCCAGACCAGCCTGGCCAACATGAAGAACCTCTGCCTCCACTAAAAATACAAAAATTAGCAGGGCGTGGTGGTAGGCGCCTATAGTCCCAGCTACTCAGGAGACTGAGGCACAAGAATCACTTGAACCTGCGAGGTGGAGACTGCAGTGAGCCAAGATCATGCCACTGCCCTCCAGCCTGGGCAACAAAGGGATATCCTGTCTCAAAAAAAAAAAAGTTCTCATTCTTAGTCCCAGGAGAACTAGTTGCTGAAAAGAGCCTGGCATCTCCTCCTCTCTCTCTCGCTTCCTCTCTCACCACGTCATCTGTGCACACAGTCCCTCCACTTCCCCTTCTGCCCTAAGTGGAAACAGCTTGAGGCCCCACCAGAAGCAGATGCAGTGTCAGGCTTCTTGTACAGACTGCAGAACCATACACCAAATAAACCGCTTTTTAAAATAAAGTGCCCAGTCTCAAGTATTCCTTTATAGCACACAAATGGACTAAGACAGCAATGATTTTATGGGTCTTCATTTTGTTGATATGTTTGATAACTTACATGTTATATATATATTATTTGTGTGTTTCAAATATTGCATTAAAAATATTTAAAAATAGGCCAGGCATGGTGGCTCACGCCTGTAATCACAGTACTTTGGGAGGCCGAGGCAGGTAGATGGCATGAGGTCAGGAGTTCAAGACCAGGCTGGCCAACATGGCGAAACTCCGTCTTTACTAAAAATACAAAAAAAAAAAAAAAAAAAAATTAGCCAGGTGTGATGGCCAGTGCCCGTAATCCCAGCTCCTCAGGAGGCTGAGGCAGGAGAATGGCCTGAACCCAGGCAGCAGAGGTTGCAGTGAGCCGAGATCACGCCAGGGCACTCCAGCCTGGGCAACAGAGTGAGACTCTGCCTCAGAAAAAAATTAAAAATAAAATTAAATGCAGAAAACAATAGGAGGGTAAGTTTCCCGAGGACAAGAGCAAAACCAGAGCTTTTCTGTATCCCATCTACTGTACACACAGTGGGCCCTCAACAAATATCTGCTTACATTACAGCCAGGGAATTTGTTTACTTTAGTGCATTACAAAAGAATGAGAAAAGCCGAGTCTTCTCAAAAGCAAACGTCAACGCGGCAGACAGAGGACTAAATTACATGATAACACAGCATATAATATAGTATAATGGGCATGATACAGGTAATAATAACAGAAAAACAAATCTGTTTTTCAGCCATGAATTACACTGTGTCTGTGGCTTTGGGCAAGAAGCATGCCTGTAGTTACCCTGGGCTGCAAGTTGTTAAATCATGATGGATGATCCCATAAGGAACCAAACAAGATCAGTGGAATTCATTGATTTGCCGGGTGCCCTGGGAATTCTTTCATTTCCCCCCAGACCTGACTGCCTCCTCCTATTACTGGGGCAGCAGTTGGGCTATACCACACAGACTAGCCATGAAGCGGGAGAGAGGCCCAGAAATACAAAGCCAGCATTCCAGGTCTAGCCACAAAGATTATAAAATAAGCAGCTCTCTACATCCAATCCAAAGCAACGAGAAGGTGGTTGGGTGGAGGCTGGAAGGACACACTCAAGAATTAAAACTTAGATCTGCAACTGCTGGTTTTGTGTCCGAGAGTGGATTATTTTGCCTGCATACAGCTCAGTTTTTGCATTAGGAAAATAGGAATCATAATGTCTAATTCAAGGATTATTTGGAAGACATCTGCTTGCACCAGATCTAGCACATAGTGGGTGCTCTGCAAATGTCTCCTTTCCTCAGTAAGTTTCCACACATCTTCACCTCTGACCTTCAACTTGTAAATAAAGCAGAGATTGCAATGCTGCGTGACAGAGGAGAAAAATGCTATCTAAAACTACTACTGACTGCAGCTGCTTCTGTCCCTAAGGGAGACACATTATTTCTCTCCAGACTAAATATATTTTCTTTTGCAAAATACTTTGATAGGCAGCTTTGGTTATGAAATGTGAGGCCCCCCAGGGCACAGTTTAGAAGAAGACAGTGAAACAAAGAAGTAGTGAAATAGCTCTGCGTTGTAAAAATGAACAGAGATGCCAGGGTTTGGCGGTATGCTAGGAAGCGCAGTGATAAGAGAAAGCACATTGCAACAGCAATCCCTGTTGCTGTTCTTCACCTGACAGCCCGTCCTCTCCTCTTCCACTACTTTATAGCTGTCATTAGAAATTAATCTGGCCGAGCACTGTGGCTCTCACCTGTAGTCCCAGCACTTTGGGAGGCCAAGGCGGGCAGATGACAAGGTCAAGAGATCAAGACCATCCTGGCCAACATGATGAAACCTTGTCTCTACTAAAAATAGAAAAATTAGCTGGGTGTAGTGGTGTGTGCACCTGTAGTCCCAGCTACTCAGGAGGCTGAGGCAGGAGAATCGCTTGAACCCAAGAGGCAGAGGTCGCAGTGAGCCGAGATTGCGCTACTGCACTCCAGTCTAGCGACAGAGCGAGACTCCGTCTCAAAAAAAAAAAAAAAGAAATAAATTATCTTCAATCTGAGGAAACCAATTTAGAAAAAGAAAAATAAACAAAATAAAGAAATTATCAGCATCTTACTTACTATATAGTCTACTTATTCACTGTATGTCTCTTCCCTCAAGAAAGGAAGTTTCCTAAGGGCAGCATTTATGTGTATTTTATTCATTGTCGTTTCTCCAGAGCCCAGAAGAGTGCTTGGAAAATAAGAGGTATTCATTATGTTTTTCTTCAATAAATGACTAAGAGGGGAGTTTTAAAGCAAAACTTCTACTGCCAAACTGCAGCTCAATGAGAATACAAAACTATTGTTTTAAGTGTGAGTTTAGGGGTTGTTTGTTATATGGCATTATTGTAGCAACAGCTGACTAATACAGATAGCAATATTGGTTGCATTCAGATATGATTTAAATCACATCAAAGTTGCAAGACTGAGGTTTGGGGCTCAGATTCTCCTGAATTTAATCCTGTCCCATTATATCAGAGCCTCTCTTTTCTCCTCTGTAGGGAATAAACCCTCCTTCTGGAGTGATGAAATGATAACCTTCTTCACAGGTCACTGTGAGAATTAAAACACCACTTTTTTCATAAAAAGCACTCAATAAATATCAGTCATTACCATCTATCTACTCAAACAATTCTGATGTTTAATGGGTTCACTTATTCTCCAGGTAAAGTCAGTCCTGCTAAAAAATGAACATAAGATTTTGATCCTGTACAGTGCTTGAAGTTAAAGGTATGTAATATGAAATAATATTTTTTGAATAAATTAGCAAAGTCAAATTAATTATAACACTTAAAGCTTATGAAGCAAAATGGTTATTTGCACTCATTAAAAATAGGTATAACTTCCTTGTTTTTTTGAGATGTAATATGACCATATTTTATTAAGAACCATAAAAAATCTTTAGATATTTTGATCAATGTCTACCTTCTAGAATTTATGTTAAGGAAATTATTGTAAATTTTTAAAAAAATATTTTGTGAATGCACATCTTTATTGAAGCATATTTGGTTGCATACTACTTTGAATTCAGAAATAGAAAGTCAACAGAAAATGCCATTCTCATGCAAATAATCAAAACAAATTAGATGAGCTACAAAGCTATTTGGAAAAAAAAAAACCTTCAGTGAACTAAGGACAGAGAAAAATCCAAATGAACTAAATTCCACAAAGTGAAGATCATTTTAGAGGAGAGGAGAGATTTACTACAGGTCTTATCAAAAGCATGCTCTTTTGGATGTAAATATTTTTTACTTTAGTCTCTACTGTTCTTTTATACAGAATTTTCAGTATACAATCAAACATTAGAAGACATATTAATATTTTTTTAAAGAACAACAAAAAAGTGGCCTATAGTTAAGAGTAGAAACAATCAAGAAAAACAGATCCACAGATGACTCAGATGTTGGAATTATTAGACAGGGAATTTAAAATAACTATAATAAAAATGCCAAAAGCCTAACGAAAAATATAGATAACATGCATGAAGAAATGGAAAATTTCCTAAAGACACGTTCACCAGGAAACATTAGAAGAAAATCAAATGGGATAAGTAGCAATGAAAAATACAGTATTAGAAATCAATAACATCAGATGTACTTAACAGCACACTGGAAAAAAAACAGATGAAAGCATCAGGGACTAAAGGCAGATCAATAGAAAGTATCCAAACTGAAACACAAAAGGCAAAAATAGTGGAAAAAATACAACAGAATATTCAAGATCTGTTGGACAGTATAAATGAATCTAACATGATATCAAGTGATGTAACAGAAGTTCCAGAAAGAGAAGAGAAAAACTGGATCGATAATATATTTGATATAATAACCATCTGAGAACATTCCAAAATGGATGAAAGACATAAACCTGTAGAGCCAAGAAGCTCAGTGAACCCTAAGCAAGATAAATATAAAGAAAACCTTACCTAGCTATGTAACAACCAAAAATCACATAAAACAATAAACAGCAAATCTAAAAAGCAATAGGAATAAAATGACACATTAAATACATTAGAAAAAAATTTATGATGGCTAACTTTTCATCAGAATCTAGAATAAAAGCCAGAAAACAATTAAATGACATCATTGAGTACGACAAGAAAAAAGAAATGGAAGCAGAGAATTCTATGTCTAGCAAAAAATATCCTTCAAAATGAAGATGAAATAAAGATATCCTTAGAGAGACAAAATCTGAGATACTTGCTGATACTTCAGGCTGAGGGAAATTATATCAGATGGAACCCCAGATGTGCAGAAAGGAATTAAAAACACCAGAAAAGGTAAATATTTGTATAAATGGAAAAGACCTTTTTTGACTTTTATTTTTACATTTATAATTTCTCAAATATTTAAGTGACTATTTACAGTGTAGACTGGAAATAATAACGTATGATAGGATTAATACCATATGTGTCACTGTAACACAGAATATAACAAGAGCACAAAAGGCAGGATTGGACATAAGTGGAATTATACTGCAGCATGATTTTTATACTGTGAATTAGGTTAAACATTGTTTGAAGGTATACTGTGAACATTTACATGTAGTTTCTATAGTAACCACTAAATTTTTTAAAAAGGAAATATAATCTAACTATCCACAGAGGATATAAAAGTAATATTAAGAATACTTAATTTTCCCCTGAAAAGACAAAAATGAACAAAGGAATAAAGAATAAATACCATAAATATAAAACAAATACCAAGATGGGAGACATAAGTTGAATCATATCAATAATTACCTTAAATGTAAATGGACTAACTCCTCTAATAAAAAGTCAGAGCTTAGTAAATTGGATATGAAAGGCAACACCCAACTATAGGTTGTTTTTGAGAAACACAATTTTATTATAAAGATACAGGCCAATAGAAAGTAAAAGGATAGAAAAAGATATAGTATGAAAACACCAAAAATAAGAAATCTGGTATGACTATGTTAATATCAGACAATGTAGCATTTAAACAAAGAGTATGACTGGATATTAAGAAGAATACCTCAAAATAATAAAAAAAGGATAATTGAGAAGAAAACAATCATGAATATAGACGTACCTAACAACACATTTCCAAAACTCACAAAGGAAAAACTGACAGAACTGAAAGGAGAAATAAAAAAAAATTCACAATCATAGTTGGAGAATGTAAACCCTCTTGGTGCAGGTTGAACATCCCTTATCCAGAATGCTTGAGACCAGAAGGATTTTGGATTTTTCCGGACTTTGGAATATTTGCATTATACTTACTGGTTGAGCATTCCTAATATGAAACTCCAAATCCAATGAGCATTTACTCTGAGCACTCAAAAAGTTTTAGATTTTGGAGCATTCCAGATTTCAGATTTTCAAATTAGGGATGCTCAACTTATAACTGATAGAACAAGCAGATCAAAGATTCAGTAAACACTATTTGAACAACTCTGTAAACCAAACTGACATAATATTTTAAACTACTACATCCAACAGCTGCAGAAAACTCATTCTTTTAAAGTTGTCATGGAACATTCAGCAAAATAGACCATATTCTGGATCATATAAAAGTATTAATGAATATCAAAGAATGAAATCATACAGAGTAACACGATAGAATAAAATCATTCACAGTAAGATATCTAGCAAATCCCCTAAGTATTGGGCAATAAAACAACCCTCTCCTAAATAACCCATAGATCAAAAAAGAAATCATAAAGGAAACTGTAAAATATTTTGAACTGAATAATATGAAAATATATCAAAATTTGTGAAATAAAGCTAACGCAGTGCTTAGAAGAAAATTTATGACTTTAAATACTTACACTGGAGAAGAAAGGTATATACAACCTTCCATCTTAAGAAGCTAGAAAAAGAAGAAGAGGGTAAACCTAAAGCAAGTAAAAGAAAGGAAATACTAATAGTAAAGTGGCAATACAAAGTCTTAACAACAATGGACAAAAAAAAGAGGGAAAGCACAAATTGCCCACATAAATAAAAATGAAACATCACTACATATTCTAAAAAATGTTAAAAGGGATAAATATTAAAACATTCTAACAATTCAACAACTTATATTAATTAATCCAAATCACAAATTACTAACAACTGAAGACACAGAAAATAAATAACCCCATAGCTATTAAAGAAATTAAATTTGTAAAACCTTTCTAAAAAGAAAATTTTCCACATATATGGTTCATTAGTAAATTCTACAAAACATGTAAGGGAGAAATATCAATATTGCACAAATTCGGAACATAGAGGAAGAGGTATCACTTCCCAATTTAATATAGAAGGCCAGCATCACCCTGACCCCAAAATATAACAAAGCTATTACAAGTAAAAAAATAACAGCCTAATCCCTCATGAACATAGGCAAAAATTTCTTTTTTTTTTTTTTTTTTTTTTTTGAGACAGAATTTCACTCTTGTTGCCCAGGTGGGAGCACAGTGGCACAATCTCGGCTCACTGTAACCTCTGCCTTCCGGTTTCAAGCGACTCTCCTCACTCAGCCTCCCAAGTAGCTGGGATTACAGGCGCCCACCAACACGCCCAGCTAAATTTTGTATTTTTAGTATAAACGGGGTTTCACCATGTTGGTCAGGTTGGTCTCAAACTCCTGACCTCATGATCTGCCCTCTTTGGCCTCCCAAAGTGCTGGGATTACAGGTGTGAGCCACCGCGCCCAGCCCATAGGCACAAAAATTCTAAACCAAATATTTGCAAACAGAATCCAGCTCTCTCTCTATATATATGTATACATATCTATATATATATCTATAGATACATGTATATCTATAGATGTATATATATAGATATATATAGATACATATATCTATAGATACATTTATATGTATCTATAGATATATATGCATACATACATATAAAGAATAATACATCATGACCAAGCAAGGTTTATTCCAAGAAAGCAAGGTTGGTTTAATGAAAATCAATCAATATAATTCATCATACTATAACAGAGTAAGAGGGAAAACCATTTGATCATTTCAAAATACACAGAAAAAAAATTTGACAGAAATCATTATTTCTTTATGATAAAAACACTCAGTGAAACTAGGAATAGATGGGAACATCTCCAATATGATAAGGTTCATCTTTAAAAACCTACAGTTAATATCATAATTAATAAAATATTAAATCTTTTTCTCCTAAAATCTGGAACAACAAAAGGATGCCCACTCTCATATGCTGTGTTCAGTATTTACTGAAGTTTTTAGCCAGAACATAAGGCAAATAAAAGAAAGAAAAGGCACAAAGTTAGAAAAGAAGTAAACTGTCATTATTTACAAAAACATAATTTGTCTAAAACCTGGAAGCAAAACTAATATCCAAAAATAGATCCTTTGACTACATTTCAGGGAATCCATTTAACAGACTATTCTGTAGTCATTTAGAATGAGATTCTATTAACAGTGCTAATAAAATGGAAAGTGTTTGCTAAAACCAGCTGTAAAAAACATTTTAGGGGAATGGTGGGGAAACATGGACTGGTTATTAGACAATTTTAAAGAGTTATTTTTCTCTTTGTTAGAAGTGATGGTGCTATGTGGTTATGTGAAATTTTGCATTTTAAGAAACACATTCTTAATCATTTAGACCAAAGGTTTTCAACCTCAGCACTACCGGCATTTAGAACCAGATAATTCTTTGTTTTGGAGGGGGCAGTCCTGTGCATTGTAGTATGTTTAGTAACATCCCTGATCTCTACCAGGGATGCAGGCATGCTTTCTTTTGTGACAACCAACATTGTCTCCAGACAGTGCCAAAAGTCCTCTTGCGGAGGACAAGGGTCAAAATCACCCTCAGTTGAGAGCCACTGATTTAGGGTTTAATATCATGATGTCTGTACTTTCTTTTGAACCACTTAAGAAAAAAAATGCACAAAGAAAATATAATATTAGTGTTAATTCTAAGCGATAAATACATGGGTGTGTATTATGCTATCTTTTTTTATTCTACCTTTTACTTAGGTATTTTGTTTACATACTTGTTATATATATAATTTTTTTTAGATGGAGTCTTGCTCTGTTGCCCAGGCTGGAGTGCAGTGGCATGATCTTGGCTCACTGCAACCTCTACCTCCCAGGTTCAAGTGATTCCCCTGCCTCAGCCTCTTGAGTAGATGGGATTACAGGCACCCACCACCAAACCCAGCTAATTTTTTTTATTTTTAGTAGAGATAGCGTTTCACCATGTTGACCAGGCTGGTCTCGAACCCCTGACTTCAAGTGATCTGCCTGCCTCAGCCTCCCAAAGTGCTGGGATTAAAGGCATGAGGCACCACACCCAGCCGACATACTTGTTATATATATACTTTTTATTTTATTTTATTATACTATCTACTTTTCTGTTTGAAAGTTTCATAATAAAAGTCAAAATAATTATAATATGCTATAAATGGAAAATGCAATACAATTGTATGGCACTACGATTAAAAGTATACCTAATGCTAAATGACGAGTTAATGGGTGCAGCACACCAACATGGCACATGTATACATACGTAACTAACCTGCACGTTGTGCACGTGTACCCTAAAACTTAAAGTATAATAATAAAAAAAATGAAAAAAATATGCAAAATTACATATACAAAAACTACTCAAAGGAGTATGTTCAAGAGGAGTAAGTCTTTTCAGCAGTGTGCCCCAGCCACTCCAGCGACAGTGGGGATCAATGTAGGTTGGCTGTGCCACAGCCACCTGAATTCACTATGATCATTAATCCTCTCCTCCCATCTTTTGTGCTTTACCAGCTGTATAATGAATCCTAGGATAAAGTAGAAACAAGGAGGAATCAAAGAGAATGTAAAGAACAGTTTCTCCCCAAGAAGAACTCTGAAGATGATTCATCCTTCCAAGCCAGATCTCTTGTCGGAAAAAAAAAAAAAAAAAGTGACTGGCCCAAAGCATATCCAAGAGGAAGCATTGGAATGACCAGTTGACAGCCAGGACTTCCCACTCTAGAGTTGTCATTGTCCCAGAATAGAGTGACAATTAAAATCTTGGAGGAGTCACCCAAGAAGCATTTGATCTTAGGATTAAATGAAATTTATCCCCTCAATATTGGAGAGAAGTAGCAGAACAAAGGAACACCCTCTATGAAACACTTAAGGAAAATGAGAAGCTTCACAGAGAAATTGAAGAAAGAACAATGAAATTGACCACTTGGAAAAGGAGAGTAAACAACTGGCAAAAGCGGCAGAGTACAGTATATGACAGAGGCAACCCAGAGACTGAATGATGAACCTCTGGATAACTCTGAAGCACCAGATAGTCAGGAATTTGATTCTGAAGAGAAAACTGGTGAAGATTCTCAAGTGGAAAACCCAAAAATTGGCACATGCACTGAGAATCCTGTCTTCCTCTACAGATGCAAAACCTTGCATGTAAAATTTAGGATTCACAATTGTCGAGATATGAAACCAACCTAAGTGCCCATCGACCAATGAGTGGATAAAGAAAATGTGTGGTACATATACACCATGGAATACTACTCAGCCATGAAAAAATAATGATATAATAATGTCATTGCAGCAACTTGGATGGAGCTGGAGGCCATTATTCTAAGTGAAATAACTCAGGAATGGAAAACCAAATACCATATATGCTCACTTATAAGTGGGAACTAAGCCATAGGTACATAAAGGCATACAGAGTGATATAATGGACACTGGAGACTCAGAAGAGGAGAGGATGAAAAGGGAATGAAGGATACAAAAACTACATATTGGGTACAGTGTACACTACTCAGGTGACAGGTACTAAAATCTTAGACTTTACCACTATATAATTTATAATTCATCCATGTAACCAAAAACCACTTGAACCCCAAAAGCTATTGAAATATATGTATATGTAAACACACACACACACATATGTAAGTCTTACATGTTAAACCTATTAATATTTGACTCTTGAGAAATATACCATCCAGTGGGTTCACCTGGCCCCCTGCCTAGACAGAGCCAATTTAGCAAGATGGGGGAACTGCAGTGGAAAAACAGTAATTCACACGGAGCCACGTGTGCGGGAGACCTGAGTTTTATTATTATTCAAATCAGCCTTCCTGGAGCATTTGGGGATCAGAGTTTTTAGAGATAATTTGGTGGGTAGCGGCTCAGGAAGTGGTGCTGATTGGTCAGGTTGGAGATGGTATCATAGGGGGTCGAAGTGAGGTTTTCTTGTGGTCTTCTGTTCCTGGGTGGGATGGCAGAACTGGGAGCCAAGTTACCAGTCTGGGTGGTGTCAGCTGATCCACTGAGTGCAGGGTTTGCAAAATATCTCAAGCACTGATCTTAAGTTTTACAATAATGACGCTATCCCTAGGAGCAATCTGGGGAGGTTCAGACTCTTGGAGTCAGGGGCTGCATGACCCCTAAACCATAATTTCCAATCTTGTAGCCAATTTGTTAGTCCTACAAAGGCAGACTGGTCACCAGGCAAGAAGGAGGTCTTTTCAGGAAAGGGCTATTAACAATTTTGTTTCAGAGTCAAACTGTAAACTAAATTCCTTCCCAAGGTTATTTTGGCCTATGCCCAGGAATGAATAGGGATAGCTTTAAGATTAGATGCAAGGTGTAGTTGGTTAGGTCTGATCTCTTTCACTGTCATAATTTCCTCAGTTATAATTTCTGCAAAGGCAGTTTCAAGTTTACCTCCAGTATAGTTCTTTAAAGCAGAACACATAACTACATAATGCAACCTCTGAGATCAAAATTCTTTGTTTGAATCCTGGGACCCTATTGTATTAAAATACAAACACTGTATATTTTTAATTTATGATGTTTTATGTGAACAGCATTTTCTCAATTGTCAGACATGACTTGTGTAAATGACTAAAGAAACTTCAATCTCCTATTGAAAAAAAAAAGAAATATATTCAAGGGGTTGTGGATGAGTCTGAGTGTAATTCATGGTTGATTTCACTTCCTGGATGTTAAAGTAATCTGTAATTATCTGCTTTTATATTGAAAAAAATTGACAAAATCTAACAGTGTCAAAATGCAATATTATTAATCATTCATGGCCTAATATTAGAAGAGAATTAGCAGAAAACACAGCAGAGAAGAGAGACTTGCAGACTGGAGGTCTTCCATCCACTACGAAGAAAGCATCTAGAGGCGGAATAGCTTTGAATGGGCATACATCTGCATAATGACTTTTCCTTTGTTCTTTTCTCACTGGCTAATTGAGTAACTCCTACAACAAATATGCCTTCAGACTTCACACCAGATTAGAGCCCTTTGTAAATAAAATTAAAGTTGGGAATATGCTTTCCCTAGCTGGTAAATAAATTCAGGAAGTCTGAGGTTTAGCACTGCATGCCAAGATGTCTAAGTAAATCTCAAATTCTTCCATATTTTGAAATAAACACCAAGGATTATCAAATGCCAAGAACTCCCAAGAAGAAAATAGCTCACCTCACTCTCTGAATCAGAGACCCTCTCCAATCAAAATGTCCCACCTGAAAAGTAGTCTTCTCTCCTACCCCATCACAGACATATGGATGTTACTGATGTCATGTGTGTCTGGAATATTGCCTGGTTCCTATGACAAGAACAATAAAATCTCTTAGTATTCTGCGGCAAACAGTCTCTTTCTCATTTATCCACCTCTGCATTGAACATGAGTCCCTCCTATGGGCCCAGGCATTCTTCTAATCATTGGCATCACAATAGTGAACCAAACAAAAATGCTGGTCCTCAGAGAGCTTAGTTTTTAGAGGGTTCTTCCAAAATCCTAGCAGTGGTGACCACAAGCAGAGGATAGATCCTGGGTAACCAGAGTCAGGTTATGCAATGCTTGTGTTCATCATGTCAGGATAAAAATCTTCATCTGATTTCAGACTCACCACACGGCATCGTCATAAGGTCATAAGTCATGGACTATTTGAGAAAGCACTAAGCTAAGAGGAGAAAAAGTGCCCTTGAACCTTTCTGAACCCAATGGTATCTGCCTAAGAGATGGGGAAGCTGAACTAGGTCACACTGAGATGAGAAGGGGGCTCCACCCATGATGTCCTTGTCTCAGAATAAGTCAGCCTCTTATGCTATAATATGTGGATCAAAAGAACAGGATGGGCTGGGCGCAGTGGCTCACGCCTGTAATCCCAGCACTTTGGGAGGCTGAGGTGGGTGGATGACCTGTGGTCAGGAATTTGAGACCAACCTGGCCAACATGGTGAAACCCCATCTCTACTAAAAATACAAAAAATTAGCCAGGCATGGTGGTGGGTGCCTGTAATCCCGGCCACTCCAGAGGCTGAGGCAGGAGAACTGCTTGAACCTGGGAGAGGGAGGTTGCAGTGAGCCGAGATTGTGCCACTGTACTCCAGACTGGGCAACAAGAGCAAAACTCCATCTCCAAAAAAAAAAAAAAAAGAAAAGAACAGGATGTGGGATCAGAGGAGCCCTCCAAGACAAGTGGCTTCAGTTCAAATATAAGCTCTGTCGTTTGTTCAGTGTTTCACCAGACAAAGTACTTGAGTGTCCTGCTTCAGTTTCCCCATCTGTAAGCTGAGGTGAGCAAGAATACTTCACAGAGTTGTTATGAGAGATAAGTGGAATGTTTCATGGGAGGCAGTAAGCACAGTGCGTGCCACATAGTAAACACTCAATAAATGTTAGCTATTTCCACTAATACAGTATAGTATATATAATATAATAATGTTAGCTAGTTATGAGTCATTATGAACTTAGTTACTCACCCAAAGGCCCCAGTTATATCCTGAATGCACACCATGTGCCAGGCATCATGCTAACTGCTGTTTATATTTTCTTCTTTACTTCCTCCAGCAGCCTATAATGGAAGTTATCATGGTCTTTATTTTACAGGTGAGGATACTGAGCTCAGAGATGTGAAGCAACCTGCCCAAGGTCATGCACCCAGGAGTGGCAGGGTCAAGATGCAAACCCAGGCAGAAATTACTCGAAATTCCATGTTCTCTTCCCAACACAATCTCTGTCTTATTTCTGTCTTTCCAATGACACCAGTATTTCCAAACTTTCACCTTACCACATTCTTTAAGCAACACATTATGCAGATTTCTTTTTTAACTGGCAACCTGAGGCAGGTCTCTCTTAACCGCTGTCAGCCTAAGCTCACTGCTAAAGCACCATCTCTATGTGCCCCCAGACCTTTGAGCACTGTCAAAATCAGAAATGCATTCACCCTGTAACTCAGCAATTCTACTTTTGGAAATTTATCCTAGAATATACGTACACCTGTACACAATGACATACATGCAATGTTATTCATCGCATTGTGGTTTGTAATAGCAAAAGATGAGAACTTTCCCAATTGTTCATCAAGAGAGAAATAATTAAATAAGACATAATATAGCCATTATAATAGAAAAACATATAATTATAAGTAAGAATGAAAGAACTCACTATACCCTGATACAGAAAGATAAGCAGGATATAAGTTTTAAAAGGCAGGATACAGAACTGTGTAATAAAAAAAAAAGAAGTGCATATACATTTGTATTTGCTTGTACATACCTGAAATTCTGCAAAGATAAAGAAGAAACACATAACAATGGCTGTCTGTGAAAAGGAAATGTTCCAGGCAGAAGGGACAATTTTCACTGACTATTCTAGCATACTCTTGTTTTTAAATTTTTCAATCATATGAATGACCGGCCTGTTCAAGAAATGAAACAATTTTGAAAATACGGGTTTTAAGAGTATAGGATTAAGAGTATAGGATTTTTTTTAAGAGTATAGGATTAAGAATCAGAAATTTGAGTCCAAGTTCGGGGCAAACTTGGATACCTTACTTTATTTCTATCAGCCTTCATTTCTTCATTAGCAAAATCTCCAAGTCCCTAAATACTGGGGACTTTGGCCAACGTTATCATAGCTACCATTTATTAAGTGGTTACTTTTGCCAAGCCCTATACTGGAGCCTCCTAAGAATTTGCCTCATTGAGTCATCGCAAGCAACCCTATGAGATAGGAACTATGATTACTCCCATCTCACAGATGAGCAAACTGAAGCTCAGTGCGGGGGTATAACTTGCCCAAGGTCACACAGCCAGTATGTGGCAGAACCAGAATTCAAACCCAGGTCTCTCAAGCCTGTATTTGGACTCAATGGTTTGCTGCCTCCATCCACATTGACAGTTTTCCTAGTTGTGTTCCCTGCCTCTTGCATAAATCCCACCCACCAGTTCCCTTCTGAAATTGCCAGCCTCCACCAGGCCTGGCCCTTGCTCATTTCCAATCACCCTTTATCCACCATAGCTTTGGAAATGGACTGTTACTAATGGCTAGTCATATGTCAGCCTAATGAATGGGAGGCAGACTTCCATTAAAATAATGAAATTAGCGAGTTTTGAATTTGGTTACATCGCATGGCACACAGCCTCAAGTAATGACCACCCCATGCTCCTTCCTACAAATTAAAGTCAGTTTATTTATTTAAGGTCTTTGGCTTGGCCATCTCTATTAAGCTCACATCATCTGTTTAGGGATGGATTTTTTTTTTTTTTTTTTTGGCCTTGTTTGTTTAAATGATGTTCGGGCTGTTCCCCTGATTAATAAAGTCGTAAACACAGTCAGGAGCAGCTTCTGAACCATGTGCAAAAGCAAAGAATGTAAGTCAAAGAACAATTCTTTGGGGGTTTGGGTTTTGTTTGTTTGGGGTGTTTTTTTTTCCTCCAAAGGATGGAAACAATAAGAAAGAAGCTCTTTGAGCTCCAGAAACTCCAATTATGCTGACATTTCTGCTGCAGAAATACACCAAGCTCCATTTTGCAGGAACCCAGTGAACTAGCTAATCAGATTTCCTTGGATAATTTGCTCCAAAGGTCAGCTGCCTTAAAAAGCACCCAGTGCCTCATTATTTGGTAAAGCAGGCTGCATGCGGGCTGCGATTTGGAACTCAGCCTCCCATGGCAAGGTAGTTTTTCTGGAATTTTTTAGCCCAGACCCTGCAGCCTTAGCTTTGGCCAAAGTCTCATCCACCTTTGTGATCAGCCCGCAGACAAAATCATTACCAGAAAAAGCACCTGAATCTCTGAGTCTGTGAGGTCTCTGTCTCCAAGACAGGTCTCTCTCGTGTCCCAGGAGCACCAAAGATGGCAGACTCATCTGAAATGTTCATGCCATTGGTCAATTTCAAGGGAGGCTTTTACTGATACTGTGATGGGTAGGCGGCCAGACCTAGGTTCTAATCACCAAGTCCAATTCTACAAAATCCCTAACCAGTACCCCTCAAAACTATCAAGATCATGAAAAATAAGGAAAGATGGAGAAATTGTTCCATACCAGAAGAGACTACAGAGACGTGAGAATAAATGCAACATGAAACTCTGGATTGAATCCTGGACAGGAAAAAGACATTAGTAGAAAAACTGGTGAAATTCAAATAAAATTTGGAATGCAATTAATAGTTTCCAAAGTTGTGACAAAGACATTAACATTTTTTTAACATTAAAGAAGCTGGGCACAATGGCTGACACCTGTAATCCCAGCACTTTGGGAGGCCGAGGTGGGCAGATCACGAGGTCAGAAGTTCAAGACCAGCCTGGTGGTCTTGACCACCAACATGGTGAAACCTCGTCTCTACTAAAAATAAAAAAATTAGCTGTGAGGTGACGTGTGCCTGTAGTGCCAGCTACTTAGGGGGCTGAGGCAGGAGAATTACTAGAACCAAGGAGGTGGAGGTTGCAGTGAGCCGAGATCGTGCCACCACACTCCAGCCTGGTGATCGAACGAGATTCCGTCTCAACAACAACAACAAAATTTAAGAAAAACTGAAACTGAGAAGGGATTTCTTGGAACTTGCTATAGTATCGTTGTAACTTTTCTATAAATCTAAAATTATTTCAAATTTTAAATATCTGTATATACCATTAAAAAATCCATTGTGTATTAGTTATAGTTTGATGAAAATAAGTTTAAATAATACATAATTATTGTTCTATTATAAACTTGATATCCTAGTCCTGATATGATATCATAGTCTTGACATGTGATATCATAGTCTAAAAACAAAACAACAAGACCAGAGAGGAAGGTAAAGCCATTCCTACAACTGAATTTTTATTCAATCTCTTTTAAGATCCCAGCAAAGAAAAAAAGAAACAACAAAAAGTAGGACTTTGGTTAAGCTAAAATAAAATATGATGGATAGTCTCTCTCTATAAACTGACACAGGAAAATCCAAGACAAAGAAACTAGGTTTTGTTTGTTTGTTTGTTTGTTTTTACCACTCCCACCAACCTCACCACTCTGAAGGATTGTAATATCACAAGAATAGCTTACAAAGCAAACATCACTGGCTTAGCTTCCACTCTCACAGATTTTTAAGACACCCAGCTCCAATCCTCACCCTCTGATCCTTCTCATCTTGTAGAAAGAGATGCATGAAGAGTCCATTGTGAACCAGGCATTGTGCTTGATGACGGAGACACCAAGTCAACTTGGACCAGGTCCTTCCCCTTAAGGAGTCTTGGAAAATTTGCTCAAGAGAGTCTCAGCTGAATCTCGAAGGAAGAAGAGGAGGTAGTTGGATGAAGAAAGAAAGGAGGCTTCCAGAAAAAGAGCACAGTGCATGCCAGGACATCTAAATCATGACACTTAGATACCTGCATAAAGAGGACAAAATTGAGGTGGGAGGAGTTAGAAAGGGCCCCCAGGTAATGGCCTTGTGTGGTAAAGGATTTAACTTTCTCCTGAAGGAGATAAGGAGTTTTAAGCAAGCATTTTAGAAAGATTCAGCAGAGGACAGTGGATAGAGGGTGAGGCCAAAAGCAGGAAGACTATCATCCAGGCCACACATTTCTGAATACAATGCCCAGAGACAGTGGGAGAGATTTCTCCAAGGATTCTTTGCAGGAAACAAGGGTCCCTGCAATGATGAGACCTGAGTTTCCTATTTCTCTAGTAGCTTTGTAGCTCAGCACCCATCCCAACTGCAGCTGGAAGATGTCCTCTGCTATTTCTCCATTCCATACTCCAAGTCCCTGCCCTGCAGTATGTATGTACCTTTTGCCACCCACCCTCTGACTCTGTTACATTGTATATTGAATCTTCAACCTAAAGATCTCAACTGCTTACAAAAAAGAAGAGAATTATGTGGGCTTAATAATGTTAAGGGCAGTTACCACATGAGCACTGACTATATCCAAGCATTGTGTTAGCCTTTAACCTGCAAAGAAAAATACAATTATCCCCATCTCAGAACATAAGAGGAAAATTGAGACTCCCAAGAAGTTAAATAACCTCCTATATAGCTTTTAACATGGGTGGGGATAGGATATGGATTTGAGAATGTCTGATTCCAACCACCCTTTTATGGCACCTCACTGGCTCACTTTTAATTTCACTTGCTGATTTATTACAAATCTCCCTCTCCTTCAGAATCAAACACAAACTCATTATGCTGGGCCAAAATAAAATCTGAATGGCCATACCCAATTGTTTTTAAAATGTTCAGCCTTCCCTGACAGATGTATGACATTGCAACACTACAGCTTTGGAGTGGCTGGCTTAACGCCAAGGAGTGGTTCCAAATCTCTTTTCCAGTGGAACAGTAGCACAAATTTGGTCTACCATCTAAAACCAAATAATGGCTGCCCTTTTCCTCTTCCTGGAAAAAAATGACATAGATGGGTAAATGGATTAATGAATGGATTAGACGGATAAATGGATGGATGAGTGAATAGATGGATGGATGGATAAATGGATGTGTGTGTGGATGGATAGATGGATGGATAAATGGGTAAGTAAATGAATAGATGGATAAATGGATGAATGGATGGATGAATGAATGGATAGATGAATGCAAAGTGGATGGATAGATGGATGGATAAGTGGATGAAAGAATGGATAGATTAATGGAAAGTAAATAGATAGATGGATGGATAAATGGATGAATGGATGGATGGGTAAATAGATGAATAAATTGATGGATGCATAAATGGATCCATCTATGGATAGGTGGCTAGATAATAAATGGATGGGTAGATGAATAAATGGATAGATGGGTGAATAAATGAATACATGAATATACATTTACAATATAGAATATTTCTCAAGGGGAACATAGAAAACTATCAATAGTGGTTGCCATTTCTGTGAAGAAACAAACTGGTTAGGACAAGGATGGGAGTGGAAACTACCTTTTACTATACACTCTTTTGTATCTTTCCAATTTTGAGCCATACGTGTATAATACCTATTTTTAAAATAAATAGCAATATAAAACTAATTTCAAATACTTTTGTTAAATGTATATATGAATGGGTGGACAGAAGAATAAATAAGTCCTAAGTTTTTAAACAAATAAGATTCAACTGTTATTTTCCCCACTGATTTTTCTTTAAATCTCGGCACTAACTTCTACTTCCCTACATAAGAACATAATGTAATGCGTATCCACCTTAGTGCACAATCAACTACAAAATTTGGTTATTCAAATGGAATATGTCAATAACATTGTGTTGCTTTGCAAAGAGCACCTTGACTTCAAGGTGTGTCCGCTTACGTCTGTTCAAGGACCTCTCTGCAGGAGTTAGAGTAAGGGACAACAGTGCTGAGGCCTGGACACATGATCCCACCCAAGTTTCTTTTTCTGTTGTTGGTTTTTATTTTGTTTTGTTTTTTTGAGACAGGGTCTCACCCTATCACCTAGACTGGAGTACAGTGGCACAATCTCGGCTCACTTTAGTATCCACCTTTCGGACTCAGGCAATTTTCCCATTTCAGCCTCCCGAGTAGCTGGGACTACAGGCATGCACCACCATCCCTGGCTAATTTTTTGTAGAGATGGGGTCTCATCAGGTTGCCCAGGCTGGTCTCAGACTCCTGGACTCAAGCGATCTGGCCTGCCTTGACCTACCCAAAGTGCTGGGATTACAGGTGTGAGCCACCACACTTAGCCAAGTTTCTTTAAGCCATAATTCTCCTCTGTGCAAGACCTGCATACTGGGCTTCTGAACACTGCCCCCTGCACCATTTGGGGAACATAAGGAAGGGCTATGAGTAAGGAGACCTTGCCAAGGGAAAGATTAAAAAACAAACAACTTCCCCAGCCACCATCAATAGCATTTCCAGGAAGAAATAAACAGAACGGACTCTTGGCCATAAAGGATTTATCACTTTCCTTTCCATTGGTGTGGAAATGAAGCAGGGTTGCTTCAAAACTGCATTTTCCAGCTTTCCAAGGAGCTGTGTGGATTCCATATCCTAGAGAAGTCGACACCGTTCTAGTAAGTTGGCATGGACCCCAGGTCCTACCCTTAAGGGCTTAATACTCTGATGCAATATATAAAATATAATTTAATAAAAGACTGAGGCAGTATTTGTGTACCAAGTGTCTATAGCAAGTACCAAGGTATTTGCATGGATTGGGGGTGGTAGCAAGTGTGTGATATTCTCCTTCTAAATCCCCTGCGTGTGGGGATGGAATTTTTAACAGTGGGCGATGTGATAGGACGATCAGAGATATGCAAAACCACCTTTTTAGTGGTGGGACACAGTCACAGTTGTATTCCTTCTGGGACTATTTGGAAATCACACATTTCTCATCAAGTAAGAAAATGAAAACAGAGAAAAACCAGTTGACAGTGATGGCTCAATAGCGCCATCTCGTGGTGATCTCTGTCCCCACTCCAAGAGCAGTCCATGGGCCCCACCCCTTCCGGGATGTTTTGCCCCCTCTGTATCTGAGTCCCAGAAGGCAGTGCAAAAGGGATCTGGGCAAAACAGAGTATCCTACAGATTGGAACAGTGACCAACGGCATCTTTAAGGAGGAGAAATTTGAAATGGGTTCTAAAGGAATAGATACCCAGGCATCAAAGAGAAGCAAAGACATTTTTGATGAAGGGCATAGTGCAAACCAAGGTTGGTGGCTGGAAAATGTCAGATCCTTTGAGGATATGAGGCTGGAAAGTCAGTCTGGGTTGGTGAGGACTCACTGCTGGGCTGCTGTGGGCATGAGATGTCCTTGGGGAGGTACAGACTTTCTGCGAGACAGAAAGTCAAAAATCATCTCCATTCACCTGTGGACCAGCACCGTGCTAAATTACATCACATACATCAGTTTATGTATGCATAAACATACATCAGTTTATCTGCCCTCAAGGGGTGATACTATTATGAACCTCCACTTGACAGATCAAGAAAGCAAGGCCCAAAGAAGTTAAATCGCTTACCTGAAGTGACTTAGCTAACAAGCGGCAGAGCCAGGATTTGAACCAAGATCTCTGCCCAACTTCAAAGCATGGTCTTGCTCTTCATAAAGGTGTTCTCATCTGCAGGTCTCTGCTGTTGCTTGTGGCAAAGACAGTTGTCACATATGAAATTGCTCAATCCAAAGTGCTTCTGCTTTAAATCTAAATAGTTACCAAACATTCTGCCCCCTGTAAAGCTGAAGTTTCTCCCGAAGGCTTCAGGCTTGTGCCCTAGGACTTCTTGCCACCTGGCCAGCTGGTCACAGTGTCTTTGAATGACTGGGGGACAGATGTGGCAAAATGGTAAAGTGTGACGGTTAATTTCATGTGTCAACTTGACTGAGCTAAAGGATGCCCAGATAGCTGGTAAAACATTACATCCGGGTGTGTGTGTCTATGAGGGCATTTCTGGAAGAGATTAGCATTAGAATCTGTAGACTGAGTAAAGAAGACTACCCTCAGCCAGGTGCGGTGGCTCACGCCTGTAATCCCAGCACTTTGGGAGGCCAAGGTGGGCCGATCACGAGGTCAGGAGATCGAGACCATCCTGGCTAACATGGCGAAACCCCATCTCTACTAAAAATACAAAAAATTAGCTGGGCGTGGTGGCAGGCACCTGTAGTCCCAGCTACTCGGGAGGCTGAGGCAGGAGAATGGCGTGAACCTGGGAGGCGGAGCTTGCAGTGAGCCGAGATCATGCCACCGCACTCGGGCCTGGGCAACACTGCAAGACTCCGTCTCAAAAAAAGAAAAAAAGAAGACCACCCTCACCCATGTGGGCAGACATCATCCCATCTGTTGAGAGCCCAAACAGAACGAAAAGCAAAGGAAGTGTACATTTTCTATTTGAGCTGGGACATTCACCTTCTCCTGACCTTGGAGATCAGAGCTCCTGGTTCTTGGGCCTTCAGACTTACCCTGGGACTTAATGTCATTGGCTTTCCTCATACCCCACCTTGCAGATGGCAGAGCATGGAACCTAGCCTCCATAACTGCATACACCAATCCATATAATAAACAGACATATATATCCTACTGGTTCTATTTCTCTAGAGAACCCTAATACAGGAAGGTTGTGAGGTCTGGGATCTAAATCCCAGCTCTGCCCCTGAGTTGTTCAAGCATAGCCTGTCCAAAGCTGAGTTCCCTTGATCTTTTTCCCCAAACTCCTCCTCCTCTACTAACCCAGCCACCATCAACGCTCCTCCTCCAACCACACATTCCACCTTGCCCCTCCTGGAACAGAGATTCCCACCTCAGGACCTTTGCACTGGCTGTTGCCTCCACCTAGAACTGCTTTGCCCTCCAATATCAACACTGCTCCCTCATGTCCTTCAAGTCTTTGCATAACTGTCGCCATCTCAATGAGGCCAAGCCTGGCCACCACCACCACCCCGAACTGCACGCCCTACACCCCGTTACCTTCTCTGTATTTCTCATAGCAGTTGCCACCTTCTACAATGCCATGTAATTTACTTGTTTTGTTTCCGGTTTACTGTGTGCCTTCCCCCACTGGTATCAATGTGCCCCAGTGACTGGTAGAACCTAGGTAGTAACTGAACACGTGTTCCCTATGAAATTGGTTTAACTCTGCTGTATGTGTGAAATTTTTTGTAATAAAATATTAGGGATAATGGTCTCAAAGGCAGTCGTTTTATCTGCTTTGTTCACTGATGTATCCCAAGTGTCTGAAACAAGACCTGGCTCATAGAAGGTGCACTATAAACATTACTGAATGGAGGAATTAAGGAGTACATGTGTTACTTAGGGCAAGTTATCTTATCTCCCTAAAGCTCTAGGTGTCAACTACAAAGGGGCAAAATAGTAGCTATTTTTCATTTATTAAGTATTTATTGAGCATCTACTATATATCTAGAACTACTATATATGTAGGTACTAGAGATACAACTGTGTGAAAGACAGACCAAGTCCTCCTTCTCATGGAGCTTTCAATCCAGATAGGGAAACATGACCACAATTTCATGTAACTCCTTCATTTATTACTTATTGAGCATCTACTATATATCTGGAACTATGTAGGTAGTAGAGATACAACTGTGTGAAAGGTAGACCAAGTCCTCCTCATGGAGCTTTCAATCCAGATAGGGAAACAAGACCACAATTTCATGTAACTCCAATGCCATCTATGAGATTGCCTAATACCTGTGTGTCCCAACTCTGTCACAGGGATTCAGGGAGGACCACTCAGCTGAGTGGCATCAAAACTGAGCACTGAATCTTAATTGTTAGGATTCTGCTAATAAGAAAAATGCATCTTTATTTTGCTGAGGGCAACAATGTATCCAGCTAAAAATCATCTTTCACTAGCATCTCTTGCAGCTAGGGCTGGCCATCTGACGTAGTTGTGACCAGTGAAAAGAAGGGAGAGCGCACCTTTAGTTTTCTGCCTTGCTGCCCTCCCTTGGCTTCTATGCCTGCTGACGTGATGCCTGGAGATGAAGCAGCTATTTTGTAACCATGAGGATAGAAATTGCACAGCAGAGCAAGAAAATGAAAAAAGTGGGGGTTTCTGATGGTCTCTTTGATTCACTCTACCAACATGGCTTGCCTACTGTTTAGCTTATTGTGTAAGCCAAATAAACCCTTGCACCTTCAAGCCATGATAATAGAGTTTTCTGATACTTACAGCCGTATCTGTTGTCCCAAGCAAGATATGAACGAGGTTAAGAGGATGAAAGTGAAATGTACTAAGCCCAGGGCACAGCATGTGCAAAGGACCAGAGGTGTGAGTGAGCAAAGTCAATTCCAGCAACACAAAGTTCAGGGCAGCTGAAGTGGAGTGGGCAAAAAGCAGGTGGTGAGTGAAGAGTTTGCAAGAGCAAACAGGGATCCCACTGAAATCAAGGTTTTGTAAATCGAATTGGAGAAACAGTGAAGAGCCATAGCAAGCTGCTAAGAAAAATTTGAGTTAATTTATGGAAAGTGTCCAATGCACAGTGGGTGCCCAAGATATAAGCACCGTGAGTATCATCTTACCTTGGAATACACACAAAATTAACTCCTCCGACAAAATGAAGATGCATCACTTTTATCTGCAAGCCCGCCGGAGGTCACAGACACGTGCAGAGGGAAAACAGTATGGTGAGACGGAGAAAAACAATCCAGCCAGGACAGTTACACCGACGCTTTATTCATATCTGCCACCATCGGGATTGATTCCCACACAGTGACTCACTCACAGCACCAACCTCTTTAATCAACTGTGCTGAGCAGTGACATCCAAGCTCACCTCGGAAAACGACGGAAACTCCAAGGCAAGGTGGCCTCCCGAAGTGGCCTTTTCCCTTCCCTCCTCATCCCTGGGCTGTTTCCAGCAGACGGCAGTGAACGCCTAAATGAGGGTTTGATCAATGGAGGCCAAGCTGATATTGACAAAGCAGCTGCAGTTTCCGCAAATCACCCAGCACTCATAGATACTGAAGATTAATCTTTACAAATACGGGGCAAAGGGGGAGAGAAAAAACCAAGTCGATTTAGTTTCCGATTATTACTTTCTCCAGAAGGCACTGAAGAGTCAAAAGTTTAACTGATGTACATTAGACAGGGAGACAAATCCAGAAATATCACCCAATTACCCGGTAGCTTCTAGAAGGTATTTTTCATGACAGCAGGTGGGTTTGCCTTTTCTAAATCAGGAAGGAGACAAGACACCGCTAAGAGGATGTTGACTTGGCCCAGCGCACAAGCACTAACCTCACCGGACAAATAGAAGCCTGAAAATTTGTCCTCAGTCTACACGGTCCCCATGAAAACACATTTCCACCGATTTCCTAGTTATTTCTGTTTTATGCCTCATGTTTAGAAAGTAAATTGTTCCTTCCTGGAACAAGATGGACTTTTTTTTAACTACAAAGAAATAATAAATAAGTGCTTAGCCTCCCTAGGCCTCCATTTTCACATCCAAAGAGTGGGTACAGCCCAGGACGTAATGTTTAGAGGGCACTGACACCATCTAGAGTGGATCATTCTCTACCGTGCAGGGCTATTCCGCCCACTGCAGGATGTTTACTGGCATCCCTGAAGTCTACGCACCAGATGCCAGTAGCACCATTTCCTCATCCCCAGTTGTGACAACTGAAAATGTCTCCAGACATGACCAAATGTCCCTGAGAGACAAAACCACTTGCATAGTCACGAACAGATAACACGACTAAGAATGGGGAAAACGTGAATCAAAAGATGTTCCATGCTGTGTTCACATAAGCAATAAAACCAAATGCTTGAATTTGATGCTAGTTATAACCTTTTTATTCATGTCCATGTCACAGCCAAAGAACTGTTTTTGTTTTTTAGGTTTTTTTTTTTTGCAGAGACAGCATTTCATTTATTTCAGGACACTTTCACAGAAGTATTCATATATTCTGGCAAAATGAAATCATATATTACACAAACATTTCATTTCCATAGTTAGTACAGAAGAGGAAAAATTATTTGTGGTCAAAATTACTCCTGAGATTCCTTTAAATCAACCATAATTTATAGAGTGCGCATGTACTTGTGTATGTAATCATTTTAAGTCATAACTATGCCCCTCGAACAGTTGGAAGTCACTGAGCTGGACCGAAGAATTCACAAAAGAGAAAGCTCTTCACAGATACTTGGGTTTTGAAACCATTCTGCCATTAGATAGCTACCTAGTCCTCAAGGTGAACTAAGCACGATGGAGGAATTCCAAGTGTGGCTTCCCACCTGCAGGGTCGACTCCACTGAGACTCTGCTGCTAACCTCAGCATACAACCCTAGATGATCTTGTCGTGAAGATGAAGGAGATCACAGACAACATCTTGCCAGGGACTGAGTTTTAATGCTGGCGTTTTAGTTATCCTGTTGGGCTACAAAAACATGTCAGGCAAGATGTTAAGTTTTGTTTAAAGCATCAAGAATTCCAGGCCCGGCGCGGTGGCTCACGACTGTAATCCCAGCACTTTGCGAGGCCTAGGCGGGCGGATCACGAGGTCAAGAGGTCGAGACCATCCTGGTTAACACGGTGAAACCCCGTCTCTACTAAATATACAAAAAATTTGCCGGGCGTGGTAGCGGGCGCCTGTAGTCCCAGCTACTTGGGAGGCTGAGGCAGGAGGATGGCGTGAACCCGGGAGGCGGAGCTTGCAGTGAGCAGAGATCACGCCACTGCACTCCAGCCTGGGTGACAGAGCCAGACTTCGTTTCAAAAAATAATAATAATAATAAAGAATTCCAAAATCAAGTACAAAATCAAAAGGCAGATTTTCAAACAAAATCTTTGAAAAGTGGTTCTGGCCGGGCACAGTGGCTCACGACTATAATCCCAGCACTTTCGGAGGCCAAAGCGGGCGGATCACGAGGTCAGGAGACGGAGACCACCCTGGCTAACACGGTGAAACCCCGTCTCTAGTAAAAATACAAAAAAAAAAAAAAAAAATCAGCGGGGCGTGGTGGTGGGCGCCTGTAGTCCCAGGTACTCGGGGGAGGCTGAGGCAGGAGAATGGCGTGACCCCGGGAGGCGGAGCTTGCAGTGAGCCGAGATGGCGCCACTGCACTCCAGCCTGGGCGACAGAGCGAGACTCCATCTCAAAAAATATATATAAATAAAAATAAAAGTGGTTCTGTCCTGCTTACACCCTCTTCTCACGCTTTTCAGGCACAAAGAAGGGCCAAGAGCAAGAGAGGATTTCTTTGGAGAGAGTCTGTTGAAGACACGCCTTCATGTTACAAGATCTTGAAACTCATGGGCACCATGGTCTGGGATCTGAATCCTGCAGCAAAGCTCTTCCAGGCTTCCTGCTATGCTGCCTGGGGTAACTGCACAAGGCCCCATAATTAGACGACCCCACTGTGATGCTGGCATTTTGAAATTCCTATAATTTTTTTTTTTTTTTTTTTTTGAGACAAGGTCTTTCTCTGTCACCCAGGCTACAATGCAGTGGCATGAACATGGCTCACTGCAGCCTCAACCTCCTAGGCTCAAGCGGTCCTCCTGCCTTAGCCTCCCGAGTAACTAGGACCACAGATGTATACCACCATTCCCGGCTGATTTATTTATTTATTTTTTTTTTAATTTATTCATTTTTTTTTTTGTAGAGATGCAGTTTTGCCATGTTGCCCAGGCTGGTCTCAAACTCCTGGACTCAAAGCAACTCCCCAGCCTCAGCCTCCAAAAGTATTGGGATTACAGGTGTGAGCCCCTGCACCCAGCCAGAATTCCTATAATTTTCATAACAAGAATCCCCACATTTTCGTTTTGTGCTGGGCCCTGAAAACTATGCAGCCAGTCCTGCCCAGGATGCTTATTTTATTTCATTTTCCCAGCTTTAGAGGGGTAAAATTGACAAATAAAAATGGAATACATTTACAGTGTACAATGTGATCTTTGGAGATATATGTATACACAAATTGTGAAATGATCACCATGAACCAGCTAATTACCCTATTCATTACCTCCCATAGTTGTCTTTGGATGTTTATGTGATGAGAACACCTAAGATCTGGTCTCTTAGTGAAAGGATGGTGATTACCAGAGCCTGGGAAGGGTAGTGGGCTGGGGAATGTAGGGATGGTTAATGGGTACAAGAAAAATAGTTACAAAGAATGAGTAACACTTACTACTTGGTCAGGTGTGGTGGCTCACACCTGTAAGCCCAGCTCTTTAGGAGGCCAAGGCGGACAGATCGCTTAAGGCCAGGATTTCAAGACTAGCCGGGCAACATGGCAATACCCCATCTCTACTAAAAATACAAAAAATAGCCAGGCATTGTGGGGCACACCTGTAGTCCCAGCTACTCAGGAGGCTGAAGTGGGAGGATCACTTGAGCCCAGGAAGTCGAGGCTGCAGTGAGCTGTCATCATGCCACTGCACTCTAGCCTGGGTAACAGAAATGAGATCTTCACTCCAAAAAAAAAAAAAAGACCTACTACTTGATAGCACAACAGAGTGACTATAGTCAATAATTTAATTGCACTTTTTTTTTTTTTTTTTTTTTTTGAGACAGAGCCTTGGTCTGTCACCAGGCTGGAGTACAGTGGCGCGATCTGGGCTCACTGCAACCTCTGCCTCCTGGGTTCAAGCAATTCTCCTGCCTCAGCCTCCCGAGTAGCTGGGACTACAGGCATATGCCACCATGCCTGGCTCATTTTTTGTATTTTTAGTAGAGACGGGGTTTCATCATGTTGGCCGGGATGGTCTCAAACTCTAGACCTCGTGATCCACCTGCTTCGGCCTCCCAAAGTGTGAGGATTACAGGCGTGAGCCACCACGCCTGGCCTAATTGTACATTTTAAAATAACTGAAAGAGTGTATTTGGATTGCTTGTAACACAAAGGATAAATATTTGAGGGTATAGATACCCCATTCTTCATGATGTGATTATTACACACCACATACCTGTATCAGAACATCTCATGTACCCGTAAATATATACATTTATTATATACCCACAAAAAGTAAAAAAAAAATTTTAAGAGCTGCTCTCTTAACAAATTTCAAGTAAGCAATATGGTATTGTTAACCATAGTTACCGTGCCAAATATGAGATGCCCAGAACTTATTCATCTTATCACCGAAAGTCTGTACCCTTTGAGCAACATTTCCTCCTAGCCCCTGGCAACCATTCTAATTCGACTCTCTTTTCCTCTGAGTTCAACATTTTCAGATTCCACAGATAAGTGAGATCACACAGCATTTGTCTTTCTCTGTCTGAATTAGTTCACTTAGCTAATTCTACTCTTTTTGTATGAGTTCAACGTTTTTAAATTCCACAAATAAGTGAGATCACACAGCATTTGTCTTTCTCTAAGTCCACTTAGACAATCAGAGGTGCTTGTTTTAAACTCAGGTTCCTGGACCCCACTGTTTTTAACAGTTCAGCTTGATATCCAAGCCTGTAAGAGACACTTTGATTCTCTGGATTAAAATGAGAGACAGTGAGAGGAGAGGAAGAAGAATAAAGGAGGAGAGCTTTCTCTCTAAAAATCTAAGGGATTCCAATTAAAAATCACCTCTCATTGTACATGCAGAAAATGTACAGTGAGACACAAAGATGGGTTGGAAGACAAAACTCTGAAACTAGTCTGGGAGGGTTAAGTGACTTCATGGAAATAAATACTAAAATATCAAAATGCTCTAAACTTTCCATTTTTACTTCTAAATGTGCTGAGAAAAAAATCTGATTATTTGACAGGAATTTTAAAAAGAACAATTTTTATAAAACTAAAATCACATTCCTGAACACTCAAATGCTTAGCATAGGGGATGAAATTGACCTGGAATTTTCTTTGTGAGAGGAAGGACCAAGTTCCCAATGTGGATACGTTACCAGTTAGATTTTCCAAGCACAGTTCATACTGCAGAATTCACCTAACTTGATTTAGGTTTCTCCTTTATAATCAGTTTCCACTTGAACTTCAACTACCACGAAAAAGTAAGTAAGTAAAGCAAAGATGTAAATTCTTGGGAACTTTGTTATGAGAGGAACTTTCTAGACTGCACTTAGTTGTCTTATTTAATTAGCTACCAGGGAAACAAAACATATAGTATGTCCAAGGAGTTGACTCAATGGAATGCTGTCATGCTAAACAGATCTAACGTCATGCTGGGTGAGACACACAGTCTATTTTAGAAAGCCAAACAGGGCCGGATGCGATAGCTCATGCCTGTAATCCCCAGCACTTTGGGAGGCCTAGGCGAGTAGATTACCTGAAGTCAGGAGTTTGAGACCAGCCTGACCAACATGGAGAAACCCCATCTCTACTAAAAATACAGAATTAGATGGGCGTGGCGACGCATGCCTGTAATCCCAGCTTCCCAGCTACTCTGGAGGCTGAAGCAGGAGAATCACTTGAACCTGGGAGATGGAGGTTGTGGTGAGCCGAGATCACGCCATTGCACTCCAGCCTGGGCAACAAGAACAAAACTCCATCTCAGAAAAAAAGAAAGAAAGAAAGCAAAACAGAAGCAAAGCATGCAAGAGGTTTATTCCAAGCCTCTGACAGTAGGAGTCCTGAAATCCACCTGGTGGATGAAGGAGGAGACAAAATTTAGAGGACTTGGCAGAATCACAGAATGTGGGGAGATGTTTCCAAAGGGGGCCTCATCTCATGCTGCAAACGTTTTGTCTGGAGAATACCAAAAAAAAAAAAAAAAAAAAAAAGTTTTGTCTGTGTCTTGTGTCTTGGGTTGTTTTGTTGTTGTTGTTTTTTAACGTCATCAATGAGGCGTTCCTTGTTCTGCTGAGGCCCTAGAAGCATTCAGGAAAGGAAATTCAGAGGTGGGAACTGGAGAGAAATAATGTGCTCAATAAAAGGAGTAAGGTTTTGGAGCCAGACAAGAAAAAAAATGAGAAGCAGAGCTGGGGAAAGAATAGAGGGTTCTAGAAGCCTGAATGTGCCAGAAAATCATCCCCTCCAGAATCCCCCAGTCTTCAGTGAAGCCCTATGAACTCAATAGCTGAGTAGGTTTCCTGCAGGCAATGGGAGACGCAAAGTTCTGCACTTAAGCTCCTGTAGGGGAAAAAGCAGAGCCAGCGTGGGTTGGGGGCACCAGGGCCAGAGGCAGATACGACCTTGAGAAGGTCGCCCTCCCCAGATTAGCAGGAAGTAGCCTGCATAGAAGATCTTACCTAGATCTTTGAGGATTCAGGGGACCCCAGCTGACATGTCGGTTATTCTACTTAATTATAAAATGTTTGAGCAGGGCACAGTGACTCACACCTGTAATCCCAAGCACTTTGAGAGGCGGGGACAGGAGGAATGCTTCAGCCCAAGAGTTTGAGACCAGCCTGGGCAACACAGTGAGACTCTGTCTCTACACACTTTATTTTTTTTTGTTTTTTTTTTGTTTGTTTTTTTAAATTAGCTAAGTAGGATGCTACAGGCCTGTGGTTCCAGCTACATGGGAGGCTGAAGTGGGAGGATCACTTGAGCCCAGGATTTTGAGGCTGCAGTGAGCTATGACTGTGCCACTGTACTCCAGCCTGGGCAACAGAGTGAGACCCTGTCTCACAAAATAAAAATAAAGGCCAGGTGCGATTGCTCACACCTGTAATCCCAGCACTTTGGGAGGCTGAAGTGGGTGGATCACTTGAGATCAGGAGTTCAAAACCAGCCTGGCCAACATGGTGAAACCCCATCTCTATAAAAATGCAAAAAATTAGCCGGCATGATGGCAGGTCCCTGTAATCCCAGCTACTTGGGAGGCTGAGGAGGGAAAATCACTTGAACCTGGGAGGCGGAGGTTGCAGGGAGCCGAGATCATTCCATTGCACTCCAGCCTGGGTGACAGAGTGAGATTCCATCTCAAAAAAAATAAAAATAAAAATGTTTGGCCATTTCCAACCTTGCCTTCAGACTATGGGTTCCTGGAGGACAGGTGCACTTCTCAGCCATCTCTGGATGCACTGATGTGGCCATCTTTGTTAGTGTACTGGTATGGACCAGTAGGGTCCATACTTGCACAAATCCCAACAATCGGTATTTACATCTCTTTGCTTGGCCAGGGCCCACAATGCCTGTGCACAGGACAGGTCAGAAGTCCTGGAGAATTAACATACCTCCTGCATTAGGTCTTCACCAGTGACTAACTGGAGGGATGTATAAATATCCCAGCTCCTTCACTCCTCCAGGGGGTGATTCTGAGCTACATGCTCAACACTAGGGTTGGCAAACTTCTTGAAAAAGGGTCATATAGTAAATATTTTATGTTTTGCCGGTCATATTGTCTCTCACAGATGCTCAACTCTGCTGCTGTTGTATAAAAGCTGCCATGGGCTATACATAAATGAAAGGGTGTGACTGTATTCCAGGAACATTTTATTGAAATAACAGGTGGCAGAACAGGTTTGCCATGGGCCAATAGTTTGCAAATCCCTGCTCTGTGTCATTTTCCAGAGTTCGCCAGAGAGATTAAACTGTGATTCCCCACACTGGTAACTGACATGATAATGCATCTTTCTTGCCACTTCCCTCCCTTGCCTGTCCCCTTTCCCCCACCTCCTCAAGCTTAATAAACTATTGGCACTCAAATCCTTGCCTCAGAGTCTACTTCAGTGAGCATCCAAACTAAAACAGTTGATTAGGACTTTTTTTGTTTTTTTGCAAGAGATGGAGTCTCGCCCTGTCACCCAGGCTAGAGTGCAGTGGCGGGATCTTAGTTCACTGCAACCTCCGCTTCCCAGGTTCAAGCGATTCTCCTGCCTCAGCCTCCTGAGTAGCTGGGATTACAGGTACGTGTCACCACGCCTAGCTAATTTTTTATTTTTAGTAGAGACAGGGTTTCACTATATGTTGGCCAAGCTAGTCTCAAACTCCTGACCTCAGGTGATCCGCCTGTATCAGCCTCCCAAAATGCTGGGATTACAGGCGTGAGCCACTGTGCCCAGCCTGATAAGGATACTCTTGACTGCAAGCAACACAGAGTTGAACTACAGGTGATTTAAATATTAATTTTGCACCAACCTATAATCCAGATTTATTGTATCTCCCACACAAAATCCAGGCGTAGGTGGTCCAGACAGGTTAATTCAATAATGTCATGGCTTTGCGGTTTTTCTGATCCTTACTAGCTCACTACTGAGAACCAGGTCATGTGCCCAAGGCTAAACCAGTCAGCAGTGAGAGAAACAAGATGAGCATGCCTGGCTTGGGCCAACTGAGTTCCATGCCTAAGAGCATGAGGAAGGAAGGGGCTCCATTTCTCTGGGCATATTGCCAACTGATGCATGAATGAAAATGGGATGGTCTCAGCAAAGAAGAAGAGAAAAGGGTTGCTGGGCAGGTAACCAATACATACCCAGCAGCTGGTGCTTAGAAAATGCTGCTGCAGTCTATGAATGCATGAGCCACTGGATGTAAACAATGGATAGCAACTTTCTAGAAGAAAGATAAAGTTGAAGGAGTCATCCTGGACACACAAGAGTGGTGCAAAATAAGCACTGAGTGGCCAGGATGCTCAGGGGAAATCTCAGAGGCTTTAGGGAGCATGGTTACCTAACTCAGAACCATCAGTGCCAACTAAGGAAGACACAAGGTACATTGGTTAAAGTCAAGGACAATCATGTTCTTCCCCTAGTTAATAACAGACATGGCATTTTACAGTTCATAAAGCTCTTGTCCATTCATTAGTCTCACCATTCAGTCAATGAAATAAACCCAGGTAATAATCAGGTCAGGTATTATTCTTTTAAAATAATTTTATCCCCATTTACTGTGAAAAAAACTTCTTGAGACAGCTTGCAATAAAAGGTACACCCAAAGGGAAACCAAAAGAAAAATTATTTGTTTATCAAATACATAAGAAAACTCATTTAATATGGTTATTTTGATTGCGTGTGCTCTTGGGTTTTAGCTCCCTAATAGCCAGAGCAAAAGAAAAAGAAAACATAAAGGACACATGAATATCATCATTTAACAAAGGGAAGTATAGCTGTTCACAGGAAAGGAAATGATTTTTCTTAGAATAGAATTAAAAAAAATTCCACTTGGATCCTTACATAAGGCAAATGTAACTAAATGATGGATAATGTCTCCCATGATGGTTTTGCAGAAGATATGAGAATGTCCTCATTCATCATGACATTTGAAGTAGTCCATTCTCACACTGCTAATAAAGACATACCTGAAACTGGGTAATTTATAAAGAAAAAGAGGTGGACTCACAAATGGACTCACAATTCCACATGTCTAGGGAGGCCTCACAATCACGGCAGAAGGCAAAGGAGTAGCAAAGTCACATCTTACATGGCAGCAGGCAAGAGAGGGCTTATTATTTTTAGTAGAGACACGGTTTCACAATATGTTGGGCAGGCTGACAACTGGCCAAGAATAGCATGGAAAAGACCCCCCATCTTGATTCAATTACCTCCCACTGGGTCCCTCCCATGACACATGGGAATTATGGGAGCTACAATTCAAGTTGAGATTTGGGTGGGGACACAGACAAACCATATCAATATCCCTAACCATCAGCTTTTCATACAAAGCCAAAGGTTTCTCCCTGTGGATGGTATCATAGCACTGATACCCATAAGCCTCACTTCCATTCCACATTGTCCTGGATATCCTAGCTAGTGCAGTTAGACAGGGGGGAAATGTCCAGAAAGGAAGAAATGAAACAGTCATCATTCCTAGGTGACTTGATCGTATACATAAAAATCCAAGGAAAATTGTTATGGACTGAATGTCTTTGTCTTTCTCCACCAAATCCACACGTTGAAGCCCTAGCCCCCAGTGCAATGGCATTTGGAGGAGGTAATTTGGTTTAGACGAGGTCACGAGGGTATTACCCCCATGATGGGCCTAGTGTCTTTCCCCAGAAAAACAATATCCTTTACCATATCCCGAAAATTATAACAATACCAGTTTTAAGTACTTACTATGCATGCACCAAGTGTTTACAGGTTTTGATTTACTCATTGAAACCTCACAGCAGCCTATAAACCCAGCTAGTATGTGGCAGAGTTGAGACGCAAACAGAAAAGCAGTACTCCAGATCCCCTTGGATCCTTACATAAGGGAAATGTAACCAAATGATGGATAATGTCTTCCATGATGGTTTTGTGGAAGATATGAGAATGTCCTCATTCATCATAATATTTATATTAGTCCATTCTCACACTGCTAATAAAGACATGCCTGAGACTGGGTAATTTGTAAAGAAAAAAAGGTTTAATGGATTCAAGTTCCACATGTTGTCATATGCCACACTTCTTAGGGATGAATGAACATCACCATGATGCCACACTTCCTAGGGATGAATCAACGTCAGAATTTTTTTTTTTTAAGTTCTGGGATACAAGTGCAGAATGTGTAGGTTTCTTACGTAGGTATACATGTGCCATGGTGGTTTGCTGCACCTATCAACCCATCATCTGGGTTTTAAGCACCACAAGCATTAGCTATTTGTCCTAATGCTCTCCCACCCCTCACCCCCCACTCTCCAACTGTCCCCAGTGTGTGTCGTTTCCCTCCGTGTGTCCATGTGTTCTCATTTGAACATCAGAGCTTAAAGAAGCATTCCTGCTCTCTTCTCTCCCCGCTGGGCTGGGCTTCAGGTGCCTCCTATATGCTTCCTCCATATCACCTCCACCCTTGCTTGTCATTGTCTGGGTTTGAATTCATTTCCTGAGACTTTTGTAACAATGATCTCAAACTAAATGGCTTCAAACAACAGGAATTTCTTCTCTCCCAGGTCTGGAGGTCAGAAGACTGAAATCGGTTGCAATAAACTGAAATCAAGGTGTCAGTAGGGCTCGTTCCCTATAGAAGTGCTAGGGGACAGTCTGTTCCTTGCCTCTTCCAGCTTCTGGTGGCTGCCAGCATTAACTTGCTTGGAGTGGCATCACCCCAATCTCTGCCTCCGTCTGGATATCACCTTCTTGTCTTCTGGGTGTAATATCTCTCCGCCTTTCTCTTATAAGACACTTGCAATCAAATTTAGGGCCCACCTAGATAATCCAGAATAATCTCCCCATCTCAACATCCTTAATTTAATCATACCTGCAAAGACTCCTTTTCCTTATAATTTAACATATACAGGTTCCGCGGACTAGAACCTGATATCTTTGAGTGGCCATGATTCAGCCTACTATAGGTTTCATCACTATCTCTTTATCAACTCTGAAGTCCTTAACAGCAGAGACCACCTGTGGCCATTTTCAAATGGCTGTACATTTTTTACATCAAAGCAATCTCTTAGGGCCAGGCACGGTGCCTCACATCGGTAATCTCAGCAATTTGGAAGGCCAAGGCGGGCAGATCACCTGAGGTCAGGAGTTCCAGACCCACCTGGCCAACACAGTGAAACCCCGTCTCCACTAAAAATACAAAAATTAGCTGATGTGGTGGTGGGCACCTGTAGTCCCAGCTGCTCTGGAGGCTGAGGCATGAGAATCACTTGAACCCAGGAGGCGGAGGTTGCAGCCAGCCGAGATCACACCACTGCACTCCAGCCTGGGTGACAGAGGGAGACTCCGTCTCAAAAAAAATACAAAAAACAAACAAACAAAAACACACAATAATCTCTTGGGATCTACACCCTCTCCCTTGACTTTAATGACCTCCATGATTGCTTTGATGTATTGAATATGGTGGAAATCATACTGTGCCCTTTTCCAGTCCATGTTTTAAAAGACTATCAAGCGCTACTTCCTATATCTTGAAATACTCACTTTTGGAACTCAGACACCACTATGCTACGAGAAGCCCAAACCACATAGAAAGGCCACGTGAAAGTGCTCCAGGCGACAGCACCAACTGAGCTCCTAACCAGTAGCCAATATCATGCCAGCCATGTGTCTCAGCCATCTTGGATGGCCAGCCTAGTCAAGCCTTCAGATGACTCCAGCCCCAGTCATTATCTGACTACAACTGCATAGGACTTGAAATGAGAACCACGTAGGTGAGCCCAATCAACACAGAGTCATGAGCAATAATACCAAATATTTGTTTCCAGCCACTGTGGGATCAGGCTCTTTTTTATGCAGCAAGAGATTATCTGAACATCATATTTGTTGCTGCATACCAGGTGCCTGGAACTATGCCTGGAGGTCTTGATATTCAATGAAAGTGGAATAAATCAAATAAATAAAAATGGAATAAATAAACGAAACTCTAGAAGCTATGGATTCTAGGGAGTTGAGCTGGAGATCAGGAGGAATGGATATTAGGTCTCAAAGAAATGACAAGGTAATAAGGTAGAAGAAGAAGGCTGTGGATAAACAAATTTTCTGGGGCCTTAATGGTGGTGAGAAGTGGGCAAGTTCAATGTTGAGCAGGACCAAATTCAACAGACCCTCAGCAAATGTTTGCTCACTTAGCAGTACACAGATTCTGCATACATCTTCCTTCCTTTTAACCATTCCTTTAATTGTATAAGCAATATATTGAGTATCTACTGAGAGCCAGGCTTTGAGTTGGGTGAAGACTATTCAGCAGTTAAGTCCCTTTAATGCTTATACACTGTTGATGGGAATGTATATTAGTCCAGTCACTGTGGAAAGCAGTTTGGAAATTTCTCAAATAACTTAAAATAGAACTAAGGTTGAATCCAGCAATCCCATCATGGGTATAAATCCCAAAAGAATAATCATTCTACCTTAAAGATGCATGCACACATATGTTCATTGCAGCACTATTTACAATAGCAAAGACAGGGAATCAACCTAGATGCCCATCAATTGCAGACTAGATAAAGAAAATATGGTACATATACACCATGGAATATACTATGCAGCCATAAAAAAGAATGAAATCATGACCTTTGCAGCAACATGGATGGAGCTGGAGGCCATTATCTTAAGCAAATTAACACAGGAACAGAAAACCAAATATTGCATGCTCTCACTTAGGAGGTAAACACTGACTTCACATGAACACAAAGAAGGGAACAATAGACACTGGGTCCTACTTGAAGGTAGAGGATGGGAGGAGGGTGAGGATTGAAAAACTACTTACCAGGTACTACATTCATTACCTGGGTGATGAAATAATCTGGACACCAAGCCCCATAACATGCAATTTACCCATGAAACAAATCTGCGCACGTACCCCCCAAACCTAAAATAAAAGTTGGAAAGAAAATAAAAATGAAAAACAAGTCCCTTTCTTATGGAACTTAACAACCATAGAGTATTTGGGGAAACCTCAAAACCACAGGCAGGTGGTTCAAGCCCCCATCTCTGACCTTCATTACCCTGCTGTATAGCCATGATTACAAAAAAAAAAAAAAAGCCAGACCATTCAATGCTATTGCTTCTCTCTTCCAAATGGGATGAAGTGCAGGCAGTAAACCAGGGAAGATGAACTTGGCCAAGTCCTTCTATTCATTTTGTGGCAGTGATGACAATTTCCCATTGTGGGGAGCTGGAGGGGCAGTCTCCTTCTGTTCAAACGACTCAGCACACTTTTGAGGGGGCATAAGAACCAGAAAGTGCAGGTGCTAGTAAAGCAGGCCTGTATTTACAGGGAGAATCAGTCCACAGACTTCAGCTTCTCAAAACCATTGTTAATGTGCTTTTACAAAATGCAAAATGCTGCTAGACAGTTCACTGGGTGGCCTTGGGCCTACCCAGTTCTTCCCTCTTTCCCCAACTCATGGTTCTTAAGAATAACTGAAGAATGTGCTAGAAATGCAACATCTTGAGATAGAGAGGGACTGGCCAGAACGACCCAACCTCTGTTCCAGTCCACCCCTAGAAACAAAATGTCTTAAACACTTTAGCCCAGCAAATCACACATCCTGGGGTATAAAACACAGAACCAGCTGCTTTCTGGGGTATCTGAGCTTCTGTGTAAGTGAGGCATGCACAGATATGACTCTACTTACCCTCAGCAGGTTTCCGGGGACTTGGAGGAATAGCTCACAATGAATCCTAGGCTTCTACCATCTCTTGCTGCCTATCTGTAAGTAATAAACCTACCTCATGTAACTTGTTGTGTGGGAGTGTTCTGTCTCACTGGACAAGTTGGTAGCCAGTGAACAGTGAACCTGCCTCACAAATTCCTCTGCTGTAAAGTGCACCAGAAGCTCTCAGTCATGGAAGTTCTGTGCTCAAATCTTCCTTCAAGGTGAACTGCTCTGGAAGCAGAGCTAACTGACAACCTCTAGCTGCTGTACCTTTTGACCCACCGAGGTGTTCATGCTAGGCTGCACTTCCCTGGGGATCTTCCCAGCCAGTGACTGGGCACAGCGGAAGTAATGGAATTAGGTGATTCTAACCCAACTGGGAGTTGTCCAACAGAGAGAGTTGCCTTAGGAACTATTACGGCTGGCTGATACATTCTCAGAGTTGTGCTGAAGCCTTTCTCTTTCTAACTATCTCTCTTCCTTCCCACTCTGCTTTCAGAGGTGTCAGACCTGCATTACGGTCTGAAATCTCTCCCTGCTCCCTCCCCATTTCCCTTCACAGGCATTTTCTTCAATGAATTTCCTGCACAATTAATACTTGGTTTTCTTTCATGTTGTAAACCACTGTAGGATGACTACAGTTAACAATATGTAGTTTTGGCCAGGCGCAGTGGCTCGTTCCTGTGATCCCAGCACTTTGGGACTCTGAAGCGAGCAGACCACTTGAGGTCAGGAGTTCAAAACCAGCCTGGCAAACATGGTGAAACCCCATCTCTACTAAAAAAATATTAGTCGGGCGTGGTGGAGCGTGCCTGTAATCCCAGCTACTTGGCAGGCTGAGGCAGGAGAATCGCTTGAACCTGGGAGGCAGAGGTTGCATTGAGCAGAGATCATGCTACTACAAATCAGTCTGGGTGACAGAGCAAGATTCTGTCTAAATAAAATAAAATGATAATAGTAATAATAATGCAGTTTCAAATAGCTAGAAGGAAGATACTGAAAGTTACCATCACAAAGAAATGAGAAACGTTTGAGATGATGGATATGCTAATTACCCTGATCAAATCACTATACATTATATATATCAAAACATCACTACGTACTCCATCAATAGGTACCATTATTTTTCAATTAAAAAATAATTTTTTTAAAAAAAGAAATATAGAATGTTATACTTGTAAAAAGAAGAAAATGGAAACTGAGGAATCAAATTATGTAAGAGTGATCTTCCTTCTCATCAGCTATCATTTTAGAAATTTGTAGGAAAAGAGGAGATAAAGGAAGAGAGCAAGAGGAAGCAAATAAGCAGAGGGAGGAAAAGAGGAGAAAGTAAAGAAAGAATTAGAAAGTAAGGAGACACAACAGATCAGATCAGCTACCATAATTCAAATGCTCGCCAAAATCACTTCCTATATTTGCAATACAGAAGCTGCAGGAGACATGTTATTTAAAATTAGTAAGAGGGCCGGGCACAGTGGCTCATGCCTGTAATCCCAGCACTTTGGGAGGCCGAGGTGGGTGGATCACAAGATCAAGAGATCGAGACCATCCTGGCTAACATGGTGAAACCCCGTCTCTACTAAAAATACAAAAATTAGCTGGACATGGTGGCATGCGCCTGTAATCCCAGCTACCTGGGAGGCTGAGGCAGGAAATCACTTGAACCCGGGAGGCGGAGGTTACGGTGAGCCGAGATCGCGCCACTACACTCGAGCCTGGCAACAGAGTGAGACTCCGCCTCAAAAAAAAAAAATTAGTAAGAGAATGAGAACTTCATACAGAAGTTGAGAAGTGGATTTGAAATCAGTGGAGACTGGGACCTTGTACAATTAATTCTGTTTTGCCTTCTGCTACTCAGAGGACCTGAACTGACTCACCTACCGTCTAGAGACAGCTACTATTTTGTATTTCTTTTTTAGTTTCATGCATTTAATTTGCATGATTATCATTTTGCTTTATTTCCCCATTTTACATTATAATATGTGCCACCTCATGTTACTGTGCTTCATGTCTATTATTGATGCCCCATAACATTCCATTGTATGGAAGTATCATAAATATCAACTATTTCCCTTTAGTTGGACATTCAGGGTCTTTCCAGATTTTTTTCCTAATTAAATGATGCTGCAATAAATGCCTTGTTTCGCTCCTTCAGAACAGGTCATTGCAGTAAGGGCCTCTCCATTGGAGTGGTGGATTTTAGTTGTCTGGGACTTAGGGTTTTGGTTCTGATTCTGCTACATCCTAACAGCATGACCCTGAGCAAGTTACTTGGTTTCTCAGGACTCCTGTTTCCTCACCCATCAAATGGAGGTAACACCAGACAAGGATCCTTTGTGACTATCAGATTTAATCCATGGCATCATTTTGAAAATATTTTCTTTTTTCTTTTTTTTTTTTTTTTTTTTTTTTGACACAGAGTCTCACTCCATCACCCAGGCTGGAGTGCAGTGGCATGATCTCAGTTCACTGCAACCTTCGCTTCATGGGTTCAAGCAATTCTCATGCCTCAGCCTCCCAAAAGATTTCCATGTAAGGTGCTTGCAAAGGGAAAAATAACAACTTGTGTGGTCAAAAAGTTTAGAAACCCCTGGTCTAAATGGCGTTAGCAGGACTTATCAGAGCCTTTATTATAACAGCACACAGTCCCAAAGGTAGATCCTTATGGTATTATCTTAGTCTATTCAGACTGCTATAAGAGAATGCCATAGGTTGTGTGGCTTACAAACAGCAGACATTTATTTCTCACGGTTCTCTCCAGAAGATCTGGGAAGTCCCAGATCAAGGCACAGGCAGATTCAGTGTCTGGGGAAGGCCTTCTTCCTAGTTCATAGACAGCCCTCTTTTCACTGTGTCTTCCCATCATGGAAGGGCAAAGGGGCTCTCTGGGACCCCTTTTAAAAGGGCATTGGCCAGGCGCAGTGGCTCACGCCTGTAAACCTAGTACTTTGGGAGGCCAAGATGGGCAGATCACTTGGATCAGGAGTTTGAGACAGCCTGGCCAACGTGGTGGAACCTCATCGCCCTAAAAATACAAAAAAAAAAAAAAAAAATTATCCAGGTGTGGTAGATAATTATCCAGTAGTCTCAACTACTCAGAGGATGAGGCAGGAGAATCACTTAAACCCAGAGGCAGAGGTTGCAGTGAGCCTAGATGGTACTACTGCACTCTAGCCTGGGAACAGGGTGAGACTCTTGTCTCAAATAAATAAATAAATAGGCATGAATCCCACTTGTGGAGTCCCCACCATCATGTCCTAATCACCTCCCAAAGGCCCCACCCCCTAATACCATCCATCACACTGGGGATTAGGTTTCAACACATGGTGGGAACACATTTAGTGGATAGCAAGCATGAAGCATTAATCAAGCTTATTTGCCCATCATGCCCATGAAATTCTGAAGTCTGACAAGCAGCCTGTGAGAAGAAAGACATACAACAAGGAGGTAGGACTATGGTGCTTTGGGGTGGAGGCCACTGATGAAAAACTCACCCCTCGAAAGCATCTCCTACTTTGATACCTACGGATGCAACATCCAGGTAGAACCAGCCTCGATGTCTTCTGGAGCCCAGGACCTGATCTCCAAGCTGGCCCAAGACAACCCTCAGAGTGCCACTGTTCAAGCTCCTCTTGCTCCATAATCACTTTAAAGAGGCTGCCCCCACCCCTGGGGCTCAGAGGGCTTCCTGTGACCTGACACTATGATCGTGAGCGAGTGCCGCGCTCTGTTCCCAACTATGCTTCCTCATCTGTCATCCATGGCTTTTCTTTTAAGGAGTTATTTACGAAGAGCTGAAGCAATTTGCTTTTAAAAATGAAAAACAACAGAACTAGTATTTTTTGTAAGTCAGCTTGATAGGCAGTAAACAATCCTGCCAAAGCAAAGCAGAAAATGCTGAAAAGGTTCATGTCTCTTCAACGACTCTGACCAAGACTTCAGAGGATGCTCCAAGGGGAGAAACATGCTCAGGGCTACAGAAGCGACAATCATGGATACCCTAAGCTGGTCTTTCCCAGGAGCAATTTTACCATGCAATTTTCCCTGGATCCTTTCTCTATCGCCCCATAACACCTCTCCCATTTGGAAACAAAAATATAATCTTTGAAAGAAAAATAGAAATCACTGTCTAAATAAAAATAATACATTCCTAGCATTCATTCACCCTCTTCATCCTCCTCCCTGCCCCTGCGGGGGGGAAAAATCTCATTTATCATGTTGAATTTCTCATCTCTTGTGAATGCCACGCAATTGGGTAAATAAGTTCTGTGTTCAATCTTTTGTTTTTTTGTTTGTTTATTGCTTTATTCATTCACAATGGAAAGAAAGACTAAACTTCAGGTAGAGATAAAAGAATATAAGATGTATTTTTAACTGTCCAAGATCATGGGATCTCCGAATTCTATTCATGATAGAATGTTTGAGCATCTGTGGACCCCAGTTTGTGAACTCTTGCCCTGAAACAAAGCCTGCCAGTTATCTGTGTTCAATCTTTTAACAGGGGTTATTCAATTTACTCAAGCCAACATGAGAGGTTTCCATGACAACCTCTCAGCACATTCAGTCTTCATATAAATGAGTTATTGCTTTTATGTTCTCATACTCTAAGACAATGGGGAAATTAACATAATGTGGTCATACAAAAAAAAAAAAAAAAACAATCAAAACAATCAAAATCCTCATATCCTCCCCAGAAACTCACAGATAGCATTCGGTGAAAAAGAACCAAAGAGAAATGAAGCCTTCACATCTGACAACACTGTTAACATTAGAGATTTCATTTCAGATGCATTTAAATGAAGCCAGACCATAATGGGGTTCAAAAAAAAGTGTATAGACATAACTAAACTGCAGAGGAAAGAGACGTAAAGTCAGGGACCCAAATTCACTTTCAGGCCATATATCCTCCAAAGATAACCACCATTCTCTGCCTCTCTTTCTGCACCCCATCCACACTAGCATTCCTGCCCCAGGACCTTCGCACATGCTCTTCCCTATGCTTGGAATGTTCTTCCCCTGCTGTTCTTCCAGTGCTGCTTTGCTTAGCTAACTCCTACTCATCCTCAGGTCTCAGCTCAGCAAAGTCACTTCCTCAGGGCAGTCAAGCTTTGCCACTCATCAAGACTAGGTAAAATTTTCTTGTTAAATCTATTTATGGATTTTCCTGGTTCTTTGTATTTTTCATCATCTTAGATAGGTTAGATTTCCCCAGAAACAAATCCTAAGAGAAGGTGAGATGGTTTGGCTGCGTCCCTACCCAGATCTCACCTTGAATTGTAACAATCTCCATGTGTCAAGGGCGGGGGCAGGTGGAGATAATTGAATCATGGGGGTGGTTTCCCCCATACTGTTCTCCTGATAGTGAGTAAGTCTCATGAGATCTGATGGTTTTATAAATGGGAGTTCCCCTGCACAAGCCTCTTGCCTGCTGCCGTGTAAGATGTGGCTTTGCTCCTTCTTGTCTTCCACCATGATTGTGAGGCCTTTCCAGCCATGCAGAACTGTGAGTCCATTAAACCTCTTTCCTTTATAAATGACCCAGTCTCAGGCATGTCTTTATTAGCAGCATGAGAACAGACTAATACAGAAGGACTTGAAGATAAGTGGGTTGATTTGGAAAGTGAGCCCAGGAAACACTGGGATGACAATAGGGAAATGAGACAGAGAAGGGAAAGGAGCTAATCCAGGTCATGTTTATAAGCAGGCTGCTACTATGGGCAACTGGGGTTCAATCCCACTGGGGACATCTGGGAGACAGCATAGCGCCTGCCTCACCCTAAGGTATGGAAGGCAGGGCAACTGCCCTCAGCAGCTGGCTGGGGGAGATGTGCCTGTGTTGGTTTCTCTGCACTTCCAGCCTGCCCCACAAGAGCCTAGGTTATGGCAGTGAGACAAAGCCCCAGGCAGTATTGCAGATGCTTGCAGTAGGAATGGTGAGTACCCAGAGGACATAGGCAAGGCAACAACTACATCTGCCACCTTCCCCAATGCAAACAGCATAATTATTGCTGGAGACTGGAGATCAGTGGAATAGAAGACAGAAGATTTAATTCAAAGCCATTAGACAAAAAATAATAGTCCCATTGAAGACAAAGGCATGGGAATACGGGGAAGGTATAAATCCACATGAATAGACAATTTTCAAAAGAAGATAAACAAATGGCCAACAAACACGTGAAAAAATGCTCAACATCACTAATGATCAGGGAAACGCAAATCAAAACCACAATGCGATACCACCTTACTCCTGCAAGAATGACCAGAATCAAAAAATCAAAACATAATAGATGTTGGCATGGAGGTGGTGAAAAGGGAACACTTCTACACTGCTGGCGGGAATGTAAACTAGTACAACCACCTTGGAAGACAGTGTGGAGATTCCTTAAAGAAAAGTAGCACCACCATTTGATCTGGCAATCCCACTACTGGGTATCTACCCTGAGGAAAAGAAATCATTATATGAGAAAGATACTTGCACATGCATGTTTATAGCAGCACAATTCACAACTGCAAAAATATGAAACCAGCTCAAATGCCTATCAATCAACGAGTGGATAAAGAAACTGTGGTATATATATGCCATATACCAGCAGTATATTTATACTACTCAGCCATAATAAGGAATGAATTAATGGCATTCACAGCAACCTGGATGGAACTGGAGATTATTATTCTAGGTGAAGTAACTCAGGAATGGAAAACCAAACGTCGTATGTTCTCACTCACAAGTGGGAGCTAAGCTATGAGGATGCAAAGGCATAAGAATGATACAATGGACTGTGGGGACTCGGGGGAAAGGGTGGGAGGGGGTGAGGGATAAAAGACTACAAATTGGGTTCAGTGTGTACTGCTCAGATAATGGCTGCACCAAAATCTCACAAATCACTATTAAAGAACTTACTCACATAACCAAATACCACCTGTTCCCCAAAACCCTATGGAAATAAAAAATTTTAAAAATAAAAAATAAATTTACATGATATAAAAGACCTTGACTCTAGGCCTGGGTGACTGATTATATACTGGGGTACAGGTTTTAGTCAAAGAGCTGGAGACTATATGGAAAAGGGGTGTCTAAGGCCCTCTCTGACATTCTAACAACCCCCATCATCTCTTTTGCTGGCCAGGGGCCCACCTGGTAGGACAGTCCAATCCAGGGTAATTCTGGCTCACAGGTCACACAATACCAATCTTTGGTCCCAAGGTTAGGAGTGGCTGCTCCCACAATGGACTTTATAATAACCTCTCCAACCTCTGTTTGTTGAGCTTAGATTCTTAAGCCTCTAAGCTTCTGATGACTCTTATTAGAGAAAGTAATATAATTACCCATCAATAAAGAAATGGCTCATTCAGCAAGGATATATCTGTTCAATCAAATATATCTGTTCAATCAAATCACTAAAAACAATGGCCGTTTAAGAGTACATATACAAAAGGTACGTGTGCAACAGTATAATAAGAGCAAACCTAAATTATGCTTGTTGTTCACTGATTGTCTCCCCACAGTAGCATGGAAGTTCAGCAAGAGCAGGGATCTTTGTTTTTGTTCAATGCTAGGTCCTCAGCACCTAGGACTGTGCCAGGCACAAAAACATCCAGCACCCACCAAGGTAAAATTTACAATGTCTGACATCCCATAAAAGTTACTTTAAAAATAGAGGCTGGGCCAGGTGCCGTGGCCCACGCCTGTAATCCCAGCACTTTAGGAGGCCAAGGTGGGTGGATCATGAGGTCAGGAGATCGAGACCATCCTGCCAACATGGTGAAACCTGTCTCTACTGAAAATACAAAAATTAGCTGGGCATGGCGACACGTGCCTGTAATCCCAGCTACTCGGGAGGCTGAGGCTGGAGAATCTCTTGAACTTGAGAGGTTGCAGTGAGCCGAGATCGCGCCACTGAACCCCAGCCTGGGCAACAAGAGCTAGACTCCGTCTCAAAAAATAAAAAAATAGAAGCCAGTGGCCAGGAGCTGTGACCGACACCTGTTATCCTAGCACTTCGGGAGGCCGAGGCAGGTGGATACTTGAGGTCAGGAGTTCAAGACCAACCTGGCCAACATGGCGAAACCCCATCTCTACTAAAAACACAAAAATTAGCCAGTCATGATGGCACACACCTGTAGTCCCAGCTACTCGGAGGCTGAGGCACAAGAATTGTTTGAACCCAGGAGGCAGAGGTTGCAGTGAGCCAAGACTGCACCGATGTACTCCAGCCTGGGCAACAGAGTGAGACTCTGTCTCAAAATAATAATAATAGAGGCCAGGCATAGTGGCTCATGCCTGTAATCTCAGCAATTTGAGAGGCTGAAGCAGGAGGATCTCTTGAGGTCAAGAGTTTGAGACTAGCCTGGGAAACAAAGCAAAACCCCATCCCTCCAAAAAAACTTTTTAAAAACTAGCCATGCATGGTGGTGCATACCTGTAGTCCCAGCTACTCAGGAGGCTGAGGCAGGAGGATCACATGAGCCCAGTAGTTTGAGGTTGCAGTGAGCTATGACTGTGCCACTGTACTCCAGCCTGGGCAACAGAGCAAGATCCTGTCTCAAAAAAAATTACCTTAAAATAATAAGTAAATAAATATCAATTTTACAATAAAATAAAAGTGACTCAGCCTACCCTGGGTGGGGTTAAGGGCTGGCCTCTATCACACCTATCAGCTCCCAGAGGTCCTGGATCCCCCAGAAGCTGCTAGGAGGGGCTGAGGGCCATTACTCAGAAGTGCAGAGTGGAGCAAGCTTTGACCAATAAGAGACAGGAAACAGCAGGAGCTGGCAGATGACTGACTCCAGAGTTATCCCATGCTTGTGTTTCTGGGAAACTGCAACTCCACTAGGCAATATACACTTCTTTGGTTTTGCTCTTCCTCTTTCTCTCTTTCCCTTATCCCTGCTTTCTTGAGATTGCGTGACCCAATGAAACATTTGCATATTTGTATCAGGCACTGTTGGTAGGCTAAGATAACCTCCATCCCCAAAACCTATGACACATGGGGTATCTCCTGAAGGATGCCATTCAAGTTAATCCCCAAACATTATGGCTTAAAGCCACAACTGTTTTTATTATAGATCATGATTTTGAGGGTCAGGAATTTAAGCAGGACCCAGCTGGGCAGTTCTTCTGCTCACACAGTATCATCTGAGGTCACTCAGTAGTATTCAGAGGGCTTCGGGGCTGCTCTGAAGGGTCTAGTGCAGTTTTAGTGATGTGCCAGGCACCTTGGTGGGTGTATTAGTCCATTTTCATGCTCTTAACAAAGACATACCTGAGACTGGGTCATTTTTACAGGAAAGAGGTTTAATGGACTCAGAGTTCCACATGGCTGGGGAGCCTCGCAATCATGGTGGAAGGCAAGGAGGAGCAAGTCACGTCTTACATGGATGGCAGCGGGCAAAAAGAGAGCTTGTGCAGGGAAACTCCCTGTTATAAAACCATCAGATCTCATGAGACTTACTATCATGAGAATAGCATGAGAAAGACCCACCCCCATGATTCAATTACCTCCCACCAGGTCCCTCTCACAACATGTGAGAATTCAAGATGAGATTTGGATGGGGACACAGCCAAACCATATCAGTGGGACAGGATGGAAGCTGGGCTCAGAGCAACTTCTCTCCCTTTCCATGTCATCTCAGAGTCTCTCCAGGTTTCCCTCCAGCAAAAGCCCTCAGATTTCTTACACAGTGGATCAGGGGTTTAAAACCAAGAGTTCCAAGAGGTGTAAGGTGGAAACTGCATGATCCCTTAAATGCCAGGACCAGAACCATCATGGTGTCACTTCTATGGCAATCTATTCGTCAAAGCAGTCACAGGCCAGCCCAGGCTCAGGAAAAGGGAAATAGACCCCATTTCTGAATGCATGGGGTATCAAACAGTTTGCACTCATCTTTGACCTGCCACAGATACACAAGAACTGGGAGGAGGGGTGGGTGGAAGACTGAAGCATTAGAGTAAGAGGGGCTCCTTCATCCTCCGGTCATCATTTTCCATGTGCACGTCTGACTTTTTTCAAATAAAAACTGGGGAAGGACAAAAAGTGGGGAGGAACCATGTCAATAAGCTGAATCCTCATCTTCTATGGCACAGAGTCAATAGAAAATGTCTTAAATTGATAAATCAAGAAAAAGCCTCATAAGCATCTTATTTGGAGTTACAGAGATAAATAACTGAAGACCTAAAAATGGAAACAACATTTCAAGCACTTGCCTCCGGGAAATAAGACTTAAGGAGGGGAGAGAGGAGAGAAGGGGCCAGGAACCGCTGCTTTCATTGGCAGCTCCTCTGTACTTTAACTTTGTACGATGTGCTCATATTACTATGATTTTTTTTTTAAATTCAAAAGGGAAAAAAATAAGAACAAAATGATGATGGTTATTTTTAAAACTATGTAATTAAACCTGGAAAAATCTCATTTTGCTAAACGGAAAAAAAGTAGCAGGATACGAAACTATATTAATAGTATGGTCATAAGTATGTTTAATAAAGAAAGAGAAAAACATATATGGGAGGAGAAAAATCTGAAGAAATTTACCTACCAAATGATAGTGGGTGGGTTTCTCTACTTTTCTAGGTTTCCCACATTTTCAACAACGTGATTCTCATACTTTCCTAATGAAAAGAAATACATTCCTTACATAAAATAAATTAACTGGGCCGGGCGTGGTGGCTCATGCCTGTAATCCCAGCACTTTGAGAGGCCAAGGCGGGCAGATCACCTGAGGTCAGGAGTTCAAAACTAGCCTGGGCAACATGGTGAAACCCCGTCTCTACCAAAAATACAAAAATTAGCCAGGTGTGGTGGTGTGTGGGTGTGTGCCTGTAGTTCCAGCTATTTGGGAGGCTGAGGCAGGAGAATCGTTTGAACCGGGGAGGTGGGGGCTGCAGTGAGCCGAGATTGCGCCACTGTACTCCAGCCTAGGTGACAGAGTGACATTCCATCTCAAAAAAAAAAATGAAAATGGCTGGGCGCCGTGGCTCACGCCTGTAATTCCAGCACTTTGGGAGGTCGAGGCAGGCAGATCACGAGGTCAGGAGTTCAAGACCAGCCTGGCCAAGATGGTGAAACCCCGTCTCTACTAAAAATACAAAAATTAGCTGGGCATGGTGGCACTTGCCTATAATCCCAGCTACTCGGGAGGCTAAGGCAGAGAATTGCTTGAACCTGGGAGGCAGAGGTTGCAGTGAGCTGAGATCGCGCCACTGCACTCCAGCCTGAGTGACAGAGCAAGACTCCGTCTCAAAAAAAAAATTAAAAAATTAAAAAATAAAAATAAAATAATAAAATAAATGAGCCGAGCATCAATTAAAGAAAATGCCAGAAGGTTCTCTGAAGAACTTTCCACAATAGAAGTGTATTTTAAGTCCCTGAGCCTTCATCTCATACCTATGGACAGGGGACTCTTTGCACTGGTTCTGGAACGCTCCAGTCCACCATGCCCACGGATTTAGTTAGGAAACCTTCCCAGAAAGAACTTAGTCCATGTCATTTCAAAATGAATTAATTCAACTCAACAGGAACTTTTGTAAGCCTCCAATGTATGCGGTTCTGAACTTTTGTAAGCCTCCAATGTTTCCAGTTCTGAATCTGGAATGCTCATTCAGCCACAAAATAAACATTTATTGAGTACCTACTATGTGCCAGACAAATGCTACTTGCAGGGGTGACAATGATAGAGACGGGCAAAATATTCAATTCTTTGGAGCCATAGACTAATGGGAGAGGCAGACAAGTGACTAGGCAAGTGTAATACATCCTAACAGACACTTTGGGGAACAGACAAGGGGCTGTGGAAGGAGGCAACCTGGAGGGCTTCCTGGAAAAGGCCAAACATGGGCCAAGCGCCGTGGCTCATACCTGTAATCCCAGCACTTTGGGAGGTTGAGGCAGGAAGATAGATCACTTGATCCTGAGAGTTCGAGGCCAGCCTGGGTAATATGGCGAAACCTCATCTCTACAAAAAGTACAAAAGTTAGCTGGGCATGGTGGCATGCAACTGTAGTCCCAGCTACTCGGGAGGCTGAGGTGGGAGGATCACTTGAGCCTGGGAGGTTGAGGCTGCAGTGAGTCACGATTGCACCACTGCACTCCAGCCTGGGTGACAGGGTGAGACCTTGTCTCAAAAAAAAAAAAAAAAAGGCCAAATATGAGCTCAGAGCTCAGTCTCAAGGGATGAACCAGGGCAGATCAGGTTAAAGGGGAAAAGCTGTTGCCAGTACAGAGAATAGAATATACAAAGACCCAGAAACAACAGAGAAGATGGATACATTCAAGGAACTGAGAGTGATCTCAAAAAAAAGATTTGTCATGATCAGAAGAGACAGTCCCAAACCAGCACTCACTTGGGGGCTCTGGGACTGGACTCCCTAAATTGGAATCTCAGCCCCATCATGTGAGCTCAAAGTGCTTCACCTCACTGTGCCTCAGTTTCCATGTCTGTAAAACAGGGTAGAAGTAGAACTTAGAAGAGTTATAAGAATTAAACTAGAGAAGTGAGCATTGTTTATATGTGCTTGTTGCTATGGATCCAAAACTGCCAGTAATAACAATAATAATAATAATAATAGCTTATGCTTTCGTTGAGCCCTTGCTTTGCACCTGGCCAGTGACAGGCACATTATCAGTAACACAAATGCAAGTATCTCATCTAACCCTTGCATCAACGCTCAGAGATGGGTTTTATCAACATCCCCATTTTACAGATGAGGAAAACTGAGGCAGAGCAGTTGCACAACGTCGCAGCTGTTCCTGGTGCTTCACCCAGATCCTCATTGCCAGTAAACCATTCATCATTCAGCCTTTGCTGATCTGTGCCTAATGGCTTATACCAATACTTTCTCCGGAGAATTCCTTAGCTAGCAAAAGCCATTTCACCCAGGGAGTTATGCTCTCACATGCTGAACTGGCCAATGACTAAGCGATATGAGGCGAGAGGAGTCACACAAAAGTCCAGTCCTCCTGCTTCGAGGCAGAATACACTCCAGAGACCCACGTGAGATCAAGGCTAGCCTTAGCCTGAGAGCCCATTCTTGCTTGGCTCTGTCCCCTCCCCCATCATCCTCCTTCCCTCACTTTCCTTCTCCTGAGAACCCCCACCTTGAATAAACCGCACCTACCCAAATCTCATTCTCGGGCTTCCAAGGAACCCAACCCGTCACACAACTTGCAGGGATTCGGACCAGGTTTTCTCCTTCCAAAGGGCCACCAAGCTGCAAGCTGCACCAGGTTCATCTCAAAATCAGAGTCATGGGATCAAAGAACAGTTGCTGATGCCAACCCCTGCCGGCATGAGCCCACCGCTGGGGAAACAAGGCGAACCAGACATCTCAGACTAGAGGAGTGAATCCAAGGAGAGAAGATGACAGGAGGTGTATTTGTTCTCACGCTGCTAATAAAGACCTACCCGAGACTGAGTAATTTACAAAGGAAAGAGGGTGAATGGACTCACAGTTCCACATGGCTGAGGAGGTCTCACAATCATGGTGGAAGGCCAAAGAACAGCGAAGTCACATGCTACACAGCGGCAGGCAAGAGAGCTTGCGCAGCGGAACTCCCATTTATAAAACCATCAGATCTCGTGAGACTTACTCACTACCATGAGAACCGTATGCGGAAACTGCCCCCATGTTTTAATTATCTCCACCTGGCCCTGCCCTTGACACGTGGGGATTATTACAATTCAAGGTGAGTTTGGATGGGGATACAGCCAGACCATATCAGGAGAGGGCACAGCATTAGGACGCAGCCGGTGGTACTGTAATTCGGGTCGGGGGAGGTTGCTGAAATACACTCATAAGGGTAGTTTAAAAAGAGCATCATCAAGGAGACAGGCTTTCCAGCCTTGGCCTTCGGGAGAAAGAAAGAGAGAGTGAAAAAAACATGGGCTTTAGGCCTGACGCGTGGCTCACGCCTGTAATCCCAGCACTTTGGGAGGCCGAGGCGGGCGGATCACGAGGTCAGGAGTTGGAGACCAACCTGGCCAGCATGGTGAAACCTCGTCTATACAAAAAATATAAAAAATTAGCTGGGCATGGTGGCACGTGCCTGTAATCCCAAGCTGCTCGGGAGGCTGAGGCAGGAGAATTGCTTGAACCTGGCAGGCGGAGGTTGCAGTGAGCCAAGATCATTGCGCTGTTGCACACCAACCTGGGCAACATAGCAAGACTCGGTCTCAAACAAACAAAAAAAAGGGGAGGGGCAGGGCTTTAGACAGATCCAAGCTCAACCCTGCAAGTTGCCGGGACTCCGTTTCTTTATCTGTAACATGGAGATCACGATGTTCACCTCGCAGAGTAGATTAAGCAGCTGGCATGTGTGAAGTGCCCAGCACTGTGTCTAGCATATGCTAGGTACTTGGCATGTGTTTCTTTCTTTCCCTCCCTTGTTCAAGGCCACATAGTCCATGACTGGCAGAGCTAGAAGCCTTCTCATTTACCCACAATCAAAGAACTTCTACAAAATAGAAACAGCCCCCTGCCCCCTCCTGCCCCCGCCCACCTGCTACCTTAATAGGTTATTTCCCAGTTATTCAATGCAAGAGACTTAGCCCAGCTAAAGTTATTCAAAATCGACCTTGAGATCAGGAACAAATTGGCTACAGCAGTCAGCGATTGGCAAATGCAATCTAAATGCCCCAGGCGGCATTAGAGCCTTCCACGTTGACAGGAAGAGTCAATGTGCATCTTGGAAAAATCTGAGAAAAAAAAATTAAAGGTCACCGCATTTGTAGGCAGAATGGGTTTTCTTGAGACCATTACAAACAGACTGCCTAAATTGCAAAGATTCCAGGCTTGACAGCTCCCGGAGGACTCCAGATGGAAAGAACACCACCCCCATCTCTTATACATCCAGGCTGCTGTCTGTGGACGTCCGAAGGTTCTCCCACCACCCATGCTATTATTGAAATTCCACAATCAACCTGCAATGCCCCAGTGAACCATTTTGCTGGGATGGGAGGACCAACTTAGGGCCAGCCCTGTGTTCCAAGGGGCTGACCAGGCAGGACAGCCAAGGAGGCACAAGTCTGTAAGATGGGTCCAAACATTTCTGTAGGAAGGGGGTCTTGAGCCAAAGCAGGAAAAATCAAACCCCAACACAAAGTGTAGAGAGAGTCGGATCATAAATCACACACAGACAGGGTCCGAGAAACATGGGCTGGGGACCAGCAGATGACAGGCTAGGATAATTGATCATTAGAACATCTGTGCTGTTTTTGTTGTAAGAATAGTATCAATATTAATAACAACAGCTAATATATATTGAGTGGCTTCTGGAGCCAGGCACTGTGGTAAACTTTTGCACGTATCCTCTCACTTAATCCTCACAGTGCTCTACAAAGTGGGTACTGGATTCATGCCCATTTCACAGAGAACATATCTGAGGCTCAGAGAGGCATCTACAAGGTCAACCAGGTAATCAGGAAAGCCAGATTTCAAGGGCTTGTCCACATCACTCTATGACATGTGGGGAACTCAAGTGTGTGTTGGCTTAACTCAAATAAATAGTACAAGTTAGGCTGGGCACGGTGGCTCATGCCTGTAATCCCAGCACTTTGGGAGGCCAAGGCAGGTGGATCACCTGAGGCCAGGAGTCTGAGACCAGTCTGGCCAAAGTGGCAAAACCCTGTCTCTACTAAAAATACAAAAAATTAGCCAGGTATGGTGGTGGGCATCTGTAATGCGAGCTACTCAGGAGGCTGAGACAGGAGAATTGCTTGAACCCCGGGAGACAGAAATTGCAGTAAGCCAAGATCGTGCCACTGCACTCCATCCAGCCTGGGCAACAAGAGCGAAACTCCGTCTCAAAAAAAAAAAAAAAAAAACCAACCAACAAACAAACAAAAAAACAAATAAATAGTAAAAGTTACTTCTCAACACGAGCCAGTCATTTTTTAAAGTATCTTACATTTTTCTTTTCCTTTACTTATTACTTTTTGAATTGACAAACAAAAATTGTCTATAATTATTGTGTACAACCTGATGTTTTGAAATATGTATACATTGCGGACTGGGGAAATCAAGCTAATTAACAAGTGGTGGGGATGCTTCAAATTTACTCTCTTGGCAATTTGCAAGAATACAAACACTTTTATTAATTATAGTCACTATTTTCCAAACAAGGAAACGAATGCCCAGTAAAAGTACAAAGTAACAGAACTCCTCACTGAAGCTGGGGTCATGGGTGAAAAAGATAAATATAGGCTGGGCGCCGAGGCTTATGCCTGTAATCCCAGCACTTTGGGAGGCAGAGGCAGGTGGATCATCTGAGGTCAGGAGTTCAAGACCAGCCTGGCCAACATGGTGAAACCTCATCTCTAGTAAAAAAAAATACAAAAAAAAAAAAAAAAAGCTGGGTATGGTGGCAGGTGCCTGTAATCCCAGCTACTCGGGAGGCTGAGGCAGGAGAATTGCTTGAACCCAGGAGGCAGAGGTTGCAGTGAGCCGTGAACGTGCCATTGCACTCCAGCCTGGGTGACAAGTGTGAAACTCCATCTCAAAAAAAAAGATAAAATACAAATACATCCATATATAATTAAAATATGATAGTGGTGTGTTTTCCTGTTTAACAAATATTTACTTCCCTCTCATTCCCTTCACCATGGGAAGAACAGAATCCTCTGCCCCGTTAGTGATGGGTTTGTTTTGGCCAATGGAACATGAGCAGAGCTGACGGTGCACCAGTTCCCAGCTTAGACCTTAAAAGGCATTGAGTATTTCTGCTCACTCCTCTCTGGAAGCTGCCAACCTTCACCAGGTACCACTGCTTCTCCAATCTGGACCTCAGAAATAAATGTAAGAATCAGACTTGAACTCAACCCACAGCCTAAAGCAGAATCTCTCCAGCTAAACCACAGACCTATGAGCAAAAAAAAGTGTTTATTTTTATAACCATGAGGGTGGTGTTACTTGTTACACAGCTACAGGTAACTGATACATTTACACGTGAATATGTGCACATACTATACATGTGCATATTATATAGGATACATATGTGTGGCCGTGTTACATGGAAATAGATACATATAAATCCTTAAAATGTATCTCCATATGTGGGATATTTATACATATCTATTTGGGAGATAGTAAATGAGGTAGAATTTGGAGACTGCTAAATTTGCATTCTTGCATTGACACAAGCTGTGCATTTTGGGGGAAATTACTTGACATCTCTGAGCACATTTTCTCCTTTGTAACATGGAGATAAAGATGAAGCTTATCTCATAGGATTACTGTGAGAGTTGAGTAAAATAATACACGTAATGGGCTTAGCAGGGAGCCTAACACACACTCGCTCACACCCATTCATTCAATAAATGTTATTGAGTAACCACATTTGCCAGGCCCTCTTATTGGTGTTTAGAACACAGTTACTAGCTGTGGGGAAAAAAGCAAAAATAAAAAGGATAAGGAGAGCCAGCAGCCCCGGAGGAGGAGGGAGGCAGGCATAGGATGTGCCTGTGCCTGGCACGTAGTAAGTGCTCAATTATTGGTAGCCATTTTTATTCTCAAAGTGATTAACGTGAGAACAAGGGGGTCAGCTGGAGATTTAAAAAACAATAATCAGTCTCTCTGCTCCGCAGCAGACCCCTGAGACCCTTGGCAAACCCCAGCAATAGATCAAGGACCTTCAGTAGGTGAATACAGTCGCAGGAACTGCTATAGCTGACACATAGTCCCTGCAACTCCAGCCAGACGCCAGCACCAGCTGCCACTGGGAGATGTGAGCTTGGCTTCTCCATGAAAGAGAAAGATTCCTGGGGCCTCAGCCATGCCTCAAACCCACTGATAACATCAAACACACATTGCTGGGGGGAGCCGGCCAGGTGCTCAGAAGCTGCAGGGTGACCCTGCATGTAGGTGTCGGGAAGTCAGCAGCGACTCGCGGGTGGAGAAACACCCACGCCTTTGCAAACACTCTTAATGTAATGCACTGCCCTTGAGGCCACCTCCCGTTTTTTTGGCCCTAATTGGCATGTTTTTCTGTCTCCTCAGAAACAGCCACGGGAGACAACATTCCATAGCAGTTAAAAGTGTGGTCTCTGGGTTTGCAACCAGACTATTCCCCACCAGCTGCAACCTTGGGCGAGACACTTAACCCCAGGAGCTTCCCCTCCCGTGGTTGTGATGATTAAATGAGATAACCAGATAACCCCTTAGATGGCAAACACTCAGCACAGTGCCTGATGCTCATCATTGTGGCTTTTATTACGGACTCATTTTATAAACGAGGACATCAAGGCCCAGACAGCTTAAGCCATTTGCTCAAGGTCAGAAGGTCACTCTAACCTTGCCATCAAATCTTGGGATTTTCTTTTTCCTCCATCACACCATCCCCAACTGATCTACTCCTCAAGTGAATTTCAGAAATCCTCCAAAGATGAATTTTGATCTACCTAGAGCTGTGCTGACTTAACTGGAGCATAGCACATATTTTCAAAACAGGAGGAAACTTGACCACAGCTTTGAGCCATGTGGATGATAAAGTCATCGTAGGTGAACTTGAGACTGGGATTCGGCCCTTGTGTCAATTGTGATTAGCACAGAGTGAAGCAGCGTCATTCTCTCGGGGGTAATACCTGAGATTCGTTGCCTCATACCAAAAACATTAAGGACACAGACACACACAAAGAGTGAGTTTAAAAGCAGAGGTTTAATAGGCAAAAGAATGAGAAAGGAGAACACTGTCTCTCTTCCGAGAGGGGGGCACCCAGTGGGACTTCTGGCCCAAGTCAGAGTGCACCAGATTTTACAGGGTTGGGGAGGCGGTGCCTGATTTACTAGGGCCCAAAGATTGGTTGCACCAGGTGTGACATTTACATAGCGCATGGGGAAGTTGGCCGCCCCACCCTAGTGTTACTATGCAAATGGGGTCTTTGCCTGGCTGGCTCCTTGTTGCCTGCTCCTTACTGTACACATGGCTGGCAAAGAGAAGGGAAGATGGAACTGCCGTGTTGGACGTGCCTAGCCCCAGCTAGCCTTTTCTTATGGGCGGAGCTGCCGGCATTCACCCGTGCAAGCTTCCAGCTTGCTTGCCTATGTCTGCAGCTTGATTTTACAGGATGCTCTCCGTTAGAAAAGAAAAATGATTTGGGGACTGCTTTTCATTAAAAGGAAAACCTTACTGAGGACTTCCTTACCCTCACTATCTGCCTAAATAATTTCTTCTTAACTCTTACATCAGTAATATGAACTCAACAGACTGAAAGTAACAATCAGATCACAAACACAGATGTCTACAGAGTCTGGAGGTTACTAGGGTGACTATCCATCCTGGCTTGAGCACTGCAAGTCCCACACTCTGGGAATCCGCTCAGGCCTGGGCAAACCAAGACAGCTGGTCACCCTCGCCGTAACATAAGTGAGTAAAGGTATAAAAAGCTGTGCCTGTCTCAGCGTTTTCCACTTCTGAGAAGCAATCATGTATGGTGGTTAAAAGCAAGGACTCTAGAGCCAGACTCACTTGGTCTATACCCCACCTCCGTTGCCTACCAGCTGCAGGACCTCACACAGGATTACCCAACCTCACCATGCTTCCGTTTCCTCACATATAAAATAGAGATATTAGAGCCCCCTACCCTAGGTCAGCCTCAACACCACTGACATTTTGGACCTGATCGTTCTTTACTGGGGAGTCTGGGGACAGCCCTGTGCCTTGTAGGATGTTTAGCAGCATCCATGGCCTCTACATACTGGACGACAGTAGCACAGTATACCCTAGTTGTGACCATCAAAAATGTCTCCAGACATTGCCAAATGTCCCTTATGGGGATAGAAGTGTCCCCAGTTGAGAACCAGTGTCGTAGGCAGTGTTGTGAGGATAAGGGAGGTGGTACATGCAAAATGCTGAGAAAAAGCCATGACTTGGAGAGTCTGTTTCTACAGGAACAGCCAATAAAGCCTTAGAGATGGAGCAGGAAGGTGGCAAGCCAAGAGCTGAGCAAGCAGGACCTTGGAGGGACCAAGGGCAGGGCAGCCAAGCCACTGTGAAGTGGAACAAGTTCTGCAAACGGAGGCCAGCCCGGCCACCCTCCCCCTCACCTCTCACACAAGATTGGACTTCTATTTCACCCCAGGTGCGGAAAGTGGAGTGAATTACTCCTCAGTTTCTGGCATGGCACCACGGTGCAGTGCAAAACCCCCTCAGCTGAGGTATTCCTCTTCTCTTGAATGTGTGCGCATTCTTGTGAAGTGCATTTGCTCATCAAATATTGAGTGTTCAGAATGTGGCACGAAGACAGCGGTGAACAAAATAGACAGAAATCCCTGCCCTCTTGTAGCTTTAAGCATACTGTCTTGTGTACAAATACATTTTTAACCAATAAAAATTGTGTCATACTATGGTCTAGATATGGTTTGTTTTGGCCCCTGCCAAGTCTCATGTTGAAATGTGATCCCCAGTGTTGGAGGTGGGGCCTGGTGGGAGGTGTTTTGGTCATGGGGGCAGATGCCTCAGGAATGGCTGGGTGCCATTCTCTCAAGAGTGAGTGATTTCCCACTCTTAGTTCCTGCAAGAACTGATTGTGTGTGCGTGTGTGTGTGTGTTTCAAGATGGAATCTCGCTCTGTTGCCCAGACTGGAGTGCAGTGGCATGATTTCAGCTCACTGCAACCTCTGCCTCCCGGATTCCAGAGATTCTCCTGCCTCAGCCTCCCGAGTAGCTGGGATTACAGGCACCCGCCACTACATCCAGCTAATTTTTGTGTTTTTATTTTTTTCTATTTATTTATTTATTTATTTATTTATTTATTTATTTATTTATTTATTTTGGGACACAGTCTCGCTCTGTCAGCCAGGCTGGAGTGCAATGGCAAGATCTCGGCTCATTGCAACCTCCACCTCCTGGGTTCAAGTAATTCTCCCACCTCAGCCTCCCAAGTAGCTGGAGTTACAGGCAAGAGCCACCATGCCTGGCTAATGTTTGTATTTTTAGTACAGAGAGGGTTTCGACATGTTGGCCAGGCTGGTCTCGAACTCCTGACCTCAAGTGATCCACCCACTTCGGCCTCCCAAAGTGCTGGGATTACAGGCATAAGCCACTGCATCCGGCCGAGAACTGATAGTTAAAAATAACCTGGAACCCTCCTCTGTCTCCTATTCTTCCCTGTCTCCTTCTTCCTTCTCTCATCCTCCTTCCTCATACCCCTCTTCTCTCCCTCTCTCTCTCTCTCTATCTTACCATGTGATCTACACACACCAGTTCCTCTTCACTTCTGCCATGAGTGGAAGCTTCCTGAAGCCCTCATCAGAAGCAGATGTTGGTGCCATGATTCTTGCAGAATGATGAGCCAAATAAACTTTTTTTCTTTGTAAATTATCCAGCCTCAGGTGTTCCTTTATAGCAGCACAAACAAAGACACTTGCTATAAATTGATTCTGTTGCTCACTTTTTTTCCCCTTGTGCTTTGTTTTTAAGATCCATCCAGGCCGGGCACAGTGGCTCACGCATGTAATCCCAGCACTTTGGGAGGCTGAGGTGGGTGGATCACCTGTGGTCAGGAGTTCGAGACCAGCCTGGCCAGTATGGTGAAACCCTGTCTCTACTAAAAATACAACATTAGCCAGGTATGGTGGCGGGCGCCTGTAATCCCAGCTACTCGGGAGGCTGAGGCAGAATTGCTGGAACCCAGGAGGCGGAGGTTGCAGTGAGCCGAGATTGCACCATTGCACCCCAGCCTGGGCAACAGAGTGAGACTCCATCTCAAAATAAATAAATAAATAAATAAATAAAATAAAAGATCCGTCCATACTGGCATGTGAAGATCAGACCTGTTTTTCTAACTACCGCAGTCATATCCCACAGTGAGTATCTGTCATGCTTTGCTTATCTATCCCCTTCTGATGCGCACAGCAGTGGCTTCCAATACCCCGCTACCACAAACCCACCTCCTTGAACATCCTTGGGTGAAACTTTCTCTGGGGTATAAATCCAGGAGGGGAATTGCTGCTGCTCAGTCTTTAATATGCACAGGACTCACCCAGGGATCTTGTTAAAAGGCAGATTTTGACTCAAGAAGTCTGGAAGGAGACTCGAGAATTTCCATTTCTAACAAGCTCCCAGGTGATGCTGATGCTGCTGGTCTGGGACCACAGAGAATATGCAGCCTTCATTTGCTTTAGTGTCAGATCTCTCTAGAATGACCGCGCCAGTCCACAGTCCAAGGGCTTGCTTTTAGAGGGGGCCAAACCCCACTGGCCCCCCTAACACGGTGTAGACTTGCAGGGCTCTGCTGAGAGCCACCATTAACCACAAGCATCATGTCCGTATTGCTACCGTTCGTCAATACCCTTGACCCTCTTGCCTTCAGGAACCCTCTATTTCCAAGCACATCTCCAAATCAGAGCCCCACCCCCTCCACAATGCAAAGTGGGACCATCTAGAAGAACATCCAGCCCAACCTCCTGGCTTTATAAAGGGAGAAACCAAGACTGAGAGACTTGCAAGAAATCACAAGAAATTCCCGTTTCTTTGCATCTTACTCCTCCAGAGCCCTCTTTGAGTGATCAGTAATTCGTCCACAATTTATAGGACTTAGTTCACTTTACCCATCTTTTTCCATCTCCCTGCCCCACCCCACTCCACCCTCCCCATCCCATATCCCCCAGCCCACCCTGCTTTTTAATCCTTGCTAGAATCATCCATTTTGCGACCAAGTATTGACTTCAAATGATATATGAGACAATTGACATTTCAAATATTCCAGGCAGGATACAGAATTCTGATCACGGCCCAGTCTGAAACATCTCCTCCACATCTCTTTCCTTATTCCTTCTGGGCAATAATTGTCCCCCCACCAGCCCACCCCACTCCCAACCTCGACATTAATTTCCCCTGATTCATTTTTCATGCCTTTGAATTCTGCCTTTTCAAAGCAGAATATGTTTCTGTAGCTGTTTCTCATACCTCCCTTCCCCTCATGAATATTTCAAATGCAATAGTGATATGATCGTTCAACCTTAAGAGGCACACCAACTTTATCTTATTTATCTTACCGAGCTGCTTCCGATCCCGGGATTAAGTCCAAAACATCCTTTGAGAGTTTGTTTGAGTTGTTTTCCCTCAGGCTGTTGCTGCTGTGTATGTAAATTACAAAGAGAAGCAGCCTCCCCCTCCCCTCAGCCCCAGCCCCGGGCACCAGCCCCCGGCCCGAGACGCCCGCCCTCCCTCTGCCAATCCTTCCTGGGAGATGCAAGACGCGCTCCTCTCAAAGCCAATTGGCAGGCCTCCGGACGGGTCCCTGCCAGGGCATGTCTCCCTGACTTCCTCCAGTGGTCTCTTAGAAGCCCAAAACTCACCATGCGACCTTGGGTAGGGCGTTCCGCCACTCAGGCAAGTTTCCCCATCTACAAACAAGGGGAATAGACACGGCGACCCTAAAGTCCTTTCAGCTCTGAGACTCCATGTCACGTGATGTAATGTAACAGACAGAGCCCTACCTGGTTCCAATCCAAGCTCTACTACTAAACGAGTGATGAGATGGCTCACCAACTGTACCTACCACTGACTAGCTGTGTGACCCTTAACTAACTGTACCTACCACTGACTAGCCGTGTGACCCTTAACTAACTGTACCTACCACTGACTAGTGGTGTGACCCTTAACTAACTACACCTACCACTGACTAGCCGTGTGACCCTTAACTAACTGTACCTACCACAGACTAGCCGTGTGACCCTTCACTAACTGTATCAACCACTAAACTATCCATGTGTCTTTTAATTGTATCTACCATTGACTAGTCTTGTGACCCTTAACTGTCTGCCACTGACTAGCTGTGTAACCCCTAACTAACTGTACCTACCACTGACTAGCCGTGTGACCCTTAACTAACTGTACCTACTACTGACTAGCCGTGTGACCCTTCACTAACTGTATCAACCACTAAACTATCCATGTGTCTTTTAATTGTGTCTACCATTGACTAGTCTTGTGACCCTTAACTGTCTGCCACTGACTAGCTGTGTAACCCCTAACTAACTGTACCTACCACTGACTAGCCATGTGACCCTTAACTAACTGTACCTACTACTGACTAGCCGTGTGACCCTTCACTAACTGTATCAACCACTAAACTATCCATGTGTCTTTTAATTGTGTCTACCATTGACTAGTCTTGTGACCCTTAACTGTCTGCCACTGACTAGCTGTGTAACCCCTAACTAACTGTACCTACCACTGACTAGCTTTGTGACCCTTAACTAGCTGTACCTACCACTGACTAGCTTTGTGACCTTTAACTAAATATACCTGCCTCTGACTAGATGTGTGGCCCTTAACTAACTGTATCTACCACTAAACTATCCATGTGTCTTAAACTATCCGTGTGTCTTTTAACTGTCTACCATTGACTAGCTGTGTGACCCTTAACTGTGTCTACCACTAACTAGCTGTGTAACCCTTAACTAACTGTATCTACCACTAACTAGCTGTGTAACCCTTAAATCTATCACTAACTGTGTGACCCTTAACTGTGTCCACCACTGACTACCTATGTGACCCTTAACTAACAGTATCTACCACTGACTAGCTGCACAACCCTTAACTATGTCAACCACTGACTAGCTGTGTGACTCTTAACTGTTTCTACAACTAACTGACTGTGGGACCCTTAATTGTGTCCACCACCGAGTCGGTATGTAACTTGTTTCTACCACTAACTAGCTGTGTGACCATGATGCGAGTTACAGAAGTTCTCAGGGTCTCAGTTTCCTCCCCTGCAGCATGCATTGGTTAACAGCAGCTGCCTCTGGGGCTGTAGTAGGGTGACCAGCCATCCTCTTTGGTTTATCTAGGACCGAAGTGGTTCCAGGTATAGGGAACGCTCAGTGTCAAATCCAGTAAGTGCTAAAGCCAACACAAGTTTGTCACCCAAGGTTGTAGTGAGAACTAAAGGTGAATGAGGTGACATGGATAAAATCTAGCACATCAATATAAGTTAGTGTCATTACTATTGCTATTGCTATTGCTTTTTGTTTGTTTGTTTAGAGATAGAGTTTCACTCCTGTCACCCAGGCTGGAGTACAATGGAGCGCTCTCGGCTCACTGCAACCTCCGCCTCCTGGATTCAAGTGTTTCTCCATACTCAGTCTCCTGAGTAGCTGGCATTACAGGCACCCACCACCACGCCTGGCAATTTTTGTATTTTTAGTAGAGACGGGGTTTTGCCATGTTGGCCAGGCTGGCCTTGAACTCCTGACCTCAGGTGATCCACCCACCTCGGCCTCCCAAAGTGCTGAGATTACAGGCGTGAGCCACCATACCCGGCTGCTATTGTTAACGGTTCTGCTCATGGCTATAAAGGAATTTTTTTTCACTTCTAATTTTTTCTAGAATTTCAGATTTCTCTTTATCAAAGCAGTACAAGCAAATGATACAAATGACTTGAAATGGAAAACAAAGCTGTCTTACCCCAGCCCTTCTCCCATCAAATCCCTCTCCCCAAAGGCAGGCAGTTGAAGTCCTTTTTAGCGACTGATCTTTTAAGGCTGACTCTGCCTCAGTCACCCTCTGTTCCCACTACTTCAGGCCCTCACCACATTGGCCAGGCTGGTCTTGAACTCCTGACCTCGTGATCCTCCCACCTCAGACTCCCAAAGTGTTAGGATTACAGGTGTTGAGCCACAGCACCAGGTCCATCGGTTTTCATTACCACCACCTGACAGGTGAGCAGGCTGGTTCACACTCTGGTCACCTGGCATGGCTTGTCACATACTGGTGAAGCTGTCACCCGCAAAATCCAGACCTGGGACTGAGGAAAGAGCTAAGCGATCCTAAAGAGATACAGTCTCTCAGGTGGCCCTTGATGGGGGCAAAGAGAGGAAGGGACAGTTCCTCTTTTATTTGTCCATTCACACATGTTGGGAGCCAGGCATTAAATTTGCAAGCCAGAAAAGGCAGGAAAAACCAAGTTTATGGCTTTTCAAGTTGGTTCAGAAATTACTGTATGGGCCCTCCAAAAGGTTTAATGTCTCTGTGGTGTCATCCCAAAGAGAAGCACAGAGAAGCAAGAGGATCTGCAGCTGAAGAGCCCAGAGGCAATGAACACTCACCTTGACTCTCTTCTCATTTCTGAGGCTCTATCAGTTAAGGTTCTTAGTTTGCAAGCAACAGAACCAAATCTTTTTTTTTTTTTTTTTTTTTTTTGAGACAAAGTCTCACTCTGTCGCCCAGGCTGGAGTGTAGTGCACGATCTCGGCTCACTGCAAGCTCTGCCTCTTGGGTTCAAGCGATTCTTCTCCCTCAGCCTCCTGAGTAGCTGGGAGTACAGGCACACGCCACCATGCCCAGCTAATTTTTGTATTTTTAGTAGAGACGGAGTTTCACCATATTGGCCAGGCTGGTCTCAAACTCCTGACCTCGTGATCTGCCCACCTTGACCTCCCAAAGTGCTGGGATTACAGGCGTGAGCCACCATGCCCAGCCAACAGAACCAAATCTTTACATTAAAAAGCGGGGAGCTTACAGGATCAGAGAAAGAATAGAGTTCCCAGACTTGAGGGGGTTCCAGTTGGACCATCTTTGTATGGTGGTGGATCTCAACCCTCACTGCAGCCAACAGTCAACCAAAGAGACTTTTAGAAACCACTGATGCTGGGCCCTCACCCTCAGAAATTGAGATTTAAGCCGGGCATGGTGGCTTATGCCTGTAATTCCAACACTGTGGGAGGCCAAGGCAGGCAGATCACTTGAGCCCGGGAGTTCAAGACCAGCCTGGGAAACATGGCGAAACCTCGTCTCTACTAAAAATACAAAAATTAGCTGGATGTGGTGGCGCATGCCTGTAGTCCCAGCTACTCAGGAGACTGAGGCAAAAGGATAGCTTGAGCCCAGGAGGTGGAGATTGCAGTGAGCCGAGATTGTACCACTGCACTCCAGCCTAGATGACAGAGTGAGACCCTGGCAGGGCAAGGCAGGGCAAGGCAGAGCAAGGCAAGGCAAAAAGGAAAGAAACTGAGATTTAACTGGCTCAGGTCTGTCTTGTTTCACACCTCCCCTAGGTGATTCTAAGGTGAGGTTGAAAAATGAGATTCACTACTCTCGGGATGCAACTGCACCGTGAGTCCAGAAACCAGCAGTACTGGCATCACCATCTCCAGTAGAGCTCGTCAGAAATGCAGACTCTCTCTCAGAACCACCCCAGACCTTTCGAGTCAGAATCTGCCCTCGAACAAGATCCTCCAGTTAGCGTTAAGCAGATTAAAGGTTGAGAAGCACTAGGCTGCAGGGTCATGGAATGACTGGACTCTAATCACTCTACATCCTTGATGATCTCTCCTTAAGATGCAAATTCCCAGAAGGCAGGCATTTGATGGGCCATGCTTTTGTCACACCATGATAGAAGATCTGGGCATAAGAAATTCTGCAGAGTGGTCCCACCAGACCCACAGGCAGGAGAAGGGCCGTCCCTGAACGGAGTGGGATGCGGGGCTGATAAATACTACATAGGTTAAGCACAGCGACCTTCACAGTTCAGAGATAGTGATGCCAACTACCACTTATTAAGCACCTACTGTATGCCAAGCACAGTGCCAAGGACTCAAATTACTCATGGAATTCCCCCTATAACCATGAAGCCAATATTATTATTACTGCTACAGCTACTACTACTATTATTTTATAAAGGAAGAAACTAAGGTTTAGAGCAGTAGATCCAACTTTAGCATGGATCAGAATCACCTGGAAGATTTGTAAACTCACAGACTTCTGGAACCTACCCTCAGAGTTGCTGGTTCTGTAAGTCTAGGGTAAAGCCTGAGAATTTTTATTTCTAGCAAGTTCCCAGATGATGCTGATGCTGTTTGTCCATTCACACATGTTGGGAGCCAGGCATTAAATTTGCAAGCCAGAAAAGGCAGTAAAAACCAAGTTAATGGCCTTTCAAGTCAGTTCAGAAATCACTGTACGTGCCCCCAAAAAGGGAATGCCAAACATTAGGCAAGTCCCCATCTTCACAATGAGAACTTACCCACCTCAGAGAGATGGTTTCCCCAGGAAACAAGTGCAGATGGCATTTTGCAGAAAGTGCACATTGAAAGAAAGCAAACTGGCTTAGAAATATGGTTAATGGGAATTCTTTGGAATTCATAGCATCAGGAGAGAGTCGTTTCCTTCTACCACACACCTGGCTGGGAGGGTGACAATGTCCTTAGGAGGGAGAGACTGGGAAACATTAATACCAGAGCCCTGGCTATTATTTGCAATGTATAGCAATGTTTTTCCTCAAGGTAGATCTTTGGTGAGCTGTACACAGTAAAGCTAGCCATTCAGGTGGAATTACATCCAACTAGTCATCTCCGTCATACTAAAACAGTAAACAATGCTTGAAGAAGTCAGATGCCTGGCATCAAATCTAAGATCCACCATTTACTGGCTGTGGTCATTAGGCAAGATGCTTAACGTCTTTGTTCCTTATTATCCTATTTTGTAAATGGGGGAATTATAATAATACCTAATCTCTAGGTTACTGGATGGACTAAATGAAATAATGTGTGAAATTTTTAGTAACATAGCTAGAATATTACAAGCTCCCAATAAGTCTATTGTATTAGTCCATCCTCACACTGCTATAAACAACTGGCCAAGAATGGGTAATTGATAAACAAAAGGGGTTTAATTGACTCACAACAGGTCTGCATGGCTGGGGAGGCCTCAGGAAACTTACAATCATGACAGAAGGAGAAGCAGACATCTTCACAAGGCGATAGGAGGGAGAAGTGAGAGCACGGGAAAAAACTGCCACGTTTAAAACCATCAGATCTCATGAGAACTCACTCACTATCATGAGACCAGCATGGGAGAAGCCGCCCCCATGAGCCAATCACATCCCTCCTTCGACACATGGGGCTTACAGCTCCCTCCCTCGACGCGACACCTGGTGATTATAATTCAAGATGAGATTTGGGTGGAGACACACAGCCAAACCATATCACCTATTTTATTTATCATACCATTATTGTTATTATTATTATTGGTGGATGTGCTGGTGGCGTTAATATTGTTGGCAAAACTGGAACTAGCTGGATCTTTATCAATAATTGCAATCATGATTCTGACATCTGACCCTTTCATGCCACTGGTAGGCATGTAAACAGGCACAATTTTTCTGGAAGGTCATTTGGCAATATGTATCAAGAGCCTTACAAATACGCACCCATTTTGACCCAGAAGGTCCACTCCTAGAAATTTATTTTAGGGGAGTACATCCAGTTGAGGACAAAGATGTATGCCCAAGGAAGCCATCACATTATTGCAAATGGTAAAAAATGAAGTGTCAACCAACAGAAAAATGTTTCTGAAATTACACTATGTTCGTACAATGAAATCTTCTTCCAATTATTAAAATAATGTTCATGCCTTTTAATTGGGGTGATTGTATAATTTTATATCTTTATAAAAATATATGTATGTAAGACTTCATATAGATGATGAACTCAATTATGTAAACATATGATAGAAAAAGAGAAGGGAATAATCCAAAAGCCATCTGCTCTGGGTCTTAGAATGGGAATTCTTATGGTTTTGTGCATTTTTGCAGCTATTTCTCAATAGTCCCCTTTATAATCAGAGCAGGCTGGGTAGAATCTGGTACAGGAGATTGTGGCAAACTAGATAATTAACCCAGAGAACATTATTTCTGTCTGGGTATGCCATTAAGTTACAAAGACCTTTTGTAAATGTGGGTAATAATGAAAAGAGGGCTATAGTGTTGGAAAGGAAGACAGGAGATAAGGAGGAATGAAAAGGAGTAGGTATTATTTCTACAGAGTCTTGAAAGATTAAGAAAAATGAGGCAGCCAGATGCAGTGGCTCACACCTGTAATCCTAACACTTCGGGAGATCAAGGTGGGAGGATTGCTGGAGCCCAGGAGTTTGAGACCAGCCTGAATGATTGAGTAAGACTCCCCTCTCTACAAACAAAATTTAAAAAACTAGCCAGGCATGGTGGTGTGCACCTATGCTCAGGAGGCTGAGGTGGGAGGATCACTTGAGCCCAGGAGGTTGAGGCTGCAGTAAGCCGTGATCACACCACTGCACTTCAGCCTGGGTGACAGAGCAAGTCCCTGCCTCAGAAAAAAAAAAAAGAAAGAAAGAAACAAAAGAAAAGAAAAGAAAAAATGAAGCAAAAGATACCAGCAGCATTGGCTGAGCCCTAGAGGTAATGGGAAGGGTTGATGGGGCAAGATCAGAGACTTCTGTGATGTTTCCATTTGATGAGACAAAACTCAGCATTAGCAGAATTAAAGTTACCTAATCTCTAGATTAGGAAAGGGAACAGAGAAATACCTCATGGCAACACATGGCCTTTTTGAGTTGCAAGTTGACAGAAACTCAAGTCAAACTGGCTTCACTGAGAAATTCACTCTAGGTGAGATCTGTCATCAGGTTGGAGGGGATACAGGCTGTTAGGCAGTGTGATCGGCTTTCCTTCTCCTCTCTCAGCTCGGCTCTCCTGTGATTTCCTTCTCAGGCAGGCTCTCCCCCAGGGTGATGAGATGACCACCAGCAGCTCCCGGTTTCCACCCTACCAGGTTTGCAACCCCAGCAAAAAGAGAACCCCTCTTTCCCTATCCACCTAACAGAAGTCCTGCCACTGATGCTCTTTGAACCACCTTAAAGGCAGGTTTCTGAATCAATCACAACAGCCAGGAGAATGGCATTCTCCCATCTGCCAAGCCCAGTCTCTCGAGTCACCCAAAACACATGGGCTGAGAATGGAGGAGAGGTCCCACCTCTCCCCCAAAAAAGTGAGATACTGGTCTAAGAAACAGAAAAACGAAGCTTACATAGGCTAAATGAACCCAGAAGCACTATGTGGAGTTTTTCCTTCCAGAACATGAACCAAGTACTCAAGTTACCCCCAGATGGTATCAGAAGGAAGGATTCAACAGTGCCCTTAAAAAAGGGCCATAGTTCTCAACCAGGGGTGATTCCTCCTCCTCCCCTCAGGGGACATTTGGCAATGACAATGGGGCAGGGGGTTGTGCTACTGGCATCTAGTGGGCAGAGTGTAGGGATGCTGCTACACACCTTACAGTGCACAGGACAACCCTCACCCAAAGGATTATCTAGCCCAAAATGTCCACAGTGCTGAGACTGTGAAACCCAGAATTAGGATGACCTTATAAGTTATCGCCCAAACCAGAATGCTTTCGAGACAGGCAAAACCAGGAAAGCAGTCGTAACAGGGACTGTTGCAGCAAATGAGGACATATGGTTACCCTACTCTCAACACACCGTCCAAACAGAAGGCAAAGCCATTCTCACTGAAGGCTGTGATTCAAGGGAAACGTTTCAATGCTCCCCACCCCAATCATCAATTACAGGACCACAGAGATGCTCTTCCCAGCCGAGGCTTGTCTTTGACCCCTTCTGCTCTCTCCCACTTCCGGCATGGCTGACAGTCCCTCCCATCTACTTCTAAGAGGTCACTAAAAATCGACCAGGGCTTGCCAGCCTAGTGGGGTTGCCCAAATGTCTGCCCACAGATGCCGCTTCGAAAAGCTGTCTCTGGCATGGCCCCTACTGCAGCGGCGCGTGACAGACTGCCTTGCTTGGTGGAAGGAATCCCACCCCAATTAAATTGCTGGAGCCCTGCTGGGAAGGAGGTGGAGGCGGGAGGAGAAGGAGAGTAGGGAGCCGGGCAAGCCACTCCTGCCTCTCCTTTTTCATCTCGGAAGAGCCAATTTCAAGCTTGCCTCGGGTCATAAAAGAAATTAATTTGATTCTCTCAACCTTGCTCAGAGTGGACACACGTCTTCGGCTGGAGCATCTGCTGCTGCTGGATCCAGAGCGAGGAGACCATCCCCTCGAAACGATTCCATTTCTGTTGCAAGGCAGGGCCAAAATCATCTGCCTGGAGCTGGAGAAGCAGCTGCCTGGAATACCCTGGGCTGTCATTTTTGCTGGTAAGATCGAAAAACGGTTCTCACAGCTAAGGTGACTCCCAAGTTGCAGGAGGTTTACCCAGAGAGATACTCATGGGTAGGGCTGGTTCTTGGAAAACTCCCAAACAGAATTTAGCAGTGGCAGCTGCCTAACCCACTTCATATTGATCAGCTTGATCACACTGAGTCCTCTTAACTGTCAGGCATGGCCCCTGGGCTGTATTCCTGATTGCACACAGCTAAGGTGACTCCCTTGTACAAGCCTCCCCGCCTGAGAGAGGATGGAACTTGTGACCTGCTTCTAATCAACAGAATATGGCAAAGGTGCCGAATGTCACTCTCTTGATCATATTTCATCAAATAAGATTTCCCCTTAGGAGACTTAGGGACTCCCTTGCTGGCTAGGAGGAAGTAAGCTACCATGTTGTGACAGGGCCATGTCAAAGAATGCAGGTGGCCTCTAGAAGCTGATAGAGGTCCCCAGCTGACAGCCAGCAAGAAAACAAGGCCTCAGCCAGGTGCAGTGGCTCACACCTATCATCCCAGCAATTTGGGAGGCTGAGGCAGGAGGATCGATTGAGCACAGGAGTTAGAGACCAGCCTGGGCAACATACAGAAACCTCATCTCTACCAACAATTTAAAAATTAGCCGCGCGTGAAGGCACCTGCCTGTGGTCCCAGCTACTTGGCAGGCTGAGATGGGATGATCCCTTGAATCTAGGAGTTAAAGGCTGCAGTGAGCTACAACTTACCACTGCACTCCAGCTCGGGTAACAGAACAAGAGGCTGTCTCAAAATAATAATAATAATAATAATAATAATAATAATAATAATAATAATAATAATTTTATTTAAAAGAAAAAGAAAACAAGAACCCAGCTTTACAACTACAAGGTAAGTCACCAGCAACTGCCATGAGGACCCATTGTCTAAATCTTTTAATGTAAAATAAAACTACATTAGAAACCACACAAACCAAATGTGTAGCTTCTTCAGCCTTTCCTTATTTTTCTAAGGTTGTACAAAACTATTGTATTTACAAAAATGGCACAAAAGTGAATTCAGCAGTCAATTCACATGCATACTTCCCTCACATCTTCAACAACAAAAGGTATTCTAACTCCAACTCTACAGAGCTTGGCAGTTTTCAGGAGTACTGGGGACGGATTTTGCAGGATATATCTCTGTATTAGTCCATTTTCATGCTGCTGATAAAGACATACCTGAGACTGGGCAATTTACAAAAGAAAGAGGTTTATTGGACTTACAGTTCCACGTGGCTGTGGAGGCCTCACAAACATGGTGGAAGGCAAGGAGGAGCAAGTCACATCTGATGTGGATGGCAGCAGGCAAAAAGAGCTTGTGCAGGGAAATTCCCATTTTTAAAAACCATCAGATCTCATAAGACTAATTCACTATCACGAGAACAGCACGGGAAAAACCTGTCCCCATGATTCAATCATCTCCCACCAGGTCCCTCCCACAACACGTGGGAATTATGGGAGCCACAAGATGAGATTTGGAACACAGAGCCAAACCGTATTAGCCTCCATTTGAGTTTGTCTGATTTTTTTCTTTTTTCATGATTAGACTCAGGTCATGAGTTTTTGCAAAGAATACCACAGAGGTGAAGTGCCCTTCTTTTCCAAGCTTGTCACTCATCCATGGTGTGGTTCAAACTTTCCCTTGTCTGTGATGTTCCTGCAACTAGTTCTAGACTTTTAGACTGCAATAATCTCATTATAAGGTACAGAGCTCATTCAAGAAGGATAAGGGGCATATTGATTTCCTAAGGATGATTAACAAAACAGCACAAACGAGGTGGCTTGAAACAAGAGAAATTTATTCTCTCACAATTCTTGAGGGAAGAAGTCCAAAATCAAGGGGTTCACAGAGCTGTACCCCGAGCCTCTGGGGAAGATCCCATCCTTTCCTTTCCTGGCTTCTGGTAACCATAGGCATTCCTGGGCTTGTAGCAGCTTCACTTCAATCTCTACCTTGTGCTCACTTCGGCAGCACGTACATTAAAATGGAACTTCAATCGCTATCCCCATTGTCACAAGGGGGTCTTCCCTGTGGGTCTGTGTCCAAATTTCCTACTTCTTCTAAGGACAATCTCGTATTAGATTAAGGGCCCACCCTACTCCAGTATCACATCTTCGTAATTACATCTGCAATGACCCTGTTTCCAACAGAGGTCACATTCTGGGGTACTGAGATGTTAGGGCTTTCAACATATCTCTTTGGAGAACACAGTTCAACCTATTAAATAAAGCATCCCACAAAACCAAAGTCAGAAAGCACAGCAGGGTTTTGGGATAGAAAGATAGCAGGAGTCAACACAGCCTGTCTCTGTCTTTCTGGGAGCTCCCGGTCTGTCCTTCCTAAGTCTGTATTGTGTCCTCAATCTCTTCTTTCTTTCTCTCTCTCTCTCTCTCTCACTCTCTCTCCCCCATCTTCTCGCTCCCCATCTCCCTCTCTCCCTCTCTCTCTCTCCGCCCCCCCATGTATTACTCTGTTTTCACAATGCTAATAAAGACATACCCAAGACTGAGTAATTTATAAAGAAAAAGAGTGGTCACGGACTCCCAGTTCCACATGGCTTTGGAGATCTCACAATTGTGGCAGAAGACGAATGAGGAGCAAAGTCACGTCTTACATGGTGGCAGGCAAGAGAGTGTGTGCAGGGGAACTCCCCTTTTTAAAGCCATCAGATCTCGTGAGACCTATTCACTATCACAAGAACAGCATGGGAAAAACCCGCCCCACGATTCAATTACCTCCCACCATGTCCCTCCGATGACATGTGGAAATTATGGGAGCTACAATTTGAGATTTAGGTGGGGACACAGCCAAACCATATCACCCTGCATATCAGTTTTTTCTATTGCAATTGTCCACAGGCCAAACATGACTATATTGTCACCAACTTTCTATCCCCCTCTAGTTTCAAGCACCTTCCAGAGATAAGCTCAGAGATTTTCAACTCCAAATTTCTGGGAGAGAGTCCACATGGCCTGGCTGTAATCCCATATCCAACCCCTTGGTACACAGCCATGGCCAGAGCCAAAAGAATCCTATGGGGTTCTGGATCTCCTAGGGCTCTGGGAAGGGCAAGTTTCTGAAGGAGGAATGGGGGTGGACAAAAATTATTGGCTGAGAAAATAGCTGGTGAACGAGACATTATTTCTGGTAGGGAATGAATGCAAGAGGCCACTATGTTCTGGAGCACAGAGAAAACTCCCACTGGATTCTCAGGACCGTCTGAGAGGAGAGGAATTTGAAAGCAGCTGAATTATCACAGGAGAAACAGAATGGAGTCAGAAAAATTCTGCTTTGTGGCACTTAGATCAATTCTATGTCTCATATCTTTGGGAGCATGGGTGGTTTCCCCCACCCTCCATTTTCCTCTTCTCTCTGAACAAAAGTTTTAGTTTGTGAAGTCAAATCTCATCTTTTTTTTTTTTTTTTTTTTTGAGACAGTCTCACTCTGTCACCCAGGCTGGAGTACAAGTGGTATGATCTCGGCTCACTGCAACTTCCGTCTCCAAGGTTCAAGTGATTCTCCTGCCTCAACCTCCAGAGTACTGGGATTACAGGTGTGCACCACCACACCTTGCTAATTTTTATATTTTTAGTAAAGACAGGGTTTCACCATGTTGGCCAGGCTGGTCTTGAACTCCTGGCCTCAGGTGATCCACCCACCTTGGCCTCCCAAAGTGCTGGGATTACAGGAATGAGCCACCACACCCAGCCCAAACCTTGTCATTTCTGAAATAGAGTGTCAGGGTAGTGTCTTAGTTAGCTTGAGCTGCTATAACAAATTATAATAGACTGTGAAGCTTAAACAACAGCAATTTATTTCTCACAGTTCTGGGGGCTGGGAAGTCTGAGATCAGGGTGCTGGCATGGTCAGGGTCTGGTGAGGACTCTCTCCTGGCTTGCAGATGGCTGCCTTCTCACTGTGTCCTCATGTGGTGGAGAGACGGGTATCATCTCTCTCATATCTCTTCTTACAAGGGCACTAATCCTATTCATGAGGGCTCCACCCTCATGATCTCATTACTTTCCAAAGGCCTCACCTCCTGATACCATCACACTGGGGGTTAGACTTCAGCCTATGAATCTGAGGGCAACACAACCACTGTCTGTTAGTTCACGGCAGACAGTGAAATAGTGGAAAGGAGGGTGTGATTGATTCTGGGGAGGGCTGGTGTTGAACTCTGACTGCAGGATAAAGCCCTCATTGGTTCTCTGGGCCCCGGTAACTGCCCATCTCCCCAAGAGGGTTCCCACATCCATTTCCTCCCACTCTGGGAGTGAGCCCAGCCCAGCATTTCATCAACAACTGATCTCAGGAGCCAAAAGACACAGGGAGAGTATGGTGATCAGGGAGCTGAGGAAGAGGGTGAAAAAAGGCAAGGGGTGCCAAGCAACTCAACCAGCACTTCCCCTCCATCTTCTGCTGGATTTGCTCCTTTGTCTCCCCAGCAGGTAGGAGGGATTGTCCAAGACAAAGCATTGGTTACCATCTTTCTGTGCCAAGGCTCTGGGAGACAAGACTGGATTGCGGTCTTCCTTCCTTATTGTACTTATTGTCTAACCTTAAGGTACTTCCTTATGGTACCATTTTCACACGCTGATAAAGACATACCCCCACACCCCAGACTGAGTAATTTATAAGGAAAAATAGGTTTAATGGATTCACAGTTCCACATGGCTGGGGAAGCCTTACAATCATAGCGGAAGACAAAAGGCACATCTTACATGGCAGCAGGCAAGAGAGAATGAGAGCCAAGCAGAGGGGGAAACCCCTTATAAAACCATCAGCTCTTATCAGACTTATTTACTACCATGAGAACAGTATGGGGGAACTGCCCCCATGATTCAATTATCTCCCACTGGGTCCCTCCCATGACACATGGGAATTATGGGAGCTAGAATTCAAGATGAGATTTGGGTGGGGACACAGCAAAACCATATCACTTATTCTGTAGGAAATGACTTCCAAGGCATTCTCCACCCCTGTCTACATCTGACAGATAGAATTATATTTAACTATATATTAGTATATTACTATGACAATAATAACTCATTTATTCCTCACACCAACCCTGTGCTATCCCCGTTTAAAGATGAGAAAACAGAGGCACAGAAGGTTTGAGTATTATGCCCAAGATCATTCAGCTGATAAATGCCATATCCATCTAACTCCAAATCCCTTGTGGTTGTACAGTCAGCTGAGCTGGCTTTTGGATAAAATTGGTTGGAGGTGAATAGAGAGAATGGGTTGGGGGAAAGTGGTGGATGCCCCCAGCAGGTGTCTCAGAAATAATGTGTTGTCATTTTCACTGTGAATATCTCAGGCTCAAGAATAAAATTACTTTTCTATATAATGATTTGCAATAGTCATGATTCTTTATGATGAAAATATAACCCAAATCAAACTTGCCTAAGCAAAAAAATATATATATAACATAAAATTCACCTTCAAGGGATGGGGCTGGAGTTACCCCCGGAAGCAAGAAGAAAAATTATGCAGAGCACCTGGTATATCCATCAGAGACCACCAATGTGTTCCTGTCACTCCAACAGGAAGCAGAGAACCCAAGGCTGTGTTGGCAAGTAGAAGACCCTAGGGACCCAGAGGGCCCAGAGAGCCCAGGGATTCCCAGTGCAAACCCTCAGATGCCTTGGTGCCTTAAGGAAAAACACACTAGCCTCATGCTGCCTAACTTCAGCAAGAAAAAAAAGGACCATTCCCTTAATACAAGCCTCAATTGCCCTGATGCCTTATGGCTGTTATTTTAGAGAATTATAATGCCACCTATGATTAATACCGCAATGTGGTCACACAGCAAACGCTCATAAGTAACCTCCCAGCATAAATACCAAGAAAATCCAGACTTACCACGGCTTCATATACATTTTAGATTTTTGCTAAATTGGCCCTTGATAAAGCGTGTGGCCACCTTAATCACAGAAATCAGCTTCCTCCCCAGGCCTAAAATTAGAAGCCCCAACTGCCAGTCGTTAGGTACAGAGCTCAATGCCTGCTGAGATTCCCCTCTCATTTATCTTCTGCGGGGAGCATTTCAAGTTATCGCCAGCTCTCGTATCAGCTGGCCCGGGGAAGGGCAGCAGGCAGCGAGAGGGGCAGCTAACATAGGAAGAGGTCAGCAGGTGAGGGGTGGCTCTGGAGGCGGTGGAACTGGCTGGTCCCTGGAAAGCTTCCCGCTGCAGGTCTAGAGTGGAGAACTCGGACTCCAACAGGGAAGACTGTGGCTGGGAAGAATTACAGACCAGATCCAGGGCTGGATTCTGAATTTAGATGGGGCCCGTAACAATTTGCCTAAATGATTTATTTCAACAATCAACACATCCATATGCTCAGCCACTCAGAATGATGACTGAAATAAAAATGAAAGGTAACAGGCTGGGCATGGTGGCTCACACCTGTAATCCCAGCACTTTAGGAGGCCGAGGTGGGAGGATTGCTTGAGCCCAGGAATTCAAGACCAGCCCTGGCAATATAGTGAGACTGCATCTCTACAAAAAAAAAAAAAAAAAAAAAAGAGCAAGAGAAAGAGAGAATTGGATGCATGCTATAACAGCCTATGATGGTAGATCCAGCTGGTCTGGGGAAAAAGGAGAGTATCCAACTAGGCTTCCCCAAGGTCATGAATTTTTTTTTTTTTTTGAGACAGTCTCACTCTGTCACCCAGGATGAGGTGCAATGGTGCAATTACAGTTCACTGCAGCCTCGACCTTCCAGGCTCACATGATTCTCCCACCTCAACATCCTAAGTAGCTGGGACTACAGGCATGCAGCACCACATGCAGCTAATTTTTTGATTTTTTTTTCTTTTGGTAGAGATGGGGTCTCACTTCATTGCCCAGGCTGGTCTCTAACTCCTGGGCTCAAGCGAACCTCCCACCTCAGCCTCCCAAAGTGCTGGGATTACAGGTGTCAGCCATCATGCCTGGCCAGATGATGACATTTAAGCTAAGACTAGGACAATGAGGAGTTATCCAGGTGTCAAGTGAGAGGAATGCATTTATACAGAGATAGTAACATGTGCAAAGGCCCTGGGGTGAGAAGGAGTTCCATGTGTTGAAGGAATTGGAATGTTGGGAGGAATGAAAAGGGTGTGGCAAAATATGTGGGCTGGGGAGGGAGGCAGGGGCTAGCTCAGGCAGGATGAGATAAACTCTGGTAAGGGTTGTATGTGCTCACAGAAACTCATTAACACTTCACTGAATGCTAATATTTATTTATCAGGTTTCAGAGTCTGTTTGTTCGTGAGGGGAGGGTTTTCCATCTTCTCCACTTGAATATAAACTCCTTGAAGGCAATGACCTTTGGTTCACAGTTCTATCACCAGCACCTAGAACAAGAACTAGAACAAAGGCAAATAAAGACACCCTTATCAGGCACAATGTTGCAAAGACTTAGTGGTTATCTTCCAGGAGCCAGTGAAGGGCCAGACCTTTCTTAGGAATGTGCAGGATTTGAACTCCCCAGACCTGCTGAGTCAACTCTACTGCAGGGGACCATACAGAGATGAGAAAGATGCGACATTCTTTCACTTCTGGGTAGCAGAGTCAACAAATGGAACCAGGGTGCCCCCAACGCCCGTTACCTATGACATCTTCCTCTGAAATAAGCTCAACAGAAGATGGTCCCTGGCTACAGTGACTTTTGTCAGGGATCTCCAAGACCGCCCTCAGGCCCATTGATTTGCCAGAAGGACCCACAGAATCAGGAAAGCCATTGTCCTCATGAACATTGTTTATTGCACTAAAAGGATACAGATTAAAATCAACCAAGGTACAAGATGCATAGGTCTCTCCAAGAGAGACCAGGGGTAAGTTTCCAGTAGTTTTCTCCCAGTGGAGTTAGAAGGATAGCTCCTAATGCTCTGTATTAGTCTGTTTTCATGCTGCTGATAAAGACACACCCGAGACTGGGTAATTTATGAAAAAAAAAAGAGGTTTAATGGACTCGCAGTTCCACGTGACTAGGGAGGCCTCACAATCATGGCAGAAGAGCAAGGGAGAGCAAAGGGATGTCTTACATGGCGGCTGGCAAAGAGAGAATGAGAGCCAAGTGAAAGGGGTTCTCCTTATAAAACCATCAGATCTTGTGAGACTTATTCACTGCCATGAAAACAGTATGGGGGAAACCACTCCTGTGATTCAATTACTTCCCACTGGGTCCCTCTCACAACACGTAGGAATTGTGGGGGCTACAATTCAAGATGAGATTTGGGTGGGGACACAGCCAAGCTATAAGAGACAATTAGCAATGTATACAAAGTACTGCCAGCCACAGCAGCTCCCCCAAGCCTTGGTGTCCAGGGGTTTTATCAGCATTTCATCACCCAGGCATGGAGCACCTGCATGGGTGACTTTTGTTACTCAGTCTCCAGCCCCTCTAGAGGTCAAACTGACACATACAAAAACAGGCACTCACCATAAATTGCATTGTTAGCATGGACTAGCTAGCTCAGCCTGAGGCCATAGGTAAACAAAGACACTCTTATCAGGCAGAATGTTCCAAAGACTTGGCGGTTATCTCCCAGGAGCCAGTCAAGGGCCAGAGCTTTCTTTGGAATGTGCAGGATTTGAACTCCCCAGACCGGCTGAGTCAACTCCTTACTGCATGGGGACCATATAGAGATGAGAAAGATGCCATATTCTTTCACTTCTGGGTAGCAGAGTCAACAAATGGACCAGGCTGAACGAAGACAGTCAGGTAGAACCAGAAACCACCTCCACCTGCACCCCTGCATAGGACCTAAAAAAATGTCATAGGACCATGACAACTTTTTTGAGACAGGGTCTCAGTCTGCCACCCAGGATGAAGAGCAGTGGTGCAATCATAGCTCACTGCAGCCTCAACCTCCCGGGCTAATGCTATCCTCCCATCTCAGCCTCCCAAGTAGCTGGGGGCATGTACCACATCTGGCTAATTTTTTGACTTTTTTTTTTTTTTTTGGAGAGATGGGGTCTCACTTCGTTGCCCAGGCCGGTCTCTAACTCCTGGGCTCATCAGGAGTTAGATGATCACCCAGATGAACAACAGGGACCTCATCCCTCCCCAGGGGTCCTGGGGTAGGACCCTCAGCAGATGAGAGGAGTAGCTCTCCTGGCCCATACCCATGCCCTGTTGTGGTGTTTATAAGCCTGTCATAGGTCAGGTTTCTAGAGAGACAAGCTGTGGGATGGAGATCTGGGTGCAGGGGGTTTACTGGGAGGAGCACCTGCTGGAAAGCAAGGAAGCAGCATTGGGCAGAGAGGGGAGTGGCACTGTGGAACAGTCGCCAGGACCCCTGAGACACCCCCTGTGATGGTTAATACTGAGTGTCAACTTAATTGGATTGAAGGATACAAAGTATTGTTTCTGGATGTGTCTGTGAGGGTGTTGCCAAAAAAGATTAATATTTGAGTCAGTGGACTAGGAAAAGCAGACCCACCCTCAATCTGGGTGGGCACCATCTAATCAGCTGTCAGCATAGCTAGAATATAAGCAGGCAGAGCAGCATGGAAGGGCTTGACTGGCTGAGTCTTCCAGCCTTCATCTTTCTCTCGTGCTGGATGCTTCCTGCCCTCGAACATCGGACTCTGAGTTCTTCAGCTTTGGGACTCTTGGACCTTTGACCACAGACTGAAGGCTGCACTGTTAGCGTCCCTACTTTTGAGGCTTTGGGAATTGGACTGGCTTCCTTGCTCCTCAGCTTGCAGATGGCCTATTGTGAGAGCTCACCTGGTAATCGTGTGAGTCAATACTCCTTAATCAACTCCCCTTTTCATATACATCTGTCCTATTAGTTCTGTCCCCCTAGAGAATGCTGACTAATACACTCCCATATGGAGGGGCAAGGGACAGAGCCTTTGTAACCCTCCAGGATTATGGGATGCCTAGGAGGGGAGGAGGATTTCCCAGCACTAGGTGGCTTCCTACAGGTGCCTTCTTGCCAGAGGCAGGACTTTGCTATGAGCTGTTAGCAGCCAGGTCTCCCAGCAGCTGGGGGGACAGAGGGCCTCGGTGGTCCTGCACAGAGGTCTGAGTGGTATAGCACCGACAGCGAAGCTAGTGACCAAAGTGGAAAGACAGAGATATGAAAATCTTTCAACTAATTAAGATTTAAAACTCAGATTGATGTGAGAATCCTGAATTGACTGTTTACCAAAGAGACTAGGTTTTAAATGAGAAGGGTCTGGGTTTACATTGACTTGGCAAGACTGAGTGTCCTATCACTGGAGTGACAAGGGAGGCTGGTGGGGATGGATCCAGGGAAAAGAAGCAAAGTATGGAACAAAGAAGTTTAGAATAAAGAAAGTGGCCAAGGCTGGGCGCCACAGTTCACACCTGTAATCCCAGGGTGGCCAAGGCAGGAAGATTGCTTGAGCCCAGAAGTTCAAGGCTGCAGTGAGCTATGATCATGCCACTGCACTCCAGCCTGGGTAGCAAAGCAAGAAAAAAAAAAAAAGCAAGAAAGGAAGGGAGGGATGGAGGAAGGAAGGAAGGGAGGGAGGGAAAGAGAGAGAGAAAGAGGAAAGAAAGAAAAAGAAAGAAGAAGAAAGAAAGAAGAAAGAGAAAGAGAGAAAGAAAGAAAGAAAGAAAGAAAGGAAGGAAGGAAGGAAGGAAGGAAGGAAGGAAGGAAGGAAGAAAGAAAGAAAGAAAGAAAGAAAGAAAGAAAGAAAGAAAGAAAGAAAGAAAGAAAGAGACAGACAGAAAGAAAGAAAGAAAGAAAGAAAGAAAGAAAGAAAGAAAGAAAGAAAGAGGCATCAAACCTCACAGGTTGAGGTAACTGTAAATACACGGTAGTTTATCCCTGAGCACAAAATCTCAATGGCACAGTCAAAGCCCCAAAGAAGTAAGAAACAAACATCATTTCCACCTTTTGGGCCTGAAGAAGCAGGTACATTAGAGAAGGGCAGCCACAATATCTGTGAACAGTCATTAAGCTCTCAGACACAGCATCCCACCTTCACCAATCTGATCTCCTTGATGGGGGTGATGCTCCCTCCAAGATAACAAAGAAAACCTGGCCAGGCACGGTGGCCCGCGTCTGTAATCCCAGCATTTTGGAAGGCTGAGGCAGGAGGATTGCTAGAGCCCAGGAGTTCAAGACCAGCCTGGGCAACATAGTGAGACCCCCGTCTCTTAATAAAATAAGAAAAAAGAAAAGAAAACCTTCCTTTTACATGAAGGCATCATACCTTAAATGCACATCCTATCTGCCCAGGAGGCCCACCTCTAGATTTGTATCCTACTGATGAACACACACCAAGATGGACATACTAGCATAAATTGTGGAGAATGACAGAAAATATCCTGAATGTCCACCATGAGGGAACTGATTAATTTATACACATCCATATACTGGAATACTACACAGCTGATAAAAAGAATAAGGAATGTCTATATGGACTGCTATGCAAAAACCTCAAAGATATATTGTTGAATGAAGTCAAGATGCAGTGTAATATGTACAATGGGCTATCATTTATAAAACCGGGAGGAGACATATATACATATGTTTTTCTATATAAAGATTGTATCTCTGGAAAGTTTCAAGAGAAGCCAGCAACACTTGTGACCTTGGAGAAGAAGAACTGGTGGTTGGGATGGAAAACAAACTTAATTTTCACTGTATACTTTTTCTGGTACTGTTTAATTTTTTTTTTTTACCATATGCACACGTTTCCTATTCAAAAGAGAATTTTTTTGAATAGGAAACAATGAAAAATCTTGTAGGCATACAAACTAAATTAATTAGCCATCCCTATAGCTTCAACATGCATTTCAATTTGCAAGCACCCTGGCCTCCAAGATTGATTGATTGGCTGTAAATTGAGAACCTCAGCAATTTCCTTTCACAGGGACAGATGTTGACATTGTTCCTGTGATTTTTCACAGATGTTTGCCTTCCAGCATCTTTAAAATCGAGTTTTCTGTCAATTTGGAAATCCCAAATTTCTCATATCAAATCGAGATGTCAGGAAAATCAAAACCGTTATCACATTTTGAAAGAGTTTATGGATGGCAAATGACACTGGGAAGGGAGATGTTTAAGGAGCAGCTGACGTCTCTTAACCCTTTCTCATCACTTCCTGCCTCAGTTTACCTAAGCCAGAAAAAGGGGAAATTTGATTCAATATACAGACAAGGGCTTTAGAGTCTGCGTAGCTGTGCGATCTCACTTTGGCTCCAACTCTCTAGCTGTGATACTTTGAACCAGTTCATTAACTTGCCCAGCCTCCTCTCTCTCATCTGTAAAATGGGGATAATATCCCCAGCCTTGCAGTGTGATTTTACAATTCACTGATGCAAAAATGGAAAATGCGTGGCACTTAGCACCACCTAAATGTTTTTTTCCTTTTTTTTTTCCCCTTTCCCTCCTCCTTCACCAATCCTCCAAGCAGCTTTTCTTCCTTCTTCACGTCCCCATTTTGCTCACGAGATTCCAAGATTTACCCACTGAAGCTCTCATGAGATTCCCAGATTTACCCATTGTTGAGAAATCAGAAACATCCCCCACCCCCTAGAATTCTCCTGACCTGTGTCCCCTCCCCTTAGGACTCTGCTCTCCCTCAGTGGCAACAGGCAGGAATATGATCTACTCATACAAACCAAACCTCTGCTGTTTGTACATCTTAGCTAATAATGCCCAACACGCAGCCAACATTTACTAAGTCAGGCTCTTGAGAGCCACTTCATCTGCATGACGCCACAAAATCCTCTCAGTTATTATTTCTGTTTTAGAGATATGGAAATGAGCACCAGAGGTAGATGTAACTTGACAAATATCTGGGTGGTAGATCTGGAAATCAAAGAACCCTGAACCCCAACCACAGACACATGTTCAGTTCAGGCTGGGTCTCTACGCTTTGTTATTTTTAACGGGGCATTACGCTCCCTGGATGGCTATGACGCTGCGGTTAACTCTGCTCTTGTGGATGAATGCAATTATCTGGGGAGCTCGCACTTATAAGATGTACAGCTATGGGCAACCTAAGGCACATCGTGGAGTCTTAATTTCCTCATCTGTCAAATGAGAATAGCAAGGATGGCAGGGAGGGATTAAGGAGCATTTTTGGAAAAGGAAGTGCTATGAAATGAACGTTTGTGCCTCCACCCCCAAACTGATATGTCGAAGCTGACACCCTAATTACCAGTGTTACGGTATTTGGGTATTTGAAGATGCGGCTTTGGTGATTATGTTTAGATGAGATCATAAGCCTAAGGTCCTGGAGATGCGATGTGTCCATATTAGAAGAGACACCAGAGATATCTTTCTCTGTCTCTCACTCTTGCTTGATCTCTCCCTCTCTCTCTCGCACTCTCTCTCATGCTGGCGTGCTCTCTCTCTCCCCTGTGAGGATACAACAAGAAGGCTTCCAACTGAAAGCCACAAAGAGGGCCCTCACTGGAGAAACAAATCACCCAGCACCTTGATCTTCGAATTCCCAGCCCCCAGAATAGTGAACAATAAATGTCTCCTGTTTAAGCCACGTAGTATGTGGTATTTTGTATGGCAGCCTGAGCAGACTGCCACAGTAGATGGTTGGTCCTTCCTCCAACCAATAATAGATGGCTTGTCCTTTCCATCGCCCACCTTGGGCAAGGCAAACAGGACAGTGAAGGCAAGCACATCTCACAGACCCCAGCATTCATGTGCTAATGAGGCTCACTACTAGTATTGGAAAGATGGGAAGTCAAACAGAATTATGTCCTTGCGAACATACAATAACTTGGAAAATTTTATTGAAAGACATTAAGTTTGCATACACACAAAAATGAGTGAAGAGTTTTTTGTTCCATTGAATAATTTAGAGGACATGTAAGAGAACACAAGTTTGAAATCTTATTATATTTTGTATAATGATACATAATAATTTCCATGATAAAGCTGATGTGTATTGAGGAGATCATATGTGCCAAGCACTCACTGTGTGTTAAGCATATTCTATTCATTGTATCATTTAATCCTCAAAATATGATCACCGCCTGTATTGATTGGGGTTTTCCAGAGAAACAGAACCAATGTCTAAACAGAGAGAGATTTCACGCAATTATGGAGGCTAACAAGTGCTGTCATCTGCAGGGCGAGGCAGCAAACTGGAGACCCCAGAGAACTGATGGTGTTAGTTCCAGTCCTAAGGCCAGCAGGCTCGAAACCCGGAAAGAGCAGTGTTTCAGTCTGAGTACAAAGGCAGAAAAAAGCCAATGGTGCAGTTTAAAAACCTTCAGGCAGGAGGAATTCTCTCTTACTTCGGAAAGGACCGACTTTTGCTCTATTCAGGTCTTCCGTGGATTGGATGAAGTCCACCCACATTAGGAGGGGCAACTGCTTTCCTCAATCTGCCAATTTAAATGACAATCATCCCAAAACGCCCTCACGAACACACCCAAAATGATGTTTAGGCAAATAGCTGTGCACCTGTATCCCTAAGAGTTAACACATAAAACCTACCAACCCATCACTCTTTCCAAATAGAAAAAGTGAGGCTCAGAGAGGTTAAGTCACTTCCCCAAAGTCACAGAGCTTCTTATAAGTGGTGGAGGGTTTGACTGAGGACCCATGCTCTATTGTAATCATAGAAAATCCTAGTGGAATTTTCCAATAGAATAAAATGCCTGCCCAGCTGCAGCCAAACGTTCCATAGACAATGTCTCTGGGCCTTTTGTGGCAGAAAAACCAACATAAGGAAAAGAAGGCCGGAGACGCCAGTTTTATCAAACTCCCATAAGGTAAAGGGAAATATCTTTCTGGGGAAAGGAGACTAAAGGAGAAAATTAACAGCCACTTTTCAGGGAGAGAGAAAGAGCAGGGACCCAGCCCCTCTGAGACTGTGGGCTGGGTGTGGCCTGAGCTGATTGGCAGCTCCATTGTAACTATACTGTAAAGGAATGACTCTACCGAAACTGAGCTAAAGGAGAGTTTGAAGCATTTTTAAAAACTCTGCCCAGGCCAGGCGTGGTGGCTCATGCCTGTAATCTCAGCACTTTGGGAAGCTGAGGCAGGCAGATCATTTGAGATCAGGAGTTCAAGACCAGCCTGGACAACATGGTGAAACCTCATCTCTACTAAAAATACAAAAATTAGCTGAACATGGTGGTGGACACCTGTAATCCCAGCTACTTGGGAGGCTGAGGCAGGAGAATCACTTGAACCCAAGAGGCAGAGGTTGCGGTGAACCAAGACTGCGCCACTGCACTCCAGCCTGGGTGACAGAGCGAGACTCTGTCCAAAAAAAAAAAAAAAAAATTCTCAGACAACCAGCAGTGATACAAGAGATAAAAGGCATCTGGCTTTACGCTGCAAACAAAACGGAAACAGGAAGTGAGAGAGCAGTTGGCCTCTAAGAAGCATCCATTTATTTTACCCTGCCAGGTGCCTACAAGGTGATGGTTTTGCCTCCCAAATATAATCAGGGGCCCAATCTCTGCATTCAAAGAAGTATATTTCAGCAACCCATAAGTAATCCAAAAGCAGTTCCCCACACATCAGCTCAAACAGTGTTACAGGGCAGGCATTCTTGGTGCCATCAGATCCAATGTCCCATGTTTTAACCAACAATTGAAAAGCCCTCTTTTTTTTTTGAGACAGGGTCTCACTCTATAGTCCAGGCTGGAGGGCAGTGGTGGGATCTTGGCTCATTGCAACCTCCACCTCCTGAGTTCAAGCGATTCTCGTGCCTCAGCCTCCCGAGTAGCTGGGATTACAGATGCGTGCCACCATGCCCGGTACATTGTTTTTTTTGTATTTTTGGTAGAGACAGGGTTTCACCATGTTGGCCAGGCTGGTCTCGAACTCCTGACCTCAAATGATCCACCAGCCTCAGCCTCCCAAAGTGCTGGGATTATAGGCGTGAGCCACCATGCCCAGCTGAAAAGCTCTCTTTTCTACCCTGAAAAAAAAAAAATGTGCTGATCCTATAACCCATCTACTCTTCTAACCAATCACAATTGTGCCCTAATTATAATAAAAAGGAGAAATGAAATGATGAGGATTTCTAATGAAATAATATATAGAGAAATGATTTGGGTTTCCACCAGGAAAGACGGAGCGAAGCAGTCAAGTGCTCACACACGTGTGTGTAGAATAACCAGTGACAGTCACAAACGCAGACAGCGTGGTGTGTTGTCGCATCGGCTTTACTGAGAGTGCCATGTTCTTCAAAAGAGTGGCTCTTTCTTGATAAATTCCCATACCAAACAGAGTCAAATCTTCTCTTGATTTACACCATAGCTGCTACATTCTTGGAAACATCAGTGTTCATTCAACACTTACATGTAAAATAGAACATGTAAACATATAAAATAGAATAGGCAGATAAAATAGAAGAAGGTTGGACCGGGCGTGGTGGCTCACACCTGTAATCCTAGCACTTTGGGAGGCCGAGGTGGGCCGATCACAAGATCAAGAGAGCAAGACCATCCTGGCCAACAGGGTGAAACTCCGTCTCTACTAAAAATACAAAAATTAGCTGGACGTGGTAGTACCCGCCTGTAGTCCCACCTACTCGGGAGGCTGAGGCAGGAGAATCGCTGGAACCGGGGAGGCAGAGGTTGCAGTGAGCCGAGATGGCACCACTGCACTCCAGCCTGGGTGACAGAGTGAGACTCTGTTTCAAAAAAAAAAAAAAAAAATAGAACAAGGTTATAGACTCTGATAATCATGGTTCTTCTAACCCATATGAATTTGGGATCTACACATATATATATTCAAAAAACTACCCCACACCGTAATGACTCCCCCATCCCTATCATTAGGGCAACCAAAAGCTCTCTGCAGATTTAAAACACACACACACACACACACAAACACACACACACACAAACACACACACACAAACACACACACACACACAAACACACAGACACACACACAAACACACACACACACAAACACACACACACACACAAACACACACACACGGGACAATTCAGTCCCCAGTGAGAACCTCTGTAATAAAAGGTCCAATTCCTAACCTGCAATAATATTCTTTTTTTTTTTTTTTGAGACAGAGTCTCGCTGTCGCCCGGGCTGGAGTGCAGTGGTGCGACCTCAGCTCACTGCAAGCTCCGCCTCCCAGGTTCACGCCATTCTCCTGCCTCAGCCTCCCGAGTAGCTGGGACTACAGGCATCCGCCACCATGGCCGGCTACTTTTTTGTATTTTTAGTAGAGACGGGGTTTCACTGTGTTAGCCAGGATGGTCTCCATCTACTGACCTCGTGATCTGCCCGCCTCAGCCTCCAAAGTGCTGGGATTACAGGCGTGAGCCACCACGACTGGCCCACAATAATATTCTTAAAGTCCCCTTTCCCGCCTCCTCAGTTCTCCCACAATTCCCAGTTTCCCCAGAACAAACCCCAAGAGATTTCTCTGCCCTTCCCCCCACCCCCAGGCAGAGATGTCTTCCAACTCTTCCCCAGCACTGTAACTCTCCACTCTGGTCAAGTGGACTCCACCTTGGGGAAAGAATGTTTGTACCGGGCACCAAACTAGACTTTGGAGATACACTAGTTCTTAGTATCTGCTAGTATCTGCTACTGTGATAATTAAGGTAATTATTTAGACCAGGAATCTGCAAAATACAGCCTGAAGGCCAAATCCGAGCTGCCTGTTTTCCTATGGCCTGAAAGCTAAGAAAGAATGGTTCTTACATTTTATATTATTATTATTATTATTATTATTATTATTATTATTATTATTATTATTATTTTGAGATGGAGTCTCGCTCTGTCGCCCAGGCTGGAGTGCAGTGGCACCATCTCAGCTCACTGCAACATCTGCCTGCCAGGCTCAAGCGATTCTACTGCCTCAGCCTCCTGAGTAGTTGGAATTACAGGCACCTGCCACCACACCCGGCTAATTTTTGTATTTTTAGTAGAGACAGGGCTTTACCATGTTGTCCAGGCTGGTCTCGAACTCCTGACCTCAGGTCATCCGCCCACCTCGGCCTCCCAAAGTACTGGGATTACAGGCATGAGCCACTGCGCCCAGCTAGTTCTTACATTTTAAATAGTTAGTGGGAAAAAGACAAAAGGAATAATACGTCATTACATGACAATTATATGAAATTCCAATTTCAGAGTTTATAAATAAAGTATTGTCTGTGGCTGCTTTTGCACTACAATGGCAGGGTTGCATGGTTGCAAGAGAGCACATGGCCCCCAAAGCCTCAGATAATCCACTATCTGGGCCTTTACAGTAAGGTTGTCAGCCCCTGGCTTAGGCACTAAACAGGTGCTTTCAAGCACCTACTATATGCCAGACACTAAAGTAATAGAGAGGGGAGACAATCAACAAGAAGCATTCTTTCTCAAAAGTTTTAGGCTGGGCACAGTGGCTAAAGCCTATAATCCCAGTACTTTGGGAGGTCGCGGCAGGAGGGTCAATTGAATGCAGGAGTCCAAGACCAGCCTAGGCAACATAGTAAGACCCCGTCTCCTCAAAAAATGCAAAAAAAAAAAAAAAAATTAGTTGAGCATGGCAGTGTGTGCCTGTAGTCCCAGGTAGTTGGGAGGCTGAGGTGGGAGGATCACTTGAGCCCAGGAGGTCAAGGCTGCAGTGAGCCAAGCCATGATGGTGCAATGGCACTGCAGCCTGGGAGACAGAGTGAGACCCTGTCTCAAATAAATAAATAAGTAAATTAATTAATTAATTAATTAAATTAAAAGCATGTTATTCAGAATCACATAGACTTGGGCTCAGCTCTTCAGCCATAAGCATGTTTCTTTTCTCTTTTTCTTTTTTTTTTTTTTTTTGTTGAGACAGAGCCTTGCTCTGTCACCCAGGTTGGAGTGCAGTGGCACGATCTTGGCTGACTGCAACCTCCACCTCATGAGGTCAAGCGATTCTCCTACCTCAGCTTCCTGAGTAGCTGGGATTACAGGCACGTGCCACGATGATCGGCTAATATTTGTTTTTCTTTCTTTTTTTTTTTTTTTTTGAGACGGAGTTTCGCTCTTTTTGCCCAGGCTGGAGTGCAATGGTGCAATCTCAGCTCACTGCAACCTCCTGCCTTCCGGGTTCAAGCGATTCTCCTGTCTCAGCTTCCCGAGTAACTGGGATTACAGGCGCATGCCACCACACCTGGCCTAATGTTTGTATTTTTAGTAGAGACAGGGTTTCACCATGTTGGCCAGGCTGGTCTCGAATGCTGAACCTCATGATCCGCCCACCTCAGCCTCCCAAAGTGCTGGGATTACAAGCGTGAGCCACCGCGCCCGGCCCATGAGCATGTTTCTTGACCTCAGTTTCCCCTTCTGTAAAGCATGGTGTGGATTGTTCACCTCGCATGGGCATGTGAATATCAAATGAGACATCCTGTGCAATGTGCCTCAGACAAAGAAAGGAGATCAGCAAATAATATTTCCTTTCTAGTTCATCCTCTCTTCCCATGTATGCCAAGAAAGCAGGCGAGATTGAGTGAGGGAGGTCATATCCTCTTTGTCTAAATGTTTTCTTGTTAGAGAACATCTTTCTTCTTAACATCCCTTCCTACATAAAGAATCTCTGTCAGAGGAATATTAAAAGGCCCTAACCTACAGTTAGATGGAAGGCGAGACTCCGATCTCACAGCTGAATCACTTTAGTCTACCTCTCTACCCATCTAATGTTACCCCCTTCAAAAATAATAATAATAATATGAAAGTTGGGAAGTGGAAAACCATCCTCTGGAGTTTTCAAAAACTAATTCCGTTGTAATCATAGAAGACTGAAGGCAGGATTCATGTCACATTTCTCTTCCTCCTGGGCAGATGAATCTACAATTTGTATTTGATTTTAAATGTGATTCTCCTGCATCTTCAGTGGGTTTGATTGATAGAGCACATGGGGCCACTCAGTAAAATGATACAGTGGAGATCAAAGCCGGAGAGATAATTTTTGCCAAAATGTCTGCAGCCGACAGTGAGTTATAAGCCTTTGTCTCCCACTTTACGGAACACAATTTTATTTAAAGCCGAAATCTGTCACTTTGGTATTGTTTATTGAAATGCATCCCATACCACGGTCCCGTGAAGAACAACGTCAAGTCAAAAGGTAAAAAAATCCAATGGTTACAAACAGCCCAGGACCAAATAAAGGAGGGAGAATGCTTCCAATCTGCATAAATATTACCCACCAGTGATGCATTTGGGGCAAGCAATGAAGTCATTCATCTGCAAAGTAAATATCTGGCATTGTCAGAGGTGCCTGACACAGCCCCATAAACCCAGTGAGTTCTGTTCCATTCAGCAGCTCACACATCTCTATTTGATAACTTTGCTTTATTTATGGGTCCACAATGGGAGTCATAACTGGGTTTTTATCTTTGCACAACTTTTTTACTTTATTTTTTGAGACAGGGTCTCACTCTGTCACCCAGGCTGGAAGTGCAGTGGTGTGATCACAGCTCACTGCAGCCTCGACCTCCTGTGCCCAAGCAATCCTCCCACCTCAGCCTCCCAAGTAGATGGGATTACAGAAATGCACTTCCACACCTTGCTAATTTATATTAGTTTTTGTAGAGACGGGCTCTCCCTAGGTTGCTCAGGCTGGTCTTGAACTCCTGGGCTCAAGTGATCCTCCCACCTAGGCCTTCCAAGTAGCTGGGACTACAGATGCACACCACCATACCCAGCTAATTTTTAAATTTTTTATAGAAAAGGAGTCTCACTATGTTGCCCAGGCTAGTCTCAAACTCCTGGCCTCAAGACATTCTCCCACCTTGGCCTCCCAAATTGCTGAGATTACAGGTGTGAGCCACTGTGCCCAGCTTGCACAGCTTTTTTAAACCTTTTTTTTTTTTTTGCATTCATTCACGCTTTTCATACATCATGATTGAGGATCTACCCTGCAGACTGTATGGAGTTATCTAGAAGGCAGGAAGGCAGAGAACTAAAACCTTTGGTTAAAATATCTGGGGTTGAGCTCAGTGTTTCCTGCTCTCCAGCTATGTGACCTTGATCGGGTCTCTTCACCTGTCTGAACCTCAGTTTCCCCACTGCAAAGTGGAGAGCAAATGAGACCATGGACTTGGAAATGCTTCATACATTTCTGAGTGCCTCACAGATATGAAGCCCAAAGATAGCACCATTCTAGGCTCTGTCAGGACAATGAGGCCAAAGTTGTCACTGATGCCATAAAGTTGTCTCTACAGCGAAAGGTCCCTGGAATTAGCAGGAGGCTTTTGTGGAGCAAATGCCTCCTTTTCTGCGTAGAAAGTGAGATGCCTCAATCACTCTGCCTAGATGCCTCTAGATGCCTCAATTCCTCTGCCACCAACAGACTCTGTGACATTGGGTCACTTTTGAGATTCCTGGGTCCTGCCTACTTCACCAGAATGTCATGTTCTGGAACCTTCTCAGTCTCCAACCTCATCACTCACAAGCTTTTCTTATGCTTTGATAGATGCTACGATTGCTTGTCAAAAAAAGAGCCTCTCTTCTCCGTTGCTAAGAGAACCCCAATTTTTAAAGTATTGAACAGTCACATGCTTTAGGAGAAGTTGCCCTTCTGAGCCTCAAGGAGTGAATCTTGACTGACCTAAACTAATCATAGTAATACTGACCCCCTGTCTAGTGATTGCTTTCGAATAGGCACGTGACCCATTGTGACCAATGAGAGTTGATGGAAATTTCCTCCTTGCTGTCAACAATGGACACAAGGAAGACACATTTTCTCCTCTGACCTTTGGACATTGAACGTTATTGTGTTAGGATGTGATGTAAGGCACTGTGGCACCCATTTTGTGCTCATTAGAGGAAAAGACTGGAATTAAGCCCTTGCTCTGTAAGTCAGAGCACAAAGATGGCAAGAGCCCAGGTCTTTGATGATACAACTGAACTACTGAATAAACCAACCCTAGACTCACCTACCCCCAAATTCCTTTTAATGTGAGAGAATAATGTCCCATCTTGTTTAAGCAATTTCAGGTTTCCATTACTTACTAATGAATATATTTGGATTCCAAGTTGTTATTTCCTTGCATGGAATGCTTCTGACACAACTCACCCTTGCTAGCCTCAAGGGTGGTGGCCGAACTGGGGAGGGTCCAAGAGGAATTGCAAAAAACAGAGCTGCAAGGAGCAGCCTTATCTCTGACCGCTGTGGTGAGCCCTCCACTTTGTATACCCTCCCCCAACCGTGTGACTCTGGATCAGCCAATCAGGTGATCTCTCTTGGCACCTTGACTCATGATGCAAGAACACAGGCCCTATTGGGTTTCCATGAATTCTCTGCAGGGAGAGCAGGGGTCCCCAGATCAGCCTATCCCTAACGCATGCCCTTGGAGGAGTTGCCGCTATAAAGCTATCTGGAGTCACCTTGTATGGGGTGTTTTCCAAGGCTGGGCCTTCAGCAGTGCCTTCGGCATGTTCTCTTTCTTTGGTAAGAGTCAGTTTCTGGGGTGAACAACTGAGAACTCAGGGACATAGACAAGAAATCATGTCTCATTCTTAAAAGCCTCAGCACAAGTCCTGGCATAGAGTAAGTGTTGAAGGGAGGTTGGATGAATGAATAAAGGAGTGAGAAAGTTAATTGCTTCCCTTCTCTGGGCTGCTGTATCAATCAAGGTTGTGGCAGGAAATACATAGTAAACTCAAATGGGGTAACTAAAAAGAGTTTAGCAAAGGGCTATATATAGCTGTATAAGTGGGATTAAAAAAAACAAAAACAAAAAGGGAGGTTGCAGTAGCCCTAACTAGCAGCAGTGAGGAGCCATTTCTACCCCTAGACCTGGAGGGGAAATAGTTATGGAACCCAAGGAGAGTAGCCACAGTCTTCAGGGAAAGACAGCTGCCTGGCAGGAGCTTCCAACCTATGGCAACCCAACAGGAAGGAGCCACAGAAATAAATATCCGAATCCCTCTCTCCTCCCACCTTCTAGTATTCTATGATCCCCACCCCATTGGCCAAACCCAAGCAGCCACAAGAGGATGGGAGACCACATGTGATGTAGTCCATAGAAGTCAGCCTCCTGGGGTACAAAGCAGGAAATGGGGGTGGACAGTGGATGTAAAGGAGCAAATACAAAATATCCGGCACAGATATTGCTATGGTTTGCATGTGTTCCCCAAAGTTCAAGTGCTGGAAACTTAATCCCTGATGCAACCGTGTTGAGAGGTGAGGCCTTCAAGAGGTGTTTGGATCATGGGGACATCATCTTTCTGAATGGATTAATGCCTTTATCATGGGAGCGGGCTGGTTTTCACAGGAGCAGGTGCTCTCTCTCACCCTCTCTCTCACCCATGTGATGCCTTGGGTCACACCATGATGCAGCAAGAAGGCCTTCACCAGATGTAAGCTCTCAACCTCGGACTTCCCAGCCTCCAGAACTGTGAGCCAAGTAAATTTCTATTCATTGTAAATTACCTGGTCTGTGGTATTCTGTTATAGCAGCACAAAATGGACTAAGACAGATAGTATCTAGTGATAGGATAGACTACAAGAATCTCTTTCACCCAGATCCTGCAGCCACAAAAGGGCCAACGCTCTTTGGAGAGTTTATCTCTCACCCAAGCAGCCACCAGCATCATCAGCAAACAGCAATGTTCCTCTACACGCTTGTGTGTTTCCTTCATTGGTACAAGTTTCCACCATTGTTTTGCTTATAAGAGAAACCATTCTCCAAAGCCCAGAGTAATTATAGAGCCCAGAAGTCTTGGGGCTTTCTGAATTTGAAGCAGATTCAGGGCTCAAGAGAGCCAAGAAGTCATATCAATGCCAGGAATCTGGACCCCAGGCAGACAGCGTGGATAACCTACCCCAACAGAGGTGCAGGCTCTCTTCCTTTCACCCAAAAAATAGCAAACACATTTATTGATCACCGTGGGCCCTTTCCTTCCACCTGGAGGTTAGCAGGAACTTTCAAAGGTTTAGTGTCATCCATATCCCATTGTCTTCTTCATGCACAGAAAAGAGAAACTTCTTCATCTCTGGAAAGGAGACATGGACTCACACTCCCCTTATTCTGAATTTTTGCCCACTAAGCCATTTCACAGGAAGTTAGCCATGGTTTGTGGATTTTTAAATGCTTCTGGGAGGAGAAGGATTTACTAGTGATAAGAAATAAAAATGCAAATGTTTTACTGATGACATATGCATGTAAAGTGCTTGATATAATGCCTGACATGGAAAAAACACTCAATAAACGTTAGTCATCAGTATTTATATCATCATTCCTTTTAATACACGCCATCGACTGGGTGCAGTGGCTCATGCCTGTTATCCCAGCACTTTGGGAAGCAGAGGCGAGAGGATCACTTGAGCCCAGGAGTTTGAGACGAGCCTGGGCAACATAAGAAGACCCCATCTCTATAAAAGAATCTTTAAAAATTACCTAGGTATGGTGGCATGTGCATACAGTCCCAGCTACTCAGGAGGCTGGGGTGGGAGGATCAATTGAGCCCAGGAGGTCAAAATGAGGCTGCAGTGAACCATGATAGTACAAAAAAATAGTTAGAAAGAATGAATAAGGCCGGGTGCGGTGGCTTACTCCTGTAATCCCAACACTTTGGGAGGCCAAGGTGGGTGGATCATGAGGTCAGGACTTCGAGACCAGCCTGGTCAATATGGTGAAACCCCATCTCTACTAAAAAATACAAAAGTTAGCCGGGCGTGGTGACAGGCGCCTGTAGTCCCAGCTACCCAGGAGGCTGAGGCAGGAGAATTCCTGGAACCTGGGAGGCAGAGGTTGCAGTGAGCCAAGATCGCACCACTGCTCTCCAGCCTGGGCGACAGAGCAAGACTCCATCTCAAAAAAAAAAAAAAAAAGAATGAATAAGACCTACTATTTGCTAGCACAATGGGGTGACTATAATCAAAAACAATTTAATCGTACATTTTAGAATAACTAAAACAGAATAATTAGATTGTAACACAAAGGAAAACGCTTGAGATGATGGATACCCCATTTGGCCTGATGTGATAATTACACATTGCATGCCTACAATATCTCACGTAACCCATAAATATATACACCTACGATGTAGTCACAAAAACTAAAACTAAATATAAAACAACAAGCATTTATCATCTAATTGTCTGGATTTGGAACCCACAAGCCAACTCAGCTAAGTGCTCTGGCTTAGGGTCTCCCATGAGGCTGCAGGTAAGATGTCAGCCAGGACTGCAGTCATCTGAGCGTTTCTGGGGCTGAAGACTAGGCTTCCAGGCTCACTGTGTGGTTGTCTCTATCCCTTACTGGCTCTTAGACAGAAACCTCAATTCCTCACCACGTGGGCCTCTCCGTAAAGTGCCTTAGTGTCCTCAAAACATGGCAGCTGGCTTCCTCCAAAGCGACTGATCCAAGAAAGAGAGAGAAAGAGCCAACAATGGAAGCTGCAGTCTTTCATGACGTAATCGCGGAAGTGACATAACATCACTTCTGCGGCATTGGTCACACACGAGCCCCAACATGGATCTTTCCAGCGTGGGAGGGGACTAAACAAGGTGTGAATGGCAGCAGGCAGGGATTGTTGCGGGCCATCTTGAAAACTGGTTCCCTCAGAGGAGAGCTGGAAGGCTGGGGACAAGGACACAAGAGAGGCTTTTTTATTTTTTTATTTTTTTGAGACCGAGTCTCGCTCTCGCTGCCCAGGCTGAAGTGCAATGGCGCGATCTCAGCTCACTGCAACCTCCGCCTCCCGGGTTCCGGGAATTCTCCTGCCTCAGCCTCAGCAGAGTTCCCCAAGGGTGCCTGTTGGCCTAGTTTGAGACTCTTGGCTCTGTTAGTGGGAGTCTCAAACTATGCTCCAGGCTGCTGATTGTTCTGAGGGATTTCTCTCTCTTTCTTTCTAACACTAAGAAATAGGAACTTGGCCTCCCAGAGTGCTGGGATTACAGGCGTGAGCCACCACGCCTGGCCTGTCTGTAATCTTTAAAAGTAATAGCATATTAGCTCTGAGGGTCGGTTGGATTTTTTTTTTTTAAACAGTTGGCAGTCATTTGTAGCCAAGTCAGGTGAAAAGGGTAGGTGATCAAGCTCATTACAATTTTTATTGAAATAAAATTTATCTTTAGTAACGAGATTGATTTTTTGTGTGTGACTCCGGAGGGCAGTTTGCCCAGAGCAGTGGTTTTCAGACTCTTAACAAACTATCCCTGAGAGGAAAAGAGAATGAATTCATACTCTGTGGAGTGTAGCCCAAAATAACCTCTGCAAGGGTGAAATTTTCTTTGAAGTCTTATTTTACCTTAGGTATTTGTGAACTCTGCGTTCTATTTTGTGCCACATGTGTTTTAAGTTACTATTACTCTGCTAAAGTTTATTCATCCTCCAGGAAGATGATGATGTTTGTACTGTAGTTTTTTATGTCCCAGGGATACAGCAGGGTTCCCCAAGGGTACCTGTTGGCCTAGTTTGAGACTCTTGGCTCTGTTAGTGGGAGTCTCAAACTATGCTCCAGGCTGCTGATTGTTCTGAGGGATTTCTCTTTCTTTCTAACACTAAGAAATAGGAAATACAGTTTTCAGTTTAAAAATAACATAATTAAAAAGTGTAGAAAAGTCTCTCTTGGCCGGGCACGGTGGCTCACGCCTGTAATCCCAGCACTTTGGAAGGCCGAGGCGGGCGGATCACGAGGTCAGGAGTTCGAGACCAGCCTCACCAACATGGCAAAATCCCATCTCTACTAAAAATACAAAAATTAGCTGGGTGTGGAGGCAGGCAGCTGTAATCCCAGCTACTCGGGAGGCTGAGGCAGGAGAATCGCTTGAACCCAGGAGGTGGAGGTTGCAGTGAGCTGAGAATGCACTACTGCACTCCAGCCTGGGTGACAGAGTGAGACTGTCTCAAAAAAAAAAAAAAAAATTACAGGCAAAAGAGGTTGCCCATGTTCTCATCATTGGCAGCAGCAGCATCAAAATATGGCACCCACTCCAGTGATGCCTTTCCAGAAGGAGCAACACTCATGTGAAACCACCAGCTTTGCTTTGTTTTGGTTGTTGCTGTTGTTGTTTTTTCAGAGAGAGTCTCACTCTGTTGCTCAGGCTGGAGTGCAGTGGTGGGATCATAGCTCACTGCAGCCTTGAACTCCTGGGCTCAAGCGATCCTCCTGCTTCAGCCTCCCCAGTAGCTGTGGCTACAGGTGCACACCAGCACGCCTTGCTAATTCAAAAAAAAAAAAAAAAGAAAAAGAAAAGAATTGTAGAGATGGGGTCTCGCTATATTACCCAGGCTGGTCTCAAACTTCTGACCTCAAGTGATCCTCCTGCCTTGGCCTCCCAAAGTGGCAGGATTACAGGCATAATCCAGCCATTGTCCCTGGCCTGGCTTTTTTTTTTTTTTTTTTTTTTAATGTAGCTCACGACCACAAACGGAGTTTGGTTTCCTTGCTCTCTCTTTTTCCCATTTGGTACTTTTCTTTCTCTCCCATGCACTCCTCTTCAAACCAAAAGTGAATCTTGTTATTTCTTGAAAAATGTGTAGATGTTGAAGGGATGAAAAACCTGAACTCTAACGTCTGACTATCTGAACCCAAATTCTAGCCGCCCCACTCAGTTGCTGTGTGACTGTGAGTAAGTTCTTACCCTCTCTGAGCCTGTTTCTTCACTTGGAAAATAAAAGTATACATATATATAGCTGTTAGCCAGAACTCAGCCTAGGGTAACCTTTCAATAAATATTAGCATCATCAAGGAAATCACTTGACAAATTAATTTTCATTAAGCAATGAGGGTCTATAACAGTGATGACTTCTGACCAACCAGCCCAATGGCTGACAAAGGACTGATAACACTTTACATTTTTATAATTTCCCTAGATTTCAAATTCTCCATAAGGAGCAAGTACAGTTTTTATAATCAGACATAGAACTCGCGTTCACTCTGCTCATCCTGACCCTAGCCACTGGCCACCAATTTCTGGGTTGGCTGCTCCAACCTGAGAGCACAGCTACTGGAATCAGAGGCAGAGGAGCTCCTCTTGCGTTTCGTTGCTGGTTTCCCTTGGTTTTGTAAAAATAAATAAATAATAAAATAGGGATACACCCTTCAGACAACAGGTAACTTCCTAAGCTAAGATGAACAGGAGGAAATTTAAATGTCTTTCTCCGGTTCAAATCCCCTACCCTCTCCCATCTGCCTACCCTGGGCTCCAACACTCGGGAGAAAGACCATAAGTCGTTCAGATGATGCTTTGGAGCTGGACAATCAATCGTGATCAAAAACAGGGGCATGGGAGCCCGGCTAACGTGGAAGGATGGGAGAAAATCAGGCTGAATTAGAGAAGGGTACATTGTGGAGTGTGTTTTACAACGCCATTAGTTCTAAGCACATAAGGATTTCAAATCAAGGAGCATCCACACACACACAAACTCTTGGATTACTTAAGAGATAAGGCGGATCCAAAATTAGCATATAGATCAGAGGCATGCAGTTGAGTGCTGCTAAAGTGGGCTATAAATGCTTGGGGGAAAATAAACTAGTTGTTTTTCTGAAGAAAGCTTTACAACGTTCCAAAATCTTGTCCAGGAAGTGTGAACTCTAAGTCCAATGGACTGAACTGTGTCCCCTCAAAATTGATATGTTGAAGCCTTAACTTCCATTATGATGGTATTAGGAGGTGGGCTTTTTTGGAAGACTATTAGTTTAGATGAGATCATGAGGATGAGGTCTTCGTGATGGAATTAGCATCCTTACAAGAAAAGACACCAGACGGCTTGCTCTCTTGCTCTGTCTCTCCTCTTCCCTCCCTCCCTCTCTCTCTCCCTCTCTACCTCCGCTCCCCCCACCCCCCACTTCCTCCGTCATGTGAGAATGCAGAGAGAAAGCAGCTTTCTGCAAGCCAGGAGGAGGGTCCGCTGGGAGCTACATCAGCCAGATTGTGGCACTTCTCAGCCTCCAAAACTGTGAGAAATAGATTTCTGTTGCTTAAGCCATCCAGTTTATACTATTTTGTTATTGCAGCCTGATATGGTTCGGATTTGTGTCCCCGCCCAAATCTCGTGTTGAATCGTAATCCCCAGTGTTGGAGGAGGGGCCTGGGGGAAGGGGATTGGATCACGGGGACAGACTTCCCCCTTGCTGTTCTCATGACAGTGAGTGAGTTCTCACAAGATCTGGTTGTTTAAAAGTGTGTAGCACTTTCCCCTTTGCTCTCTTCCTCCTACTCCAGCCATGTAGGACATGCCAGCTTCCCTTTCACCTTCTGCCATGATTGTAAGTTTCCTGAGGCTTCCCCAGCTATGCTTCCTGTACAGCCTGCAAAACTGTGAGCCAATTAAACCTCTTTTCTTTATAAATTACCCAGTCTCAGGTATTTCTTTATAACAATGCAAGAAGAGACTAATACACAGCCCAAACTAACTAAGACAAACCCACTCTGACCCATTCTGACACCCAAACTAACTAAGTCCTGGTTTGAACCCTTCGCTATTGTGTCACCTTGGGGCAAGTCACCCAACTTCTCCAAATGTTTGTTTCCCACCAGGAAGATGGAAATGACAGTACCTCTCCTTCCTACCCCGCAAGCCTATCAGGAGGATCGAAAGGGACATGGCAAGCAAATACTTTCTAAACTGTAAAGTGCTGTGCAAACGCAAGACAGCATTACTCTCTTTTTATGGAGTTATTTATACTCTACCTGGTTACAGCAGAGGATTTATGGTAGATGTCAGTAAGGCTCTTTATTTTGAATTTTAAGAGAGAAATAAGAATCTTTGTTATCTGTAGAGAAACAAATATAATTTCCATGGGGCACTAATATAATATAATATAATATAATATAATATAATATAATATAATATAATATAATATAAATATACCTTACCGAATAAACCCTTTGCTCAGACGTAGTGAAAAGGTAAATTCCCCTTCAACCTAATGAAGTTTCAGTCGCTCACATTTTCTGAATTTGCCGAACAGAAATGCGATCAGGTGCATACTAAGTGCAGTACCCAGCATGATGTCTAGCATTGAAACATACAGTGTATACACCAGCACCTCCACCAAACCCATATCCAGCATGCAAAACATACCCTTTTCAAGTCGGAAGCACATAGATAGATTTTTTGGAGTTCAAAAGGTCTTAATGCAAACTGGCTCCAATTCCTTTTTTTTTTTTTTTTTAAATCTTTGAAACATTGGTTAAGTCTTCTCAGAGCTATCATTTTGCACACATGGAAACTTTAGACCATCCATCCTTCAAGTGTCTTGGGGTAATTAGAGATACTGAAGGTTAAGGACCTAGCATACTACTAATAGATTTTCAACAAATGGTAGCTACTGTTATTTCTCATCATTGCAGATTTAAGAGTGCCAATTCTCAGAGCACTTCAGATAAAAACCCTACCTTTCTTAAGGCAAAAAACAACGGCATTAACTTTTTTTTTTAATTAACCTAAGTTCCCATTATGTTTAGAGAAGAGATCACAATGATAAATGCTTGCCCTGTCTCTCTTTTTTAAAAATTTACTGTTCTTACATGTGACATATACTGTGGTACTTAGTGTCACCCTACAAAGAATAAATTTAAATTGAAGAAACAGAAACACGGGAGAGTCCTTGTTTGGGTTTAATTTGTATCTGACTACAATAAAATTCTATCCTGGAAGCTAGAGTCATAAAACTAAAAGTCAGGAAGGAAAAGAATGGCTAATTAAGCTCCGAAACTAAAAGCTCTTTCCTTATTGCTATTTCTTTAAGTCCTAACAATTGGTCAGGCACAGGGGCTTAGCTGCGCCATTCTAGTTAATGGTCGGTTACAAATTTCCACCATAAACTCATCTTCCTTCTAGCAACTTAAATCTCAGGCACTGGGATGTAATAAGGAGAGAAAGCTCTTAGGCCCAGGGCAATCTCTCTCAATCCCAATCTCCCTTTCCCCCATCCCTATCCCACCACAATAACTGTTAGTAAGAGCTTTTGGTTGCATGCCCAGAAATCTAACTCTGGCTAAATTAATCAAGAAACGAATATACTGGTTTATCCAGCTGAGGTCATTTACGGAAAGGGAGTGCTAAGGTTTGAATGTGTCTCCTCCAAAATTCATGTTGAAACTTAATCCTCATTGCAGTGGTATTAAGAGGTGAGGCCTTTTAGGAAGTGATTCAGTCAGGAGGGCTTGGCCCTTAAGGAATGAATTCATGCCTTATAAAGGGGTAGAGGGAACTAACTTAGGCCCTTTTGCCCTTCCACCTTCCACATATGAGGATACAGCATTCATGCCCTCCAGAGGACACAAGGCACCACCTTAGAAGCAAGGAACAGAGCCCCTTACCAGACACAAAATGTGCCTGTGCCTTGACCCTGGACTCCTCAGCCTCCAGAACGGTGAGAAATAAGTTTCTGTCCTTTATAAGTTATCTAGTCTTGGGTATTTTGTTACAGCAGCAAAAACAGACTAAGACAGGAAGAGAAAAGAACCAGAGCCCCAGGGACTAGAAACAGGACTCACTGCCTCAAAGTACATGTATACTCTCTCTCTCTCTCGCTCTCTCTCTCTCTCTCTCTCTCTCTCTCTCTCTCTCTCCATTTCTCTTCACTGTTTGTCTTTGCTCAGCCTTATTCTCCATCTCTCTCCATGTGGGAGGGCAAGTAGAGGCTGGCACCTCCAGATATATATCCTCTCTGTTCAAGAACCACAATAAGTTAATCCCCAGGGAAGATTCTGATGCCTGTGCCACTCCAAGGTCCAACACTGCTGGGTGGATAGATCCTGATGTTTGACCAGATATGTGCCACTTACCAACCATAGCAGACACTGGCAATGGCCACCCATGTCCCTTGGACCCTCCCCATCCCATACAAGCTGAAGGCATCCCTCTGCAAGCACCTGCAACTCCCCACCTGAAGGCCTTTTCTCGGCCTCGGCAAGACAGGCCAGAAGTTCAAGGATGTCAAAGTCCCTGAGAGAATCCCTTGGTCAATGTCAGATGAGTGATGAAAGATAAATATCTCAGTTTTCTCAACACTCAGGTGGGACAATTTGAGGTGTGTTCCATGCCATCAACCAAAGCCCATCAAAAGGACCAAGCCCTGGCTCCCCATAGAAGTAACTTACTCATTACCTTGCTTTATTCTGGTTTAGATTTCCTTGTCTCATTTTGCCCTGTGATGGTTAATTTTATGTGTCAACCTGACTGGGACGCTGAGTGCCCAGATAATTGGTAAAACATTATTCTGGGTGTTCCCGTGAAGGTGTTTTCAGACGAGATTAACATTTAAATGGGTAGACGGAGGAAAGCAGGTTGCACTCCAGATGTGCATGGTCCTCATCCAATCAGTTGAAGGTCTAAATAGAACAAAAGGCCAACCCTTGCCTGAGTCAGAGAGATCTCCTCCTGCCTGAGGGCCTTCAAACTGAAACGTCAAAATTTTCCTGCCTTTAGACTCAAACTGAAACACAGCTCTTTCTGGATCTCAAGCCTGCTGGTTTTCAGACTGGAACTACACCACTGGGTCTCCTGGGTCTCCAGCTTACTGACTCATCCTGCAGATCTTAGGACTTGTCAGCCTCCATAATTGCATACACACACACACACACATATATATAAAAGTGCATATAGATACATATATGTATGTGAATGTATGTATATAAAAGTGCATATAGATACATATATGTATGTGTATATATATATACACACACATACACACACATATATGTGTGTGTACATATACATGTGTGTATATATACACACATGTATATGTGTGTATATATACACACATGTATATGTGTGTATACACACACACACACACACACACACACACACACACACACATATATATATATATATATATATGAAGACCATAGAGAAGTCTCTAAGCCAAAGCTGGGGACAGGGGAATCCTGTGTCTCCTGGGGAGAGGTCTGCTTTAGTGTCCCTGCCATGCTCAGTCATTACCCAGGAGCACCTCATGGAAGGAAGCATATGGATTCCCCATATGCTTATATATGTGTGTGTGTGTGTGTGTGTGTGTGTATATGTATATGCATATGTGTGTGTGTATGTGTGTGTGCTATTCTATTGGTTCTACTTCTCTAAAGAAACCTGACTAATACACTCCCATTCTCCTACTGGTGCTTCCCAGAGTCACCCTACAAATAAACCATTACATGGAAATCCTCATCACAGGATCTGCCTCTGGGAAAACCCAGCCTAAGACATCCATGACTTTCATAGGAGAAGAAAGAGCTCTAGAATTGGCAGCCTTACTGAACCATGTGGAAGAGGAAAGGAGACCACCTAAACAAAAGGGTATTAACCAATTAAAATAACCTAAACCCACACTTGTCCAAATTGCTGAGCAAGTGGGATGGAATGGAACAACTTTCAACCAGTGTCCAAATATTGCTGTGACTCCTAGACTGGCTTGACACAAAGGCAGTGTCCACCAGCTCTAAACATCCATCTCAACTAAGATTTCTCCAGGAAGGCTAGAACTGACACCCTCTGCTTAGGTTCTCAGTGACTTCACCCAGCCAGCAAAGGAGCTCTTAGGAAGGCAGACAAGCCCTGAAGTCTGTCTGCTCAGACTCCAGCTACCTGCTCTATTCCTGCTTTATCAACCTCTAGCTTAGTCGCTCAATCTCCAGCTTTGCTCCTTCCCATTAGATTCTATGGCTGAACCTGACTGCCATAGTTTGTTTCTCAGATGAATTTAAGGCAAGGGTTGCAAACTTTAATGCACACATGGGCAGACAAGTAACACAAATGAGTGAAGAGTACAGATTAGGGCAACTGGGTCTGGTGGAGACTGTGGCAAACTAGAGAGCACACACCCTATCTAAGGAGGCAGCGAGGACTTAATTTTGCAAGATTTGTGGAATGGACTCCCAATGTTGCCAAACTGCCACTATTTTTTAAAGAGAAGCAGGAAATCCAGGGGTTTTTAAAGATGTAAAATACACAGTTTGTTGAATGCTGGCAACTGATTTTTTTTTTTTTTTTTGAGACAAGAGTCTCACTCTGTTGCCCAGGCTGGAGTGCAGTGGCATGATCGCAGCTCACTGCAGCCTCCTCCTCCCACATTCAAGAAATTCTCCTGCCTCAGCCTCCTAAGTAGCTGGGATTACAGGGGTGCACCACCATACCCAGCTAATTTTTGTATTTTTAGTAGAGATGAGGTTTCCCCCTTGTTGGCCACGCTGGTCTCCAGCTCCTAATCTCAAGTGATCTGCCTGCCTTGGCCTCCCAGAATGCTGGAGTTACAGGTGTGAGCCACAGCACCCAGCCCTGATTTTTTTTAATGTAAATACTGTATGAACCCAGACAAATGTTCTGCCAGGCCAGTGCTGCATGGCTCACCATGTGGTGGCCCTGAGAATGGGCCTCATCGACCTCCCTCTACTGGGAGTGTAATTAACCAGGGCCCCAGCTGCTGCGCTGGGGAATCCATATGCTTCCTTCCATGAGGTGCTCCTGGCTAATGACTGAGCATGGCAGGGACACTAAAGCAGACCCCTCCCCAGGAGACACAGGATTCCCCTGTCCCCGGCTTTGGCTTAGGGACTTCCCTATGGTGTTCGCACCCTAACTTTTTTCTCCTCTCTCTTTTACTCAGAGTCAGACTTGCATTACTGTCTCAGGTTCTCCCAGCTTTATGTGGCACCTTCTTTGCTTTCTCTCAAGGGCATTTCCCTTAATAAAAATCACATATGTGTAAACCTGTATGGGAGTTTGTTTCTCAGAACTGGGCTGACACACCATCTTGCAAACTCTGCTTTCGGCATTCAGCTCACACTTACTTACACCCTCCAAACTCCAACTATTTAGGGCTAATTCCATTCCAGCTCCCACCCCTTGAATCCCTTCCCCCCTCCCCCCACTTCCTCCTCCCATTCTGCTTTCCTGGAAACAGCATTTCCACTTACTTTTGAACAATGGTCCTTCCTTCACTGTTCATTCATGGAGTTTGGATAGCACCATCTTCTAAAGCTAGAGCTGAGCACATGATCAGGACTGACTAATCACCCTCTTCTACTTCCTTAGCCACAATAATTCGTTCAGAGATGGGCACCTGACTCTTACAATGCAATGAGAGTCAGCTTCTTATGCCAGTGCTTTTGGCAAAGGTAGGTTCATTTTCCCCTGGGATTACTAAGCTGGTAGGAGGTAAGTCAGCAGCTGCTGATGGCATAAGAAAAGGGCCTGATAATGAAGCCAACATGGATGAAAAGAGAGCTGAGAAGTAGAGATCAGACAGATTTCAAAGCATATCATTTAAGCATCTGGATCCAGCCATACTTGAAGTCCAGTCTATCTGTGGGCTTTGAAGTTGCATGGAACAATAGCAAGATGTAGCTGAGAGAGTTTTGGCTAATATACCACCTCACCTCTCATTCAGTTTCATGGAATATAACAGACATTGCCAACTAAAATTTACAAACAGCATTGATATAAAAGCTCCGCCATTTAAAAAAGGAAACTTTCTATTCTTTCACTGTGTGGCCTTGGGAAATTTCTAATCCGTTCTGAACTTCAGCTTTTTTCCCTCTCAAATGTAGCAAATACAACATAACTTGCTTGCCATGGAGGGAAATCAGATGCCCTTATCTAGGAAAGTAAAGATAGAGGTATAAAACATTGTTATTTCAAAAAAAAAAAAAATCCAGCACATAAGTCTAGGAGCATTGAACAAGGGTCAGATTGCATGGATTCAGATTCCAGCTCCATTACTAACAGGCTGTGTGACCTTGGACAACTCAATTGACCTCTCTGGCCCTCAGTTTCCTTATTAGTAAGACGGAAACTCCAATCATATCTATTGCACGGGATAGTTGTAGAAATTAATAGATACATAAGTGCTTAGTGCAACATGTGGCACTCAAAATATGTGTGGTATGATTGTTATTGACACAATGGTTGACCCATGAATGATTGTGATGCCAACCCCCTCACAGTTGGAAATCCACCTATAACTTTTGACTCCCCCAAAACGTAGCTACTAATAGCCTATTGTTGACCAGAAGTCTTACCAATAACACAAACAATATACACATATGTTGTATTTTATATGATTATACACTGTATTTTTACAATAAAATAAGCTAGAGAAAACAATATATGATTAAGAAAATCATAAGGAAGAGAAAATGTATTTATTATTCATTAAGTGGAAGTGGATCATCATAAATGTCTTCATCCTCATTGTCTTCACATTGAGGAGACTGAGGAAGAGGAGGAAGAGGAGGAATTGGTTTCGCCGTCTCAGAGGTGGCAAAAACAGAAAAAAATCCATGTATAAGTGGACCCATGCGGTTCAAATCCATGTTGTTCAAGGGCCAACTGTATTTATATTACAATAAATGCTGTTAATGTTGTCACTGTTGACCCTTCTAGTCCATTCCCAACATCACTTCCTACGCCCAGTGGAAAATTCCATCTTAAAATCACCCAGCCCAAGCCCTCTTCAGTAGACTCAGATAGATGGCTTGTCAAGGGCATGACTTAACTTCTCCAAACACAACCAGCCCAGTTTCAACTGCCATTTGGGGAACTTTCCCAATTACCACATTTCCGCACATCAAGTATGAATTACTTTAATTGCCCCAGAAGAACGCACTGTTGAAATATTTGACTTGCCCAGAACTAATTGTCTGTCAAAAAGAGATTTTGCAGCCAAGCTGATCTCTTCATTGGACATCTAATTTAACTGAAAACCTTTTTCCCTGCTTGTTTTATGCTTTCTTCTCCTGTTTTTGCCAAATTCTGGATGCTGGGCACTGCTTTCGGAAATAATTTATCTTGTTATTTTCTATTATAAAAGTAATACATGTTCATTATAGAAAAACTGAAAAAAAAAATTCCAAATGAAGAAAAACAGTTGATCCTAGACTCATTGCCCAGAGGAAGACTATGAACATTCCACATGAAGAAAAACAGTGGATCCTAGACTCATTGCCCAGAGGAGGACTATGAACATTCCACATGAAGAAAAACAGTGGCTCCTAGACTCATTGCCCAGAGGAAGACTATGAACATTCCACATGAAGAAAAACAGTTGATCCTAGACTCATTGCCCAGAGGAGGACTATGAACATTCCAAATGAAGAAAAACAGTGGCTCCTAGACTCATTGCCCAGAGGAAGACTATGAACATTCCACATGAAGAAAAACAGTGGCTCCTAGACTCATTGCCCAGAGGAGGACTATGAACATTCCAAATGAAGAAAAACAGTGGATCCTAGACTCATCGCCCAGAGAAAGACTATGAACATTTTAGCACGTCTCCCTCCCAGGTTTCCTAGAATAGATGTCTGTACATAGTTAATAAAAACATATATTCAAGTTTTGCAGCTTTTTGTTCCACTTTACATTTTAAGTTGAACGTTTACACTTCCCATTCCAAGATCTTCAGAAACATGTTTAGAAACAGAAGAGTATCCCAACAACAGTCTGTTTAACCTCTTCCCCTAATGCTGAACTATTGTTGCTTTAAGAATACATTTTCTGTGTGTGTTTCAGATGTAGTTTCCTTAGGAAAGATTCTCTATGCTGTGCAACAATTCCCCATGTGTCTCTTACATTTCTGCACATCTTGTGTCAGCTTTTGTTCTAGACCGTCTTTATAAGGATGTTTGTATAGCTAATAGCATTAGAAGATAGGGCTAGTATAGTAGAAGACAGATTTATTTGCTGATTAGGATTATAATAATAATATCTCTGGACCAGGCGCAGTGGCTCATGCCTGTAATCCCACCAATTTGTGAGGCTGAGGCAGGCAGATGACCTGAGGTTGGGAGTTCGAGACCAGCCTGGCCAATATGGTGAAACTGCTGTCTCTACTACAAACACTTAAAAAATTAGCTGGGTGTGGTGGTGGGCGCCTGTAATCCCAGCTACTTGGGAGACAGGTGGGAGAATTGCTTGAACCCAAGAGGCAGGGGTTGCAATGAGCTAAGATCATTCCACTGCACTCCAACATGGGTGTGACAGAGCAAGACTCTACCTCAAAAAAACAAAAAACAAAAAAAGAAGAAGAAAAAGAAAAAGAAAGGATTATAATGACAATGTCTCCCTCCATCCAGGGTAAAGGTTGAAAAGACCAAGATTCCTAAACTTGGGGTTCCTCAGGTGTGATGCAAATCCACTGCAGGCACAGATTCTACCTGGATCCATCCATGTATTACTCATTTCTCACACTGCTAATAAAAACATACCCAAGGCTGGGTGTGGTGTCTCACACCTGTAATCCTAACACCTTGGGAGGCCGAGGTGGGCAGATTGCCTGAGCTCAGGAGTTTGAGACCAGCCTGGGCAACATGGTGAAACCTCATCTCTACTAAAATACAAAAAATTAGCCAGGTATTGTGGTGCACACCTATAATCCTAGCTACTCAGGAGGCTGAGGTGGGAGAATCGCTTGAACCCGGGAGGTGGAGGTTGCAGTGAGCCAAGAATGCGCCACTGCACTCCAGCCTGGGCGACAGAGTGAGACTCTGTCTCAAAAAAAGAAAAAAAAAAGGCTAGGCATGGCTGTAATCTCAGCACTTTGGGATGCTGAGGTGGGCAGATCACCTGAGGTCAGGAGTTCAAGACCAGCCTGACCAACATGGAGAAACCCCATCTCTACTAGATACACAAAATTAGCTGGGTGTGGTGGTACATGGCTGTAATCCCAGCTACTCAGGAGGCTGAGGCAGGACAATTGCTTGAACCTGGGAGGCAGAGGTTGGGGTGAGCTGAGATCCTGCCATTGCACTCCAGCCTGGGCGACAAGAGTGAAACTCTGTCTCAAAAAAAACAAAAAAACAAACAAACAAAAAACATACCCTAGACTGAGTAATTTATAAAGGAAAGAGATTTAATTGACTCAGGGAGGCCTCGGGAAACTTACAATCATGGCAGAAGGGAAAGCAAACATGTCCTTCTTCACATGGCGGCAGCAAGGGGAAGAATGAGCAAAAGAAGAAAAAGCCCCTTATAAAACCATCAGATTTTGTGAGAACTCATTCACTATCATAAGAACAGCATGAAGATAACTGCCCCCATGATTAAATTACCTCCCACTGGGTCCCTTCCATGACACATGGGGATTGTGGGAACTACAATTCAAGATGAGATTTGGGTGGGGACACAGCCAAACCATGTCAACCTGTGTCACCCTTGAGGGACTTGGGGGTCAAAGGGAACTGGTGCAGACATGAAGCTCAAGCTTCCTGTTGTGCCATGAAAAATAAAGTCCTTTATCTCTCAATCCAGAGTCTCATGTCTTCTGCCCACATCCATAAAACTCACTAGCCTCCATGTAGGATAATATCTTAGACCAGCACAGTTCTTGACACTCTAGAAGTGAATTTGTTGGATCAAAAAGCATGAACAATTGCTAAAACTCTTAATATGTCTTGTCAATTAGCTCTCCAAACAAATGAGTCATTGCCTGAAATCTCTTTTGTCATCAGGAAGGGATAGAGCTGCTTGACTCAGATCTCCCAGGTGGCCTTAGACCGTAATGTCTTCCTTTCGTGCAGAGCTCTTACCATCCTAAGCCACTACTCCTACCTAATATTCTATAAAAAGCTTTTTCTCCCTACCCAGTGTCTCCAATGAGCTGACTTTCTTTTCTGGATTACTCTTTTATGTAATAAAAAGTAGACATGAGGGTCAAAGGGAAAAAGGGGAATTTGTTTAATTTCTACCAAGTGCCAGGCATAGTACAAAGAACATTTAGATAAGGCAGAAGGCATTAATTATTTTTATCTACCCAGAACCCCCTGCCCCACCTAAGCACCCCAGCCCCTGACCTGGCCACGTGGGTGGCTATGTGACCTGAGCTGAACCAATCAGAGTCCTTCCCTGGGATTTTTTTCACATCATAACCACATGAGAAGGTCTCCCATTATGAAACAGAGAAGCTTGTTGGCAGCCATGGTTCTAGCCAAGGATGGAAAAAACAACCAAAAAAAGAAAAGAAACAAAAAAAAACCCACCATGGTAAAAAAATACATATATAAAAATAAAAAAGATATGACAGACAGACAGACATGGGGAATGGTCTCTTTCCAGTTGCCCCTGCCACTCAACTGCTCTCCTACCTTCCTGGATTTGGTTATGAGAGTCAATAAATTATCCCCTTTTATTGCCTAAATGACTTCCATATGAGTTTCTGCTCCTTGCAACCAACATAATCTTGACAATTAATAGTAGCTAGCATTTTGTGAGTGTTTACTGTGCCATGCCCATTAATACACCTAATCCTCTCTACAATTGGACAGGTAAGGTGCTTTTAGTAACCTCCAATGTACAAAAAGGAAAACAAGTTGGGTGAAGTGAAATGACTTGCTCACAGTCGCTGGGCTAACAAGGGGGCAGAGTCAAAGTTTAAAGCCAGAGCCCATACTCTTCCCTATTGTATAACACAGACATGCTGTCTCTGTTCCCAGTGCTGGGGAATGCAGAGAACTGGGGACTGAAGGAAGAGCAGGCGTTCAGGTAAGCATTAATCAGGGGACCTTCCACAAGGGAAAAGGGAGTACTGGCCCAGTTGAAGTCCAGCCAGCACTCAGCATGGTCAAGGATGGGGTGGTGCTCTCTCCAGCCATTCAAGGTGCTGAGAAAAGAACAGAACTTTCATCTGAGGAATACAAGCCTTTTAAATTATTAGGCCCAGAGAGGCAATAGAATGAGATAGCAATCATGTCCTACATACCCCCTTTGAGCTCGGTATTCATTTCTTAAAACTGCTTGCCATTGCCACAAGTAGCTATCAATTAATCTAATAATGCCCCACTGGATGCTATAACCCACACCTTATAGCTTAACAATGTATAGCCAATCACTCGTCAATGTTATTTCTGAAAACCAGTGAGAATTCCTGACAACCAACTGTGTACCAGCCCACTCCATGTCCCCCTTTTTTGCCTTTATAAATCCACTTGTAACTGCTGCTAATTGGAGTGTATATTCAGGGAAACTTGAATCTACGCTCCCTGGCTACAGTCCTCAAGCTTGGCCCAAACAGAGTCTTTACTTATATTAATTTTGCCTCAGCTTCTTCCTTTTAGGTTGACAGTGCTACAGGCTGAATTATGTCCCCCTAAAATTCAAATTTGAATAAATGTTCAAATATGAATTTGAGGCCAGGCACAGTGGCTCATGCCTGTAATCCCAGTACTCTGGGAGGCCGAGGTGGGCAGATCATCTTAGGTCAGCAGTTTGAGACCAGCCTGGCCAACATGGCGAAACCCCATCTCTACTAAAAATACAAAAATTAGCCAGGTGTGGTGACGCATGCCTATCATCCCAGCTACTTGGGAGGCCAGGATAGGAGAATCACTTGAACCTGGGAGGTGGAAGTGGCAGTGAGCCAAGATCGCACCACTGCACTCCAGCCTAGGCGACAGAACGAGACTCTGTCTCTCTCTCTCTCTATATATATATGAATTTGAAGCCCTTCAACCATATGGATCATATGTTGAAGTCCTAACCCCCTAGCACCTCAGACTGTCATTGTATTTGGAGATAGGGGCTTTAAATAGGTGATTAAGTTTAAACCTATTTAGCTCATTTAGGGTGAGCTCTAATCCAATCAGACTCGTGTTCTTATAGGAAGAGGAGATTAGGACACACAGAGAGACACCAGGTATGGACAGGCACAGAGGAAAGACCATCTGAGGACACACCAGAATCGACCATCTGCAAGCCAAGAGGAGGTCTTTGGAGGAACCAACCCTGCTGACACCCTGATCTCAGACTTCCAGCCTCCAGAATTGTGAGAAAATTAATCTCTGTCATTTAAGCCACCCAGTCTGTAGTACTTTGTTATGGCAGCTCCAGCAAACTATATCTACAGTAATCCATCACCACTTATGACAGGCTCTGCCACATAGTAGGTGTGTGTGCACACACCACACACAATCATGTTTAGAATATGAAATCCGTGAACCCTACTCCCACACTGATAACAGTTCAGGAACAGTTGATTTTTCCTCAGGGAATCTGGTTTGTTTTCCTAGTTTCCATCCCATCAAGACCCCTTCCCACCTGCTGGGAAATACTTGCCTGAACCCCTCGTTCCTTTCACAACACACACCTGATGGTAGGAAGAAGCTTCCAACTCTGATATTGACAGGGTGCTTGTAACCTAGCACCCTTTCTCCTACCTTGTTATGGAAAAATAAATCCTTTATCCTATTTCAACTACAGTCTTGGCAAAGGAAAAAACAAAACAAAAAAGGAAACCAGCCTAGAAATGGAAACCAAAGATCATGAACAGTGCTATGCTGAGTTACAGCTAAGGGTTGGCCTTTCTGGAGCTGGCTGCCTTCAGATGGCAGGGCTCTGAGAGTGTGTGTGTGTGTGTGTGTGTGTGTGTGTGTGTGTGTGCCAGAAGCACAAGATGACACACCCTGTGGTGGGGTCAGGCAAGCTGATTGTGGGAAAGGTGGGAACAGAATATTTTACAACAATGTTGGAAAAATGGGTTTACGTTCTCTGAGAGGAAGATACCCAAAGCTTCAAGCTCACCTCAAGGGAAAATTGAGCTAGGTTCCCATGCTCTCCACTTGGATCTCACGCACATGAACACACATACAACCTTCTCCTCAATATTCACAAGAGGCCTCTGTTGTCTGCTTCTCCAGAGAGTGGAGGTGAATTTACCTGAAGCTAATGAGGCTTGGGCTTCAGGGTCTTTTCCTTGTACCTGTCTCTTTAAATGCTGGACTTGGGGAAGGCTTTAGGTGAGAAGGGAAAGCTGGGTTTCAATAATGAAGCACCTCTATGTTCACATTTCTGATTAATTGCCTACACAGATCCCAGAAGAATGGAATGGAAATAGCTAAAGGCTCCAGAATTTTCTCTTTTTATTTTTTTGAGACAACATCTCACTCTGTTACCCCCAGGCTGGAGGCTGGAGTGTGGTGGCAAGATCATCGCTCACTGCAGCCTCTAACTCCCTGGCTCAAGCGATCCTCCCACCTCGGCCTCCTGAGTAGCTGGGACTACAGGCACACACCACCACACCTGGCTAATTTTTTGAATTTTTTTTTTTGTAGAGATGGGGGTCTTGCCATGTCGCTTAGGCTGGTCTTGAACTCCTGGGCTCAAGAAATCCTCCTACCTTGGCGTCTCAAAAAGCTGGGATTACAGGCATGAGCTACCATGTCCAGGCAGCTACAGGAATATTATACTTAATTTCTCATTCCAAAATAACATTCTCTTTTGTGCCTAATTTTAAATTCATAATTTTGTATTCTTTTTCTTAAACAGAGATCCCCATATTATATAAGCTTCAGTCCCCACAAAAACTGGATCTGGTTCTGCCAAAATGATATATCCTTTATGATATTTATAGAGACGTTCTGATTATTTCTGAACATCTCAGACTTTCTGGAACCAAGACAGGTTCGATTATGAACATCTGTTGTCTAATTTTAAAGACCAAGGGGGAAGCCGGGTCCTTATGAAGGCCATAAAGGCTCCAAGCTAGATGGATATTGGGGGAGTGGGTTAGCAGAGATGTCCTAAAACAATGTATTACACTAATGGGAAGAACAAAAGGTAAGTCTAATCACAGATGTCTTGGTTTTCAAGCTAGTCAGACTTCAGATAACTGTCAAATCTTCAGCCATAAATCGAAAGTGGAGGAGAATTAAAGACCCATCCTTGTTTGCTTACAGAATTTACTTAATTTAGCCACTCTATCCTTAATTGATAGCAACAGGTTTTTTCAAAATAGCCAAAGTAATCTATGCTTTGCTACATAATAGCAAAAGTAATAGCCAACATACATCAACACCTACTATGTTATACCCTTGACAGGTTTTCCTATTTTAGTAGTCAAAGCAATTTCATGGAGTAGCAATTACAGTTGTAATTTCACTAGTGAGAATGCAGAGTGAGGCTCAGAGAGGTTAAGGAACTTACCCAAGGTCACACAGCTAGTGAGTGGAGAGTTGGAATTTCATCTCTCTGATTTTAAAGTCTGGGCCCTTTCCTCTACTGCCTCTCTCTGAACTCAATGACACATCCTAAGTAAGTAAGGGCTTCTACACAGGATGGGTTAGACTATGCTGCAGTAACAAACAACCCCTGGATCTCAGGAACTTAAAACAAAATTTCAGGCTGGGTGTGGTGTCTCACACCTGTAATCCCAGCACATTGGGAGGCCAAGGCCAGTGGATCACTTGAGGTCAGGAGTTCGACACCAGCCTGGTCAACATGGAGAAACCCCATCTCTACTAAAAATACAAAAATTAGCCAAGCATGGTGGTGGGTACCTGTAATCCCAGCTACTTGGGAGGCTGAGGCATGAGAATCACTTGAACCTGGGAGGCAGAGGTTGCAGTGAGCCGAGATCACACCATTGCACTCCAGCCTGGGCGACAGAGCGAGACTCTTGTCTCAAAAAAAAAAAAAAATTCTAGAAATAACTCCAACCTTATTTTCTTGAACACGACTCATCCTGACCCTCCAGCACTCCATTGATCTGGGCTAAATATATGGAATCCTGCAGATGAAGACACCAGCACCCAAAGCTAATGGGACACAGAAAACAGAGGCCACTCAAATAAATGTCAGCACTCCTAGTTACTGAATACTCTGTGTCTGGCAAGTTTCATCATTAGTCAGTTATTCATTCACTCAATCAACAACTACTTACTGAGTTAATATAGCAGCATGGTTATGAGCACAGACTCTGGAGCAAGAGGTCCTAGGTTCAAATCCCAGTTACCCTGCTTATCAGCTAAATGACTTCTCAGTGCCTTGGTTTCTCCACCCAGAAAAATGGGGATTATAATTAATAATTGCCTACCTCATTGGGTTAAGTGGATAAACTAAGAACAGTGGCATGCCCATATGACATGCTCTATAATTTTTATTATCACTGTGTGCCAGGCATTATTCTATATGATGGAGGATGCAGCTATGAATAGGGCAGACAAGGTGCCTGTCTTTACAGAGCTTCTATTCTAGTGAAGGAGAGAGGCTTTATTAGCGAGTAATCCTTGATCGAGCCATACCTGAAGCTAACTACACATCCTTCAACCTTCCAATTTCCCCAGGCATTAAGTTCTTTTTTCTTTTCTGCCTAGGCTAGCTTGCACTGAGTTTCTCTCCCTTGTGAACCAAAGTGTCCTGACCAGTACAGAGGTCTAAAGCCTAAGCTCTTTCCAGTCTGCCCCTTGCCCCTTTCCAGCTGAAGCCCTATTCATTTGCACCCAACATCATCATTGCGTCCAGTGCCTCACCACTTGGTGAGACCCTTGAATATTCAAACCAGCGTGTAAGCAGAGAGTTAGGAACTATAAACAGTAAATTATAACAAGCATGAAGTGGAAGCCTGCTGCTGATCATTCGCAAGAGAGCAATCAAATCTGTCTTGGTGCCTACATGTTTTATGGAAAACATGTCTATGTTTTAAAAGTGTTTTTGAAATAAAAAATAATTTACTAACTAAATTAGATTTCCACATGTTTTATCTAGTTAACCCATCCCTTATCATAAGAAACGTAACTTCTTATTTTTTTTTTTTTTTTTTTTTTTTTTTTGCGATGGAGTCTCACTCTATCACCCAGGCTGGAGTGCAGTGGTGTGATCCCGACTCACTGCAACCTCTGCCTCCTGAATTCAAGTGATGCTCCTACCTCAGCCTCTCAAGTAGCTGGGATTACAGGTGTGCGTCACCATGCCCAGCTAATTTTTATAATTTTAGTAGAGATGGGGTTTCACCATGTTGACCAGGCTGGTCTTGAACTCCTGACCTCAAGTGATCCCCCTGCCCCGGCCTCCCAATCATGGTGGGATTATAGGCTTGAGCCCCTGTGCCTGGCCTAGAAAGCTAACTTCTTAATTGCAAGCTACTTTCATCAATATAATGCATTTGTCTCACTCCTTAAAGGACTCCTGTCACAGTGAATTGGCAAAGAACTGGTCAGACACAAGAGGCAGTGGAGTATTAGTAAAATACACGTGGATTTGGAGTCAGACCTTCCTAGGTTTAAATGCTGGTTTTATCGCATACTAGTTGTATGCCTTCATCGGGGTTTCCCAAGAATCAGACCCTGAGACAAGACTCCAAGAGTAAGTCATCTATGTGGGAGGTAAATGAAACATGACACAGGAAATGAAATAGGTCAGGGAGGCAGCCAGTAAAGGGCATATTATAAAACAAGTTACCACTTGGGACAATAACTGGAGCTTAAACTTGCTGGAAAACTCTAGGATACACTGTAGAACATCTCTAGCAATGTGCTGGTAGATGTTTAACAACCAACACTGCAGAAAAATATTAAAAGCCCAGATTTGTAGTGTCTGCCCATATCCATGGTGTAAATCCTCCCACCATGGCTGATTTCACACTACCTTGTCCCTGAACAAGGACTTGGGGAAAGATGCACATACCAGCTCTTGCTTCATAGTTATCTGACCTAAGGGGTGAGGGAGATGGGGTAGTTATCCACTTACACCAACTCTCATCAGTTCCTGGTGGAGGGATGCTCCCAGGGCAGGTGTTGATTCCTCCAAGACTTCCAAGCCATCATACGGGTGGGCAAAGACAGTACAACCAGAAAAAGACCTCAGAAAGAGGGCCAGGCATGGTGGCTCATGCCTGTAATCCCAGCACTTTGGGAGGCCAAGACAGGTGGATCACCTGAGGTCAGGAGTTCGAGACAGCCTGGCCAGCATGGCAAAGCCCCACATCTACTAAAAAAAAAAAAATAGCTGGGCATGGTGGTGCATGCCTGTAATTCCAGCTACTCAGGAGGCTGAGGCAGGAGAATTGCTTGAACCTGGGAGGCGGAGATTGCTGCGAGCTGAGATCACGCCACTGCACTTCAGCCTGGGCGACAGAGTGAGACTCCATCTCAAAAAAAAAAAAAAAAGAAAAGAAAAAGAAAAAGTCCTCAGAAAGAGAATGCAACTACATTTGGATGGGTCAGTGGATGCTTAAGAGGTAAAGGGTTAGAAGATACAAGGGAAGCACTGAAAGCATCTGTTACTCTGTGCAATTGTGAAAACGTTATTTCATTTCTCTAGGCTTCCAATATTGCATTGGTAAGATATGATTCATTGAATCTTCCAACAAATATTCATGGAGCACTTAGTATATACCCGGCAATCTTCAGGCCACAGGAAACAGAATGTTGAGTTACCATGACAAAGTCACTGTCACAGAGCCAGTGGGGAAAGCAGCCTCTAAACATGCCACCCAGTAAGTAACAAAGATCATTTCAGGAATGGTGAGGACTATGATGTTAGAGAGGGTGATGGGAGGGAGAATAATGTAGCGGAGAGGACATGAACGGGAAAATCTTTCTGAAAGGGTAACGTGTAAGGTGAGGCTCAACAGATGAGAGGAAATGTGTTGTAAAAAGATCTGGGAGCAGCATTCCAGGTGGAGGAAACTGCATGTGCAAAGGCCCAGAGGTGGGAAGGAGCTTGGCTTGTTCATGGAAAAGAATGGAAGCCAGTGTGTCTAGATCAAAATGAATCAGGCAGAAGGTAACCAGGAAACAGAGTGGAGAGGCAGGCAGGAATCAGTGTCTGCAGTGCGTGCTCAGCATCATAAAGGGTTTGAGTAGTAACACAACCCTGAAGAGTTGTTAAATGAGCTCCCATGCATGTAACTGGCATTACTCATGTTATTAACCTGGGAAACTGTCACGTCTCTTACTTTTCCATTTAATCTCATGCCCATCCTCTTTGCTCACAGGAGCCAAGAAGTCCAGTATCTCACTCCACATCTGCCTTCTCGTGGTCCAACACTCTGCCGACTCAGTTAATCCAAAGATCACTTCCAAACTTCAGGCTGATGGAAACCTGAGGAGTCGGATCCATTCATAGGCAGCCCCATTTTCACCTTCCCTTGTCCCCGAGGCTGCCATTAGGTTGAAAACCAGTCTGGTACTGTCAGCGTGTCTTTGTCTACAGCTATGAAAAAGTCCACATAGTCCAGTCTCTACATAGGGCACAATGATTCTCCTCTACATCTCAGCTACCAGGAACCAGCTTGTCGAACACACATGCAAACATTCAAACCCTTCTCAGGTTCCCCTCTAGGGCCTTCAGGGACTTATCCGGCATACCTGAGGTTGGGGCCATTGCAATCTATTCTTAGTCTAGTGTTAAGCCGGGTCAACAGCGGAGATGCTCCTTCTCCTTGAACTAATTTTATTTCCAGAGTTTCATTTTCCTTCCCTGCAACATTAGGCACCATTTGGGGATATTTTTATCCATCCATATGGATTTCAAAATCTCATAAAGAAGGAGCTGGGAGAAGAATGAGGAATCACTGATTTTAATGACTGTATTTGTTGATCTCTTACTCCATTCCTGGACCCATGTTGAATAACATAAATATATATGCATGTACACATGCTATACATGGTATCTAGATGCTATATGTGTTATATATAACATACATGTTACAATATATGTTAGATATGTATGTCATACATATCATAATATATAATTATACATTGTATATTATATATTATACTATTACATATAATATATAATTATACATTGTATACTTGTATACTATTACATAGTATAATATATACTTATGTTTATATAATAAAATATAATGTATATGAAATATACATAATACATATATGATATATTATATAATTATATCATATAATATATAATTATGTATATTTCATATACCATATATTTTATCATACATAAATATATAAGTTATATATAATATATAATGTCATATATTATATAAATTATAATTATTATATATTATATAAAACATGTATTATATTATATATAATACATGGTTTATATGTTATATAACATATATAACAAATTATATATTATATAACATGTTATATAACAAATTATATATTATATAATATGTTATATAATATAACAAGTTATGTAATATACAATATATGTTATTAAAATAGATATTACATAATATATTAAATAATATATGTTTTATATATTATATTATATATGTTTTTTATATATTATATAATATATATGTTTTATATATATTATTTTTGTTTTTTTTTGTTTTTTGGGGGTTTTCTTGAGACAGAGTCTTGCTCTATTGTCCAGGCTGCAGTGCAGTGGTATGATCTTGGCTCACTGCAACCTCCGTCTCCCGGGTTCAAGCAATTCTCCTGTCTCAGCCTCCCAAGTAGCTGGGACTACAGGTGCCCACAACCAGGCCTGGCTCATTTTTGTATTTTCTTTAGAGGCAAAGTTTCACCATGTTGGCCGGACTGGTTCTCAACTCCTGACCCCAAGTGCCCCGCCCACCCCATCCTCCTAAAATGCCGGGATTACAGGCATGAGCCACTGCATCCAGCCTATATATGTTCTTTCATCATCACCACATCATCTAATTTTACAGATGAGAACACTGAGGCTTGGGGAGATATTAAATGTCTTATCCAGATTGCATGCATGTAAGTGACATAAGCATGATTTGAAACTAAGCAATCCAACACGAGAGTCCTAGGTCTAGAGCCTCTCTGACCTGCTTTCTACCTAGAAATTATCTGAGTTCTTTATGCAAATTGATGCACTTTTTCATCCCTTTGGTCTCTTGAAGTGGCAGCTTTTGCTGCACCCAGTTCTCACAACAACTTGCAAAGAGGATCAACACACACGACTGATCACGAGATAAAGGAAGTCTGAAGCAGTCCCCACCAAACATGCAAATTCAATGAATGAAGATCCATTTCTTGCAGCTTTCTGCTTTGCATAATAACATTTGGCTGTGATGATCTATTATGACACTAATCCTTGCACAGCCCAGAGAAGATGGGCAATAGTTTTCTGGATGTCAGTGGGACTCTGGCACAAGGGCCAGCCAATTTTGGTGAGCGCAACAGGAAATTCTTTGCAATGTCCTTGTGAATCTGAGGTTACAAAGACTGGCTCAATCTGTCACAGGAAGCATGCTGGAATGCCTTTGTCCTTCTTTCTAGTTTTTCTTTCTTTCTTTCTAATAATTCTCAGTGTGGGAGAATATTATTCTTTCTAATAATTCTCGGTGTGGGCTTACATCCTTTGCTTTGGGGAAGGTTTCTATCATTAGACCTCTCTTTTCCCCCAACCATCCAGCTGTGAAGCGGTTCACTGCGGACCCAACCTCTGGCATGACTGTGGATCAGCAGCACCAATGCCATGAAGACTGCAGACACACTGGAGAACCAAGGCTAATTCCCTTAGCCATTGAGCCTCCGCTTTCCATCCATGAAATGACTCTCAAAATGCCAGCTTGGGCTATTGCTTGCTTCAGAGCACCTAAGAGCATCTGAACAAAAGGAATATCTTTTTCACAGATGTAAATGAGGAAAGCGAGGATTATACAGTAGAAGAAGTGCTCTATAAGGCTGCTGAAGATCACAATTTTTTTTTTTTTGAGACAGTCTGGCTCTGTGTCCCAGGCTGGAGTGCAGTGGTGCAATCTCGGCTTACTGCAACCTCCGCCTCCCAGGTTCAAACGATTCTCCTACCTCAGCCTCCCAAGAAGCTGGGATAACAGGTGTGCGCCACCACACCTGGCTAGTTTTTGTATTTTTTAGTAGAAACAGAATTTCATCACGTTGGCCAGACTTGAGGTCAGGTCTTGAACTCCTGACATCAAGTGATCCACCCGCCTTGGCCTCCCAAAGTGCTGGGATTATAGGTGTGAGCCACCGTGCCCGGCCTGAAGATCACAATTCTTATCTAACTCTGCTATTCATTGGCTGGGCCACCTTGGGCATGTCCATTAGCTTTCTGGTTCTTAGGACCCTCATGTCTAATAACAAGGTCTTTCCTACCTGCCCCACAGGGCTGTTGGGAGGACCAAATGAGATCAAGAATGCAAAAGCTCTCTGTCAACTGTGAAACACTACCAGGAGTAAAGATTCACAAGGCATGAGTTGCCACAAGGCAGTATAGCATGGTGGTTAGGAGGTTAAGCTCTTAAACCAGATTATTTGGATTCCAGTATAACCCCAGGAAACTTAACTTTGTTTTGTGGTGTTGTTGTTTTGTTGGTGTTGTTGCTTGGTATTTTGTCTAATTTTTAGAAACAGGGTCTTGCTCTGTTGCCCAGGCTGGAGTGCAGTGGGCATGATCATAGTTCACTGCAGCCTTGAACTCCTGGGCTTAAGCTATCCTCCTGCCTCAGCCTGTGGAGTAGCTGGGACTACAGGTGTGCACCACCGCACCTGGCTAATTTATTTAATTTTTGTGGAGACAGGGTCTTGCTTTCTTGCCTCAGCTTGTCTCGAACTCCTGACCTCAAGCAATCCTCCCATCTTGGCCTCCAAAAGAGCTGGGATTATAGGTGTGAGTCACTGCGCCCAGCCAATTTAAATTCTTTAAGTCTCAGTTTTTCCATTTGTAAAATGGGCATAGTAATAGTACATTTGTCACAGAGTTGGTTTGTGATAGGATAAGGTGATGCATGTTCACTAGAAATGAAGAGAGAAGGGTTATGATTCATTGAAAAGAAAGAAAAACCTAGGCTGGGTGTAGTGGCTCACACCTGTAATCCCAGCACTTTGGGAGGCTGAGGCAGGAGGATGAATTGAGGACAGAAGTTCTAGACCAGACTAGGCAACATAGTGAGACCCTGTTTCTACTAAATAAATAAATAAATAAGCCAGGCATGGTGGCATGAACCCTGCAGTCCAAGCTACTCAGAAGGCTAAGGCAGGAGGATCACCTGAGCTCAGGAACTTGAGGCTGCAGTGAGTTATAATTGTGCCACTACACTCCAGTATGGGTGACAGACTGAGATCTTGTCTCTATAAAGAAAAAAAGAAGAAGAGGAGGTAGAAGAAGAAAGTCTGAACTACTCCCTGCAGGAAGAGTAGACAAGGTAAAGAGCCCTAGAAAAGATTCGTCCCCGTGCTTTCCTCTAGAATGAGGACTCCAGTAATTTATACCAGTGCTGGAGCACAGGCTTGACAATGGCTGGAGCTCAGCCTCCACAGTATCTGTTGTGATTAGTGCTCAAAAGCATAAAGCATAAATGGAACTAAGAAGAAACAAGATGCTCAAGGTCTCCCCTTCAGCCTTCCTTCCAAGTAACAGAATCATGATTTGATGATTTGACCCCTTCTTCTACCACCTCAATATTGAAATCTGTTTCCAATTCCCGTTACCTTAGAGAACACCATCAGATGTCCATTGTATATCTCAGATTCATTTCTTTCCAAAAACGAATTTAACTTGCCTTCCAAATAATTTTACTCCTAATTTTTAGCTCACTTTCTCCATGAATATCATCACCATTCACCCAGTTACCCAAACCAAGAGCCTGAACAACATCTTTGAGTCCTTCTCCATCACACCCTACATTCAACCAATTGCCACCTTCTCTTTTATATACCTCCTTAAGTCACGGCCTTAATTTGGGAATGATCGTTTCTCATTTGGACTTGACTTCATGGTCAAATATGGCATCCAGAGATCTAGCCATTGCATCCTAATTCAAGACCAACAACAGGAAAAATGGGCAAAGAAATATATGGTCCTCATTCTGAGAAAATGTCCATATTACTCTTCTCTTTGCATTCCTTGGCCAAAGCTAAATCACATGGCTTGGGTAGCTTCATGAGAGATTGGGAAATTAGAGGGTTTTGGTTTTGTTGTTGTTGTTTAAAGCAGAGTCTATGTCACCCTAATTAAAATCAGTGTTTCATCTTTTATTCTTCCTCAAATATTCAGTGTTAAAGTCACTAAAGGGCACCAACCAAAGTAAGCATCAACGAGAGGGGATAGGACAGAGATCTGGCATGGGGTGTTGAAGCCTAGAATTGGTGCACGACCTAGTTCTAGTCACGAAAAAGCATCAGACAATCCCCAATTGAGAGCTCTTATACAACATAAATGGCCTGTATCTTCAAAAGTATCAAGGTCAAGAAAGTAACAAAGAGACTGATGAATCTGCCGGAATAAGACGTGACAATTAAATGCTATGATAATCTTGCCCTGCAAGATTATAAAGGACATTATTGGGATGGTCAGTGAAACCTGAATGGGGCCTTTGGATTAGATGGTGGTAATGTATCAATGTTATAATAATTTCCTGACTTTAATGGTCATATTATGGGCATATAGGAGAAGGTCCTTATTGCAAGACACACACAGTAAAGTATTGGGAAACGATTCGAGGAGAGGGAAAACTTAATTGTACTGTTCTTCCAACTATTGTCTCAGTTTGAAATTTTTCCCCCGAAAATAAGGTGTTATTTCAGAGAAGAAAAGGGAATGTAGATGTTTCAATATGTAAATAGTAGGCTCCACCACAGATGGTATTTAAATAATGTATCAGAAGAGGTCATCCCAAGGGAGTAATATTTAAATCCAGAGCCAAAGATAGAAAGCCATCCACGTGAAGAGCAAGGAGACAAAGTTTTCAGGCAGAAGGAACATGTGAGAAGTAGCTGAACTTGTTTTCAGAGTTATAACCCTAGCAATATGGTGGAAAATAACAAATAACTAGCAATATGGTTGAAATAAACAAACTGCTATTCCTTCAGAAACATGAGTAAGCACCACTGTGTGCAGGAACTTGCAGCAGTCAGCTAGATGCTGTAAGACAAACAACCCCAAATCCCAGAAAGAGCTTATTTCTCTGCCATGCCCATATAGCTTGGCTGGAGCAGCTCTGCTGGAGGTTGCAGGTCTGAAGACATGCTGGGGCGGCTCTGCTCTAGATGCATCTCATTTTTCTAGGACCAGCGACCAACTAAGTCATGTTTTTCTCATAGAGAAGGCAAAAGCACAAGAAGGCAAACTCATCACACGAGAGCATTTCAAGCCTTTCATAAGGGTTATGTCCTCTCACATCCCATTAGCCAAAGAAAGTTAAGCTCAACTCAACAGTCGAAGGGTAGGGAAGTACACTATGCCATCTCTCAGGGAAAAGGAAGTCACATAGCCTAGCTGAACATCAATGATGTAATAGGAGAGGGAACAAATATTTACTAAACAATAGTCTCATCTACCGTAAAGCTCAAATACTTCACAAAAGAGCCACCCTTAGAAATAGCTTTTATCTCATCTATTTTATGGGTGAGTGGGGAAGAAGGATGACAAAGCCCCTTTAAGAATTTTATATACCCTAGACACATTCACTTTTGGAGGTCTCACCAGATAAGCATTTGAAACATGCTACAAATTTGCCTGTATCCTACATTAAATGGAATTTTGGCTCTAAACATTTTTTGAGAAAATTTTAAAATTCTGCTCCTGAAATTATCTGGCAATAGGTGATTTATTTAAATTTAGATTGGATGTGATTTCTTGGTAATTGTGCATATTCAGGAGGTCTAGAAAGTGGGAAATTCTAACTATCCACATTTTTCAGATGTAATGAAATCCCTAGGAATGTTAAATTTAACAATTAGTGATATTGACAAAGCAGCACAATTTGTAGGTAATTTTTTTTTTTTTTTTAGAAGGAGTTTCACTCTTGTTGCCCAGGCTGGAGTGCATGGCATGATCTCGGCTCACTGCCACCTCCACCTCCCAGGTTCAAGCAATTCTCCTGTCTCAGCCTCCTGAGTAGCTGGGATTACAGGTTTACAGGCATGCACCACCATACCAAGCTCATTTTCATATTTTTAGTAGAGACAGGGTTTCACCATGTTGGTCAGCCTGGTCTCGAACTCCTGACCTCAGGTGATCTGCCTGCCTCAGCCTCCCAAAGTGCTGGGATTACAGTCGTGAGCCACCATGCCCAGCGTAGGTAATTTTTAAGATATTCATTAATTTCAATTTTGTCATTTTCTCTTTTGCATTTTTAAGCCAATGTGTGTGTGTGTATGTGTGTTTGTGTGGTGTTTTTTGTTTGTTTGTTTGTTTGTTTGTTTGTTTGTTTTTGGTCTCAAACATTTCTGTAGATCTTGAAAAACGTATAGGTCCCGGGAAGACCCTATGCCTAACGGATTAAAAATGCACATGTTGCCTGGAATCAAAGCTAATTATTATTGGTTGGGAAATGGATACCCTCCCACTCCAGACTCCTCAGCACAGGAAAATAAGAGCAGCTAACTCCAACAGAACCCAATTCATTTAGGAGGCTCTCTGCCTCTGCATAAGGGTGAATGGTTTGGGATTGCTGCTCAGCAGAGCCCTTCATCTCATTCACGAAGCCATTCACACTGTATCCAGTCCATTTGTAAGGCAAATAAAAATGTCGTCTTCCAATCTTGGCTCATTTCATCTTATAAGAAAAGTCTCCCGTCCGATGCCTAGCCAACATTTCCCTGTTGTGATTAAAGAAACAGCAGGTAATAAAAGCTGGACTAACGGTTGGTCCTCTAAGGACCAAAATATGATTGAAGAAGCAATAACTTACCCCAGTGCCGCCAAGGCAAGTTGTCTCAATAATGTAACAAAGCTATACTTAATGGCAACAGAGCACGTTTCACTGATACTACACCATAAACTGCCCGCTTTCAATTAGTTGCATATGTATTAAAGGGAGTCAACACATATTTACAGCAATCATTTCTATGTATACAAGATGCCACAAAAATGTAGCTTTCTGCTCCTTCTGGTCATTTGGCCACATAGGAATAATCACCAACCATAGATGCAATTCTGGAAAAGTCATTAATGCTCATCTCTATGGTTGCAAGAGATTATTGGGCTTCTATTTCATGCCAAGGCACTTTACATATGTAAATAATGGTGCATGCTTTGAATGAAGTCATGTTTTTGTGACCTACAATCCCCACTGGCTGCTGCAGCACCTGGCACATATTAGCCACTCAAGAAATTCTCGTTGAGTGAATAAATGAAACATTCAATGGCTCTGAGACCCTACCTTTCAGATTATCAGCACCATGACCCTGCTTTTGAGACCCCTACTCTCTCTCCCTTCCCTATTATCTCTTGGTGAATATTGGGGAATGGCTCACCTGAACTGCCCCACGATTTCATGCCTGTTTTCGCCATTACCTGTCACCTTACCTGGCCACAGTCATTCCTTCCAAAGCCACTATTCACATCTCTATCAGATGCTCTGCAGTTCTGGGGCTCCTGCCTCTTGGGACAAGGCTAGTACTGTCATACCAGGTGTGATGGTTAATATTGAGTGTCAACTTGATTGGATTGAAGGAGGCAAAGTATTGATCCTGGGTGCGTCTGTGAGGATGTTGCTAAAGGAGATTTACACTTGAGTCAGTGGACTGGGAGAGGCAGACCCACCCTCAATCTGGGTGGGTACCATCTAATCAGCTGCCAGCATGGCTAGAATAAAGCAGGCAGAAGTTGGAAAGAACAGACTTACTGAGTCTTCCGGCCTTCATCTTTCTCCTGTGCTGGATGCTTCCTGCCCTGGAACATTGGACTCCAAGTTCTTCAGCTTTTGGACTCTTGGACTTACACCAGTGGTTTGCCAGGGGCTCTCAAGCCTTTGGCCACAGAATGAAGGCTGCACTGCTGGCTTCCCTACTTTTGAGGTTTTGGGACTCAGACTGGTTTCCTTGCTCCTCAGCTTGCAGATGGCCTATTGTGGGACTTCACCTTGTGACCGTGTGAGTCAGTACCCCTTAATAAACTCCCCTTCATATATACATCTATCCTATTAGTTCTGTCCCTCCACAGAACCCTGTGTAATACACCAGGCCAGCAGAAGGGAGACATTTGCTTTCCTGGACATTTTCTGTTCATTTTACATTTGCTCAATGAAAAAAATCAGGTTGCAATACATATATAAATAGAAAACACAGAGAGACATAAATATTTTTTAAAAAGAATCAGAAACATATGCCCCAAAATGCTAATATGATTACATCTGGGTGGTTAATATTTATTTTCTGTTTCTATTCTCTTTGTGTTTCCCCAAATTTGCTTGTTGACAGCACATGTGCATTGCTTTTGGCCAATAAATGTTTGGCTTATTTAAAGAGTTATCTTGATGATAGCCAGGTGTGGTGGCTCACACTTGTAATCCCAGAACTTTGGGATGCCAAGGTGAGCAGATCACCTGAGGTCAGGAGTTCGAGACCAGCCTGGCCAACATGGTGAAACCCCATCTCTATTAAAAATACAAAAATCAGTCTATCTTAAAAAAAAATTAGCTAGGTGTGGTGGCACGTGCCTGTAATCCCAGCTACTCAGGAGGCTGAGACATGAGAATTGCTTGAACCTGAGTGGCAGAGGTTGCAGTGAGCCAAGATCATGCCACTGCACTCCAGCCTGAGCAACAGAGCGAGACTCTGTCTCGATTAAACACACAAACACACACACACACACAGTTATCTTGATGGCAGTTCAGGAACTTGGGAGATGAGGGCTGTTCTCCTGAAACCCTATAAGAACCCTCAGGTGGGTTATGCCACCCGTTCACTAATATCCCATTTACGGGTGAAGGGAAAGGTGGAGGAGACCAACCAACCCACCAGCAGTGGCCTCAGTCTCAAATAAAACTTAGTCCCTGAGTTAGAAGCCAACTTAACCATGGAGAGGAAAGAGTTCATCCGATGGGACTAAACCTGCTCACTTCCTTCCAAGAACCACCCCAAGGGTTCATTTCCCAGGCACCAGGAGCCACCCAGCTCCAACATGCTGTTTTCTGTCTTCTGGTGACTTATCACTTGTTGTTTCTTCAAGAATAAGCCTTCGTTGTTCCAAGTAAACATCTCAAATGCACACATTCTTAAAGTAGTAAGTCATGTATCCACCTGTGCATCCAACAAATTATTATGTAGTGAACACCCATGAGGGACGTGCTGCTGTGTTCAATGCTGGGGACACCACAGGGGGCCACCCACGGACTTGGTTCCTGCCATCATGGAGCTCTCGGTCCAGTGGAGGAATTAGACATGAACCAAATAAAACACAGTCATGAATGTAAAACCAGAAACTAGAGTAAGTGCTCTTGAAACTGTCTTAGCAAAATTATGACTGAGACAGTGAAAGAGATTTAACTTGATCAATTCCATCTTTCTTCTAACCTCCAAGCTGTCCTTATTCATTCTTGGGTGTAGGCTGACCTAACTTTGGGAGAAACTGAGTTCATGGTTCATAGTTTGTAGTTTAAAGCAAAGATGATAACAGCCCTTTCCCAAAGCAGACCTCCTTCTTGCCTGGGGACTAGATTGCCTTTGTTAGGACTAAAATCAGCCACAAGATTAGAAACTATGGTTTAGGAGTCAGGCGGCTGGAGGTTACAAGATTCTGACCCTCCCTAAACTGTTCCTAAGATCAGTGCTTGAGATAATTTGCAGACCCTGCACGTGACGGGTCAGGTGGCACCACCCAGATCGATCAACTGGCTCATCTGATCTTGTGGCCCCAACCCAGGAACTGACTCAGCGCAAGAGGACAGCTTCGACTCCCTATGATTTCTTCCCTGACCAATCTGCACTCCTGGCTCACTGGCTTCAACTAACCACCCCTACCAAGCTGTTCTTAAAAACTCTGCTCCCCAAATGCTTGTGGAGACTGATTTGAGTGATAATCAAACTCCAGTCTCCCACAATGCCCCTCTGCATGAATTACTCTCTCTGTATTCCAATCCCCCTGTCTTGATAAATCAGCTCTGTCTAGGCAGCGGGCAAGGTGGACCCAATGGGCGGTTACACTCTGTCGAGAAGGAACACAGGGAGCTGTGGAAGGCTTCCAGAGGAAGTGCCTGGGCTTTGAAGAATGAGCAGGCATTAAGTGGGCAAAAGAGCATGTGCGAGGGTACTGTGCAATGTGTCACCACCCAGGGAGAGAGGAGAAGTGGACTATGAGGCTGGGGACATAAACACGGTCCTGGCCATGGAGGGCCTTGTAAACCCCATGAAGGATGTTTGCTCTTTATCCTAATATCAACATGAAGTGATTAGAAGGTAGCAAGCCCTTGATTAACCAACAATTCTAGATCCTTCTCCAAACTTCTCTTTTAGGGAAAGGAAACCTAGAAGTCAAAATATAAGGTGGTGGGATTTCAGTTGAAAAGGTGCCCAGGGTCGGCCTCGGGTCAGTCTATCTTTGGGTCTATCACAAACACTATATTAATTGCCCCTATTAATCTTTCATCATGTGCCAGGCATTGTGATGATGTATACTTTATATCCATTGGCACATGTAAGCCTCACCACAAGATTTAGGGCCTATCATTATGCCCATTTCACAGATGAGGAAACTGAGGTTCAGGGGGGCTTGTAACATGTCCCAAATGGTGTAGCTAGTAAGTGGCAATGCCGAGGCTCAAATCCCTCCAAAGATTCTCTCTCCAAAGGTCATTTTCCTTTCCCTAAGCCATGCTGGTGCATCTGGGGTCCTGGAAACTAGGAGATGATTTTCAGAATTATAAGACTTAGGTCGTGCAAGCTTCTTAATCATCAAAGAAAGTCTGGAAAGAGAAGAAGATGTTTGCAGGAAGCTGCCACAGAAGAGAACATTTTAGACAGAGGAACAGCATGAAGAACCGAACACACGTGGCATCCCCTAGGGGCCATGAATATAGCAGGGAGGCAACCACAGAGTTGGGAAGATCCAGAGAGAGGCGGGACAGATACAGTGGGTCCTGAAAGTATGTTAAATAGAGTCACAGTGACACGGCAACCAGGAGTGGCAAGGGAGCCACAGACACACATGATTAGACACAACAATCATGTTTTCAAGGCACAGCCCACTTAGAGATCACAGCAAGATGCTTTATCCAATCTCCGCCGGCAATCAGAGCTTGAAAAAGGAGCATTGTCGTCAATCAACTTCCCTTTGGGCAAAAGGCACAGGCAAAGGAGAAGATACTTCACCCACCTTTTAATAAATGTGTCTTGAGGAGAGAGTTGGCCCACAGAGTACGGTCTCCAAGATCTAAGACTCCACATGGGTAGTGGCAGGGGAGACAATGGGAACCAACAGGACATTGGCTGGAATCACAAGTCACACCTTCAGTAAACCAGAGGAGTCATTTCTCTCTCCCTTATTGACTCTGGGCCCTGGAGAAATGCCACAGAAATTCATGAGAAGAGGAGTTGAAGGTAGACGGCACCTGGACATTATTTCTGCCAGCCCATTTGAGTTCATCTGGTAAACATTTTGCATTTGGAAGTTGACATCGTTTAATAATAACTGTCAATGTCAATGATCAATGCCATCATAATGGCACAAATACCCTTGTGGGCTTGGGGTTGGGAGGGGTACGGTGGGGACTGACTTCTTTGTCTCCTGTCCTTTCAATGGTTATAAATAATGATGATAATAATTTCTATTTGTGTAGCTTTGTGATTGCAGAGAGCTTTAGGCTTCCTGAGAGCTTTCACCTATATTACCTCAGCTGATCCCTCTACAATGTGCAGTATCTATTTTGGTCCCCTCTGGGAACCTGAGGCTTGACAAGGTCAGGAAAGGCCACACCATGGCCTGTTCCTGAAATAGGTGCCACAAATGAAAATCCTTGCAGAGAGTCCAGGCAGATAACATAAGTGAAGAAAGGGAGGAATGAGAAGCAGTAGGGAATGGTGGGGTCTGTGGTGAATTGGAGTGCATGCCCCATTGAAAGACGGGGGTAGCTGCCTATCTTGTATCCACCAACTGTCTCCACGTGGGAACATGGGCCCAATGCTGTCAGAGCTTCTAATAAATTAAGAGAAGCTAAAAGCCAGATGCTATGTCAGTCTCCCAGTTTTTAAATGATCGCAACTGGGAGTCTTGCAACTCTGTCTCCCAGGCTGTAAGGCAGTGGCACAATCCTAGCTCACTGCAGCCTCGAACCCCTAGGCTCCAAAGATCCTCCTGCCTCAGACTACCGATTAGCTCGAACTACAGGCATGTGTCACCATGCGTGGCTAGTTTTCACAATGTTTGTAGAAATGGGGCCATCTCACTATGTTGCCCAGGCTGGTCTCAAACTCCTGGGCTCAAGCAATCCTCCCTGCTCAGCTTCCCAATTAGCTAGAACTACAGGTGTGCACCACCACACCTGGCTACAAACTCTCCTTGTCACCCCCTGTTGACAGGTCTCTTTCCTTCACAGGCTGAGACAACTCCAATTCAACTCTGAATCCCCAATACAGGACCTGCCCAGGGAACAGGGCTCAGACATTTATGCTGCGAAATACTCAGCTTTTGGGGCTCAGCGTCCTTTTCTGCAAAAAGAGTTCCCCTCCCAAGAGGAAATCCCCTAAGCCTAAGGACAGGAGGTGATGGAAAGATGGACGGATGGGCAGATAGATGGATGGAAAAAAAATGGACAGTTGGAAACAGACAAACTTGGTGGATGAGCAGAAATAAGCCTCATTCTCGCCTGACAATGGGACAGCCTGGGGGAGGGGCGGGACACACCAAGGCTCCCAGTTGACCCCCAGCAATTGGACAAGAGAGTTTATAAACCAGCATCGGGGTTTTAGGAGCATTGTAAGCTGCAGAGTGCATGGGGTCTTCAGTGGGAAGCATCTCCTTCCCCATCCCTGTTCTCTGTCCTGGGGTTGCCCATCAAGCTAATCACATGTCCACCCCTGGGGTCCCTCTGGCCTCTGCCACTCTTCACCAAAGTACAGTTAAACTCCAGGGGCAAATGATGTGTTGGGGGTGTGGCAGACAGGGATTGTGTCTCAGCAGAGAGGGCACAGCACTCACAAAATAGCTTCAATAGTTCCAGGGTCAGTAGATGTGCCCGAAGAGGAACCCCACATCGCAAGTGGCCTAAGCCTGGGGTAGGGTGAGCACTGCTCACTCCTGCCCAGAGGAGTAGCTGAGGGGCCTAAGCTCTAGCTCTGAGCCCACCAGCCATTCCATCCACCACCCACCTGAAACTGTTCTGTTGACCCACAGCAATTGGTCCTGGTGCCAGGCACAGAACAGATGCTCAGAAGATACGGTTGATCCTGTCTGGGTGCAGTGGCTCACGCCTGTAAACCCAGCACTTTGCGAGGCTGGGATGGGAGGATTGCTGGAGGCCAGGAGTTCAAGACCAGCCTGGGCAACATAGTGAGATCCCCATCTCTATAAAAATAAAAATTAGCTGAGCATGATGGTGTGCGCCTGTAGTTCCAGCTACTCGGGAGACTGAGGTGGAAGGATAGTCTGAGCCAGGAGTTCGAGGCTGCAGTGAGCTACGATCATGACACTACACTCCAGCCTGGGAGACGCAGCAAGACCCTATTTAAAAAAAAAAAATGGTATGGTTAATCTGCCTTTACTGATTACAAATCAATAAATTTGTATTATCGTAATAAATCTGTCTTTATTGATTACAAGGCACTTTCTCATCCCCCATCACCTAAGACAACTGCATAAAGACCGCATGAGCTATAAAGACCATTTCCTTGCCCCAGGTCACATGGAGGAAAAGAGACAGAGCCAGGATTTAAACCCCTGCCCCTGGCTTTCATTCCTTTGCTGTGTCCCTGCAGACCCGAGGCCCACCTGGGTGAAGAACAGGTGGGTGGACATTGGCAGTGTTCACCAGGGGAAGCATGCCAGGTGCAAGGAAACATGTGAGCACCTGTCCGTGCCCAATGGGTCTCTGTTTGTCTCCCTGCATCTTCACCCAAACCAGCTTCTCACACCCCCACGGCCACCACCAGCACTCCAGGCCTCTACCTGGGCCCTTTAATGCCCCTTCCCCATTCCTCAAGAGCCCACTGGGGTCCCTTCCCTGATGGCCTGCTGGCCTCCTGCCTCCCTCCCTGACCTCAGCCTCCTCGGATTTTCAACAGCCTGGGGTTGCAGGCTGAGCTCAGCATCTGGCAGGGGCCTGGAAGAAATGACCTCTAGAGGGCCCACACTCTCTGGGTGTCATATTTTGGGGCTATTATCACAAAATACCTTAGACTGGGTAATTTATAAATGACAGAAGTGTGTTGCTCACAGTTCTGGAGGCTGGGATGTCCCAGATCAAGGCACCTGCAGATTCAGTGCCTGGTGAGGAGGGCTCACTCTGCATCATAGGTGGTACCTTGTTGCCATGTCCTTATATGGCAAAAGAGGCAAAGGCGCTTGCTCAAGCCCCTTTTATAAAAGGGGGCACTAATCCCATTCATGAAGGTGGATTCCTCATGAATTAGTCACTTCCTAAGGGGCCCCTCTTACTACTATCACATTGGGTATTAAGTTCCAACATATGAATTCAAGGGGAACAATGACATTCAGACCATAGCACCAGACGTCTATCTGGGGAAGCCCCCAAATATTTGTCTTTTTTTTTTTTTTTTTTTTTTGGAGGCAAGGTCTGCCTCTGTCATTCAGGCTGGAGTGCAATGGCACAATCACAGCTCACTGCAGCTTTGAACTCCTGGGCTCAAGTGATCCTCCTATCTCAGCCTCCCCAGTAGCTAGGACCACAGATGTGCACTACCACATCCGACTATTTTTTTATTTTAGTTTTTTTGTAGAGACAGAGTCTCACCATGTTGCCCAGGCTGATCTCGAACTCCTGACCCCAAGCAATCCTCCCACCACCTCAGCCTCCCAAAGTGCTGGGATCACGAGTGTGAGCCATCATGCCCAGCCAGCCCCCTCATATTTGATCCAGGCATTAAGCCTCCTGGCAAGACCAGCAGCTCCCTGCACCTGAGGCAGGGCTGAGTTTCAGAAGCTGCTTTTCATTCTCAGACTATGCTGAGCCTGGTACTGTGCACACAGCACATCTGAACTTTGTTCAACATATCCCTGCACCAACCTGGCAGGACGGCCTCAGGCCAGGGAGGAACCGGGGAGATGATGTGGGATGAGAAGAGAGATCAGACAGAGGCTGTCTAGACACAGTTTCCTGGCAAAGTCACCAAGAGCCCTGCGAGCAGCTGTCCACACCTCCTGGCACTCTCTGTATCTGTCCCGTCCCTGCCAGCTCCCCACCCGCCCAGTGCTTCACCAGCTCACCCCTCAGACACTGTCCAGGTGGGAACCATTCCCCTCAACTCCCTCCAGAACAACCAGATGGCACCTGCCAGCAGCCCTGGGAGCCAGAATCCCACCCACCTGACCCAAGGGCTCTATCTGATCTCAGCCTAACCCATGAATCAGGCCCTTTGGAGAGCCAAAGGAAAATTGGGCTTCCCTGCCAGCTGACTATGTGACAGTTCAGATGTCCCAGAGCACAGGAAAGAGGCAGAGACAGGGTCGTGAGGAGCCCTTGCTTCTCCTTCAACATCTCCCATAAACAGCTGGAGAGGGGCTCTCACAGGGTCCATGGGAAGAGACCAAGGAGGGGCATGGAGGAGAGGGGAGGGCTGAGAAGACCAGGGTGAAATGGATGAGGAGAAGGAAGCAGATGGCAGGGACCCTCCCATCTCCCACATGGGCCTCCTTAGGTGCTACTGGCCTTGTGCAAATTTGCACACTCACATTCACACATTTCTGTCTGCTTCTCTCCAATCTTTCAGATACCTAGCACACACCCCAGCCTCTAGAATCAGGTAGTCAGTCTAGCAGAGTCTTTAGCATTTGACTTCTGGGTTTAAATCCTGGCTTTAGCACTTCCTAGCTTCACGGCCCTGTTTAGGCAGTTTATATGCCTCCCTGAGCTTCCCAAATTTTGGGGAGGAATAAATGGCATAGCAGATGGGGAACATCTAGCACTGTCCTGCTATATCATAGACTGTGAAAGATCACTGTTTTTGTACTATTGGCCTTGCTTTGTAGTAATTATCATTAACTTTTTTTTGAGATAAGGTCTCACTCTGTCTCCCAGCCTAGTGTGATCATAGTTCACTGCCACCTCGATCTCCTGGGCTTAAGTGATCCTCCCACCTCAGCCTCCCAAGTAGCTGGGACTACAGGCACACACCACCACACTTGGCTAATCTCTCTCCTTTTTTTTTTTTTTTTTTTTTTTAGAGACCGGGTCTCATTATGTTGCCCAGGCTGGCCTCCCAAAGTGCTAGGATTACAGGTGTGAGCCACTGCACACGGCCTACTTTGTAATAATAACAAACAATACAGCCGCTACTTTTTGGTAGTTTCAAACCATGATCCCAGAATTTTTTGATTCATCAAAAGGTAGAACCTATGTCATCTACCGTTGAATCCAGACTGTGCGATTGCTTGACCAATAGAATATAGAAGAAACGTTATGCGACATCCAAGGCTACATCATAAAATGTGACAGAGCTTCCACTGGGTTCTCCTTGTCTTAGAGCCCAGCCACCATACGATGAGGAAGCCCAAGTAGCTGAAGAGAGGAGAGGCCCAAACAAAGGAACCAAGTCCCCTGGACCACAGCCTAGCTGAGCTCCCAGCCAACCAGAAAGCGCCAACTTAGCAACCACTAGAGGAGCCATCTCAGAAATGAATTCTGCAGCCCCCTGGTGAGCTCCAGCTGATGCCACGTGGAGCAGGAACGAACTGTCCCCTCAACATCCTGCCCAAATTGTGGATGTGTGAGCAAAATAAATGACTGTCATGTTTTAAGCTACTACATGTTGGGTGGTTTGTTGCACAGCCATAGACAACTGGATGACAAACACATATCTGACGCTTTATCCGTCATTGCCATGCTAAGCTGCAGATATTTTTGTAATCTACACGTTTAGACCTTTTCCAGCTTTTAGAGCTCACACTTCCCTTCAGTACACCTGCAAGCTCCCTGAATTCATTTTCATGTAATCCTCCACTTTTTTCCTTCAGCCGGTTCATGTTAGGTTTCTCTCATAGCCCCTAAACACAGTGCTCAAATACCAATAACCTGGATCCCATCTTGCAGCTCTGCAGGAAGCTGTTTTTGCACAAGGTTCTTCCACATTTCTGGGAACCCAGGAGATGTCTACTTCAGCTACAATCTCTCCTGCTCGTCCCCTGTCCCCTCGGGAGGGTCTGGCTCAGAACAGATTTCACTGTGGGACCCAAGCCAACCTGTTAGCCACTCCTACCCCAGGACGGTTGAAACAGTCTTTCAGTAACAAGACTTACTTTTGAAGGATGGAATTACAATATGGAAAAAATACAACTTCACAAGGTACACGTTCAGTTCATAGCAGCAGCCAAGACTTTGAAGGAAGAGTTCAAGTCGCCACAAAAACATAGCAGAGGGAATAGTACGGATTTTAGAGCCAGATAGTACTGGAGACTTGGAGACTGCAGGGCTGGGAGGGTCACAGACAGTCCTGAGTTCAAATCTCCACTCCACCACTCATTGCCCACGTGACCTTGAGCAAGTTATTTAACCTCTCTGAGCCTCCATTTCCTCAAAGGCAAATTGGGGATAATAAACGCAGTGTTTGTGAGGATAGATAGGATGCATATTCTGCTCGTGGTTGTGCCAACCAAGGACACATTCAGAGTAAATTCAAGACTCTTCTTGAAGAGTCACGAGCACAGTGGCCCATGGCAGTAATCCCAGCACTTTGGGAGGGTGAGGCGGGTGGATCACTTGAGGTCAGGAGCTCAAGACCAGCCTGGACAACATGTTGAAACCTTGTCTCTACTAAAAATACAATAAATTAGCAGGGCGTAGGCATGCCTGTAGTCCCAGCTACTCAGAAGTTTGAGGCAGGACAATCCCTTGAACCTGAGAGATGGAGGTTGCAGCCGCTGCAGTCCAGCCAGCCTGGATGACAGAGAGAGACTGTCTCAAAATACAAATAAAATAAAATAAAAAAAGAATGAGACTCTTCTTACTGCAAAAACTGACCTCTGCGGGGTGGAAACAAACAAACAAATGAGCAAAAACCATTGTTCTTGCCTAGCTGTTAAAGAATATTGCGTTTTCTCATAACTTGACACGATACAGAAACATACAATGAAGAATCTGGTGGGTATTGAACTGTCAATTGCAAAATAATTATTCATCACTGCAGGTCCAGCCTGTTCTCCGGGAAGGACTGTTTGAATGTCCTGGGCCTCCAAGCCAAGCTCCCAGAGCCCAGACCATCTCTTTGGCTAATGCTGGCTCTATCTCCTGAAGAAAATAGTTTGATGCAAGGAAGAACTTTCATTATCTTTTGCCCTGGAGCACCAGTAACTGTCTACAAAGAGCAGAGCAAGGGAAGAAGGGCAGTGAGAAATTAATCTTTGAGTTTCCTCCTTGGTGATTCATCCATTTAGAAATGGGTAGATTCAGAGAAGTGTTTCTTCATCCGGTCCCTCTGTTCCCATGATCTCAAAAATGAAAAGGCAGCCAACCCTGATCACCACCCATCAGTCAGCCTCTTTTCACAAGTGGGAGGCATGGGCTGTGCTGGACCAAGTGCAAATGCAAGACATGTCTCTAACAGGCCTTCTGGAACCAGGGGAAGCTGGTGGCTTGGATGCACCCACTGTGAGGTAGAGTGTTATACTGCAGCCCCCATAACCCTGCACTTCTCCAAGTCTATGATTATTTGACTCTGGAATCTGGTGTAGCACATCTGCTCAGTTGCTCAGTCATTACTTACTGAGCACTTACAATGTGCCAGGACAGGCAGGGTATAAAGGATTGAGAATTGAACAAGGTAGTCAAGGTAGTATGATCCCTGCCCTCAAAGAGCTTGTTTTAGTATATAGGGTTTCTCAACTTTGGCACCATTGTGGGCTGAATAATTCTTTGTTGTGGGGCTGTCCTATGTACTATAATTTTTTTTTTTTTTGAGACAGAGTCTCGCTCTGTCGCCCAGGCTGGAGTGCAGTGGCGCTATCTCAGCTCACTGCAACCTCTGTCTCCTGGGTTCAAGTGATTCTCCTGCCTCAGCCTCCCGAGTAGCTGAGATTACAGGCACCAACCACCACGCCTGGCTAATTTTTGTATTTTTAGTAGAAACGCGGTTTCACCGTGTTGGCCAGGGTCGTCTCGAACTCCTGACCTCAGGTGATCCACCCACCTCGGCCTCCCAAAATATTGGGATTATGGGCATGAGCCACCACGCCCGGCCCACTATAAAAACTTTAGCAGCATCCATGGCCTCTATCCACTAGATTCCAATATCACACCCTTTCTCCCAATTATGACAACCAAAAATGTCTCCAAGCATTTTCAAATTTCACCCGAGGGTCAAAATTCACCCCACCCCACTCCTACCATTCACGATTGAGAACCTCTATTCCAATGAAAGAAGCAGGCAGCTTAGTGGAAAGAGTGTGAGCTTCGGAGCCAGGTGGGCCTGGGTTCTCCCTTCCACTTTATTAGCTGCGTGATCTTTGGGGAATCACTTCTCTCTCTTACGCATACGTAGATTATTTGAAAATTATGGGTAGCAATCATATTTTTACAAGGTTGTTGGGTGAGCTAAAGATCAAATGTGTAAAGAACTGTGGCAGGCTGGGCACGGTGGCTCACACGTGTAATCCCAGCACTTTAGGAGGCCAAGGCGGGTGGATCACCTGAGGTCAGGAGTTCGAGACCAGCCTGGCCAACATGGTGAAATCCTGTCTCTACTAAAAATACAAAAATCAGCCAGGTGTGGTGCCACACGCCTGTAATCCCAGCTACCCGGGAGGCTGAGGCAGGAGAATCGCTTGAACTCAGGAGGCAGAGGTTGCAGTGAGCTGAGATCACGCCACTGCACTCCAGCCTGGGTGACAGAGCGAGACACCATCTCAAAAAAACAAACAAAAAACAGGGGCAGACACTGTCAACACCAAAAGTCATCCTCTTGTCTTAATTCTTCTTGCTAACAGAACCCCAGTTCTTTCAAGGGTCCCTATCTCAGAAGTTGGGCTCAGTCCCTAGAGGGGGTGGGCATGCAAACCAGGTCTAGTTAATGAGCTATTTGAGGGAGGGGGCCCTCTGGGGGTAGAAGGTTAATAAAAAGTTTGGTTATTTTATTTTTATGCTTTTATTTTTTTAGAGACAGGACCTTGCTCTGTTGCCCAGGCTAGAGTACAGTGCCACAATCATAGCTCACTGCAGCCTCGAACTCCTGGGCTAAAGGAAGGTGGGGACTAGAAGATGGATAAGCACTCCACACTTGTTAGCTATCTATTATTGCTGTTAGCACTGTCATTATCAGTATTTTTTTTTTTTTTGACGGAGTCTCGCTCTGTCACTCAGGCTGGAGTACAGTGGTGCACTCTCGGCTCACTGCAACCTCCGCCTCCCAGGTTCAAGCAATTCTCCTGCCTCAGCATCCCAAGTAGCTGGGAGTACAGGCGCCTGCCACCACGCCCGGCTAATTTTTGTATTTTTAGTAGAGACAGGGTTTCACCATATTGGCCAGGCTGGTCTCAAACTCCTGACCTTGTGATCCGCCCGCCTCGGCCTCCCAAAGCGCTGGGATTACAGGCGTGAGCCACCACGCCCAGCCCTTTTTGTTTTTTTTTTTTTTTTGAAACAGGGTCTCGCTCTGTCACCCAGGCTGGAGTGCAATGGTGCAATCTTGGCTCACTGCAACCTCCACCTCCCAGGTTCAAGCAATTCTCCTGCCTCAGCCTCTCGAGTAGCTGGGAGTACAGGCACGTGTCACCACGCCCAGCTAATTTTTGCATTTTTAGTAGAGATGGGGTTTCACCATGTTGGCCAGGCTGGTCTTGAACTCCTGACTTCAGGTGATCCACCCACTTTGGCCTCCCAAAGTGCTGGGATTAGAGACATGAGCCACCGCGCCTGGCCCAAATTTCATTTTTTTTTTTTAGACAGAGACAGTGTCTTGCTCTGTCACCCAGGCTGCAATCAGTGGCGTGATCATAGCTCACTGCAGCCTCAAACTCCTGGGCTCAAGAGATCCTCCTGCCTCAGCCTCCTGAGTAGCTGGGACTACAGGTACATGCCACCACGTCCGACTATTATTTTTATTTTTTGTAAAGATGGGGTCTCATTATGTTGCCCAGGCTGGCCTCAAATTCCTGGGCTCAAGCCATCCTCCCACCTCAGCCTCCCAAAGTGCTGGGATTACAGATGTGAGCCACCACACCCAGCCCAAATTCCAATTTTCTAAAGAATCTGGGGCTCTCTGTGTTTTAAGACTATTAGACTCTCCCCAGTTTCAGGGGATGAATCTTGAGCAGTCTGATGGAGGGCTGGCAAACCATTGCCTAAACCCGGCCCACCACCTGCTTTTGTATGGCTCAGGAGCTGGAAATGGCTTTTACATTTTTAAGTAGTTAGAAAAGATCAAAAGTGTAATAATATCTCCTAACACATAAAAATTAGGTGAAATTCAAATCTCAGTCTCCATAAATAAACCCATTCACTTATTTATTATCATCTATAGCTGCTTTCACACTGCAACAGCAGAACAGAGTGGTTGCTACAGAAACTGTGTGGCCACAAGCCTGAAATATTTATTCTCTGGCTCTTCAGAGGAAAAGATCTTAGGAAACCAGAGGTTCTCAAACTCAGTGTCCATCAGAAACCCCCGGAGGGCACGTTTAAACATAGACTATGGGCCGGGCGCAGTGGCTCACGCCTGTAATTCTAACACTTTGGGAGGCTGAGAGTTTGAGACCAGAGCATTGTTTAAGCCAAGAGTTTGAGACCAGACTGGACAACATAGCAAGACCCTGTCTCTACAAAAAATAAAAAAATTAGCTGGGTGTGGGGGTGCACACCTCTAGTCCTGGCTACATGGGAGGCTGAGGCAGGAGGATCGCTCGAGCCCAGGAGTTGGAGGCTGCAATGCGCTATGATAGTGTCACTGTACTCCTGCCTGGGCAACAGAGACCCCGATTCTAGTAAATAAATAAATAAAAACATAGATCCCACCCCCAGAGTTTCTGATTTAGTAGGTCTGAACTGGGGTCTGAGAATTTGCAGTTCTTAAAATTGCCTAGACATGGCAGATGCTGCTGGCCTGGGGATCTCACTTTAAGAAGCACTGGTCTAAGGCAACCTTGGTAATTCCATTCCCTTGCCAGCAACTGGCTTAGAAAAGGGCACGTGATACATTTCTGACCAATGCGATGAAGGAGAAGTCAGCTGGCAGCTTCTGAGAAAATGAGAAAATGATCATAAAAAGGGACAGATGGGCTGGGCGTGGTGGCTCACATCTGTAACCCTAGTGCTTTGGGAGGTTGAGGCAAGAGGATCACTTGAGGCCCAGAGTTCGAGACCAGCCTGGGCAACAGAGGGAGACCTCATCTCTAGAAAAAACTCTGAAGTTAGCTGGGTATGGTAGCATGCACCTATAGTCCCAGCTACTCAGGAAACTGAAGGAGGATCACTTGAGCCTAGAAGTTCAAGGCTGCAGCGAGCTATGATTGCACCACTACACTCCAGTCTGGGTGACAGAGCGAGACCCTGTCTCAAAAACAAGCGGGGAACAAGTGGAAGAAGGCTCTCTTCTCTCTTGTCCATATTATCTTGAGACCATGATGGGGTGTGGCTGAGGGCAAGAGCCAGCTGCTAAGAATGGAATAGTGGAAAAGTGGAAGGAAACAAGGCCCACCATTCCACAATGGAGCCACTGAATCAATTAACCACATGGCCCCCTGCAGAGAAACAATAACTTCCATTAGCATCTACACCACTTCCAGTTGGGTTCTCAGTGATTTGAAGCCAAACACAACCTACCTGGCAACCCTACAACTTCACCCCTCACCACTGTTTGGACACTACCAAACTTAGGCCATGATGATTAAGGCCAGGCATGAGCTCCACCCTCCCTGCCACCCTATGAGGAATAAAGCAGATATGGGGAAGGTGAAAGGGCATGATTTAGGGATCCATAAAGCCCCAGATTGGAGCCTTAGTTCTACAACTCAATAATGGTGGGCTAGAGCTCTATGCACCCCATACTCTAGGATGGGGACTCATACCTGCATGGTTGACTAGTGCAGTCATGTCTGTGCATCTGAGCAGTTATTTTCTTCTCTGGACCATTATTAACCATTAGAGCTAGCATTTGTCCCCAGGTCCCGGGCACTGTGCAAGTCTTCACCTACATTATCCTACTACCTCATAAGATAGTTTGGATGTGTGTCCCCTCCAAACCTCATGTTGAAATGTGATCCCCAATGTTGGAGGCGGGGCTTGGCGAGAGGTATTTGGGTGGTGGGAGCAGATCCCTCATGAATAGCTTGGTGCCCTCCCTGAGTAATGAGTGAGTTCTCACTCTTTTAGTTCACGGCGAGGTCTGATTGTTAAAAAAGTGTTTGGCACCCTTCCTGTCTCTCTCTCACCCCTCTTCTCACCATGTGACACACCTGCTCCCCTTTCACCCTCCACAGTGAAGAAAAGCTTCCTGAGGTCTCACCAGAAGCAGATGCTGGCATCATGCTTCTTGTACAGTCTGCAGAACGTGAGCTAAACAAACCTCTTTTCTTATAAATTACTCACCCTCAAGTATTCCTTTATGGCAACGCAAAACAGGCTAAGACACCTCAATGGACTAATACATAACAGCCCCATAAGGTGAGTGCCACCATCTCCCCCACCTTACAGATCAGGAAACAGGGGCTCTGAAAAACTGTGGCTCACTCAAGGTCATACTGCTTGTTAAGTGCAGAGATAGGATTCCAACTCAGAGGCATCTGGCTCAAGAACCCATGTGTCTGTGTTTCAGGTTGCAATGCTGAGGTTAAACAAGAGGATGTGTGCTAGGAGCCCCAGCACACCACAGGGGCTGGGAAACGTTATTGCATCGAGTTTGAGTCCAACACACGGTCTCATTCCTCCACCCACCACTCAGCCTAGAAAAAGGGTCGGAAGGTTGACTCCACTTTCAGAAGCTTGCCAGCTCCAGCCAGTCAGCCAGAGTGAAGCTGACAAGAGCAATGAGGGAAATACGGAAAGATAAATCCAGATGTGGACAATGAGACCGTGTCCCCTGAGAACTGTGGTGGCAGCGGGACTCAAAGATCCAGGCCTGCTCGGTGTGGCTGCGGCTCGGGTTCCTGGGCCACAGGGCTGCCTTACCTGCCAGTTTCCATGCCTGGCTGACTCCCCCCACCGCCCCTCTGGCTTCCACACCAGCCCACTGATGCCACCCCAGAGAACTCGGCTGTTTGCCTTGCTCCTCTAGAGGGCAGGTGGATGCGGTGAAACGGGCAGCGATTCCAGAGCCATCACAACTCCTGGCTGAAACCAAACATGACAGATTTACCATTGGGCAGGCTGCTCCATTTATTATTTAACGCTCGCAATAAATATTTGCATGACCCAGTGCTGGAGGGAACGCTCTGTGATAACTCACTGCATTTTCCTGCCAAACACCAGCACAGTCGGATTCCGAAGCTGCAGCAGAGAATATTTTATGCTATTCTAAAAATCCAGGTGATGGCCCCTTGTTAGAAAACCTTTTCTCATCCATTTCCATAGAGGAAAAAAGGAGCAGGGAGACCTTAGCTCCGAGAAGCAACTAGAGGAGGAAGAAGAGGAGGAGGAAGATGCTGACAGGTGACATTTACTTAGCACCTACTGAGTGCCAGGCCCTAAGCTAAGGACTTCACACTCATTCATTCAACACCTCTCTCTAGAGGGTAGGGTTGCCAGACTTAACAAGTAAAAATATACGACACCCAATTCAATTTTAAATCCAGTGAAATAAGGAATGATTTTTTAAATACAAGTTATGTATCTGATGTAATACTGGAAAATTATTCAATGTTTATCTAAGGTTCAAATTTGGGTGCAATGGCACGCCCTTATATTCCCAGCTACTTGGAAGGCTGAGGCAGGGAAATCACTTGAACCCGGGAGGCAGAAGTTGCAGTGAGCCATGATCATGCCACTGCACTACAGCCTGGGCGACAGAGCGAGACTCTGTCTCAAAAAAAAAAAAAAAAAAAATAGAACAAACTGGGCTACAAAGTTTTGCCAGGCATGGTGGCTCACGCCTGTCACCCCAGCACTTTGGGAGGCCAAGGTGGGCAGATCACCTGAGATCAGGAGTTCGAGACCAACCTGGCCAACAGGGCAAAAACCCATCTCTACTAAAAATACAAACATTAGCCAGGCCTGGTGGTGCACGTCTGTAATTCCAGCTACTCGGGAGGCTGAGGCATCAGCATCACTTGAACCTGGGAGGCAGAGGTTGCAGTGAGCCAAGATCATGCCACTGCACTCCAGCCTGGGGGATAGAGTGAGACTCTGTCTCAAAAAAAAAAAAAAAAAAAAAAATGTAACTGGGCATCCTGTTTGTATCTGGTAACACTCCTTAAGGTTGGACTAACTATGCGAAGACACTGAATTTAAAAGGCTTTTCTTTTCATTTATTTTTTAAGAGACGTATCTGTGTAACTCAGGCTGCAGTGCAATGGCTATTCACAGGGATGATCAGGGCTCACTGTAGCCTCAAACTCCCAGGCTTAAGAGATGGTCCCACCTCAGCCTCCCAAGCAGCTGGGACTACAAGTACATGACACTGCGTCTGGTGTTCAGTGGTGCAATCACGGCTCACTGCAGCCTTGAACTCCTGGGCTCAAGCAATCCTCTTGCCTCAGCCACCAGAGTAGCTAGAACTATGGGTATACAGCACCACGCCTCGCTATTTTTTTTTTTTTTTTTTTTTTTTTTTTTTTTTTTTTAGAGATGGGGTCTCAATGTGTTGCCCAGGCTGATCTCAAACTCCCGGTCTCAAGTGATCCTCCTACCTCAGTCTCCCAAAGCACTGGAATTACAGGCATGAGCCACCACGTCCAGCCTCTTTTTTTTCTTTAAGGAGGCTTATTTTTTAGTGTGGGTTAGGGAAGAGCCATGTGTGAAGTTGACTCTGGAGCAGAGATGTCAAAGATGAGAAAGAGCTACCCATAACAAAAAAACGGGGAACAGGATTCCTGGCAAAGACCCCACAAAGACCCTGGGGCTGGAAACCATGTGGGGCATTGGAGGAGTCAAGGGAGGTGACACTTTTGGAGCTGAGTAATGGAGAGGAAAGTGACAGGAGCAGACTGCACAGGGCCTTGGTCACAATGAAGGATTTGGATGCTATTCTAAGTTAAAGGGAAGGTATGGGAAAGCTTTTCAGCTGGAAGTGGCCAAACTGGGGACCGACTCTGGCTGTACGGATTTCTGAGCCTGGAGATGGCACAAAGGACCTGACATTGGCAGGAAAAGAAAAGAGGAGGAACAAGAACACGAGAAATTGCCTTAAAAGGGAGTTGGTCAGGTCTCGCCAGAAAAGTTCACGCAATAACAAACCAGTCGCCCACAACAGACATCTCCACATTTTCCCAGAGCTGTCCCCCAGCCAGGCGGCCGGAGTGAGGGGATGCCGACGGTGACAATGCTATCAATTTCCATTTTGCTTTTGCCAAATACGGAAAAGGACACTTCAAAGACTTTTAAAAATAACTTCCAAACAACTCAAGGGTGAAAAAAAAGAAAGAGGTAAAAAATTACAGTCTGCCTGCTTGAGAATAGCGATAATGAAAATAAGTGATAGAAATAAGAACAGCTGCTTTTGCACACGTTATGTCATCTGCTCCTTAGCACTCTATGAAGCAGGCGGAACAGGTCATGGTATCCCCATTTCATAGATAAGGAAACTGAGACCCAGAAACATAGGATACAACAGAGAGGAAATGATCAGGTGGGTGAGAAGCTATGTTTGTCTGGCCCCAAAGCCTGGGTTCCCCAAAGCCCTCTGCAGGCTGATATGAGCCTAACCCCAGCCCGGCTCCTGGCTCTCAGCCATCTCATCCTCCCAGCCCAGCTATGGGGAGCAAGATACCTCCTACCATGTCCCTTGCAGCCTTCCTCCCTCACCTGCAGGGGCTTCCTGCCTGGAAAGCCTGTTCCTTTGCCCTTCTTCTCCAGAGGATTCACGTACCTCAGCACATGTTCGACGACAAAGTCACAGCACTGCAGGGACACCTCCCCTGGAGAGGAACAGGATGGTAGAGTGGAAGGGGCACAGCTTTGCCATTAGAATGCCTGAGTTCAAATCCCAGCTCAATCACCAACTGGTTGGGTATCCTTAAGCTCTTCCAAGGAGTGGGGGATAATCCAATCCATCCCCACAGGATCCTGGTGGGGATTAAATGAGATGCTGTATGTAAAACATCAACACAGGGCCAGGTGCCATGGCTCACACCTGTAACACCAGCACATTGGGAGGTGGAGGCAGGAGAATCGCTTGAAGCCAGGAGTTTGAGACTAACCTGGGCAACATAGCCAGACCCCTATCTATACAATAAAATGTCTTTTTAATTAGCTGGGTGTGATAGCCCATGCCTGTAATCCCAGCTACTTGGGAAGCTGAGACAGGAAGATTGCTTAAGCCCAGGAGTTCAAAGCTGTAGTGAGCTATGATCATGCCACTGAACTCCAGCCATGGTGACAGAACTAGACCCCAACTCTAAAAAAATAAAAAACATTAAAAAAAAATCAGCACAGTGCCTGGCATACAGTCAGCACCTAATAAGTAGTAGCTGTTTTTTGTTTTTTGTTTTTTTTTCCATCTCTGAAAAAAAAAATCAGCCATTTTTTAAAATTAGCTGAGTGTAATGGTATATCTCTGTAATCCCAGCTACTTGGGAAGCTGAAGCAGGGGGACTGCTTGACCCCAGGAGTTTGAAGCTTCAGCGAGCTATGATTGTGCCACTGAACTCCAGCCATGGTGACAGAACAAGACCCAATCCCTGAAAATAAATAAATCAATTGGCACAGTGCCTGGCATATAGTCAGCACCTAATAAGTAGTAGCTGTTAGAATACTTACAAAAGGCCAGGCGTGGTGGCTCACACCTGTAATCCCAACACTTTCAGAGGCCAAGGAGGGTGGATGGCCTGAGGTCAGGAGTTTAAGACCAGCATGGCCAACACAGTGAAACCCCATCTCTGCTAAAAATACACACACACGCAAAACAAATCACTGGGCATGGTGGCACATGCCTGTAGTTAGTCTCAGCTTCTTGAGAGGCTGAGGCAAGAAAATCGCTTGAACCCAGGATGCAGAGATTGCAGTGAGCCAAGATAGTACCACTGCACTCCAGCCTGGGTGATAGAGCAAGACTTTGTCTCAAAACAAACAAACAAACAAAAACAAAAAAAACACTCAAATCATGGGATTGAGTGTTCAATCATTCAATCAATTTTTATTGAATGCCTACTACATGCTAGGTACTTAGGGATATAACAGGAAATAAGACATACGTGATTCTACCTTAATGAAACTTAGAAGAAGGAATATACTTATGGTGTAGTGAAAGAAACATATTTATTAGAAATCAAACATAAAAAGCATAAAAAGTGTTGAAGAGTGCTCTAAAAGAACAGAGGTTTCTGTGAATCATCTACTTTATTTATTTATTTATTTATTTATTTTGAGACAGAGTTTTGCTCTGTCACCCAGGCTGGAGTGCAGTGGCGTGATCTCAGCTCACTGCAACCTCCACCTCCCAGGTTCAAGCGATTCTCCTGCCTCAGCCTCCCAAGTAGCTGGGATTACAGGCACCCGCCACCATGCCTGGCTTATTTTTGTATTTTTAGTAGACACGGGGTTTTACTATGTTGGCCAGGCTGGTCTTGAACTCCTGATGTCAGGTGATCTGCCTGCCTCAGCCTCCCAAAGTGCTGGGATTACAGGCGTGAGCCACTGCACCCAGCCCAGAATCATCTACTTTAGACTGAGGCATCTGAGACGTGCTCAAAGGACATTTCAGTGGAGAACCATGGGTGTGAAGGAGGGAGTCACACGGAGACTGGGAAGGGACAGACCTTTGTAGGACAGACGGCAACACGTGCAAAGCTTGTGCTGGGAGGTGAAGGGAGAACAACTCGCTGGAGGAAGCAAGGAAGAGGAGATTTAGTTAGAGCAGACAGCCAGGATCAGAGCATGCAGGGTCTGATCATTTATTTCCAAGTTATTCTGAAATCAAAGAGAAGCAGGCTTTTAAGCTAAGAATGCAGCACATCGGCTAGCATAGAATAAGAGTTCAAAAAAAGTGTAAGCTCCCTTCCCTCTCCTGAAACAACCAAAGTAAATAAAAATGGCCCCTCTGTTTTGAATTATTTATTTATTTGTGCTTTCAAACTGTTTTCTTAAAAAAAAAAAAACTACAGAGTAGTGAGTGGGGGCGGGGGGGTAAGGGGTGGAATACTCAAAACGTGTTCAAAATCAAACGAGCCAGAAACTCCTCGCTGGAAATTTTCTCTCTAGATCTCTGCAGGAATCAGTGGAACCATGAGAGACAGAGTCGAAAGCAGCAGAGCCTGGAATTATTTCTCTAAGCAAGACCCAGACGCCAGGCAGGTAGTGAAATTGCTCCTGCCCCACCTCCATCCTTGCTGCCTATCTGAGAACAGAGTCTGCCAACCCCTCCTGATGAGAGACTGACCCCTCATAGCCACTGCAGGCTGGAAGCCATAAGCTTAAACCACTTCGATACCATGAAAGCAAAATGTATGGTTGGCAAAAAGCAAAAAAAAAAAAAAAAAAAAACTGGTTACTGGCGAGTGCAGAACCACAGTCTGGGTCGATGACAAATTATCCAGCATGAATCTTGGTGTGACTTAGGCCCCTCTTAGTCCTCTAAAATTCATCACATTTTGTTTATTCGTTCACTACCCACTTACAGTAGATGCCAAGAAATATATATAACAAGATTATAGATATAAATTTAAAATTAGGACTAAAGAAAGATAATCTAGAATAAGAGGTAAAAGCAGAACAGAGCAGGATGGAAGGTAGAATAAAGATATACAGGCCAGAAGGCCAGTTACTAAACTGGATTTGAGAACATGGCGCTGAGTTCCCTGGTGGCCAAGTCAAAAAGGGCAGTTGGAGATGTTCTCATGGTCCACAAAAAGAAACACACTTAACTTTGCAGAACAAGCACTGTCCTGCCGTGTGACCTCAGATAAGTGATTTAACCTACTTAGACTCAGCTGCCTCATTGCCAAAAAGTTAGTGAAAATTATTGAATGTTTAGGTAAAAAGTTGTAATAAAAAACAAGAATGGGAAAGGATTCCCTATTTAAAATGGTGTTGGGAAAACTGGCTAGCCATATGCAGAAAACTGAAACTGGGCCCCTTCCTTACACCTGATACAAAAATTAACTCAAGATTGATTAAAGTCTTAAATGTTAGACCTAAAACCATAAAAACCCAAGAAGAAAACCTAGGCAATACCATTCAGGACATAGGCATGGGCAAAGGCTTCATGACTGAAACACCAAAAGCAATGGCAACAAAAGCCAAAATTGACAAATGGGATCTAATTAAACTAAAGAGCTTCTGCACAGCAAAACAAACTATCATCAGAGTGAACAGGCAACTTACAGAATGGGAGAAAAGTTTTGCAATCTATCCATCGGGCTAATATCCAGAATCCACAAGGAACTTAAACATATTTATAAGAAAAAAACAACCCCATCCAAAAGTGGCCGGAGGATATGAACAGACACTTCTCAAAAGAAGACATTTATGTGGCCAACAAACATGTGAAGAAAAGCTCATCATCACTGGTCATTAGAGAAATGCAAATCATTGTCAGAGTGCTCAGAGAGGGCATGTTCCCTGGGTCTTGGTGGATTTAGAGGTCAAGGGACCATTTCTGGAAGCTCACTGTGTGCCAGGGCAGCTTATATCAGAGCTCCGCTCTTTTTCTTTTTCTTTTTTTTTTTTAAGACAGAGTCTCACTGTTGCCCAGGCTGGAGTGCAGTGGCACCATTTTGGCTCACTGCAACCTCCACCTCCCGGGTCCAAGAGATTCTCCTGCCTCAGCCTCCTGAGTAGCTGGGACTACAGGCATGCACCACCACCACACCTGGCTAATTTTTGTATTTTTAGTAGAGACGGGGTTTCACCATGTGAGCAAGGCTGGTCTCGATCTCCTGACCTCAGGTGATCCACCTGCCTTGGCCTCTGAAGGTGCTGAGATTACAGTCATGAGCCACTGCGCTTGGCCAGAGATCTGCTCTGGAAGACCCCCCAGGCTGGAGGGCACTGCCACAAGCAGACAGTATGGCGAGGGTCCCTATGACCACCTGGCAGGCAGGGTGGATTCTGGAGGGAGGTGGCCTGGGAGCAGGCTGAGGATGGGGTGAGGGCATTTGAGCAGCAGAGTGTCTGCGTGACCGGGCATAACTGGAGGGACAGTAAATGACTCTTGTGTGAGAGGATGAGGGAGGGGTGAGAGGGGCTGACTACCCCCAGGACTTGAGGTGCAGTGAGACTCCTTAGCTTTAACCAGACTCATGGGAGCCATGGAGGTTTGAGGCAGAGGTGTGGGCTGCTGGGAGAGTGAGGACTCACCATCCAGAGAGGAAGGTGAAGCTTTCAACTCTAAATGCCGTTTTATTTTCGTGTGTTTTTTTTTTTTTTGAGACAGAGTTTCACTCTTATTGCCCAGGCTGGAGTGTGATAGCACGAGCTCGGCTCACTGCAACCTCTGCCTCCCGGGTTCAAGCGATTCTCCTGCCTCACCCTCCCAAGTAGCTGGGATTACAGGCATGTGCCACCATGCGTGGCTAATTTTATATTTTTAGTAGAAACAGGGTTTCTCCGTGTTGGTCAGGCTGGTCTGGAACTCCTGGCTTCAGGTGATCCGCCCGCCTTGGCCTCCCAAAGTGCTGGGATTACAGGCATGAGCCACTGTGCCCGGCCCCAAATGTGTTTTACATTTTCTTCCTATTTGATTCATCTTTGTCGTGCAACATAAATATGCTACTTTTCCACTGATAAAAAGACAAAATGGAATTTAAAATTGGCCTGGACTTCTCAAAAAAGTCAGTGTGATGAAAACATGTTCTAGATAAAACAGAAATGAGACTGGGCATGGTGGCTCATGCCTGGAATCCCAGCACCTTGGGAGGCCAAGGAAGGAGAATCACTTGAGGCCAGGAGTTTGTGACCAGCCTGGGCAACATAGTGAGACCGCAGATCTACTAAAAATTTAAAAATTAGCTGGGCATGGTGGTGCATGCCCGTATGTCTGGAGGCTGAGGCAGGAGGATCGCTTGAGCCCAGGATCTGGAGGCTGAGGCAGGAGGATCGCTTGAGCCCAGGATTTGGAGGCTGCAGTGAGCTATGATTGTGCCACTGCACTCCAGTGTGGGTGACAGAGTGAGACCCTGTCTCTATTTAAAAAAAGAGAGACAAGATGATCAGGATGAGCGCAGTGGCTCACGCCTATAATCCCAGCACTTTGGGAGGCCAAAGCAGGTGGATCACATGAGGTCAGGAGTTTGAGACCGGCCCAGCCTAGATGGTGAAACCCCGTTTCTACTAGAAATAAAAAAATCAGCTGGGTGTGGTGGGGCACGCCTGTGATCCCAGCTACTCGGGAGACTGAGGCTGGACAATTGCTTGAACCTGGGAGGCAGAAGTTGCTGTGAGCAAGATGACACCACTGTGCTCCAGCCTGGGCAACAGGAATGAGACTCTGTCTCAAACAAAAAAAAAAAAAAAAAAAAAAAAGGGATGATCAAACACAATGCGTCAACCTCCCGGAGCTGTTGTGAGCAAGATGACACCACTGTGCTCCAGCCTGGGCAACAGGAATGAGACTCTGTCTCAAAAAAAAAAAAAAGGGGATGATCAAACACAATGCATCAACCTCCCGGAGCCGTATAAACCCTAAACCTAAACCAGGAAGCAGGCAAGCCTGTGTGTGAGTTTCCACTCTATTGCTGGTACCACTCGGCTCTGGCAACCTGGAAGGCCACCTTCCCCTGTTGTTACTGTGTAAGGAGGAAGGAGCACTGGTTTGCAAGTCAGAAGCCTGGGTTGAAGCCTCTGCTTGAGTTCCTGCTGGCTGTGGGAATGTGGGGTTACCTTTCCCGGCTGGCCTCGTTTCCTACATGTCCAATGCAGGGGTTCCAGTCACATGCATTGGGCACCATTACATGTCCAAGCTGTGCCAGGATCTAGATAAATGGCTGGGCTCAGTCCAAGGGGCCTTCCTATCTGGCAGTGAAAATAAGAGGAGATACCAAGGGCCCTGAGCCTGAGTCTGGAGGAAAAGTCATGAGCACAGGGCAGTGCCAGGGCCTGGGAGCTGCCACAGAGGAGCCCACCTTGGTGACAGACACCTGTAGGCTCATATGATGCCGAGTGCCCAACACAGGGAACTGGACAAAGGTTTCATGCACGACTCTTTTCCCTCCTTGGCTACCTTGAGGACCTTGATTATAATAGTTAGCCTTTTTTTTTTTTTCTTTTTTTGAGACTCTTGCTCTGTCGCCCAGGTTGGAATGCAGTGGCAAAATCTTGGCTCACTGCAATCTTCGCCTCTCAGGTTCAAGTGACTCTCCTTCCTCAGCCTCCCTAGTAGCTGGGATTACAGGCATGCACCACTATGCTCGGCTAATTTTTGTATTTTTACTACAGATGGGGTTTCACCATGTTGGCCAGGCTGATCTTGAACTGCTGACCTCAGGTGATCTGCCCGCCTGGGCCTCCCAAAATCTTGGGATTACAGGTGTAAGCCACTGAGCCCAGCCGGATTATAATAGCCTTTTCATGCACCAGGGGCTTTATACTCATTATCTCATTTCATTCATATGAGTTGAAGTCAGCTTATCCCCCATTTCACAGATGAGGAAACCAAGGCCCAGAGAGGTTAGGAATTTGTCCAAGGTCACACAGCCAGGAAGTAGGATTCAAACCCAGACAGCCAGGCTGTAATACCTAGGCTCCTCTCAGGCTCATGCCCTTCCCAGGGGTCTGGGAAGCCCTGACCTGCAGCCTGTCACCTTTGTTTACCCCCCAGCCTCCAGGATATTACGTGTGCACCGGCGTGGGATCCTGGAACTGGCAGGAACTGTGGGTTGTGTTGGTCCCTGAACTCCCATCGCCTATGTGAAATATGGTTGCTTTTGTGGCTTGGGAGGCCATGGCCAGCCCCGCGATGCCATTGACTGGTGAGTGCATGCCTGGGACCAGGCTGCAAAATCCCTCACACTCTGGGGTAGTCAAGGCTTATGAGGAAGTACCCAAAACTGAAGCTGGGGTTTGGTCCAGGGAGATCCCAGTGTGCAGTACTACTTTGCAGGCAGGCAGAGGCCTCTTGGATAACATGGCCAGTGAAGCCAGATCTTGGTACTAGCTGTGCCTTACCCTGGCCATGGGCTGAAAACGTTGCCTTAAAAAATTGGCCAGGAGCGGTGGCTCACTCCTGTAATCCCAGCACTTTGGGAGGCCGAGGCCGGCAGATCACTTGAGGTCAGGAGTTCAAGACCAGCCTGGCCAATATGGTGAAACCCCATCTCTACTAAAAATGCAAAAATTAGCTGTGTGTGGTGGCAGGCGTCTGTAATCTCAGCTACTCGGGAGACTGAGGCAGGAGAATTGCTTGAACCCGGGAGGCGGAGTTTGCAGTGAGTTGAGATTGCACCGCTGTATTCCAACCTGGACAACAGTGCCAAACCCTGTCTCAAAAGAAAAAAAATAATAATAATATAAAGTGACCAGGTGTGTTGACTCATGCCTGTAATCCCACCACTTTGGGTCGAGGCAGGAGGATCACTGGAGCCCAGGAGTTTGAAACGAGCCTAGGCAACAGAGTGAAACCCTGTCTCTATATTAAACACACACACACACACGCGTGCACACACACACACACACACACACATACAAAGGCAGCCAGACTATGCACTAGGAACTGCCCTGGGAATCCCTTTGTGTTCTCACAACAATCCCATTTCACATGAAGAAACCTAGGCACAGAAATATTCAGTAACGTGTCCAGGTGCGGTGGCTCACGCCTGTAATCCCAGTACTTTGGGAGGCTGAGGCAGGCAGATCACGAGGTCAGGAGTTCGAGACCATCCTGGCCAACATGGTGAAACCCCGTCTCTACTAAAAATACAAAAATTAGCTGTGTGTGGTGGCAGGTGCCTGTAATTCCAGCTACTCAGGAAGCTGAGGCAGGAGAATTGCTTGAACCCGGGAGGCAGAGGTTGCAATGAGCCGAGATCACACCACTGCACTCCAACCTGGGTGACAGAGCAAAACTCCGTCTGAAAAAAAAAAAAAGAAATATTAAGTAACTTGTCTGAGGCCACATAGTTACCAAGACGTGGGAGCTGGGACTTGAACCCAGGCAGTCTGGCTGGATTCATGCCTGCAGCCTCTGCACTCCTGCTACTTACTGTGTGAGAAGCGTCTGTTCTGTGGAAGGTTGTGGGCTGAGATCTTTCCATGACTTCCACTCATTTACCCCCAAGGCTGTTCTTAAAGACGGGCATGACAGTTATGCCCATTTTACAGATGGGGCCCTGAGGCTCACAAGGGCACGCCATTCACCCATTTCCACAAAGCTATAGTTAGTTAGCAGAGGGCAGAATTCGGCCGCCTCTCCCCTAGCTTGTAGGCTGTGATTGACACAGAGGTTTTTTTGTTGTCGTTGCTGTTGTTTGTTCCTTTTTCTTTTTTTTGAGACAGGGTCTTGCTCTGTCATCCCGGCTGGAGCGCAGTGGTGCGATGTCAGCTCACTGCAAACTCTGCCTCCAAGATGCAAATGATTCTCGTGCCTCAGCCTCCCAAGTAGCTAGAATTACAGGTGTGCACTACCACGCCCAGCTGTTTTTTGTAGAGATGGGGTTAGTAGAGATTTGTTTAATAGAGACGGGGTTTCACCATGGTCTCTACTAAACCCTGTCTCTACTAAAAATACAAAAATTACCCAGGCGTGGTGGCACATGCCTGTAGTCCCAGCTACTCAAGAGGCTGAGGCAGGAGAATCACTTGAACCTGGGAGGTGGAGGTTGCAGTGACCCAAAATCATGCACTCTAGCCTGGGGTCTCGCTTTTGCCCAGGTTAGAGTGCAGTGGCACAATCATAGTGGCTCACTGCAGCCTCAAACTCCTGGGCTGAAGGGAATCCTCCCACCTCAGCCTCCCAAGTAGCTAGGACTATAGGCATGTGCCATCATGGCGAGTTAATTTTTTGTGTGTTTTTATTGTCTCGAGACAGAGTCTTGCTCTGTTGCTCAGGCTGGACAGCAATGGCGTGATCCTGGCTCACCGCAACCTCCACCTCCTGGGTTCAAGCAATTCTCCTACCTCAGCCTCCCGAGTAGCTGGGATTACAGGTGCGTGCCACCATGCCTGGCTAATCTTGTATTTTTAGTAGAGACAGGGTTTCGCCATGTTGGTCAGGCTGCTCTCGAACTCCTGACCTCGTGATCCACCTGCCTCGGCCTCTCAAAGTGTTGGGATTACAGGCATGAGCCACTGAGCCTGGCCTGGTGACTAATTTTTAAATTTGTTATAGAGACAAGAGTCTCTCTTATGTTGCCCAGGCTGGTCTCGACCCCCTGGCCTCAAGTGATCCTCCCACCTCAGCCTCCCAAAGTGCTGGGATTACAGATGGGTGTCACCGCACCTGGCCTCTGAGGAGGATTTCATTATAAACCTGCCCTGAAGGGAGGGAATCCAATTTTACGAGAGGGTGTAGCCTGGTGAGGCCTGGATGACCTCCGGAGGCAGGGGCTTGTGCCTGGGCTGAGGCCTAAGGGACAATGGGCAGACATGAAGTTGCCCCAGGCAGAGGGTACAGTGTGGGCAAAGTCAGGAAGTGGCAGGGCTTGGATCACTCCAGGAAGAGAGAGGAGTCATGTGTCACAGGAGCTCGAGACCCAGAGAGGGAGGCAGGCAGGCAGGCAGGGACCAAGCTTGGGCACAGCCAGGAAGGCAGAGGGCATGGTGGGGCCAATGGAATCATTACCCAAGACGGGGATTTTCAGGGAAACAGCTTAGATAAGGCCAGGCGTACAGTAGCTCCCACCTGTAATCCCAGCATTTGGGGAGGCTGAGGTAGGAGGACTGCTTGAGCCTGGGAGTTCGAGACCAGCCTAGGCAACATAGTAAGACCCCATATCCATAAAAAATTTAAAAAAGGAGTTTGTGTTCCTGTAGTAGCATAGTTGGGAGGTTGAGGTGGCAGTATCACTTGAGCCCAGGAGTTCAAGGCTAAAGTGAGCTGATTGAGCCACTGCACTCCAGCCTGAGCAACAGAGAGATACGCTGTCTCAAAGGAAATACAAATTAAAAAACCAGCCGGGCATGCTGGCGTGTGCCTGTAGTCTCAGCTACTTGGGACACTGAAGTGGGAGGATCGCTTGAGCCCAGGAGTTCAAGGCTGCCGTGAGCTATGATTGTGCCTCTGCAGTCCAGCCTGGGCGACAGAGAAAGACCCTGTCTCTTAAAAAAAAAAAAAAAAAAAATCTTAGATAAGAGGATGCTGTGCCTCCCTGGGGGTCTTCAGTCACCCATAGTCCTGGCAAGAGGAGGGCCAGGAGAGAGCTTCACCCACCTGCTGTCCTGCCCATGTGACATCCGCAGGTGCTGCCATGGCCACGACTGTTGTTACACTCGAGCTGAGGAGGCCGGCTGCAGCCCCAAGACAGAGCGCTACTCCTGGCAGTGCGTCAATCAGAGCGTCCTGTGCGGTGAGTCCCCAGCAGCACCATGCCACCCACCCCGAGTATCCCCTGGGCACCCTGGCATAGCCAGATGACTTCCGTGCCCCTGTTGCAATAACCACTGCTTCCAAGTCTCTATAGACCACCCCTTGGGTATATCTAATGTAAGTGATATTTATTTTATTTATTTTTTGAGTCAGTCTCGCTCTGTCACCCAGGCTAGAGTGTGCTGATGTGATCTCGGCTCACTACAACCTCTGCCTCCTGGGTTCAAGCGATTCTCATGCCTCAGCCTCCCAAGTGGCTGGGACTACAGGCATGCACCATCACGCCCAGCTAATTTTTGTATTTTTTCAGTAGAGGTGGGGTTTCACCAAGTTGGCCAGGCTGGTCTCAAACTCCCCACCTCAAGTGCTCTGCCCGCCTCGGCCTCCCAAAGTGCTGGGATTACAGGCATGAGCCGTGGTGTCTGGCCCTAATGTGAGTGATCTTTAACACTGAGCACTTGAAAAAGAAAACCCTGAAGAAACCTAATTCTTTGATGTCTGGATGACAAGGAAGAAGATAGAAATGGCATCAGATAATAAACAGTGTAAATGTTTATCAGAAAGAGGCTGGTGGTCGGGACAAGTAGGAGGATTGCTTGAGTCCAGGAGTGCATCTCTACAAAAAAGTTAAAGGATTTTTTAACATTGGCCAGGCGTGGTGGCACACATCTGTGATCCCAGCTACTTGGGAGGCTGGGGCAGGAGGATTGCTTGAAGCCCAGGAGGTTGAGGCTGCAGTGAGCTGTGATCGAGCCACTGCACTCCAGCCTGGGTGACAGAGCAAACTCCAGTCTCAAAAAAAAAACAAATAATAATATTTTACATAACCAACCACTTCTAAAGATTAAAAAAACCCCTACGATTAAAAACCTCAGGTCCCTCAGGCAATCATACCAGATATTGAAACAAAGCAATAACATAAGGACTGCAGTATTCATTTTATTTTTATATTATTTATTTATTCTTCCTTAGTTTCTTGAGATTATCATCCGCTGAGGGTGGAAGGGGAGTGAGCAGACACACTCAGGAGGTGTCTTGAGATTATCATCCGCTGAGGGTGGAGCTGAGGGTGGAAGGGGAGTGAGCAGACACTCGGGAGGTGTCTTGAGATTATCATCCGCTGAGGGTGGAAGGGGATAGAGCAGGCACTCGGCAGGTGTCTTGAGATTATCATCCGCTGAGGGTAGAGCTGAGGGTGGAAGGGGAGTGAGCAGACACTCGGGAGGTGTCTTGAGATTATCATCCGCTGAGGGTGGAAGGGGATAGAGCACACACTCGGAAGGTGTCTTGAGGCTCAGGGAGTTATCAATTATAGAATGTTGTTGAGTTGGAGGAGGTGGCTGGTGGCCCATCCTGTTTTTTAAAGTTTCAGCTGTGAGGTAGGGCCAGTAGGGCAATCCTGAAGAATGACGATGCTCCACTGCCGCCATTCTGACCTGTAGGGCCAAAGGAGGGAATGTTTTCACACATATTCATTTGATGGACAAAATTACCGCCACCAACACAGTCTGCACCTTCTGTTGCTGGTGATAGATTTTTGCACCTTTCCATCCTCCAGGTTTCAAAATAGCAGTGTCAGTGTCATAATATCACCCTTCCACTGAGTACTGCCGACAGCTAGGGGGTAAAGAAAAGTCATTGGGACACACTGTTGTCTCCACATGCCACTGTGTCTGTCTGCAAATGTAGGCAGGCTGGGGTCCTGCCCCAGGGAAGACAGAGTCATAACAGAGTAATAAAGAAGCATGTTTGAGACACAGGAGTGTCTATGTCTATCCTCATTCCTCCCTCACAGCCATCACCAGAGCATGTTTCTTGCACCAGGTCAATAGACAGTAAGAGACAGTAAGAGAGGCATGAAAAGCCCATTGTCCACACATGTTGCAGCTTCTTTTTGGAGAATGTTTTCCAGGCCTTTTATGTTCTGTCTCTGATTCTCAGAACTCTGCAAGGTCAGTGTGACCACCCTGCTCCAAATCTAAGAAAACAGAGGTTTCCAGAGGAAGGAGAAATTGTGCCCAGGGTCACACAGCTTGCAAGAGGCAGAGTGGAAGTTGATTCCAGCTCTGCCTGCAGGACCCTCTCATTTCCCCTCTGTTTCCCTTCTTGACAAAGGATCTTCTTCACTCTGGAGGTGCCACCCATGAGAACAAAGAGCTCTGGAGAGATGTGGATTCCTGAAGAGCTGCAGGGGAACTGGGAGAGGGTTTTCTGACAGAACAATCTTACCTCAAGAAGTCAGTTAGGCATGGCTGTAATATTTCTTTTCACTCCCAGGTAATACCAAATTGTAAGTGCACTAGGACATAAAGAATACTTTTGTCCATGGAAAAATGAGGTGGGAATTCTAAACAAAGCAAGTTTTAAAACTGTGTTTCACTTCAAGTGTACAAGTCCCATCGCGTGTAATCATAGGACTCGGCAGCTTTTGAAGGTACAGAGGCCACACAAGAACCAGCTTAGCTGAGCATCATTTAAGGCCCTCATTTGGAATTGTCCCTGTGGGTAATAAGTTACATTCACTCTTCACTAATTTACAGTCAGGGCCCATTTGCTATTACAAATACGGAACCTCTGACACTTAGAATATTAGATGGGGGCCCCACTGGGTGGGGATGAAGGTGTTTTTGCGCAACACAGTTACCAACAGGGATGGGACTGTGATGCTTGTAGGCAGCCTTCCTCTCTGCCATCTCCCTCTGCAGGGCTTGAGCACAGAGCCGTAGGGAGAAAAATGTATCCATGTCCTGACCTGGCAGACTATGTCCAAAAGCAAGGAAAACAAGCAAACTTACCCGGTTGCAAAGAGGCTTTCTTGCAGAAGGGGTGATCTGAAAAAGCCAACACATGAGAAATTGAATGTTGAGAGAGTCTAAGGGCCGTGGCATCATCTGCATCAGCACTGAACTATCCTGCAACTGCGGGGAGGAAGCTCCTTACTTTGCATCTGTAGTAGTCCTCTGCCCGCCGCCGCAACGCTTGCGCACGTTGAAACATTTCCCTATGGATTACAATCACTTTCATCAGATAAAGCACCACTTTCAGGATGATTTTAAATAATCTGCCATGTTTCTGTTATCCTCACAACTGTACCCTTACACAATCTATCTCTACCTAGAAAACGTATTTCAGATGGCTAGAAGAGTACAGTCTGAGCCGGTCACGGTGGCTGACGCCTGTAATCCCAGCACTCTGGGAGGGCGAGGCGGATGGATCACGAGGTCAGGAGATTGAGACCATCCTGGCTAATACGGTGAAACCCCGTCTCTACTAAAAATACAAAAAATTAGGCGGGGGTGGTGGCAGGCGCCTGTAATCCCAGCTACTCGGGAGGCTGAGGCAGGGGAATCACTTGAACCTGGGAGGCGGAGGTTGCAGTGAGCCAAGATCACGTCATTGCACTCCAGCCTGGGTGACACAGCGAGACTCCATCTCAGAAAAACAAAAACAAAAACAAAAACAAAAAAAACTGTACAGTCTGATCCAAACTGTTGCTATATTGATTCCTCCTCTTGCTTACTGCCTGCTGACTTCTGAGATGATAGTTTCCTTCCCCATTCTCAGTATATCCCTAATTCATCCTTCATTGAGCATCTTTTATCATAAAGCTGTATTCTCTTTGTATTAATATCTTTACCGTGTTTCACAGGGCAGAAACAGCTGGGCTTATAAACAGGCATAGTCCTTTTGAAGGATGTGGTTGATCCTACAACAACACACTTTCCTAAGGATGACAACAACTCACCCCACCCCTAGAATGGCTGGTATGAACCGAGTTTCCACACAGTCTAGCTGGCAATGGGGTCAGGAGCCGTTTTGCTACTTCACATCTTTTGGTCACTGGTAAATATTAAGGTACTTTGTTTTCTGTTTTGTGAACTCTCTCTCTCTCACGATATGTCTTCTGACCATTTGTTTCTATTTCTGCATTTACTGGGTCTAAACATTGTACAAAGGTTAAAAACAACACTCCAATGGGCGTTTCCCAAGAGGGTGGGGTTCAGTTTCTGAACTCACATGTAGGTGTGTATTTCTTTCATATCCAATTTCCCATTTTCCTCTGCCTCTGACACCTGCCTCTCCTCTTCTCTGTGCTCACGTTCTTTCATGCTTAGTTTCCTCAGACTAGAAGGGAGAGAAATGCACACACATGATCCACCAGCACGTGTGGGATTCCCTCTGCCCTTCTGGCATCTGAAGGCTGTGATTCAAAGATCCCCCCTGCAACCTTCCCACAAATGAACCAACTGATTCTCACAACTGAAGGGAGAATGGACACCTCCCATTGAGGGATAAAAAAAATCACACTCTGGCCTGCTGGCAAGTCACCTGTCATTTCCAGCTCATCTTCATAGTTCCATAGTTAGTCCTATTCTTTAGTAAATATAAAGACTATTAAAAGCTTCTATGAGGTGCACTATGTGCGTCTCTGGGGTCAGTCTTGTGCTTGACACAGCGAAAGCTCATTTTAGTTCAGTGTGAAAAACCAGACCTCACCAATTCATCACAACTAACTCCATCGGAAGCAGAGGATTGCTCCTCATCTGACTCCTCCTGTGTGAGACCTGATTCTCAGTCAGAGGCTGATGCCGGAACTGAGACCATCAGCCATAGAGAGATCCTTCCAGAATATGGTGTCATTAACCCCGCAGTTCACTACTGCACTTTGCCATGATTCAGGACTGGAACTCTTGTCATCGACTTTAAAGATCCTGAAAAGGCAATCTGAATGCTGGGCGCATCTATTGAATTAGAAATGATCGGAATGGCTCCTAAGTCAGGGTGTTATGTCCTGAAAATAGGTGACAACGGCAAACCATCCACCCTGGTGTTGACTGACTTTAACAAGGTTCAATTCACAGAGATTGAGGGCAGAAAAAGGAAACGGCCTCAAAAGGGTAAGTTTGCTGTGTTGCCCTCACACCACTTGATTCATGGTCCTGATCCTAAGGATCTCACCTGATACTTGGTTTTATAGGAAGGATGTGTAAAATTCCCAGAACGCTAGGAAACAGGGACGAAAACACTTCAAAGAGAAAGTTAATGAACTTGTTTCTGACCACAGGGCATCCTTCAGCACATGCTGTCTGGAGTGGCCTCAAACAAGGAGTGTGTGGTGAGGTGCTGACAATGCAATGGGAGCAGGGTCCTGTCCCCACGCTAAAGAAGCTCACAGTTTAATGCAAATGAGAAGCCAGTGAGGACATCACTACTCCTGCTGTGCACTTGGGAACTAGAAACACAAAACCTGACTCTGGAGGGAAGCTAAGGAAGCATTCTACTCTTGAGTTGACATAAGTGCATCTGAAGCTTCTGATCTCCGATGAGAACAATGGGGGACACCAAACAGAATATAAAAACCATGATTGAATACATCAAATTGCTAACATGGCAGTAAACAGACATGAGGTGAAGATGGAGAAGAAGGAAACCCAGGACGAAAGTCAGCCTCGCATTTGGAACCCATTTCCCTGAGTTTCATTGCTGAATTCCAGAAGGAACTACTGAGATGCAAAGAAGCACAGCAGCTTTTGCACACATGCGTGGGGTTAGATGGAAAACAAGTGGATTGAGGGTCTGCCAATGAAAGCGATCCATACTGAAGTCCACTGGCTCTGGTTGAGACCCAGAAGAGTCATGCATCAGAATAGAGGTGGACAGGAAATACCCTGGCCTTTGTAGGGACTGAGCCTGCAGAGACGACCTCAATTGCAGCCTGTACGGAGGACCCCTGACCATCCCCCAGAAGTAGACTCCCATCTCTTCTGCAGCAAGATAACATGCTACTAGGCCTCAATGCATTGTTAAATATTTTTTAAAAAGTATCTCACATTTAACAAAAAAAGATCAGTCATATGGCAGCAAAATACAATGTAGTATGACCAAAACATGAAAGACTGTGAAAATGAATCTGGAGGTGACCCAAGCATTGAATTCAACAATCCAGGCTGGGTGCGGTGGCTCACACTGGGAGGCTGAGGTAGGCAGATCACCTGAGGTCAGGAGTTCAAGACTAGCCTGGCCAACATGGTGAACCCGTCTCTACTAAAAATACAAAAATTGGGCTGGGCACGGTGGCTCACGCCTGTAATCCCAGCACACTGGGAGGCCGAGGTGTGCGGATCATGATGTCAGGAGTTCTAGACCAGCTTGGCCAATATGGTGAAACCCCGCCTCTACTAAAAATACAAAAATTATCTGGGCATGGTGGCATATGCCTGTAGTCCCAGCTACTCAAGAGGCTGAGGGATAAGAATCGTTTGAACCTGGGAGGCGGAAGTTGCAGTGAGCCAAGATCATGCCACCGCACTCTAGCCTGGGTGACAGAGTGAGACTCCGTCTCAAAAAAAAAAAAAAAAAAAAAAAATTGGCCGAATGTGGCGGCACACACCTGTAATCCAAGCTACTCGGGAAGCTGAGGCAGAATTGCTTCAAACTGGGAGGCAGAGGTTGCAGTGAGCCAAGATTGCACCACAGCACTCCAGCCTGGGCGACAGAGCGAGACTCTATCTCAAAATTAAAAAAAAAAAAAAAAAGGCTGGGTGCTGGGTGTGGTGGCTCACGCCTCTAATCCCAGCACTTTGGGAGGCTGAGGCGGGTGGATTACCTGAGGTCAGAAGTTCGAGATCAGCCTGGACAACATGGTGAAACCCCATATCTAGTAAAAATACAAAAATTAGCTGGGCATGGTGGTGGGCACCTGTAATCCCAGCTACTTGGGAGGCTGAGGCAGGAGAATTGCTTGAACCCAAAAGGCAGTGAGTTGAGATTGTGCCATTGAACTGCAGCCTGGGCAACAAGAGCAAAGCCCCATCTCAGGAAAAAAAAAAAAAAAAAAAAAAAAAAAAAGAGAAAGGAAAACCAATGCCAGTACTAGCAACTCCTCTTCCCCTGAAAAAATGACAAACAAGAATGTAGGAAGGGAAAGGAATTATACAGCTTAAACTAATGAAGCAGAAAGGACAAACTCAATTTTGAACCCACTGAATTTGCCACAAATATTGTAGAAAATATTCTCAAGGACTTTACAGTTGTCTACTTTGATTGGCACATGGTTCATACAACAGTATTTGTGTCAAGGCACATCTTACTGTTCTTTGGCGGTCTTCCTCTTTCCATTGATTTTGTCATGACGGTTGACTTTTGTTGTCACCTTCATCTTACGGATTTTAGCTCGAACTTTGGTTTCCACCTGTCTCCATAAAGTAAAGATGTCTTCCAGGACAATTTTAATTCCTGGAAAGGAAGAAACTCTTTTCTTTGTGTGCATACAAATGGACTTCAGCCCTTGGTGAGAGTGAGGAGAGGAGAAGGTGAGAAACCTGAGGGCAAGAAGCTGTTCTTTCCCTTTCCAGGGCAAACTCATTTCCACACTATGGGGACTCCAACAGAGCCATACCTTCCTGTCTACGGCGGTTGGACCTCCTGGCTCTCTGCTGTACATCCGTGGATCCATCATGTCCATTTTGAGATGGGAAGATAGTCTTCAGGAAAGACACCTAGGAAATAATAATATAAGAATGACGGCTGGGCACGGTGGCTCATGCGTATAATCCCAGTACTTTGGGAGGCCGAGGCAGGTGGATCACGGGGTCAGGAGTTGAAGACCAGCCTGGCCAAGATGGTGAAACCCCGTCTCTACTAAAAATACAAAAATTAGCCGGGCATGGCAGTGGGCGCCTGTAATCCGAGCTACTCGGGAGGCTGAGGCAGAGAACCGTTTGAAGCTGGGAGGCGGAGTTTGCAGTGAGCCGAGATCACACCACTGCACTCCAGCCTGAGCGACAGAATGAGACTCTGTCACACACACACACACACACACACACACACACACACACACAAAGAATGACATGAGGCTGGCAGGGTGGCTCACTCCTGTAATCCCAGTACTTTGGGAGGCCGAGGCAGGCGGATAACCTGAGGTCGGGAGTTTGAGACCAGCCTCACCAACATGGAGAAACGCTGTCTCTGCTAAAAATTCAAAATTAGCCAGGCATGGTGGTGCATGCCTGTAATCCCAGCTAGTCGCGAGGCTGAGGCAGGAGAATCACTTGAATCCAGCAGGAAAAGGTTGTGGTGAGCTGAGATTGTGCCATTGCACTCCAACCTGGGCAACAAAATTCAAACTCTGTCTCAAAAAAAAAAAAAAAAAATAGGCCAGGTGCTGTAGCTCACGCCTGTAATCCCAGCACTTTGGGAGGCCGAGGCGGGTGAATCACAAGGTCAAGAGATGGAGATCATCCTGGGCAACATGGTGAAACCCCGTCTCTACTAAAAATACAAAAATTAGCTGAGCATGGTGGCCCACGCCTGTAGTCCCAGCTACTCGGGAGGCTGAGGCAGGAGAACTGCTTGAACCCAGGAGGCAGAGGGTGCAGTGAGCCAAGATCCCACCACTGCACTCCAGCCTGGTGACAGAGTGAGACTCTGTCTCAAAAAAAAAAAAAAAAAAAAATGACATGAATATACTTCACACAACTGAACTGTACACTTCAACACGGTTAGATGGTAATTATCATCTTGTAAGTATTTTACCACAGGTTAACATGTTTCACAACTTGAAAAGGAAGTAATTAATTACCTTCAGCTCTCTGAGTTCTAGAATTTGTAACATTTCACCCCCTGCTCCTTCCTGATCTGCACTGGAGCATCTTTCTTCTGTCCCTGCTCTACTCAGAGTTCACTTTCCCTTCCCTCACATCAGCTTCGTTGAGGCTGGTTTGAACTTAACGCAAAACATTCTCACTAATGACTGAATTCCCACCAAGATTTCCATATTATCACAGTATGCTTTTAATCTTCGAAGATATTAAATATTTGTTCTCATCATAGCTAAAATGCAATGCAAATCCCATCTCAGATGTGGGTCAGATACCTATGAATCTCCTGAGGTAGTCATTGAAATGACTTTTTTCTTGAGACGGAGTGTCACTCAACCATGCTGAAGTGCAGTGGCACTACCTTGGCTCACGGCAACCTCCACCTCCCAGATTCAAGCGATTCTTGTGCCTCGGCCTCCCAAGTAGCTGGGATTACAGGTGCCTGCTACCATGCCTGGCTAATTTTTGTCTTTTTAGTAGAGATGGGGTTTCACTATGTTGGCCCATCTGGTCTTGAACTCCTGACCTCAAGTGATCCACCTGCCTCAGCCTCCCAAAGTGCTGGGATTACAGGCATGAGCCACCACACCTGGCCTGAAATAATATCTTTCAAATTCTTTGTAGAACTTGTTTTTTCCTGATTTCTGCACATAGGATTAAAAAAAAATCATGTACTAGGATTTCAAGAGAAGCAATGGGTAATCTAAAAAGATGAAAAGAGCAACCACGTCTATCCCACAGCTACTGCTAGATTTCATAGGAAAGGTAGCTGGCCCAGTTTGGAGCTAGGAGAAATGTCAAACACATGAAGAAATGAGAAGCAAAGAAATGCCATCACACATGAATGCTTCATGGCACCCATGATGTCCCTGCTTAGGAGGTAATGGTATAGATGACTAGATGACAAGGACAAAGATGAGAGGTGCAAAGTTGTCCAAGTCCAACAGCTCAACTGAACTTTCCTAAATGGAATTGTTAAAAAGTGGTAAATTTAAAAACTTCCCCTGGCTCACGTGGTGACTCACGCTTGTAATCCCAGCACTTTGGGAGGCTGAGGCGGGTGGATCATTTGAGGTCGGGTTTTGAGACTAGCCTGGCCAACATGGTAAAACCCCGACTCTACTAAAAATACACAAATTAGCTGGGCATGGTGGTGGGCACCTGTAATCCCAGCTACTTGAGAGGCTGAGGCAGGGGAATCACTTGAAGCCAGGAGGTGGAGGTTGCAGTGAGCCGAGATCACACCATTATACTCCAGCCTGGGCAACAGAGGGAGACTCCTCTTGGGGGTGAGAAAAGAAAAAAAAAAAAGCTTCCTCCAATTTATACCGAAAATTCTCTGTTCAGGACTAAGTGGCATAGAGAATGTTAAATGTGCCTAGATATCTTCATAACTCATATATTTTCTGTTTTCTACATATCTTGAAAGGCAGTGCCAAATGACGTGTAATTATCTAGGCGGTAAAACTGAAACATACTTCCTCTTCCCTTGAATATAAAAAAGCATTGTGGTTTAGTACTTTTATCTTGGATCATTGTTCAGAAGGAGGTTCAGCCCCCACACAACCACATTTTTATTGTCATGAATGGCAAGACAAAATGTAGAGCTCAACTTACGCAAAGGATAAAAGGCTCAAAAGACAAATTATGGCACAACTTAGCAGCCAAATTCTTACCAAGTATAGACTTTTGACATACTGATCTCATTCCAGTTGCAAGTGGGAACATGCACTTTGAATGATGTCATTCAAAATTACCCTGCCCAGACACACTTTTCATTGATTCTCTTGGAGGGCAGTTCTAAGAGATTCTCTGGGGCTTTCTCTGCATCATGAGACGCAGTGCAGTTCTGCCCTTCACCTTCCGGCAGTTTGTCACCTCGTCCCTATGACCTCAGAGGAACTTTGTCTCAGGCCAACTGTTTGTTCCTTGGGCTCTTTCATTTCCCCTAAAAATCATTTGCTGCCCCTCTAAATGGCCTACATCTCCATCTATCTCCCTCTACCCTCAGAAGAGGGTGCTCTTTAAGCATCAACCATCCAGCCCTTCTAGCAGTCTCATTTTTCAGCTGGTTCCCATGTTTATGCCTGTTCTATGTTTTTCTTTTCCTGTTAAGCTGTCTGTTGTCAGCTCATTTCTGCAGTGAATCTTCAGAGAGGAGATTGGAAGCTTTCCTTCCACCCATACGATAGAACTATAAAGCAGAAGAGTTTAGAAAGACTTTCCCATTTAAGTGACGAAATCTCATACTCCATTTGTGACAAATAGCACAAAGGTTAAAAAAACTTATTTTTGACCAAAAGCTCTGTTGACATTCTATTAAACACCGACCTATTTAATTTTCATAATGTAAATGGCAGATATTTTCATAATTCTTATGCTAATAAATCATTTCCCTGATTTTTTGGGTAAAACCACATATTCATAATGAAGTCCAGAAACGTGAATTGTTTCATATAATTTATTCTTATTTGTGATTACAAGTATACCTCTACAGAAAGTTAGTATACTCACACAAAGGTAACTTGTGCAGAGGGAGATGGCAAATTTATAACTTCTCAGAAACACAGTAATGATAAGTAACCAAGGACTTCCACCAAAGTCAGTCCCACGATGACGATGGTCAGCCAGAGTATTGATAACCTGGAATAATAATAGTTGAAATAATGAAAAGGTCAATGACACTGACAATATTTCACTCAGAAAGAATCATCCTTAGAAACCGTCAACCTCCTCCAAAAGGTAACCACATCCCTCAGATATCACCGTGGGATTCCACTGCTACAAAAAAGAACAGAAGTTAGAGAAGTCTCATGTTTTTCAGATGGCTGGTAGTGTTTTTAGGCATTGCAAATGTGGGGTGTTGTCTTTCTTGGTATAAAGCAGGGATATCCAATCTTTTGACTTCCCTGCCTATATTAAAAGAAGCAAAGTTGTCTTGAGCCACACATAACATACACTAACACTAACAATAGCTGATGATCTAAAAAAAAAAATTTTTTTTTTTTTTTTTGAGACAGAGTTCCGCTCCACTCAGTCGCCCAGGCTGGAGTGCAGTGGTGCAATCTCGGCTCACTGCAACCTCCAGCTCCTGGGCTCAAGCCATTCTCCTGCCTCAGCCTCCCGAGCAGCTGAGATTACAGGTCTCTGCCACCATGCCCGACTAATTTTTGTATTTTTAGTAGAGATGAGGTTTCACCATGTTGGCCAGTCTGGCCTTGAACTCCTGACAGGCGATCTGCCTGCCTCGGCCTCCCAAAGTGCTGGGATTACAGGTGTGAGCCACCGTGCCCGGCCATTTTTTTTGTTTTTGTTTGTTGTTTGTTTTTGAGATGGGGTCTCACTCTGTCACCCAGGCTGGAGTGCAGTGGTGTGCTCTCGGCTCACTGCAACCTCTGCCTCTCAGGTTCAAGTGATTCTCCTGCCTCAGCCTCCTGAGTAGCTGGGAGTACAGGTGCCTGACAGTGCACTCAGCAAATTTTTGTATTTTTTGTGGAGATGGGGTTTTGCCATGTTGGCCAGGGTGGTCTCGAACTCCTGACCTCAGGTAATCTGCCCGCCTCAGCCTCCCAAAGTGCTGGGATTACAGGCATGAGCCACTGTACCTGGCCAAAATCTCCTAATGTTTTAAGAAAGTTTACAAATTTGTGTTGAACTGCATTCAAAACTGTCCTGGGCCACATGCAGCCCGTCACTCATGGGTAAGACAAGCTAAGTATAAAGTAATTATCTTATCTTTTATTTTTGTTTTGAGACAAAGTCTTGCTCTGTCACCCAGGCTAGATTGCAGTGGCATGATCTCAGCTCACTGCAACCTCCGCCTCCCGGGTTCAAGCGATTCTCCTGCCTCAGCTACTGAGTAACTGGGATTACAGGCGCCTGCCACCACGCTCGGCTAATTTTTGTCTTTTTAGTAGAAACAGGGTTTCACCATCTTGGCCAGGCTGGTCTCCAACTCCTGACCTCATGATCCACCTGCCTCGGCCTCCCAAAGTGCTGGCAATACAGGTGTGAGCCACTGCACCTGGCCAGTAGTTATCTTTTCTTTAGTTATTTACTTGTTTTTTAAATTGATGTATAATATTGGATGCATTTATTATATATCACATGGTAAAAGAATCCCTCTAAATAATACTTCTCTCTTGGATTATATGAATCTTTGTCATTTAAAGCTCAGCATAAGTAAAAAAAAAAAAAATACAATGAAGAGATTACTTCATTCACAAATAAGTATCGAATTTTAGTTCTTAAAAAGTAACAAGGTGGGCTGGGCGTGGTGGCTCACGCCTGCAATCCCAGCACTTTGGGAAGCCGAGGTGGGTGGACCGCGAGATCAGGAGATTGAGACCATCCTAGCTAACACGGTGAAACCCATCTCTACTAAAAATACAAAAAATTAGCAGGGCATGGTGGCACGCGCCTATAGTTCCAGCTACTTGGGAGGCTGAGGCAGAAGAATCACTTGAACCTGGGAGGTAGAGGTTGCAGTGAGCCAAGATCGCACCACTGCACTTCAGCCTGGGTGACAGAGCGAGACTCTGTCTCAAAAAAAAAAAAAAAAAAATTACCAAGGTGGAGATCATGAAAATGGCATGAATAGCGTGGGATTTCTCTAAGATTGTTGATATTAATTCCATTAGACTCTTATGTGAGTGAAGACGAAGACTTCCCCTGAGTAAGTTCAGACAGCTTCTGATAACATTTCTACATCGATTCCTCAGGATTTAACTATATATTCTTGAAAACATCTCAATTTTAAATGTTTCTTTCAAGATGGTGAATTAAACAGAGATAGCCCTTCAACAGGTTGAACTCAGCATATGCTGAGTCTGAAATGGAAATGATGGAGTTAGAGAACCGTACAACAATGGTAATGATTTCAGAAACATGGTGTTGAGCAGAATAAAGCAGACACAAAAGAGTACCTATGGCATGGCATGCATCTGTATACGCGAAATTCCAGAATAAGCAAGCTAACCTATGATAAGAAAGAGACTGGCTGGGAAGAGTGAGAGTTCACTTTCTGGGGTGACATAATAGTGTAGATCTTGGCTGGGCACGGTGGTTCATGCCTGTAATCCCAACACTTTGGGAGGCCGAGGCAGGCGGATCACCTGAGGTCGGGAGTTCAAAACCAGCCTGACCAACATGGAGAAACCCTATCTCTACTAAAAATACAAAATTAGCTGGGAGTGGTGGCACATGTCTGTAATCCCAGCCACTCGGGAGGCTGAGGCAGGAGAATCGCTCGAACCTGGGAAGCAGAGGTTGCGGTGAGCTGATATTGCCCCATTGCACTCCAGCCTCAGCAACAAGGGAGAAACTGTCTCAAAAAAATAAATAAATAAATAAAATAATGTAGATCTTGAAAGGGGGTTGGTTTATGCTGGTGTATGTACTTTCCAAAGTTAGTAAACTTACACTTAAGGTTATATATTTTGGCCAGGCGCGGTGGCTCACGCCTGTAATCCCAGCACTGGGAGGCCGAGGCAGGCAGATCACGAGGTCAAGACATGGAGACTATCCTGGCGAACATGGTGAAACCCAGTCTCTACTAAAAATACAAAAAGTAGCCAGGCGTGGTGGTCTACTAAAAATACAAACATTAGCCAGGCGTGGTAATCTGAGCTACTCAGGAGGCTGAGGCAGGACAATTGCTTGAACCCCGGAAGCGGAGGTTGCAGTGAGCCGAGATCTTGCCACTGCACTCCAGCCTGGGCAACAGAGTGAGACTCTGTCTAAAAAACAAACAAACAAAAAAAAGTCATCAAACCAGATGACACAAATCAAATGACATTTCACTTTGTTTTGGTCCGTTTTGTCTGTTGGAGACAAGAGTGCAACAGCGCCATCTCGGCTCACTGCAACGTCCAGCTCCTGGGCCCAAGCGATCCTCCCACCTCAGCCTCTCCAGTAACTGGGATAACAGGTACGCACCACCAGGCCCGACTAATCTTTTTTGGAATTTTTTGTAGAGATGGGGTTTCGCTATGATGCCCTGGCTAGTCTTCAACTCCTGGACTCAAGTGATCTGCCCACCTCAGCCCCCTAAAGTGCTGGGATTACAGGCCTGAGCTGTGTAATTTCATGCCGCGTGACACAGCCCAGTAAAAAGGAAGAAACCCCGCGGGTCCAGCGTCTACTCACACAGGTGGACTGATGGCTGATAAATCCCAGCAGGAGCCAAAAGAGCAGCCACAGCACCCATCTACTCACACAGGTGGACTGATGGCTGATAAATCCCAGCAGGAGCCAAAAGAGGAGCCAAAAGAGCAGCCACCGCACCCGCATGTCCTGGTCCTTTCAGGGCGCCCTGAGGCAGCCAGGACAGAGGTGGAGGTGGCTTAGGGCAGGGGGGAGGGAAGGGGACGGGGACCGGGCCGGATCTGAGTTGGGGAGGGGGAGGGGAGGGGGAGGGGAGGGGGAGGGGAAGGGGGGAAGTAAGGGAAGGGAAAGGAGGAGAAGGGGGCTGTTGGGGAGGAGGAGGAGGAGAAGAAGAAAGGGGTCTGGGAAAGGATCCGGTTCAAATTAAGTTCTCAAGCGCTGGTGGAAGGTTTAGCTACAGGTCACGGAGAAGATCAGGGAAGCAACAGGACAGGCGGGGCAAGGGAGCGTGAGGCTTAGGAGCAATTAGAGGGAGACAAAGGTTCTGCTTTCCACCAAACCTTCTTCGGTCTGGGCCCTCCCTTAGCAACCCTGGGGCTTTAGACTCTCTCTCCACCAATCCCTGATGACCCCGGTGGTGCCTCACAATGGACATTCCAAGTAGCGCCCGCATCATCCCAATGACCCCTCCCCCATCTCAGTCCCCCACGCTCCTCCCAAGGCCAGGTCCTCTCTGGAACCTTCACAAACCTGACTTCTGGTCCTCCCCAACCAGCTCCCTGTCCCTGCTTCTGGGCGCTCCTTCCTTCCTGAGCTCCCAGGGTTCCTCAAGGTCACTTTTGGCGACAAAACATAAAAAACAAATGATGGCAGGATGGCAGGAAGAACCTCATACCCAAGCAGAGTGCCAGGTTGTACAGCCTCCGCTCAGCCATTCATATCCTAAGCAACAAAACATCAGCAGGATGCGGAAGGTCCCGATAGTAAACCATCTCCATCACATCCATGTAGCCATCCGTCCATCAACCTGTATCTCAGGAACAAATGTACATACATTCATTTTAAGCATGCATGGTACATTTACAAAAATTAACCTGACTTATTTTGTTCCAGCAAATCTCAATATATTTGAGAGCAATCAAATCACACAGCATGTTTCTGATCATAAAACTGTGCTAGAAGTCAATGATTAAAAGCTAATTCAAAATTATTATTTGCTTGGAAATTCAAAGTGCCCTTATAAGACATAAACATAAGAAAGAATCCAAAATGAAACAAGATTGCCTTTCAACTCAATGATGAGATCATAACATGGCAATAAAATGTCTCCCTCTGGCCTGGGAATTCCTCTTTGTGGCACAAGGTTGTGTGATCTCAAATCACCCCTAACCCACCTAGACATTTTAACATCCGAAACTGAGTGATGATGTCCTTATCTATGTCATCTTACTGCCCGTGTGTGTGGACTTTAAATTCTGAACCCAAATGAGGGGGAGAAAACCAAGCTGACTTTCATGACTGAGCTCTCAGGGACGTCCAAGGAATCTGTGCATTTCAAGAAACAAAGTTCATCAGCTTCTCTCCTAAGGTATTTGCCCACAATACCCAGAGGGCTTGGCCGCATCATGTGTGATGGGTGGGGAGCTCCAAGCAGGCGGGCAGGACCCAGGGGCCTGGTGACCAGGACAGACCCCCACTGTCCATCACCTTTCCTGGCCCTGTCCTCAGCTAAACTTCCCACAGGCCTTCTGCCCGATCACACAGAGTGTGCCCAAACTCTCTCAGGCCTCTGGCAGCTGAAAACCACTGCTTTAAATCCCTTTACCATTTACTATGACATAAGGTTATTGTAAACAGGAAATATTCTATTGATGCTACAAATGGAAAGCCAATGCCTTTACCATAAATAGAAAAACAACCCTAAGAAACAAGCAAAACAAAAACAAAACAGGGGCTGGGGGTGGTGGCTCACGCCTGTAATCCCAGCACTTTGGGAGGCCGAGGTGGGCAGATCACAAGGTCAGGAGTTCCAGACCAGCCTGGCCAATATGGTGAAACCCTGTCTCTAATAAAATACAAAAATTAGCCGGGTGTGGTGGTGGGCACCTGTAGTCCCACCTACTTGGGAGGCTGAGGCAGGAGAACAGTTTGAACCCGGGAGGCAGAGTCTGCAGTGAGCCGAGATTACACCACTGCACTCCAGCCTAGACGACAGAGCGAGACTCTGTCTCAAAAACAGCAACAACTACAAACAAACAAAAAACAGGATTAACAAAACTATGGAATTCAATTCTATTTATATGCTGCAGCCATGTTCCAGCCCTAGATTTGGCTGGGCATGGTGGCTCACGCCTGTAATCCCAGCACTTTGGGAGGCTGAGGCAGGCGGATCACGAGGTTAGGAGTTCGAGACCAGCCTCACCAACATGCTGAAACCCCGTCTCTACCAAAAATACAAAAATTAGCCAGGCATGGTGGCACACGCCTGTAATCCCAGCTACTCAGGAGGCTGAGGCAGGACAATCCCTTGAACCCGGGAGGCGGAGGTTGCAGTGAGCCGAGATCGTACCATTGCACTCCAGCCTGGGTGACAGAATGGAATGAGACTCTGTCTCAAAAAAAAAAAAAAAAAAAAAGAAGCCCTAGATTTCGGTTGTGTTGGTTGTAAAAGGAGAGACCCAGTAAGTGGGGGTTGTGCCGCAGATTGCTACCCACAATGGACGGGTCACTGAGCAGGTCCGGCCAACTGGGCGTTCCCTCGCTGGAGGGCCAGCACACCAGACTGCAGGTGGCGCGGGTCAGCAAGGTACCAGGGGATGTGTCACACACACAGCCCACCCCCGTCCAGTCACGCACGGACACCCTGGGCTTCCGAGCAAACCTGCTCCCACGTGGTGTGACCACATGGAGCCACAGACACCCAGCAAGGACACGCAGCCCGCACACCCCCGGTACTCCAGACACAGTGACCTGCACCAGGGCTCGAGGTTTCTCTAGGGAACCCACCTCTTAGAATCATCCAGAAACAAGTCACTCTTCACCTGTCCAGCAAAGGCCTGCTGAGAGGTGCACAGTGTCTGGAGTCCAAGCTGCGCCAAGGCGGCAGGACCCCCAGCCCAGCCCAGGACCCCCAGTAGAGCCCTCACCTCAGCGTGGAGGCCTGAGAACGTGAGGAAGGAGCTGTCCAGCACGGACGAGTCCAGGCAGCTGTCGATGTCCAGCACCTACTGCCCGGCAGGTGTGGGGCTCAGGCTCCCAGCCACCTGCAGGACGACGGCAGTGGTCAGCGGGCGGCAGCTCAGACCTGCTCAGGACAGGGATGAGAAGCCACCTCCTCAGCAGACAGGACAGAGCCCGGTGCCATCTAACAGAATGTCCTAGAATGCTGGATATATGGGACATCTGCACCGTCCGTGATGGCAGCCCCTCGCGACATGTGCCACTGAACACTTGACAGCAGACTGGTGCAGCTAAGGAACAGAGTTTTGAATTTCATTTTTTTTTTTTTTTTAAGATGGAGTCTCGCTCTGTCACCCAGGCAGGAGTGCACTGGCGCAATCTCAGCTCACTGCAACCTCCACCTCCCGCGTTCAGGCGATTGTCCTGGCTCAGCCTCCTGAGTAGCTGGGATTACAGGTGCCTGCCACGATGCCCAGCTAATTTTTTGTATTTTTAGTAGAGACGGGGTTTCACTGTGTTGGCCAGGCTGGTCTTGGAACTCCTGACCTCAAGTGATCTGCCCGCCTCCGCCTCCCAAAGTGCTGGGATTACAGGTGTGAGCCACCACGCCCGGCCATCGTTCCATTTTAATTAACTTTAATACGAGCAGCCACATGTGGCCTCTGGTTCCTGCCACGGACTCGGGAGCAACCCCTCCTGGTCGCGGCTTATGCGCCTTCTCTGTGTGCTGCTGGGGTTAGTTTGCATGTAACCTCTTGAGGACCCCACGTGTGCATTCCTAAGGGGTGCGGCCTCCCGTTTCCGTATGAATGGGAAGAGTTCCCACCTGCTGTATTCTTGGAAAGAGTCTGTGAAGGATTGGTGTTAATTCTTCCTTAACTGCTTAGAAAAATTCTATCGTGAAGGCTCTGAGCCCAAGCTTTTCTTTGTGGGATTTTTTTTTTCTTTTTTTTGGAGATGGAGTCTTGCTCCATTGCCCAGGATGGAGTGCAGTGGCGCAATCTCGGCTCACTGCAAGCTCCGCCTCCTGGGTTCATGCCATTCTCCTGCCTCAGCCTCTCGAGTAGCTGGGACTACAGGCGCCCGCCACCATGCCCAGCTAAGTTTTTGTATTTGTAGTAGAGACAGGGTTTCATTGTGTTGGCCAGGCTGGTCTCGAACTCCTGACCTCAACTGATCTGCCCGCCTCGGCCTCCCAAAGTGTTGGGATTACAGGCGTGAGCCACCGTGCCTGGCCCTTTTTAATGTTTTATATAGATGGGGTCTTGCTATGTTGCCCAGGCTGGTCTCAAACTCCTGGACTCAGATCCGCCCACCTCGGCCTCCTGAAGTGTTGGGATTACAGGCGTGAGCCACCACACCCGGCCCGGCCACTGGGAGGTTTCTAAGGGACTAACTCGGCCTCTTCACTTGCTATAGATGTACTGAGATTTTCTTCTGGAGTGCATTTCGGAAGCGTGCACAGCCGCGTGCTTGCTTCTTCTGAGTTATCTGGCGTGCTGCTGTGCAGTTGTCCGTGGCGTCTGCTTAGCGAAGTGCCCTCGTTCTTTCACGATTCTGGCTTCTGAGTCTTCTCTCTTTCTCCCTGGTCAGTCTAGCTAAGGCTGCTCAAGTGTGTTGACCCTTCCCGAGCAGCCTTTGGTGGACGCCTTTCCCTCTGGCTGCAGCACTGGAAAGTGGCGGCCCTGGGCATGGTGCCGAGGCCCAGGCTCCATTCCCAGTACTCCCGGGTCCCCAGCCCCAGCCCACCTTGCTCCGGGACATCCGGAAGAGAAAGAGGATGGCCAGGTAGACGGGATAGACAACCACGCTGGACACCAGGCCAACAGCGACTGTGTCGACGCTCAGCGGGCTCAGCCTGGACACATGCCCCGTGCTGTGTGGAGGAGAGGAGGCCACACAGGTGAGGCTGAGGGGCAGGAAGGGCTGGGCAGGAAGAGGCTGTCCCGACCCCTACGGCACCCACCTGTAGGCAGAGTCACCAACAGCCCCGTACCACACGGCGTTGGCGCCCAGGAAGAGGCAGATGAGGAGAACGCAGCAGGTGGCCCTCTGGATGCGAGTGAAACAGCTACGAGGTGGCCGGTCCCATATGGAGAGCCAGATGTGCTTGTCAAAGAAGCCACGCTGCAGCTCAGCCACCAGCAGGCGCCGGAAGCGCAACAGGGCTGCGTGACCTAGAAGGCAGGGAGGGCCGCACTGCAGGAGGCCACGGGGCAGGACCACCCTGCCCAACCTCCCACGGAGTGGGAACATGGAACGAGGCCTTACTCGCAGCCAGCACCTCCTTCTCCACCAGGCCCCCGTTGGCCTCCGTCTCCACCGAAAGCCAGTCATTGACCAGGAAGAAGGTGCTGCGTGCCGTCTGCAGGTCCCTGACGATGATGTGCTGCAGGAACCAGGCAGGGCTGAGCCCTGCAGAGGCGCGGGAGGGAGGTCAGGCTCGCAGGGCGCCCCAATGCGGGGGCAGAGGGGCAGAGCTTGGCAGGGTCCGCACAGACCTTTGTTGTCGTGCCACACTCGGATCTTCCACACGCTACCCAGGCTGTGCGGGGTGGCGATCCGGAAGATGTCCAGACTGTTGCGGTGGAAGGCTCTGTCGCCGTCCAGGTGCCGGTGGCCGCTCCGGCTGTCCACCCCATACAGCATGATGCCCACGTGGGCCGTGGTACCTGGAGGGCAAGAGGGAGGGGTGGGAGGCTCGGTCTGCTGCCCAACACGTGTGGCATCCCAGGCAAGTCATCTCAGCTTTGGCCTCCGCGCACTCAAGGAGCCACACAGGCAGTCCCGGCTTTGCACGGCTCTGCCATACACGAGGAGCTGCGGTTACTGCAATTTGTCCAATAAACAGCAGGACCTCAAGGACATGATTAAGTTACACGGAAAGAACTGTAACTTGTGACATGCAAACATGGCTGCACACGCCTCAGTCCACACCACAACCAGTGACCCGCGCTGCACACCTGTCCACGCCTCAGTCACGCCACAACCAGTGACCCGCACCACACACCCGTCCCTCAGTTCATGCACAGACTGCGAAGCGTGAAGCTGTGTCACCTCCTCTCCCAGTGACAGACCCAGGTGACAGTATTTTTTTTCTTTTTTTTTTTGAGATGGAGTCTTGCTGTGTCACCCAGGCTGGAGTGCAGTGGCGCAATCTCAGCTCACTGCAAGCTCCGCCTCCCGGGCTCACGCCATTCTCCTGCCTCAGTCTCCCGAGGAGCTGGGACTACAGGTGCCTGCCACCACGCCGGGCTAATTTTTTTGTATTTTTTAGTAGAGACAGGGTTTCACCGTTAGCCAGGATGGTCTCGGTCTCCTGACCCCGTGATTTGCCTGCCTCGGCCTCCCAAAGTGCTCGGATTACAGGTGTGAGCCACCACGCCCGGCCGACAGTTTTTAAAAGTAGGTAATCAAAAGAACTGGGAAATGAAGATGAAAGCAACACGGAAATAAAAAATGGGAACACAGCCAGGTGTGGTGGCTCACACCTGTCATCCCAGCACTCTGGCAGGCCGAGGCAGGCGGATCACCTGAGGTCAGGAGTTCGCCTGGCTGACATGGTGAAAAATTAACTGGGTGTGGTGGCGTGCACCTGTACTCCCAGCTACTCAGGAGAATCGCTTAAGGGGAATCGCTTAAACCCAGGAGCTGGAAGTTGCTGTGAGCCAAGATCACGCCATTGCACTCCAGCCTGGGCAACAGAGTGAGACTCCGTCTCCAAAAAAAGAAAAACGAAAACAAAAAGGGAATGCCAGAAGGGCAATTCCAATAAAGGAAAATGGAGGTATTGAAGAAACAGCCACGGGGAGGGTGCTGGCACCTCCGTCTGAGAGACGAGCTATGCAGTCAGGATCGCGGGTGGATGCATGGTCTCCCACAGTGGTAGCGATGCTCATGTCACTTGTGGGGCCACGCTACTGTGCAGAACGTGGGCTGCCCACCCTGACTGACTGGCACCTACTTCCAGCTAGGAGCTGTCCTAGTCCTCAGGGACAGTGAGTGCTCACGAGGTCATTCCCAGGATGAACACACGAGCCCTTCACACAGCACTGCAAAAACTGCCTTGTTCTGACGCCTGCGACGAGACTCACTCCCAGAGGGTGCAACCAGCACAGCCAGTGAGAGCAGGGGAGGCCCTGCCACCCCGCCGCGCCCCTCACCTGAGCCCCGGCCCCAGCCTGTCTTGACGAGGATCTCGTACTTGAAGCGGCCCCGCTGCCCACAGAAGGGGATGGCGCAGCCCCGGCTGGCATCCAACTGGTCCAGCTTGTGCAGGATGGCGGCCATGACCATGTAGGTCACCAGGCACACAGCACATGTCAGCATGACGATGTAGTTTACATCCGCTGTCGGCTCCTGTGAAGACACAGCCGCCGGGCCCAGGAGGTCACGTGCAAGCTGTGCCTTCTCAGGATAGAGCCGAGCCCACCCAGGCCCTCCTCGACTCTGCAGAGGCTCCCAGGAGCACAGGGTCACTCACAGGAAACACAAAGCGTACATGGCTTGGGGGCATGAAGAGGCTGGCGCCGAAGGCGGTGAGGTGGCGGGTGAGGCAGACGGCCTGGCGGGGCGAGGTCTCCTCCAGGGGCAGCAGCCCCTCTGTCCGCCACACCACATCCTCCTCGCTGAAGTACTGGCACAGGGACGTGTACAAGCCCACGGACACCTCCAGCGCCGACCAGCGGAAGTGGCTGGAGAGGTTCAGACGGTAACTCCCCACTGGGTCTCTGGTCCTGGGAAGGGAAGGGGCAGTGGACGTGAGCCCAGGCTCCGCCAGGTTGGATGTCGGAGTCCCAGAGCCCATACCCGGTCCAGTCCCCTCGCTGCCTGCCGTCCCCACGGGGCCCGTAACCCGGGCAATGCTGACCCATGATGCCCTGCCCTGCCCTGCCAGGCCGGCCCGCAGAGCTCACCCCGGGGAAATGAAGAAGGTGTAGGGCCGGTGGTCGGCACCCTGGAGGGACTCTGGGCGGATCCTCCTGCTAGCCGAGCAGTTGCGCTCATTGGGCCGGGGCTCCGAGTGCAGGTAGACTGCCAGGTAGGGCTCGGGTTCCTCAGACAGGTAGCGGCCTGGGGCAGAACGCGCAGGTCACACGCCTGCCGGGAAGCTCAACCACCCGGGGGACACCCACGATGGCCCTCCTGAGCCCACCCTCTGCCACGGGCCTGAAAGGCCATAGGAGCCTCTGCACCAGAGCTGGCACCTGCTTCTCCGTGGCCCCCAGCTCCTCTCCGGCCAGGCCCCCAACAGCCCATGAAACAGCAAATTTCACCAGAGACACCCATGGAAGCCCTACGAGAAACGCCTTCCCCCCAAGAACAAGGCCAGGGGGCCGCGTGTGCCCCACCCGCTGCACACACCGTCCAGCAGCGTATAGTTGAGCTGCAGATGCAGCACGGCCACAGGGCTGCTGCTGTCCAGGGTGACCACAGCACCGACGGAGGCCTGGGGCTGGACCACAACGGAGTTGGCGGAGCTGCGGTGGCCCCGGGCAGCCCAGTCCGAGTTGTTGGGCACCTTCACGGTGATGGCGCGCTCTGAGGCCAGCCGCTCGATGGGGATCTGGGCGCCGGCCTGTGTCTGGAACGCCATCGAGGCCACCTTGGTGGAGACGGTGTAGTTGCTGATATAGCCAAAGAGAAAGGGATTGGAGTCCACCAGAAAGACGAGCTGCACCACGTCACTGAGGTTGGCGGGGGCCCTGCTGAAAGCCTAGGGGATGGAGAGGTGGCAGCCAGGCCCTGGGGCGCCGCCATAGCACAGCAGGCTCCGCGGGTCCGAGCGCTTGCCCTGGGCCATGATCTCCTCGCCCGCCAGCGTCACGGGCTCCTCGTTGAGCACGCGGGAGCGCGTGAGGATGCGCATGAGGGCAGAGGTCAGGTTGTAGGCCTGGGACGCCACCATCCGCAATGGTGACTCGGCTCCCAGCTCTGAGCGCTGCGGTGCCCGCACGTCTGAGCTGGCCAGGTGGATGAGGTCTCCTGCAGACAGGCGTGAGGTCAGTGCAGAGACAGGGAGGCAGAGGGAGGGTGGGGGCAGGCAAAAAGGGGGAGCCGGAGGGTGGGGGCTGGGAGAAAGGGGGAACCTGAGGGGGCAGAGAGCGAGGTGCAGGCAGAAGGAAGAGGGAAGCTGGAGAGAGAGTGGTGGAGGGGGAGGGGGAAGGGGATGGGGATGAGGACGAAGATGAGGGGGATGATGGGGAGAGGGAGGAAAAAGGAAGGAAAAGGGTAGAGAAAAGAGAAAGGGGAGAAGAAGAGGAGCAGGGTGAAAGGGAGGGGAAGGGGATAAGGGGGATAAGGGAGGGGAAGGGGGATAAGGGAGGGGAAGGAGGATAAGGGGGATAAGAAAGATGAGGGGAATGGACAAAAGGACGGGGAGGATCGGGGGGGAAATGGAGAAAAGGGGAGAGAGATGGAGAAAAGGGATGGTAATAGGGAAGGGGGAGGGGGAGGAGAATGGGAATTGGGGGAGGGGGATAAGGATGGGAATTGGGGGAGGGGGATGAGGATGGGAATTGGGGGAGCGGGATGAGGATGGGAATTGGGGGAGCGGGATGAGGATGGGAATTGGGGGAGGGGGATGAGGATGGGAATTGGGGGGAGGGGAGGGGGACGAAGATGGGATGGGGCAAAGGCGAGGCGGTTGTGGGGAGGAGGGAGGCAGAGGAAAGGGCGGCATGGGGCGGACGGGCCACGTGGGGCGGGCGGGTGGCGTGGGGCACGGGCCGCGGCACCTGTGATGTTGAGGATGCTGTCTCCGATGGCGGTGGGCGTCACGGTGCCCGCGGTGGTCTCTGCCTGCAGGATGCGCATCATGGCCTCCAGCTTGTGCAGCGTCTGCTTCAGGCACGAGCGGCATACGAGCTCCCTGCTGGGCCCCTGTGTGGAGCCAGCAGTGTCCAGCCCCGCTCCTGGCCCCACTCCTTGCACACGCCCTCCTCTCTACACGGGTCCTCACCTGGCTCCCACCCCCAGCCCTGCAGCTGGAGAGCCCACTTGACTGGACCCCCACAGCCTCCTCACTAAGCATTTTTTGTGGCTCTGCATGACCCAGGGCCTCCACCTGGGGAACACGTGATGCAGCCCACCGACCACACAAGGCACCTCTTCACATGAGAGAAGGAGGAGGGCAGAAGGGAGAGAGGAGAGGGAAGTGGAGAAAAGGGGGGAGAGGAGAGGGAAGGAGAGAGAAGGGGGAGAGGAGAGGGGAGGGGAGAGAAGGGGGGAGAGGAGGGAGGGGGAGGAGGGGAGGAAGGAGGAGGGGAGGGGTGAGGGGATGGAGGGGCTGGGGGAGGAGTGGAGGGGCTCAGCGGGATGAGGTGAGGGGAAGGTCTAGGGGAGGGGAGGAGGGGAAGGGCTAGGGGAGGGGAGGGGCTGGGGGAGGAGGCAGGGGCTAGGGGAGGGGGGAGGGACTAGGGGAGGGAAGGGGGAGGGGAGGGGTTAGGGGAGGGAAGGGGAGGGGAGGGGCTAGGGGAGGGAAGGGGGAGGGGAGGGGAGAGTGGAGGGCACAGAGCAGCATCTTCTTAGTCCCTCCCCACATCTGGGCCCCTCTTTACACCCTGGGTCCCCCGAGAGGCACCCTGCGTTCACACAGGACAGCAGAATGGCTGAGGCTACTGAAGCAGGTCAGAGACCGAGGAACGCCATGGCAGGAAGGAGCCCAGGCTGGAGGCTCAGCTCCTCGGCCAAGCTGCCCGTCTGCCCTGGGGGGCTGAACCCAGTACCCTGGCAGGCATGCGGGGCGGGGAGAGCATGTGGGGCCATCCTACCATGCACTGGGCCAGCGCAGCAGCGATCTGCTGGATGTCATCCACAGTGTGGACCCTCAGGGACACCAGAGTCTCCGTGATGTTCTTGCGTATCTGGGCTCGGCGCTGCCGCTCGTGCTTGGGCTCTGCCGCCACGTCCAGGGCCCGCTCGTACTGGGGCAGGCAGGGGGCACAGCAAGCTGTCAGCAGGGCAGGAGGCCGGCAGGAGGCCAGCAGATGCCCACGACTCCCGGGGTGCAGTTACGTGCTAGATGCTGTGTGATGTGGGCACTGACCCGCAACACTGAGCTGTTTCTTCATGGGCAAAACAGGGTAAGCACATGGGCCCTCCTGGGCGGGGGCTGCATTGTGGAAAGCAGACGCCGGAGAGGGCCCGGTGGGTGTGGCTGCTGGGAGCGGAACGTCGGGGTGCTGCTTCAGGGTCACTGGGATTTATCTCTGGGGCCCGGGATGAGCCCTCCGCAAAGCTCCAGGCAGGGGAACAGGTCTTGGTCCCCAGCACGCATGCAGCAGATGTGAGGTCCCCTCCCAGGCTGCACTCACCTCGTTCAGCACAGTGACCAGGGCCAGCGAGTACTCGATGACGTGCTGGGGATCGGCCTGCCGCAGCAGCCCCGGGAGCACACTAGCGGTGAGCCCGTGCAGCCAGACTGTGAGCCCCATTGCGCTGCCGTTGGGCTCTGGGAGGGTGATGGCCAGAGACCTACGAGCAGAGGGGGGTGGTGAGTAGGTGGCAGTCTCGGGGGCGCCCTCCCACGGCCTGGCTCACCTGTTGAGGGCGACCACAGCGGCTCCCAGCTGGTCCTGCACCACCACGGCCAGGCCCACCTCGAAGTGTGGCCTGAAACCCGGGGGCAGCACGGCTCCGTAGCCGGAGAGGCTGCCCTTGTAGACACAGAACTCCTCGCAGTGGCCCTGGCGACAGCGCTGCAGCAGCAGGGCGTACACCAGCGGGGCGCCAGCATCCTCCGCGTCATGCCAGCCTGAGGGACGGTCCCCACGGCATCACGGGAGGGCTCCGTGACCTCACAGAGTCGGGGGATCCCGCTGCTCCCCCTACGCAGGCCTGCACTCACCCATGCATTCGAAGTGCACCTTGGTGGTGAGAGCGTGCACAGCGCCCAGTGGGAAGAGGCGGCAAGAGCCCCCCAGCGGCGGGCGGTTGGGGGACAGGGGGATGGAGGCGCAGCCCTCCTCCTTGCCAGAGCGGCCCAGCACCGTCAGCGTGAAGGTGTATCCCTCGCCGTCCCGCAGCACGCCCCGCCGCAGCACCAGTCACATGCCTGCGCTGCCCGTGGATGTGGTGGTCTCATCCAGCACCAGCGTCTTGTTGCTGAACGTACGTGCAGCCCACCGCTGCAGGCAGAAGGGATGGTGAGGGGGCGCAACCCTCTGCCCTGTCAGCCCCACTTCTGCCTGCAGGCCCCGTCCCCTCGGCCATGGGACCCATCCCCAACCCGCCCACACCCCGCTCAACACTCACCCCTCGCTTGGAGCCGCTGCTGCAATTGAGGCAGCGGCCCTCCAGGTACACGTAGGAGCTGCGGCTCACTTCGTACACGGCCTGTGCCTTGCAGGACACACACTCCAAGGACACAATGGGCACCCGGCCACTGCGGATCAGCACCTGGCGTGGGAGTGGGGTTACCTCCAACACAGGTCTATTTGGCCTGCTGGAAGGTCTGGGGGACCCGTGGAGGATGCTGCTCCCAAACTCCAGGTTTCCCAGGGGCCTGGCCACTGCCGGTGAGCTCACCCCCTCCCAGGATACTCATCCGGTTTGCCACCTTCCAACCTGGGCGGCGGAAGGGCATACACAGGGCAGAGGACACTGGGGTGTGCGTTCTGGTGTACTGGAGCCAGCTGGACCCTGGCAGGAGGCAGGCAATGCTCACTGAGGGCCCCTGGGGGGATGCGTGTGGGAACAGACGTATGTGTGGGTGTGAGGACCGCAGTTGCCACGTAGGCCTGACTCACAGACTCCTGCAGCCCTTAGCCAGGGCCTGGGTCAGGAGGCTGAGCCGGGATGGAACCTGCTCCCACACCCTCCCCTCAGACGACCCCTCTGGGCAGACCCCCAATCAGGCCAGCTGAGGAAAGCAGGGACTGGGGAACAGACACCCACTCTGGGGTACCAGCAGGCCCCAGTCAGGGAGGCGCACACGCTCACAGAGGGCAGGGAGGCGCACACGCTCACAGGCACCTGCTGCGTCCGGTTCTCGAAGGCATTAGATGCCAGCAAGGTCAGGACGTACTCACCTGTGGGGACAGGCCCAAGTGGGGCAGCCGCGGCACCCCCACCTGCTCCCCACCCGCTCGGCAGAAGCCCCCCGCCTGAGGAGCCCGGGGTGAACGGCTGCACCTGCGGCCCAGCCTTAAGGGTCCCAGGCTCCCAAGCCACGTGCGGGACGGAGCACAGGTGCAGCAGCACTGAGGGCTGCCTGGTGAGGACGGCACCGCCTCCAAGTGCAGCTGCACTCGGGGCAGCAGAGCAGCAAGAGCCAGGCCGCGGTGGGGGGCAGTTCAGGGGGCCCAGCTTCCCTGTCCACTCCTCCCACGCCTGGCCCCTCCCTCACCCCAGTAGGGGCCTAAGCCATCAGCCCAGGTGAGGTCACAGTGAGGGCTGTTGGGGAGGAAGCGGGGCAGCTTGACTGGGGGACTGGGGGGGCCCCGTGCTCAGAGCCTGAAAGGCAGTGGCCCCCTCACCCCCTCATCCCTCACCTGGGGCAGCGTAGGTGTGGGTGACATTGTGCTCCACCAGCACCTGGGCCACCGAGGGGTCTGGAACCGGGAAGGACTCGTTGTACGGAGGCTGGAACTGGTGGAGGGCCTGCTCCCCATCCCCAAAGGTCCACCTGCCGGGGCGGTGGGAGGCAGTGAGTGAACCGGGACAGGGGTGCGCAGTGGCGGGGCACAGGTGCGCGGTGGCGGGGCAGGGGGTGCTTGGGACCCAGCCGAGGCTCCACTCTGCAGTCACGCCCCGGGCCTCCATTCAGGGCCCACCCGGCTGTGCTGAGGCCTCTCCCGGCTCCCGTGCAGCCTCAGGGCTCCTGTGCACCCAGTACCTCCCAACAGACAGGGAAACCGAGGCTCAGAAAAGCAACCCCCTGATGTGGGGTCCCTCGGCTGAGGCTGGAGCCGGGACAAGAGCCTGGTGCCCGGACAAGAGCCTGGTGCCCACCCCAAACCGGCCCCTGAGTCACTCACAGGAAGGCCACCTCCACGGCCGAGTCCACCAGCACGCCCGCCGTCAGTGCCAGCGTGGCATTGGGGGACAGCACGGCTGGCACTGTAGAGACCCGCAGGCCCTGCATCCTGTTCATCCGCTCCACGGTGATGTTGTAGTTCACGGTGACGTTGCTCACGTGGTTGGAGGCCGTCAGCTGCAGGGACAGGCATCAGTGGGCCCAGGTGGCAGGTGAGAGGCCTGCCCTGCTTGGCGTCCCTCCCTCCACTCACCACAGCCATGGCAGCGTCCTCGGGCAGCATGAAGCAGAGCAGAAGGCAGAGGTGAAGGTGGAGCCCGCCCCCGCCCCGCCCCATCCCCTCCCCTCCCCACTCCCGCCCACCTACTGAGAGCTTGAAGACCGCCGCGCTCTGATAAATGACATTGAAGACCACGTTCTGGAAGGTCAGGGACTGCTTGTCGTTGATGGTCCACCGGAAGACCATGTCCGAGCCGGCCTCCACCACGGGGCTGTACCTCTGCGGGGGGACTGGTGTCAGCCTGGGCTCTGTGGAGGACTCTGCCCTTAGCCTGTCGCCTCCTGGACACACCTCCCGTCGGGCTGGAGAGTCCCACGCGGGGCACAGAGGAGAGGAGGTGCCCGGGGCTCTGCATGCCATGAGAGCCAAGCCCGGGCTGGGACACTGACTGTCCGGCTCTCCAGCCAGCCATGTAGTACTACTAATGCCTCAACCTCTCTGTGCCTCAGTTTCCCCATCTGTAAAGCAAACCTAGTACCAGCTACAAAGAGTCCACCTCTCTCTGAGTCTTCTCAGACCCTCCCGGGGCTCCTGCCCCAGCTCCTCAGCCAGAGAGCTCGGAGCAGTGAGGGGAGGCACACGGGCCTCACAGGGACAGCACCTACACTGGCTTACAGAACCCAGGACAGGCTGCACAGGTCACGCCATTTCTGATGGCCCCTCCCAAGGCCCCTGGTGAAGGGGCAGGTACCCGCAAGATGGAACAGCCCTGTCCCCCATGTACCCAGCATGGTGGCACTGCGGGCAGCCCGCAGTTTCCCATCAGGGGTTCGGACTCCACCTCAAAAGCCACTTGCTTTAGCCAGGCGAGAACACAGCAGAGGGCGTGAGAGACTCACGGGGACTCGTGTGAGGTCAGGGAGCGGAGTTTTAAATTCATTTCGTGAAATGAGACGGTGGAATGAGTTAGCGGAGCCGCTGTCAGAGCCGTGACTTTCCAGGAATTTAAAGCCCACCAGGTAGCCTGAGGAGCCAGCCAGCAGGACCTGCCCGGGGCCGACGTCCCCAGTAACTGGGCTGCTGCCCTCACTGGGAAGCCAGGCCTCAAGCCCTGTGTGAGCACCCTGTCTGCAGGCACCTGCCTGGGGGCTGGTGGTGGAGCCTCGGCCATACTCACCACTGGGACTCCCTGCAGTACACGGGCCTCGGGGCTGGGCGTGGCGCGGAGGCCACAGATGGGCTCCTCCGCCGTCACCCGCAGGCTGAGGTTGGCCCGGCTGGCGCTGTTTTCCACCACAACGTCCATCACGTGCTCCCCCTCACCGAGCCACGGCAGTGCTACCACTGAGAACAGGGTATCATTGGTCTCCCAGGGGCAGCCGGGCACGAAGGTGGCCACCAGGGCAGGGCAGGCATTCTCAAAGCGGGCGCTGACACTGCCCCCAGGCCAGCGAGCCGTGGCCGTGGCGCTGGCACCAGAGTCCACCTGGAGCACCGAGGCTGAGCCGTTGGTGGGCACGTAGAGGCGGCCGTCGCGGGGGGCAGGGTAGATGACCCGCAGCCCAGCCACTGGGGAGACCACGTCAAAGCTGCAGGACAGGTTGTGCCTGGACACGCCATTGCCCACCTCTGCCCGGACCTCATAGCGCCCAGGCAGCCGCAGCCCAGGGTTGGGCCTCAGGCCCAGCAGCACGGTGAGCTGTTCCGTGGCTGCAAGCAGCCGCAGGGCACAGGCAGGGCAGGCCCAAGTGCCCTCCAGCTGGGCTGGCAAGTGGGGCAGCCATGACGAGGCGTTGGCGGAGAGGTACGGGGCCTGGGGACCAGGGTGGCCGGGAGCCGGCGAGCAGTGCAGGAGGGCGCCAGGGCCAGCGTCGTGCTGCAAGCCAACGAGGTCACCAGGGAGCATGAGGACATCCTGGCTGTGGAGGGTGACCTGTGGAGAGGGAGGCAGGGCTGCATCACGTCCTCACGGTCATGGCCCGTGGACCCCTGCACGACGGATGAGGGTGGACACGCAGGGCTCCCCGCTTCGTCAGCCACACCTCAGGGAGCCTCCCCACAGTGCTCGTGACAAGGACAGGCAGGACAGTTGCAGACAGGGGGACACACGGGGAGAGGACACAGGCCAAGACCTGGCAGACAGGAAGGAGCGGCTGTGCTGGGAGAGAGGAAGAGGAGGCACAGCTCGTGCCAAGGGCCCAGGCGAGAGCTTCTCCCACTGGGAGAGGGGCAAGGGCACTGCAGAGGTCGGAGGTTGGAGGTCGGAGGTCGGAGGTCAGAGGTGGCAAGGACGTGGGAGGGGCCTGCAGGCTGGGTGTGCCTGCTGCGCAGACCCAGACCCTGGGCAGCAGACAGGAAGGTGGCCTGAGGAGATGCAGGGAACAGACCCAGGTCAGGGCCACACACCGAGTACTGCGCGGGGGGCCCCGCGGGAACGGAGAAGAGGAACTCTCTCCATAGCGCATAGGGGGCCCCGAGTAGCCCTGGCCCTGACGTGCAGCCATTGGCGCAGGCCTGGGGGTGGCAGGAGGCGTCCAGCGGCAAGCAGATGTTGGCTCCAGGGCACCAGCGTCCCCCTGGCATGCACGCGGGGACCAGCTGGGTCCTGTTGTCCGGGGACCTGCTCTCAGGCTCGCTGCCGTTCTCCGGGGTCCCTGCGAGGAGGGGAGGGTGTTGGGGCCCTCATTCGCCCACGGGCCACCGTCAGAGATGCCCAACTGCCTGCACCAGCGAGCCTGGCCTTGCTGTGAGGACAGGTCTCCCCGCCCGGGCAGCACTCCCAGCCCAGTGCTGCGTCCCTGTCTCCGGCCAGCTGACTGACCCAGGCCGGTCCCCAGGCAGGCCCCACCCGATCCACCCCCAGGACACCTGGAATGAGCTGGTGTCTCTGGAACCCCTGCTCTGTCCACCTAAGACTGGGAACCACTCTGATGGCCACAGGACCAGCAGACGTGAGAGCTCAGAGAGGCCACCCCGAGTCCTGCGGCGCCCACCACCCCAGAGTCCCACCTGCTGTGCTGAGGAGCCGGTACACCTGCAGCCGCAGCTGGGCGGGCCGCCGGAGCTCCTGGGTCCCAAATTCGGCCGTGGTGAGGAAGGCTTCACGGCTCAGACGCAGGCCCGGGAATACCATGACCTGGTGGGCAGGGGGCCGCCTCAGCTCCACAGACCCCATCCCAGCCTGAAGCCCAGACTCCCCCCACCCGAACTTCGCAGGAAGAGGGGAGGGAAGGAGAGCGAGCCATCGGACCCCCACAGGCCTGGCTCCTGTCGCTCGAGAGGAAGACTCCGATGGAAACTGTCCATGGGGGGCAGGACCCCTGACCTGCCTTTCAGGAATAACTCACCCACACTCAGAGAAAAGGCCTGGGGGTAATGTGAGTAAACGCTTTCCTCTCTGCACTCTGGATTTTCCCAACCATCTTCACTGGGCACAAGCAACATTAAGGCCCCCAAGTTTTTTGGCGAGACCCACAGTGGGCAGGGCAGGCGAGGCCTCCAGGGGCAGGCAGGAGGGCAGGTTATAGAACGTGGGGGGCCGACTACCTCCACGGGCTCGTGCGGGGCTGAGAGGCCGTCCTGCCGTGCCAGAGGCATCAGGGGTCCCTACAGGTCCCCACTGGGCGCTCCCACGAGGAGGTTCTCGGCATCCTGCACTGGGCCTGGGGTGGCAAGTGCACAGTGAGGCGCCGGGCCAGGGCCCAGGACACCAGGACGAACAGACTGGGGACCGAGCCGCCCGAGAACCCCCCCACCAGCCCCTCCTCCTCAGCCCAGGCTCCACCGCGGGCGCTCGGCAGGCCCCTAACCACAGCCAGCGTCTCAGGCCCCTGCCTGGCCCCTCGCACACCTCCAGGCCGCAGCTCGCAGACGTAGCTGTGCGGCGCTGAGCACAGGTCGGTGTTACACCACCCGGTGGGCCCGAGCCGGACGCAGTGCTCGGCTGTGGCTGGGTGTGGCTCCCCGGGCAGCCAGTTCTGGCAGCTCTCCAGGCTGAAGGCCTCGCCCTGCGGCGCTGGGCCCACCTCCACCCCCTGCACAGTCGAGAAGCCGATCCACATGTCTAGGCTCCTGGGGGCGGGTGTGGGATGGCAGGGGGCTCAGGGCACTCCTCCATCCTCCCACCCTCACAGCAGCCCGCTGGGAGCCCCGTCACTGTCCCCCTTTCCAGATGGGGAAACTGAGGCTCAGAGCCCGGAGAGCAGGGCCCACCAGCCCAGGCTCACAGCAGCACCCACCCACGGGGCCTGTGGGCACCGGCAGGGATCCCCGTGCAGGCCACCTCCCGTATGGCGTGCCCAGGAGTGTCCGGAGGCTGCCCCCAGCTCGCGTCCACCTCTGCATCTGCAGAGCTGACAGGAACGGCCCCACCGGCCGGCGCCACCTGCTCACCAGGGCCGGCCCAGCTCCCACCTCCCTCCTCCTGAGACTCCCCAGCCGCAGGCTCTGCCCCACTGCTTCAGAGATCTCCCAACCTATGGCCCCTCGGGGGGTGGGGCAGGCACCTGGTGACCCGGGAGACCAGGAAGCGCTGCACGGCGGGACTGTCCACCATTGCCAGGGTGGCCCCGGCCCAGGCCCGACACTGCTCCTGCGCCTGCAGCCAGGCCGCCTTCTCCACCACCAGGCGGTAGCAGTGCCCATTGCCAGAGAAGATCTCCGTGTCCGAGGGGCAGAGCGGGTGCACCGCTGGAGACCAGTGGGAACGAGGGTGTCAACGGTCAGTGTGGGCCCAAGACGGGGGTACCAGGCTCTGCCCCATCTGGATGGCCCTGGGGAGGAAGGGGAGTGGGCAGCAGACACTCACCTCGGGCCGGCTCCTCGCCCAGGGCCACGATGCTGTAGGCGGCCTCCAGGCCTGAACCACCGCGGTTCTGGATGCTGAGGTCGAGGCTCTCGTCACTCTGCACCGAGGACGGGCACACGAGCTCCAGGGCGGCAGGTGCCGCTTCCACCTGCACGTCTGTCCCCAGCAGGGCTGAGCCGGTCCCCAGGGCCAGCACGGCCGTCACGTGATAGCGCCCAGGCAGCACATAGCGATGCGAGGCAGCCGGCCCAGCGGCATCCACCTCGGGGGAGCCGTCTCCGAAGTCCCAGCGTGTGGCAGTGACAGGGAGCGGGGCAGCGATGTGGAAGGCTGCTAGCTGGCCGGAGGCCAGGGGTCCGTGGGGCCCCACCAGGGTGGCCCCTGGGGAGGCAGGGAAGACGTGCTGGAGGAGGGTGGGGCCCCTACAGGTGGGGGCAGGAGGCGGCGGGGGGCCGGAGCAGAGGGACAGGCAGGCGAAGGAGGCACTGGAGGGCTGGGCTGACCCACACAGGCACCAGCCCTGCTCGGAGAGGGCTGCGAGGCCCTGGCCGGTGGAGAAGCAGAAGGCGCTGCAGGCCTCTGGCTGAAGCAGGCCTTCGTGGGCAGCTGAAAAGGACACTGCTGCCACGGTGCCTGAGCTGTTGTCAGGGAGGCAGGCGACATACTCCTCACCTAGAAGAGGCAGCCACTGGACCCCGGGTTCTGCTCCTCCTGGCTCCACCCCACACCCCCCCATCCGCCCGCCGCACTCACAGGCTCCCATGCTGTTCCCTTGGCCCGGAGGCCCCCCCCAGAGAGGCCTTCCTGAGCCCTGCCCAGTGTCTGCAGGGCCCAGGTCCCACCTGGCTGGGAAGGACAGAGCTGCCCCACCCACCGGCACTCACCACAGCCACTGTCCAGCAAGGGGATGCCAAGCAGAGGCTGGCCAGCCAGGGAGCCAGGCCCAGCACACGTGGCTGCCTCGGGCTGCACCACCCGCACCTGCTGCTCCTCCGCCCATCGCGGCAGCCACGCCAGGCCACAGTCACACTCAAACGGGTTCCCACTCAGGTTTCTGCGGGGCAGGGGCAGGTGTTGGGGACCAGGTCTGGTGGGAAGGGTCTATGCCAGCCCCCCACTGGCAACCAGGCCCTGGAGCCACCCTGACAGCACCGCCTCCCCTGCCCCAACCAAGCCGGCACTGGGGGGCTCCAAGCAGGTAGTGAACTGCCCCCAGGATCTGGTCTCAAGCCTGGAAGGGGACACGGACCAACTGGGAGGGCAGAAGGGATACTGGGGGCCTGGGGTCCAGCCAGGACCCCACCCAAAGAACCACAACTTACATTTCACTTAAATTAAATAAATTAGCAAATATTCCTTCTTCTAACGTAGAAATCTTGTTGTTGCTTATATCCCTGGAAGAGAGGGGGGATTCGGCAAAGCTGACGGAAGCCCCCACAGCTGAGCAGCAAGAGGCGGTGCCGCCAGCCCACCCGGAGTGAGCCCCGCATGCTGGCACGACTGGGGGACACTCACAGCTCTGCCAGCGCCGAGAGGTTCGCCAGGAGCCCAACGTCCAGCGCCCGGAGCAGGTTGTGGGAGACGTCTCTGAGGAGTGAGTGGCCGTGGGTCAGGGCCAGAGCCCTTAGTAGGCCAGAGGCCATCCCTGGGCCCATCCCACACATTGCCAGCATCCCCAAGCTATGGCCTCCCACCCTTGAGCTCCCCACTCCCAGAGGTCAGGAGGGGCCTTTCTGATGGAAGACCCAAATGAACACTCATCTGGGGAAACCAAGCCGGGAGAGGCCTGGGGGCCTCAGCCCTCTGCACCCATCTCAGCCCTATGCCGAGTGCCACCTGGACCTGTCCACCCAGGGCCAGGAAGGGCACGGACCCCCAACCCATCCCACGCAGGGCCAAGGCCCCCCATCCCCTGTCCACAGTCCCCCACAGAGCCAAGGTCTCCCAACCCTGTCTACAGCCCCCACACAGACTCGAGGGGCCCCCATCTCCTGTTCTGAACCCAACAGGGTGGTCCCACTGTGGGACCACAACCAGGTATGACTGTGTGAGAAGCAGGCTCACTACCAGGCTACCAGGGAGCACAGCGGAGCAGGCGCCACCTTGAGGCATAAACCCAGAGAAACAAGACCTCCAAGACGGCCAGGCACTGGGGCACACGCCGGTAACACAGCACCGTGGGAGCTGAGACGGAAGGATCGCCTGAGCCCAGGATTTTGAAACCACCCTGGGCAACACAGTGAGACCCCGTATCTACAAAAAAATACACATTAGCCAGGCATGGCGGCATGCGCCTGGGGTCCCAAGTACTCGGGAGGTAGAGGAGAGAAAAATCACTTGAGCCCAGAGAGGTCAAGGCTACAGGGAGCTGAGATCGCATCACTGTACTCCAGCTGGGGTGAAACGGCGAGACTCTACCTCAAAAATAAATAAATACATACATAATTAATAAATAAAACATCAAAGACCAGCCGACCTAACTCCATCTAAAATACACAACTTCTACGCAAAATATAAATAAAATTAGAAAACAAACTACAATCTCAGAAAAGCACTAGCAACTTAGACGACATACTAAAGGCCAAAAATACCCTCCTGACACACAGCTAATAAAGAAAAAGTCAACTATTCCAGTTAAAAAGAAGAAAAGGAAACTGGCTGTGGTGGCTTATGCCTGTAATCCCAGTGCTTTGGGAAGGCCAGGAGTTTGAGACCAGGATGGACAGCATAGCAAGACCCCATCTCTACAAGGAAAAAAAGAATCAGCCAGGCATGGTGGTGTGGAGCTGTAGTTCCAACTACTCGGGGGGCTGAGGAGGAAGGATCGCTTGAGCCAGGGAGGTCGAGGCTGCAGTGAGCTATGATTGTGCCACTGCAGTCCAGCCTGGGCGACAGAGCAAGACCCGGTCTCGAAAGAAAAGAAAGAGAAAGCAAGAAAAGAAAGATGGCTGGGCACGGTGGCTCACTCCTGTAATCCCAGCACTTTGGGAGGCCGAGGCCGGCAGATCACTTGAGGTCAGGAGTTCAAGACCAGCCTGGCCAATATGGTGAAACCCCATCTCTACTAAAAATGCAAAAATTAGCTGTGTGTGGTGGCAGGCGTCTGTAATCTCAGCTACTCGGGAGACTGAGGCAGGAGAATTGCTTGAACCCGGGAGGCGGAGTTTGCAGTGAGTTGAGATTGCACCGCTGTATTCCAACCTGGACAACAGTGCCAAACCCTGTCTCAAAAGAAAAAAATAATAATAATATAAAGTGACCAGGTGTGTTGACTCATGCCTGTAATCCCACCACTTTGGGTCGAGGCAGGAGAATCACTGGAGCCCAGGAGTTTGAAACGAGCCTAGGCAACAGAGTGAGACCCTGTCTCTATATTAAACACACACACACACGCGCGTGCACACACACACACACACACATACAAAGGCAGCCAGACTATGCACTAGGAACTGCCCTGGGAATCCCTTTGTGTTCTCACAACAATCCCATTTCACATGAAGAAACCTAGGCACAGAAATATTCAGTAACGTGTCCAGGTGTGGTGGCTCACGCCTGTAATCCCAGTACTTTGGGAGGCTGAGGCAGGCAGATCACGAGGTCAGGAGTTCGAGACCATCCTGGCCAACATGGTGAAACCCCGTCTCTACTAAAAATACAAAAATTAGCTGTGTGTGGTGGCAGGTGCCTGTAATTCCAGCTACTCAGGAAGCTGAGGCAGGAGAATTGCTTGAACCCGGGAGGCAGAGGTTGCAATGAGCCGAGATCACACCACTGCACTCCAACCTGGGTGACAGAGCAAAACTCCGTCTGAAAAAAAAAAAAGAAATATTAAGTAACTTGTCTGAGGCCACATAGTTACCAAGACGTGGGAGCTGGGACTTGAACCCAGGCAGTCTGGCTGGATTCATGCCTGCAGCCTCTGCACTCCTGCTACTTACTGTGTGAGAAGCGTCTGTTCTGTGGAAGGTTGTGGGCTGAGATCTTTCCATGACTTCCACTCATTTACCCCCAAGGCTGTTCTTAAAGACGGGCATGACAGTTATGCCCATTTTACAGATGGGGCCCTGAGGCTCACAAGGGCACACCATTCACCCATTTCCACAAAGCTATAGTTAGTTAGCAGAGGGCAGAATTCGGCCGCCTCTCCCCTAGCTTGAAGGCTGTGATTGACACAGAGGTTTTTTTGTTGTCGTTGCTGTTGTTTGTTCCTTTTTCTTTTTTTTGAGACAGGGTCTTGTTCTGTCATCCCGGCTGGAGCGCAGTGGTGCGATGTCAGCTCACTGCAAACTCTGCCTCCAAGATGCAAATGATTCTCGTGCCTCAGCCTCCCAAGTAGCTAGAATTACAGGTGTGCACTACCACGCCCAGCTGATTTTTGTAGAGATGGGGTTAGTAGAGATTTGTTTAATAGAGACGGGGTTTCACCATGGTCTCTACTAAACCCTGTCTCTACTAAAAATACAAAAATTACCCAGGCGTGGTGGCACATGCCTGTAGTCGCAGCTACTCAAGAGGCTGAGGCAGGAGAATCACTTGAACCTGGGAGGTGGAGGTTGCAGTGACCCAAAATCATGCACTCTAGCCTGGGGTCTCGCTTTTGCCCAGGTTAGAGTGCAGTGGCACAATCATAGTGGCTCACTGCAGCCTCAAACTCCTGGGCTGAAGGGAATCCTCCCACCTCAGCCTCCCAAGTAGCTAGGACTATAGGCATGTGCCATCATGGCGAGTTAATCTTTTGTGTGTTTTTATTGTCTCGAGACAGAGTCTTGCTCTGTTGCTCAGGCTGGACTGCAATGGCGTGATCCTGGCTCACCGCAACCTCCACCTCCTGGGTTCAAGCAATTCTCCTACCTCAGCCTCCCGAGTAGCTGGGATTACAGGTGCGTGCCACCATGCCTGGCTAATCTTGTATTTTTAGTAGAGACAGGGTTTCGCCATGTTGGTCAGGCTGCTCTCGAACTCCTGACCTCGTGATCCACCTGCCTCGGCCTCTCAAAGTGTTGGGATTACAGGCATGAGCCACTGAGCCTGGCCTGGTGAGGTAATTTTTAAATTTGTTATAGAGACAAGAGTCTCTCTTATGTTGCCCAGGCTGGTCTCGACCCCCTGGCCTCAAGTGATCCTCCCACCTCAGCCTCCCAAAGTGCTGGGATTACAGATGGGTGTCACCGCACCTGGCCTCTGAGGAGGATTTCATTATAAACCTGCCCTGAAGGGAGGGAATCCAATTTTACGAGAGGGTGTAGCCTGGTGAGGCCTGGATGACCTCCGGAGGCAGGGGCTTGTGCCTGGGCTGAGGCCTAAGGGACAATGGGCAGACATGAAGTTGCCCCAGGCAGAGGGTACAGTGTGGGCAAAGTCAGGAAGTGGCAGGGCTTGGATCACTCCAGGAAGAGAGAGGAGTCATGTGTCACAGGAGCTCAAGACCCAGAGAGGGAGGCAGGCAGGCAGGCAGGGACCAAGCTTGGGCACAGCCAGGAAGGCAGAGGGCATGGTGGGGCCAATGGAATCATTACCCAAGACGGGGATTTTCAGGGAAACAGCTTAGATAAGGCCAGGTGTACAGTAGCTCCCACCTGTAATCCCAGCATTTGGGGAGGCTGAGGTAGGAGGACTGCTTGAGCCTGGGAGTTCGAGACCAGCCTAGGCAACATAGTAAGACCCCATATCCATAAAAAATTTAAAAAAGGAGTTTGTGTTCCTGTAGTAGCAGACTTGGGAGGTTGAGGTGGCAGTATCACTTGAGCCCAGGAGTTCAAGGCTAAAGTGAGCTGATTGAGCCACTGCACTCCAGCCTGAGCAACAGAGAGATACGCTGTCTCAAAGGAAATACAAATTAAAAAACCAGCCGGGCATGCTGGCGTGTGCCTGTAGTCTCAGCTACTTGGGACACTGAAGTGGGAGGATCGCTTGAGCCCAGGAGTTCAAGGCTGCCGTGAGCTATGATTGTGCCTCTGCAGTCCAGCCTGGGCGACAGAGAAAGACCCTGTCTCTTAAAAAAAAAAAAAAAAAAAAATCTTAGATAAGAGGATGCTGTGCCTCCCTGGGGGTCTTCAGTCACCCATAGTCCTGGCAAGAGAGGAGGGCCAGGAGAGAGCTTCACCCACCTGCTGTCCTGCCCATGTGACATCCGCAGGTGCTGCCATGGCCACGACTGTTGTTACACTCGAGCTGAGGAGGCCGGCTGCAGCCCCAAGACAGAGCGCTACTCCTGGCAGTGCGTCAATCAGAGCGTCCTGTGCGGTGAGTCCCCAGCAGCACCATGCCACCCACCCCGAGTATCCCCTGGGCACCCTGGCATAGCCAGATGACTTCCGTGCCCCTGTTGCAATAACCACTGCTTCCAAGTCTCTATAGACCACCCCTTGGGTATATCTAATGTAAGTGATATTTATTTTATTTATTTTTTGAGTCAGTCTCGCTCTGTCACCCAGGCTAGAGTGTGCTGATGTGATCTCGGCTCACTACAACCTCTGCCTCCTGGGTTCAAGCGATTCTCATGCCTCAGCCTCCCAAGTGGCTGGGACTACAGGCATGCACCATCACGCCCAGCTAATTTTTGTATTTTTTCAGTAGAGGTGGGGTTTCACCAAGTTGGCCAGGCTGGTCTCAAACTCCCCACCTCAAGTGCTCTGCCCGCCTCGGCCTCCCAAAGTGCTGGGATTACAGGCATGAGCCGTGGTGTCTGGCCCTAATGTGAGTGATCTTTAACACTGAGCACTTGAAAAAGAAAACCCTGAAGAAACCTAATTCTTTGATGTCTGGATGACAAGGAAGAAGATAGAAATGGCATCAGATAATAAACAGTGTAAATGTTTATCAGAAAGAGGCTGGTGGTCGGGACAAGTAGGAGGATTGCTTGAGTCCAGGAGTGCATCTCTACAAAAAAGTTAAAGGATTTTTTAACATTGGCCAGGCGTGGTGGCACACATCTGTGATCCCAGCTACTTGGGAGGCTGGGGCAGGAGGATTGCTTGAAGCCCAGGAGGTTGAGGCTGCAGTGAGCTGTGATCGAGCCACTGCACTCCAGCCTGGGTGACAGAGCAAACTCCAGTCTCAAAAAAAAAACAAATAATAATATTTTACATAACCAACCACTTCTAAAGATTAAAAAAACCCCTACGATTAAAAACCTCAGGTCCCTCAGGCAATCATACCAGATATTGAAACAAAGCAATAACATAAGGACTGCAGTATTCATTTTATTTTTATATTATTTATTTATTCTTCCTTAGTTTCTTGAGATTATCATCCGCTGAGGGTGGAAGGGGAGTGAGCAGACACACTCAGGAGGTGTCTTGAGATTATCATCCGCTGAGGGTGGAGCTGAGGGTGGAAGGGGAGTGAGCAGACACTCGGGAGGTGTCTTGAGATTATCATCCGCTGAGGGTGGAAGGGGATAGAGCAGGCACTCGGCAGGTGTCTTGAGATTATCATCCGCTGAGGGTAGAGCTGAGGGTGGAAGGGGAGTGAGCAGACACTCGGGAGGTGTCTTGAGATTATCATCCGCTGAGGGTGGAAGGGGATAGAGCACACACTCGGAAGGTGTCTTGAGGCTCAGGGAGTTATCAATTATAGAATGTTGTTGAGTTGGAGGAGGTGGCTGGTGGCCCATCCTGTTTTTTAAAGTTTCAGCTGTGAGGTAGGGCCAGTAGGGCAATCCTGAAGAATGACGATGCTCCACTGCCGCCATTCTGACCTGTAGGGCCAAAGGAGGGAATGTTTTCACACATATTCATTTGATGGACAAAATTACCGCCACCAACACAGTCTGCACCTTCTGTTGCTGGTGATAGATTTTTGCACCTTTCCATCCTCCAGGTTTCAAAATAGCAGTGTCAGTGTCATAATATCACCCTTCCACTGAGTACTGCCGACAGCTAGGGGGTAAAGAAAAGTCATTGGGACACACTGTTGTCTCCACATGCCACTGTGTCTGTCTGCAAATGTAGGCAGGCTGGGGTCCTGCCCCAGGGAAGACAGAGTCATAACAGAGTAATAAAGAAGCATGTTTGAGACACAGGAGTGTCTATGTCTATCCTCATTCCTCCCTCACAGCCATCACCAGAGCATGTTTCTTGCACCAGGTCAATAGACAGTAAGAGACAGTAAGAGAGGCATGAAAAGCCCATTGTCCACACATGTTGCAGCTTCTTTTTGGAGAATGTTTTCCAGGCCTTTTATGTTCTGTCTCTGATTCTCAGAACTCTGCAAGGTCAGTGTGACCACCCTGCTCCAAATCTAAGAAAACAGAGGTTTCCAGAGGAAGGAGAAATTGTGCCCAGGGTCACACAGCTTGCAAGAGGCAGAGTGGAAGTTGATTCCAGCTCTGCCTGCAGGACCCTCTCATTTCCCCTCTGTTTCCCTTCTTGACAAAGGATCTTCTTCACTCTGGAGGTGCCACCCATGAGAACAAAGAGCTCTGGAGAGATGTGGATTCCTGAAGAGCTGCAGGGGAACTGGGAGAGGGTTTTCTGACAGAACAATCTTACCTCAAGAAGTCAGTTAGGCATGGCTGTAATATTTCTTTTCACTCCCAGGTAATACCAAATTGTAAGTGCACTAGGACATAAAGAATACTTTTGTCCATGGAAAAATGAGGTGGGAATTCTAAACAAAGCAAGTTTTAAAACTGTGTTTCACTTCAAGTGTACAAGTCCCATCGCGTGTAATCATAGGACTCGGCAGCTTTTGAAGGTACAGAGGCCACACAAGAACCAGCTTAGCTGAGCATCATTTAAGGCCCTCATTTGGAATTGTCCCTGTGGGTAATAAGTTACATTCACTCTTCACTAATTTACAGTCAGGGCCCATTTGCTATTACAAATACGGAACCTCTGACACTTAGAATATTAGATGGGGGCCCCACTGGGTGGGGATGAAGGTGTTTTTGCGCAACACAGTTACCAACAGGGATGGGACTGTGATGCTTGTAGGCAGCCTTCCTCTCTGCCATCTCCCTCTGCAGGGCTTGAGCACAGAGCCGTAGGGAGAAAAATGTATCCATGTCCTGACCTGGCAGACTATGTCCAAAAGCAAGGAAAACAAGCAAACTTACCCGGTTGCAAAGAGGCTTTCTTGCAGAAGGGGTGATCTGAAAAAGCCAACACATGAGAAATTGAATGTTGAGAGAGTCTAAGGGCCGTGGCATCATCTGCATCAGCACTGAACTATCCTGCAACTGCGGGGAGGAAGCTCCTTACTTTGCATCTGTAGTAGTCCTCTGCCCGCCGCCGCAACGCTTGCGCACGTTGAAACATTTCCCTATGGATTACAATCACTTTCATCAGATAAAGCACCACTTTCAGGATGATTTTAAATAATCTGCCATGTTTCTGTTATCCTCACAACTGTACCCTTACACAATCTATCTCTACCTAGAAAACGTATTTCAGATGGCTAGAAGAGTACAGTCTGAGCCGGTCACGGTGGCTGACGCCTGTAATCCCAGCACTCTGGGAGGGCGAGGCGGATGGATCACGAGGTCAGGAGATTGAGACCATCCTGGCTAATACGGTGAAACCCCGTCTCTACTAAAAATACAAAAAATTAGGCGGGGGTGGTGGCAGGCGCCTGTAATCCCAGCTACTCGGGAGGCTGAGGCAGGGGAATCACTTGAACCTGGGAGGCGGAGGTTGCAGTGAGCCAAGATCACGTCATTGCACTCCAGCCTGGGTGACACAGCGAGACTCCATCTCAGAAAAACAAAAACAAAAACAAAAACAAAAAAAACTGTACAGTCTGATCCAAACTGTTGCTATATTGATTCCTCCTCTTGCTTACTGCCTGCTGACTTCTGAGATGATAGTTTCCTTCCCCATTCTCAGTATATCCCTAATTCATCCTTCATTGAGCATCTTTTATCATAAAGCTGTATTCTCTTTGTATTAATATCTTTACCGTGTTTCACAGGGCAGAAACAGCTGGGCTTATAAACAGGCATAGTCCTTTTGAAGGATGTGGTTGATCCTACAACAACACACTTTCCTAAGGATGACAACAACTCACCCCACCCCTAGAATGGCTGGTATGAACCGAGTTTCCACACAGTCTAGCTGGCAATGGGGTCAGGAGCCGTTTTGCTACTTCACATCTTTTGGTCACTGGTAAATATTAAGGTACTTTGTTTTCTGTTTTGTGAACTCTCTCTCTCTCACGATATGTCTTCTGACCATTTGTTTCTATTTCTGCATTTACTGGGTCTAAACATTGTACAAAGGTTAAAAACAACACTCCAATGGGCGTTTCCCAAGAGGGTGGGGTTCAGTTTCTGAACTCACATGTAGGTGTGTATTTCTTTCATATCCAATTTCCCATTTTCCTCTGCCTCTGACACCTGCCTCTCCTTTTCTCCGTGCTCACGTTCTTTCATGCTTAGTTTCCTCAGACTAGAAGGGAGAGAAATGCACACACATGATCCACCAGCACGTGTGGGATTCCCTCTGCCCTTCTGGCATCTGAAGGCTGATTCAAAGATCCCCCCTGCAACCTTCCCACAAATGAACCAACTGATTCTCACAACCGAAGGAAGAATGGACACCTCCCATTGAGGGACAAAAAAAAATCACACTCTGGCCTGCTGGCAAGTCACCTGTCATTTCCAGCTCATCTTCATAGTTCCATAGTTAGTCCTATTCTTTAGTAAATATAAAGACTATTAAAAGCTTCTATGAGGTGCACTATGTGCGTCTCTGGGGTCAGTCTTGTGCTTGACACAGCGAAAGCTCATTTTAGTTCAGTGTGAAAAACCAGACCTCACCAATTCATCACAACTAACTCCATCGGAAGCAGAGGATTGCTCCTCATCTGACTCCTCCTGTGTGAGACCTGATTCTCAGTCAGAGGCTGATGCCGGAACTGAGACCATCAGCCATAGAGAGATCCTTCCAGAATATGGTGTCATTAACCCCGCAGTTCACTACTGCACTTTGCCATGATTCAGGACTGGAACTCTTGTCATCGACTTTAAAGATCCTGAAAAGGCAATCTGAATGCTGGGCGCATCTATTGAATTAGAAATGATCGGAATGGCTCCTAAGTCAGGATGTTATGTCCTGAAAATAGGTGACAACGGCAAACCATCCACCCTGGTGTTGACTGACTTTAACAAGGTTCAGTTCACAGAGATTGAGGGCAGAAAAAGGAAACGGCCTCAAAAGGGTAAGTTTGCTGTGTTGCCCTCACACCACTTGATTCATGGTCCTGATCCTAAGGATCTCACCTGATACTTGGTTTTATAGGAAGGATGTGTAAAATTCCCAGAACGCTAGGAAACAGGGACGAAATCACTTCAAAGAGAAAGTTAATGAACTTGTTTCTGACCACAGGGCATCCTTCAGCACATGCTGTCTGGAGTGGCCTCAAACAAGGTGTGTGTGGTGAGGTGCTGACAATGCAATGGGAGCAGGGTCCTGTCCCCACGCTAAAGAAGCTCACAGTTTAATGCAAATGAGAAGCCAGTGAGGACAGCACTACTCCTGCTGTGCACTTGGGAACTAGAAACACAAAACCTGACTCTGGAGGGAAGCTAAGGAAGCATTCTACTCTTGAGTTGACATAAGTGCATCTGAAGCTTCTGATCTCCGATGAGAACAATGGGGGACACCAAACAGAATATAAAACCCATGATTGAATACATCAAATTGCTAACATGGCAGTAAACAGACATGAGGTGAAGATGGAGAAGAAGGAAACCCAGGACGAAAGTCAGCCTCGCATTTGGAACCCATTTCCCTGAGTTTCATTGCTGAATTCCAGAAGGAACTACTGAGATGCAAAGAAGCACAGCAGCTTTTGCACACATGCGTGGGGTTAGATGGAAAACAAGTGGATTGAGGGTCTGCCAATGAAAGCGATCCATACTGAAGTCCACTGGCTCTGGTTGAGACCCAGAAGAGTCATGCATCAGAATAGAGGTGGACAGGAAATACCCTGGCCTTTGTAGGGACTGAGCCTGCAGAGACGACCTCAATTGCAGCCTGTACGGAGGACCCCTGACCATCCCCCAGAAGTAGACTCCCATCTCTTCTGCAGCAAGATAACATGCTACTAGGCCTCAATGCATTGTTAAATATTTTTTAAAAAGTATCTCACATTTAACAAAAAAAGATCAGTCATATGGCAGCAAAATACAATGTAGTATGACCAAAACATGAAAGACTGTGAAAATGAATTTGGAGGTGACCCAAGCATTGAATTCAACAATCCAGGCTGGGTGCGGTGGCTCACACTGGGAGGCTGAGGTAGGCAGATCACCTGAGGTCAGGAGTTCAAGACTAGCCTGGCCAACATGGTGAACCCGTCTCTACTAAAAATACAAAAATTGGGCTGGGCACGGTGGCTCACGCCTGTAATCCCAGCACATTGGGAGGCCGAGTTGTGCGGATCATGATGTCAGGAGTTCTAGACCAGCTTGGCCAATATGGTGAAACCCTGCCTCTACTAAAAATACAAAAATTATCTGGGCATGGTGGCATATGCCTGTAGTCCCAGCTACTCAAGAGGCTGAGGGATAAGAATCGTTTGAACCTGGGAGGCGGAGGTTGCAGTGAGCCAAGATCATGCCACTGCACTCTAGCCTGGGTGACAGAGTGAGACTCTGTCTCAAAAAAAAAAAAAAAAAAAAAAATTGGCCGAATGTGGTGGCACACACCTGTAATCCAAGCTACTCGGGAAGCCAAGGCAGAATTGCTTCAAACTGGGAGGCAGAGGTTGCAGTGAGCCAAGATTGCACCATAGCACTCCAGCCTGGGCGACAGAGCGAGACTCTATCTCAAAATTAAAAAAAAAAAAAAAAAGCCTGGGTGTGGTGGCTCACACCTCTAATCCCAGCACTTTGGGAGGCTGAGGCGGGTGGATTACCTGAGGTCAGAAGTTCGAGACCAGTCTGGACAACATGGTGAAACCCCATCTCTAGTAAAAATACAAAAATTAGCTGGGCGTGGTGGTGGGCACCTGTAATCCCAGCTACTTGGGAGGCTGAGGCAGGAGAATTGCTTGAACCCAAAAGGCAGTGAGCTGAGATTGTGCCATTGCACTACGGCCTGGGCAACAAGAGCAAAGCTCCATTTCAGGAAAAAAAAAAAAAAAGAGAGAGAGAAAGGAAAACCAATGCCAGTACTAGCAACTCCTCTTCCCCTGAAAAAATGACAAACAAGAATGTAGGAAGGGAAAGGAATTATACAGCTTAAACTAATGAAGCAGAAAGGACAAGCTCAATTTTGAACCCACTGAATTTGCCACAAATATTGTAGAAAATATTCTCAAGGACTTTACAGTTGTCTACTTTGATTGGCACATGGTTCATACAACAGTATTTGTGTCAAGGCACATCTTACTGTTCTTTGGCGGTCTTCCTCTTTCCATTGATTTTGTCATGACGGTTGACTTTTGTTGTCACCTTCATCTTACGGATTTTAGCTCGAACTTTGGTTTCCACCTGTCTCCATAAAGTAAAGATGTCTTCCAGGACAATTTTAATTCCTGGAAAGGAAGAAACTCTTTTCTTTGTGTGCATACAAACGGACCTCAGCCCTTGGTGAGAGTGAGGAGAGGAGAAGGTGAGAAACCTGAGGGCAAGAAGCTGTTCTTTCCCTTTCCAGGGCAAACTCATTTCCACACTATGGGGACTCCAACAGAGCCATACCTTCCTGTCTACGGCAGTTGGACCTCCTGGCTCTCTGCTGTACATCCGTGGATCCATCATGTCCATTTTGAGACGGGAAGATAGTCTTCAGGAAAGACACCTAGGAAATAATAATATAAGAATGACGGCTGGGCACGGTGGCTCATGCGTATAATCCCAGTACTTTGGGAGGCCGAGGCAGGGTGGATCACGGGGTCAGGAGTTCAAGACCAGCCTGGCCAAGATGGTGAAACCCCATCTCTACTAAAAATACAAAAATTAGCCGGGCATGGCAGTGGGCGCCTGTAATCCGAGCTACTCGGGAGGCTGAGGCAGAGAACCGTTTGAAGCTGGGAGGTGGAGGTTGCAGTGAGCCGAGATCACACCACTGCACTCCAGCCTGAGTGACAGAATGAGACTCTGTCACACACACACACACACACACACACACACACAACACAACACACAAGAATGACATGAGGCTGGCATGGTGGCTCACTCCTGTAATCCCAGCACTTTGGGAGGCCGAGGCAGGCGGATAACCTGAGGTCGGGAGTTTGAGACCAGCCTCACCAACATGGAGAAACGCTGTCTCTGCTAAAAATACAAAATTAGCCAGGCATGGTGGTGCATGCCTGTAATCCCAGCTAGTCGGGAGGCTGAGGCAGGAGAATCACTTGAACCCAGCAGGAAAAGGTTGTGTTGAGCTGAGATTGTGCCATTGCACTCCAACATGGGCAACAAAATTCAAACTCTGTCTCAAAAAAAAAAAAAAAAAAAATATAGGCCAGGTGCGGTAGCTCACGCCTGTAATCCCAGCACTTTGGGAGGCCGAGGCGGGTGAATCACAAGGTCAAGAGATGGAGATCATCCTGGGCAACATGGTGAAACCCCGTCTCTACTAAAAATACAAAAATTAGCTGAGCATGGTGGCCCACGCCTGTAGTCCCAGCTACTCGGGAGGCTGAGGCAGGAGAACTGCTTGAACCCAGGAGGCAGAGGGTGCAGTGAGCCAAGATCCCACCACTGCACTCCAGCCTGGTGACAGAGTGAGACTCTGTCTCAAAAAAAAAAAAAAAAAAAAATGACATGAATATACTTCACACAACTGAACTGTACACTTCAACACGGTTAGATGGTAATTATCATCTTGTAAGTATTTTACCACAGGTTAACATGTTTCACAACTTGAAAAGGAAGTAATTAATTACCTTCAGCTCTCTGAGTTCTAGAATTTGTAACATTTCACCCCCTGCTCCTTCCTGATCTGCACTGGAGCATCTTTCTTCTGTCCCTGCTCTACTCAGAGTTCACTTTCCCTTCCCTCACATCAGCTTCGTTGAGGCTGGTTTGAACTTAACGCAAAACATTCTCACTAATGACTGAATTCCCACCAAGATTTCCATATTATCACAGTATGCTTTTAATCTTCGAAGATATTAAATATTTGTTCTCATCATAGCTAAAATGCAATGCAAATCCCATCTCAGATGTGGGTCAGATACCTATGAATCTCCTGAGGTAGTCATTGAAATGACTTTTTTCTTGAGACGGAGTGTCACTCAACCATGCTGAAGTGCAGTGGCACTACCTTGGCTCACGGCAACCTCCACCTCCCAGATTCAAGCGATTCTTGTGCCTCGGCCTCCCAAGTAGCTGGGATTACAGGTGCCTGCTACCATGCCTGGCTAATTTTTGTCTTTTTAGTAGAGATGGGGTTTCACTATGTTGGCCCATCTGGTCTTGAACTCCTGACCTCAAGTGATCCACCTGCCTCAGCCTCCCAAAGTGCTGGGATTACAGGCATGAGCCACCACACCTGGCCTGAAATAATATCTTTCAAATTCTTTGTAGAACTTGTTTTTTCCTGATTTCTGCACATAGGATTAAAAAAAAATCATGTACTAGGATTTCAAGAGAAGCAATGGGTAATCTAAAAAGATGAAAAGAGCAACCACGTCTATCCCACAGCTACTGCTAGATTTCATAGGAAAGGTAGCTGGCCCAGTTTGGAGCTAGGAGAAATGTCAAACACATGAAGAAATGAGAAGCAAAGAAATGCCATCACACATGAATGCTTCATGGCACCCATGATGTCCCTGCTTAGGAGGTAATGGTATAGATGACTAGATGACAAGGACAAAGATGAGAGGTGCAAAGTTGTCCAAGTCCAACAGCTCAACTGAACTTTCCTAAATGGAATTGTTAAAAAGTGGTAAATTTAAAAACTTCCCCTGGCTCACGTGGTGACTCACGCTTGTAATCCCAGCACTTTGGGAGGCTGAGGCGGGTGGATCATTTGAGGTCGGGTTTTGAGACTAGCCTGGCCAACATGGTAAAACCCCGACTCTACTAAAAATACACAAATTAGCTGGGCATGGTGGTGGGCACCTGTAATCCCAGCTACTTGAGAGGCTGAGGCAGGGGAATCACTTGAAGCCAGGAGGTGGAGGTTGCAGTGAGCCGAGATCACACCATTATACTCCAGCCTGGGCAACAGAGGGAGACTCCTCTTGGGGGTGAGAAAAGAAAAAAAAAAAAGCTTCCTCCAATTTATACCGAAAATTCTCTGTTCAGGACTAAGTGGCATAGAGAATGTTAAATGTGCCTAGATATCTTCATAACTCATATATTTTCTGTTTTCTACATATCTTGAAAGGCAGTGCCAAATGACGTGTAATTATCTAGGCGGTAAAACTGAAACATACTTCCTCTTCCCTTGAATATAAAAAAGCATTGTGGTTTAGTACTTTTATCTTGGATCATTGTTCAGAAGGAGGTTCAGCCCCCACACAACCACATTTTTATTGTCATGAATGGCAAGACAAAATGTAGAGCTCAACTTACGCAAAGGATAAAAGGCTCAAAAGACAAATTATGCCACAACTTAGCAGCCAAATTCTTACCAAGTATAGACTTTTGACATACTGATCTCATTCCAGTTGCAAGTGGGAACATGCACTTTGAATGATGTCATTCAAAATTACCCTGCCCAGACACACTTTTCATTGATTCTCTTGGAGGGCAGTTCTAAGAGATTCTCTGGGGCTTTCTCTGCATCATGAGACGCAGTGCAGTTCTGCCCTTCACCTTCCGGCAGTTTGTCACCTCGTCCCTATGACCTCAGAGGAACTTTGTCTCAGGCCAACTGTTTGTTCCTTGGGCTCTTTCATTTCCCCTAAAAATCATTTGCTGCCCCTCTAAATGGCCTACATCTCCATCTATCTCCCTCTACCCTCAGAAGAGGGTGCTCTTTAAGCATCAACCATCCAGCCCTTCTAGCAGTCTCATTTTTCAGCTGGTTCCCATGTTTATGCCTGTTCTATGTTTTTCTTTTCCTGTTAAGCTGTCTGTTGTCAGCTCATTTCTGCAGTGAATCTTCAGAGAGGAGATTGGAAGCTTTCCTTCCACCCATACGATAGAACTATAAAGCAGAAGAGTTTAGAAAGACTTTCCCATTTAAGTGACGAAATCTCATACTCCATTTGTGACAAATAGCACAAAGGTTAAAAAAACTTATTTTTGACCAAAAGCTCTGTTGACATTCTATTAAACACCGACCTATTTAATTTTCATAATGTAAATGGCAGATATTTTCATAATTCTTATGCTAATAAATCATTTCCCTGATTTTTTGGGTAAAACCACATATTCATAATGAAGTCCAGAAACGTGAATTGTTTCATATAATTTATTCTTATTTGTGATTACAAGTATACCTCTACAGAAAGTTAGTATACTCACACAAAGGTAACTTGTGCAGAGGGAGATGGCAAATTTATAACTTCTCAGAAACACAGTAATGATAAGTAACCAAGGACTTCCACCAAAGTCAGTCCCACGATGACGATGGTCAGCCAGAGTATTGATAACCTGGAATAATAATAGTTGAAATAATGAAAAGGTCAATGACACTGACAATATTTCACTCAGAAAGAATCATCCTTAGAAACCGTCAACCTCCTCCAAAAGGTAACCACATCCCTCAGATATCACCGTGGGATTCCACTGCTACAAAAAAGAACAGAAGTTAGAGAAGTCTCATGTTTTTCAGATGGCTGGTAGTGTTTTTAGGCATTGCAAATGTGGGGTGTTGTCTTTCTTGGTATAAAGCAGGGATATCCAATCTTTTGACTTCCCTGCCTATATTAAAAGAAGCAAAGTTGTCTTGAGCCACACATAACATACACTAACACTAACAATAGCTGATGATCTAAAAAAAAAAATTTTTTTTTTTTTTTTTGAGACAGAGTTCCGCTCCACTCAGTCGCCCAGGCTGGAGTGCAGTGGTGCAATCTCGGCTCACTGCAACCTCCAGCTCCTGGGCTCAAGCCATTCTCCTGCCTCAGCCTCCCGAGCAGCTGAGATTACAGGTCTCTGCCACCATGCCCGACTAATTTTTGTATTTTTAGTAGAGATGAGGTTTCACCATGTTGGCCAGTCTGGCCTTGAACTCCTGACAGGCGATCTGCCTGCCTCGGCCTCCCAAAGTGCTGGGATTACAGGTGTGAGCCACCGTGCCCGGCCATTTTTTTTGTTTTTGTTTGTTGTTTGTTTTTGAGATGGGGTCTCACTCTGTCACCCAGGCTGGAGTGCAGTGGTGTGCTCTCGGCTCACTGCAACCTCTGCCTCTCAGGTTCAAGTGATTCTCCTGCCTCAGCCTCCTGAGTAGCTGGGAGTACAGGTGCCTGACAGTGCACTCAGCAAATTTTTGTATTTTTTGTGGAGATGGGGTTTTGCCATGTTGGCCAGGGTGGTCTCGAACTCCTGACCTCAGGTAATCTGCCCGCCTCAGCCTCCCAAAGTGCTGGGATTACAGGCATGAGCCACTGTACCTGGCCAAAATCTCCTAATGTTTTAAGAAAGTTTACAAATTTGTGTTGAACTGCATTCAAAACTGTCCTGGGCCACATGCAGCCCGTCACTCATGGGTAAGACAAGCTAAGTATAAAGTAATTATCTTATCTTTTATTTTTGTTTTGAGACAAAGTCTTGCTCTGTCACCCAGGCTAGATTGCAGTGGCATGATCTCAGCTCACTGCAACCTCCGCCTCCCGGGTTCAAGCGATTCTCCTGCCTCAGCTACTGAGTAACTGGGATTACAGGCGCCTGCCACCACGCTCGGCTAATTTTTGTCTTTTTAGTAGAAACAGGGTTTCACCATCTTGGCCAGGCTGGTCTCCAACTCCTGACCTCATGATCCACCTGCCTCGGCCTCCCAAAGTGCTGGCAATACATGTGTGAGCCACTGCACCTGGCCAGTAGTTATCTTTTCTTTAGTTATTTACTTGTTTTTTAAATTGATGTATAACATTGGATGCATTTATTATATATCACATGGTAAAAGAATCCCTCTAAATAATACTTCTCTCTTGGATTATATGAATCTTTGTCATTTAAAGCTCAGCATAAGTAAAAAAAAAAAAAAATACAATGAAGAGATTACTTCATTCACAAATAAGTATCGAATTTTAGTTCTTAAAAAGTAACAAGGTGGGCTGGGCGTGGTGGCTCACGCCTGCAATCCCAGCACTTTGGGAAGCCGAGGTGGGTGGACCGCGAGATCAGGAGATTGAGACCATCCTAGCTAACACGGTGAAACCCATCTCTACTAAAAATACAAAAAATTAGCAGGGCATGGTGGCACGCGCCTATAGTTCCAGCTACTTGGGAGGCTGAGGCAGAAGAATCACTTGAACCTGGGAGGTAGAGGTTGCAGTGAGCCAAGATCGCACCACTGCACTTCAGCCTGGGTGACAGAGCGAGACTCTGTCTCAAAAAAAAAAAAAAAAAAAAATTACCAAGGTGGAGATCATGAAAATGGCATGAATAGCGTGGGATTTCTCTAAGATTGTTGATATTAATTCCATTAGACTCTTATGTGAGTGAAGACGAAGACTTCCCCTGAGTAAGTTCAGACAGCTTCTGATAACATTTCTACATCGATTCCTCAGGATTTAACTATATATTCTTGAAAACATCTCAATTTTAAATGTTTCTTTCAAGATGGTGAATTAAACAGAGATAGCCCTTCAACAGGTTGAACTCAGCATATGCTGAGTCTGAAATGGAAATGATGGAGTTAGAGAACCGTACAACAATGGTAATGATTTCAGAAACATGGTGTTGAGCAGAATAAAGCAGACACAAAAGAGTACCTATGGCATGGCATGCATCTGTATACGCGAAATTCCAGAATAAGCAAGCTAAGCTATGATAAGAAAGAGACTGGCTGGGAAGAGTGAGAGTTCACTTTCTGGGGTGACATAATAGTGTAGATCTTGGCTGGGCACGGTGGTTCATGCCTGTAATCCCAACACTTTGGGAGGCCGAGGCAGGCGGATCACCTGAGGTCGGGAGTTCAAAACCAGCCTGACCAACATGGAGAAACCCTATCTCTACTAAAAATACAAAATTAGCTGGGAGTGGTGGCACATGTCTGTAATCCCAGCCACTCGGGAGGCTGAGGCAGGAGAATCGCTCGAACCTGGGAAGCAGAGGTTGCGGTGAGCTGATATTGCCCCATTGCACTCCAGCCTCAGCAACAAGGGAGAAACTGTCTCAAAAAAATAAATAAATAAATAAAATAATGTAGATCTTGAAAGGGGGTTGGTTTATGCTGGTGTATGTACTTTCCAAAGTTAGTAAACTTACACTTAAGGTTATATATTTTGGCCAGGCGCGGTGGCTCACGCCTGTAATCCCAGCACTGGGAGGCCGAGGCAGGCAGATCACGAGGTCAAGACATGGAGACTATCCTGGCGAACACGGTGAAACCCAGTCTCTACTAAAAATACAAAAATTAGCCAGGCGTTGTAATCTGAGCTGCTCAGGAGGCTGAGGCAGGACCATTGCTTGAACCCCGGAAGCGGAGGTTGCAGTGAGCCGAGATCTTGCCACTGCACTCCAGCCTGGGCGACAGAATGAGACTCTGTCTTAAAAAAAAAAAAAAAAAAAAAAAAAAGTCATCAAACCAGATGACACAAATGAAATGACATTTCACTTTGTTTTGGTCCGTTTTGTTTGTTAGAGACAAGAGTGCAGCGGGGCCATCTCGGCTCACTGCAACGTCCAGCTCCTGGGCCCAAGCGATCCTCCCACCTCAGCCTCTCCAGTAACTGGGATAACAGGTACGCACCACCAGGCCCGACTAATCTTTTTTGGAATTTTTTGTAGAGATGGGGTTTCGCTATGATGCCCTGGCTAGTCTTCAACTCCTGGACTCAAGTGATCTGCCCACCTCAGCCCCCTAAAGTGCTGGGATTACAGGCCTGAGCTGTGTAATTTCATGCCGCGTGACACAGCCCAGTAAAAAGGAAGAAACCCCGCGGGTCCAGCGTCTACTCACACAGGTGGACTGATGGCTGATAAATCCCAGCAGGAGCCAAAAGAGCAGCCACAGCACCCATCTACTCACACAGGTGGACTGATGGCTGATAAATCCCAGCAGGAGCCAAAAGAGGAGCCAAAAGAGCAGCCACCGCACCCGCATGTCCTGGTCCTTTCAGGGCGCCCTGAGGCAGCCAGGACAGAGGTGGAGGTGGCTTAGGGCAGGGGGGAGGGAAGGGGACGGGGACCGGGCCCGATCTGAGTTGGGGAGGGGGAGGGGAGGGGGAGGGGAGGGGGAGGGGAAGGGGAGGGGAAGGGGGGAAGTAAGGGAAGGGAAAGGAGGAGAAGGGGGCTGTTGGGGAGGAGGAGGAGGAGAAGAAGAAAGGGGTCTGGGAAAGGATCCGGTTCAAATTAAGTTCTCAAGCGCTGGTGGAAGGTTTAGCTACAGGTCACGGAGAAGATCAGGGAAGCAACAGGACAGGCGGGGCAAGGGAGCGTGAGGCTTAGGAGCAATTAGGAGACAAAGGTTCTGCTTTCCACCAAACCTTCTTCGGTCTGGGCCCTCCCTTAGCAACCCTGGGGCTTTAGACTCTCTCTCCACCAATCCCTGATGACCCCGGTGGTGCCTCACAATGGACATTCCAAGTAGCGCCCGCATCATCCCAATGACCCCTCCCCCTTCTCAGTCCCCCACGCTCCTCCCAAGGCCAGGTCCTCTCTGGAACCTTCACAAACCTGATTTCTGGTCCTCCCCAACCAGCTCCCTGTCCCTGCTTCTGGGTGCTCCTTCCTTCCTGAGCTCCCAGGGTTCCTCAAGGTCACTTTTGGCGACAAAACATAAAAAACAAATGATGGCAGGATGGCAGGAAGAACCTCATACCCAAGCAGAGTGCCAGGTTTTACAGCCTCCGCTCAGCCATTCATATCCTAAGCAACAAAACATCAGCAGGATGCGGAAGGTCCCGATAGTAAACCATCTCCATCACATCCATGTAGCCATCCGTCCATCAACCTGTATCTCAGGAACAAATGTACATACATTCATTTTAAGCATGCATGGTACATTTACAAAAATTAACCTGACTTATTTTGTTCCAGCAAATCTCAATATATTTGAGAGCAATCAAATCACACAGCATGTTTCTGATCATAAAACTGTGCTAGAAGTCAATGATTAAAAGCTAATTCAAAATTATTATTTGCTTGGAAATTCAAAGTGCCCTTATAAGACATAAACATAAGAAAGAATCCAAAATGAAACAAGATTGCCTTTCAACTCAATGATGAGATCATAACATGGCAATAAAATGTCTCCCTCTGGCCTGGGAATTCCTCTTTGTGGCACAAGGTTGTGTGATCTCAAATCACCCCTAACCCACCTAGACATTTTAACATCCGAAACCGAGTGATGATGTCCTTATCTATATCATCTTACTGCCCGTGTGTGTGGACTTTAAATTCTGAACCCAAATGAGGGGGAGAAAACCAAGCTGACTTTCATGACTGAGCTCTCAGGGACGTCCAAGGAATCTGTGCATTTCAAGAAACAAAGTTCATCAGCTTCTCTCCTAAGGTATTTGCCCACAATACCCAGAGGGCTTGGCAGCATCATGTGTGATGGGTGGGGAGCTCCAAGCAGGTGGGCAGGACCCAGGGGCCTGGTGACCAGGACAGACCCCCACTGTCCATCACCTTTCCTGGCCCTGTCCTCAGCTAAACTTCCCACAGGCCTTCTGCCCGATCACACAGAGTGTGCCCAAACTCAGGCCTCTGGCAGCTGAAAACCACTGCTTTAAATCCCTTTACCATTTACTATGACATAAGGTTATTGTAAACAGGAAATATTCTATTGATGCTACAAATGGAAAGCCAATGCCTTTACCATAAATAGAAAAACAACCCTAAGAAGCAAGCAAAACAAAAACAAAACAGGGGCTGGGGGTGGTGGCTCACGCCTGTAATCCCAGCACTTTGGGAGGCCGAGGTGGGCGGATCACAAGGTCAGGAGTTCCAGACCAGCCTGGCCAATATGGTGAAACCCTGTCTCTAATAAAATACAAAAATTAGCCGGGTGTGGTGGTGGGCGCCTGTAGTCCCACCTACTTGGGAGGCTGAGGCAGGAGAACAGTTTGAACCCGGGAGGCAGAGTCTGCAGTGAGCCGAGATTGCACCACTGCACTCCAGCCTAGGCGACAGAGCGAGACTCTGTCTCAAAAACAGCAACAACTACAAACAAACAAAAAACAGGGTTAACAAAACTATGGAATTCAATTCTATTTATATGCTGCAGCCATGTTCCAGCCCTAGATTTGGCTGGGCATGGTGGCTCACGTCTGTAATCCCAGCACTTTGGGAGGCTGAGGCAGGCGGATCACGAGGTTAGGAGTTCGAGACCAGCCTCACCAACATGCTGAAACCCCGTCTCTACCAAAAATACAAAAATTAGCCAGGCATGGTGGCACACGCCTGTAATCCCAGCTACTCAGGAGGCTGAGGCAGGACAATCCCTTGAACCTGGGAGGCGGAGGTTGCAGTGAGCCGAGATCGTACCATTGCACTCCAGCCTGGGTGACAGAATGGAATGAGACTCTGTCTCAAAAAAAAAAAAAAAAAAAAGAAGAAGCCCTAGATTTCGGTTGTGTTGGTTGTAAAAGGAGAGACCCAGTAAGTGGGGGTCATGCCGCAGATTGCTACCCACAATGGACGGGTCACTGAGCAGGTCCGGCCAACTGGGCGTTCCCTCGCTGGAGGGCCAGCACACCAGACTGCAGGTGGCGCGGGTCAGCAAGGTACCAGGGGATGTGTCACACACACAGCCCACCCCCGTCCAGTCACGCACGGACACCCTGGGCTTCCGAGCAAACCTGCTCCCAGGTGGTGTGACCACATGGAGCCACAGACACCCAGCAAGGACACGCAGCCCGCACACCCCCGGTACTCCAGACACAGTGACCTGCACCAGGGCTCGAGGTTTCTCTAGGGAACCCACCTCTTAGAATCATCCAGAAACAAGTCACTCTTCATCTGTCCAGCAAAGGCCTGCTGAGAGGTGCACAGGGTCTTGAGTCCAAGCTGCGCCAAGGCGGCAGGACCCCCAGTAGAGCCCTCACCTCAGCGTGGAGGCCTGAGAACGTGAGGAAGGAGCTGTCCAGCACGGATGAGTCCAGGCAGCTGTCGACGTCCAGCACCTGCTGCCCGGCAGGTGTGGGGCTCGGGCTCCCAGCCACCTGCAGGACAAGGGCAGTGGTCAGCGGGCGGCAGCTCAGACCTGCTCAGGACAGGGATGAGAAGCCACCTCCTCAGCAGACAGGACAGAGCCCGGTGCCATCTGACAGAATGTCCTAGAATGCTAGATATATGGGACATCTGCACCGTCCGTGATGGCAGCCCCTCGCGACATGTGCCACTGAACACTTGACAGCAGACTGGTGCAGCTAAGGAACAGAGTTTTAAATTTCATTTTTTTTTTTTTTAGATGGAGTCTCGCTCTGTCACCCAGGCTGGAGTGCACTGGCGCAATCTCAGCTCACTGCAACCTCCACCTCCCGCGTTCAGGCGATTGTCCGTCCTGGCTCAGCCTCTTTAGTAGCTGGGATTACAGGTGCCTGCCACGATGCCCAGCTAATTTTTTGTATTTTTAGTAGAGACGGGGTTTCACTGTGTTGGCCAGGCTGGTCTTGGAACTCCTGACCTCAAGTGATCTGCCCGCCTCCGCCTCCCAAAGTGCTGGGATTACAGGTGTGAGCCACCACACCCGGCCATCGTTCCATTTTAATTAACTTAAATACGAGCAGCCACATGTGGCCTCTGGTTCCTGCCACGGACTCGGGAGCAACCCCTCCTGGTCGCGGCTTATGCGCCTTCTCTGTGTGCTGCTGGGGTTAGTTTGCATGTAACCTCTTGAGGACCCCACGTGTGCATTCCTAAGGGGTGCGGCCTCCCGTTTCCGTATGAATGGGAAGAGTTCCCACCTGCTGTATTCTTGGAAAGAGTCTGTGAAGGATTGGTGTTAATTCTTCCTTAACTGCTTAGAAAAATTCTATCGTGAAGGCTCTGAGCCTGGGCTTTTCTTTGTGGGATTTTTTTTTTTTTTTTTTTTGGAGACGGAGTCTTGCTCCGTTGCCCAGGATGGAGTGCAGTGGCGCAATCTCGGCTCACTGCAAGCTCCGCCTCCTGGGTTCATGCCATTCTCCTGCCTCAGCCTCTCGAGTAGCTGGGACTACAGGCGCCCGCCACCATGCCCAGCTGTTTTTGTATTTGTAGTAGAGATGGGGTTTCATTGTGTTGGCCAGGCTGGTCTCGAACTCCTGACCTCAACTGATCTGCCCGCCTCGGCCTCCCAAAGTGTTGGGATTACAGGCATGAGCCACCGTGCCTGGCCCTTTTTAATGTTTTATATAGATGGGGTCTTGCTATGTTGCCCAGGCTGGTCTCAAACTCCTGGACTCAGATCCGCCCACCTCGGCCTCCTGAAGTGTTGGGATTACAGGCGTGAGCCACCACACCCGGCCCGGCCACTGGGAGGTTTCTAAGGGACTAACTCGGCCTCTTCACTTGCTATAGATGTACTGAGATTTTCTTCTGGAGTGCATTTCGGAAGCGTGCACAGCCGCGTGCTTGCTTCTTCTGAGTTATCTGGCGTGCTGCTGTGCAGTTGTCCGTGGCGTCTGCTTAGCGAAGTGCCCTCGTTCTTTCACGATTCTGGCTTCTGAGTCTTCTCTCTTTCTCCCTGGTCAGTCTAGCTAAGGCTGCTCAAGTGTGTTGACCCTTCCCGAGCAGCCTTTGGTGGACGCCTTTCCCTCTGGCTGCAGCACTGGAAAGTGGCGGCCCTGGGCATGGTGCCGAGGCCCAGGCTCCATTCCCAGTACTCCCGGGTCCCCAGCCCCAGCCCACCTTGCTCCGGGACATCCGGAAGAGAAAGAGGATGGCCAGGTAGACGGGATAGACAACCACGCTGGACACCAGGCCAACAGCGACTGTGTCGACGCTCAGCGGGTTCAGCCTGGACACACGCCCCGTGCTGTGTGGAGGAGAGGAGGCCACACAGGTGAGGCTGAGGGGCAGGAAGGGCTGGGCAGGAAGAGGCTGTCCCGACCCCTACGGCACCCACCTGTAGGCAGAGTCTCCAACAGCCCCGTACCACACGGCGTTGGCGCCCAGGAAGAGACAGATGAGGAGATCGCAGCAGGTGGCCCTCTGGATGCGAGTGAAACAGCTACGAGGCGGCCGGTCCCATATGGAGAGCCAGATGTGCTTGTCAAAGAAGCCACGCTGCAGCTCAGCCACCAGCAGGCGCCGGAAGCGCAACAGGGCTGCGTGACCTAGAAGGCAGGGAGGGCCGCACTGCAGGAGGCCACGGGGCAGGACCACCCTGCCCAACCTCCCACGGAGTGGGAACACGGAACGAGGCCTTACTCGCGGCCAGCACCTCCTTCTCCACCAGGCCCCCGTTGGCCTCCGTCTCCACCGAAAGCCAGTCATTGACCAGGAAGAAGGTGCTGCGTGCCGTCTGCAGGTCCCTGACGATGATGTGCTGCAGGAACCAGGCAGGGCTGAGCCCTGCAGAGGCGCGGGAGGGAGGTCAGGTTCGCAGGGCGCCCCAATGCAGGGGCAGAGGGGCAGAGCTTGGCAGGGTCCATACAGACCTTTGTTGTCGTGCCACACTCGGATCTTCCACATGCTACCCAGGCTGTGCGGGGTGGCGATCTGGAAGATGTCCAGACTGTTGCGGTGGAAGGCTCTGTCGCCGTCCAGGTGCCGGTGGCCGCTCCGGCTGTCCACCCCATACAGCATGATGCCCACGTGGGCCGTGGTACCTGGAGGGCAAGAGGGAGGGGTGGGAGGCTCGGTCTGCTGCCCAACACGTGTGGCATCCCAGGCAAGTCATCTCAGCTTTGGCCTCCGCGCACTCAAGGAGCCACACAGGCAGTCCCGGCTTTGCACAGCTCTGCTATACACGAGGAGCTGCGGTTACTGCAATTTGTCCAATAAACAGCAGGACCTCAAGGACATGATTAAGTTACATGGAAAGAACTGTAACTTGTAACATGCAAACATGGCTGCACACGCCTCAGTCCACACCACAACCAGTGACCCGCACTGCACACCTGTCCACACCTCAGTCACGCCACAACCGGTGACCTGCACCACACACCCGTCCCTCAGTTCATGCACAGACTGCGAAGCGTGAAGCTGTGTCACCTCCTCTCCCAGTGACAGACCCAGGTGACAGTATTTTTTTTTTTTTTTTTTTTGAGATGGAGTCTTGCTGTGTCACCCAGGCTGGAGTGCAGTGGCGCAATCTCAGCTCACTGCAAGCTCCGCCTCCCGGGTTCACGCCATTCTCCTGCCTCAGTCTCCCGAGGAGCTGGGACTACAGGCGCCTGCCACCACGCCGGCCTAATTTTTTTGTATTTTTTAGTAGAGACAGGGTTTCACCGTTAGCCAGGATGGTCTCGATCTCCTGACCCCGTGATTAGCCTGCCTCAGCCTCCCAAAGTGCTCGGATTACAGGTGTGAGCCACCGCACCCGGCCGACAGTTTTTAAAAGTAGGTAATCAAAAGAAAGAACTGGGAAATGAAGATGAAAGCAGCATGGAAATAAAAAATGGGAACACGGCCAGGTGTGGTGGCTCACACCTGTCATCCCAGCACTCTGGCAGGCCGAGGCAGGCGGATCACCTGAGGTCAGGAGTTCGCCTGGCTGACATGGTGAAAAATTAACTGGGTGTGGTGGTGTGCACCTGTACTCCCAGCTACTCAGGAGAATCGCTTAAGGGGAATCGCTTAAACCCAGGAGCTGGAAGTTGCTGTGAGCCAAGATCACGCCATTGCACTCCAGCCTGGGCAACAGAGCGAGACTCCGTCTCCAAAAAAAGAAAAACGAAAACAAAAAGGGAATGCCAGAAGGGCAATTCCAAAGAAAGGAAAATGGAGGTATTGAAGAAACAGCCACGGGGAGGGTGCTGGCGCCTCCGTCTGAGAGACGAGCTATGCAGTCAGGATCGCGGGTGGATGCATGGTCTCCCACAGTGGTAGCGATGCTCACGTAACTTGTGGGGCTACGCTACTGTGTAGAACGTGGGCTGCCCACCCTGACTGACTGGCACCTACTTCCAGCTAGGAGCTGTCCTAGTCCTCAGGGACAGTGAGTGCTCACGAGGTCATTCCCAGGATGAACACACGAGCCCTTCACACAGCACTGCAAAAACTGCCTTGTTCTGACGCCTGCGACGAGACTCACTCCCAGAGGGTGCAACCAGCACAGCCAGTGAGAGCAGGGGAGGCCCTGCCACCCCGCCGCGCCCCTCACCTGAGCCCCGGCCCCAGCCTGTCTTGACGAGGATCTCGTACTTGAAGCGGCCCCGCTGCCCACAGAAGGGGATGGCGCAGCCCCGGCTGGCATCCAACTGGTCCAGCTTGTGCAGGATGGCGGCCATGACCATGTAGGTCACCAGGCACACAGCACATGTCAGCATGACGATGTAGTTTACATCCGCTGTTGGCTCCTGTGAAGACACAGCCGCCAGGCCCAGGAGGTCACGTGCAAGCTGTGCCTTCTCAGGATAGAGCCGAGCCCACCCAGGCCCTCCTCGACTCTGCAGAGGCTCCCAGGAGCACAGGGTCACTCACAGGAAACACAAAGCGGATATGGCTTGGGGGCACGAAGAGGCTGGTGCCGAAGGCGGTGAGGTGGCGGGTGAGGCAGACGGCCTGGCGGGGCGAGGTCTCCTCCAGGGGCAGCAGCCCCTCTGTCCGCCACACCACGTCCTCCTCGCTGAAGTACTGGCACAGGGACGTGTACAAGCCCACGGACACCTCCAGCGCCGACCAGCGGAAGTGGCTGGAGAGGTTCAGACGGTAACTCCCCACTGGGTCTCTGGTCCTGGGAAGGGAAGGGGCAGTGGACGTGAGCCCAGGCTCCGCCAGGTTGGATGTCGGAGTCCCAGAGCCCATACCCGGTCCAGTCCCCTCGCTGCCTGCCGTCCCCACGGGGCCCGTAACCCGGGCAATGCTGACCCATGATGCCCTGCCCTGCCCTGCCAGGCCGGCCCGCAGAGCTCACCCCGGGGAAATGAAGAAGGTGTAGGGCCGGTGGTCGGCACCCTGGAGGGACTCTGGGCGGATCCTCCTGCTAGCCGAGCAGTTGCGCTCATTGGGCCGGGGCTCCGAGTGCAGGTAGACTGCCAGGTAGGGCTCGGGTTCCTCAGACAGGTAGCGGCCTGGGGCAGAACGCGCAGGTCACACGCCTGCCGGGAAGCTCAACCACCCGGGGGACACCCACGATGGCCCTCCTGAGCCCACCCTCTGCCATGGGCCTGAAAGGCCATAGGAGCCTCTGCACCAGAGCTGGCACCTGCTTCTCCGTGGCCCCCAGCTCCTCTCCGGCCAGGCCCCCAGCAGCCCATGAAACAGAAAGCAAATTTCACCAGAGACACCCATGGAAGCCCTACGAGAAACGCCTTCCCCCCAAGAACAAGGCCAGGGGGCCGCGTGTGCCCCAACCGCTGCATGCACCGTCCAGCAGCGTATAGTTGAGCTGCAGATGCAGCACGGCCGCAGGGTTGCTGCTGTCCAGGGTGACCACAGCACCGACGGAGGCCTGGGGCTGGACCACAACGGAGTTGGCGGAGCTGCGGTGGCCCCGGGCAGCCCAGTCCGAGTTGTTGGGCACCTTCACGGTGAGGCGCGCTCTGAGGCCAGCCGCTCGATGGGGATCTGGGCGCCGGCCTGTGTCTGGAACGCCATCGAGGCCACCTTGGTGGAGACGGTGTAGTTGCTGATATAGCCAAAGGGAAAGGGATTGGAGTCCACCAGAAAGATGAGCTGCACCACGTCACTGAGGTTGGCCGGGGCCCTGCTGAAAGCCTAGGGGATGGAGAAGTGGCAGCCAGGCCCTGGGGCGCCGCCATAGCACAGCAGGCTCCGCGGGTCCGAGCGCTTGCCCTGGGCCACGATCTCCTCACCCGCCAGCGTCAGGGGCTCCTCGTTGAGCACGCGGGAGCGCGTGACGATGGGCGTGAGGGCAGAGGTCAGGTTGTAGGCCTGGGACGCCACCATCCGCGATGGTGACTCGGCTCCCAGCTCTGAGCGCTGTGGTGCCCGCACGTCTGAGCTGGCCAGGTGGATGAGGTCTCCTGCAGACAGGCGTGAGGTCAGTGCAGAGACAGGGAGGCAGAGGGAGGGTGGGGGCAGGCAAAAAGGGGGAGCCGGAGGGTGGGGACTGGGAGAAAGGGGGAACCTGAGGGGGCAGAGAGCGAGGTGCAGGCAGAAGGAAGAGGGAAGCTGGAGAGAGAGTGGTGGAGGGGGAGGGGGAAGGGGATGGGGATGAGGACGAAGATGAGGGGGATGATGGGGAGAGGGAGGAAAAAGGAAGGAAAAGGGTAGAGAAAAGAGAAAGGGGAGAAGAAGAGGAGCAGGGGGAAAGGGAGGGGAAGGGGATAAGGGGGATAAGGGAGGGGAAGGGGGATAAGGGAGGGGAAGGAGGATAAGGGGGATAAGAAAGATGAGGGGAATGGACAAAAGGACGGGGAGGATCGGGGGGGAAATGGAGAAAAGGGGAGAGAGATGGAGAAAAGGGAGGGATGAGGTGAGGGGAAGCTCTAGGGGAGGGGAGGAGGGGAAGGGCTAGGGGAGGGGAGGGGCTAGGGGAGGAGGCAGGGGCTAGGTGAGGGGGGAGGGGCTAGGGGAGGGAAGGGGGAGGGGAGGGGTTAGGGGAGGGAAAGGGGAGGGGAGGGGCTAGGGGAGGGAAGGGGGAGGGGAGGGGAGAGTGGAGGGCACAGAGCAGCATCTTCTTAGTCCCTCCCCACATCTGGGCCCCTCTTTACACCCTGGGTCCCCCGAGAGGCACCCTGCGTTCACACAGGACAGCAGAAAGGCTGAGGCTACTGAAGCAGGTCAGAGACCGAGGAACGCCACGGCAGGAAGGAGCCCAGGCTGGAGGCTCAGCTCCTCGGCCAAGCTGCCCGTCTGCCCTGGGGGGCTGAACCCAGTACCCTGGCAGGCATGCGGGGCGGGGTGAGCATGTGGGGCCATCCTACCATGCACTGGGCCAGCGCAGCAGCGATCTGCTGGATGTCATCCACAGTGTGGACCCTCAGGGACACCAGAGTCTCCGTGATGTTCTTGCGTATCTGGGCTCGGCGCTGCCGCTCGTGCTTGGGCTCTGCCGCCACGTCCAGGGCCCGCTCGTACTGGGGCAGGCAGGGGGCACAGCAAGCTGTCAGCAGGGCAGGAGGCCGGCAGGAGGCCAGCAGATGCCCACGACTCCCGGGGTGCAGTTACGTGCTAGATGCTGTGTGATGTGGGCACTGACCCGCAACACTGAGCTGTTTCTTCATGGGCAAAACAGGGTAAGCACATGGGCCCTCCTGGGCGGGGGCTGCATTGTGGAAAGCAGACACCGGAGAGGGCCCGGTGGGTGTGGCTGCTGGGAGCGGAACGTCGGGGTGCTGCTTCAGGGTCACTGGGATTTATCTCTGGGGCCCGGGATGAGCCCTCCGCAAAGCTCCAGGCAGGGGAACAGGTCTTGGTCCCCAGCACGCATGCAGCAGATGTGAGGTCCCCTCCCAGGCTGCACTCACCTCGTTCAGCACAGTGACCAGGGCCAGCGAGTACTCGATGACGTGCTGGGGATCGGCCTGCCGCAGCAGCCCCGGGAGCACACTAGCGGTGAGCCCGTGCAGCCAGACTGTGAGCCCCATTGCGCTGCCGTTGGGCTCTGGGAGGGTGATGGCCAGAGACCTATGAGCAGAGGGGGTTGGTGAGCAGGTGGCAGTCTCGGGGGCGCCCTCCCACGGCCTGGCTCACCTGTTGAGGGCGACCACAGCGGCTCCCAGCTGGTCCTGCACCACCACGGCCAGGCCCACCTCGAAGTGTGGCCTGAAACCCGGGGGCAGCACGGCTCCGTAGCCGGAGAGGCTGCTCTTGTAGACACAGAACTCTTTGCAGTGGCCCTGGCAACAGCGCTGCAGCAGCAGGGCGTACACCAGCGGGGCGCCAGCATCCTCCGCGTCATGCCAGCCTGAGGGATGGTCCCCACAGCATCACGGGAGGGCTCCGTGACGTCACAGAGTCGGGGGATCCCGCTGCTCCCCCTACGCAGGCCTGCACTCACCCGTGCATTCGAAGTGCACCTTGGTGGTGAGGGCGTGCACAGCGCCCAGTGGGAAGAGGCGGCAAGAGCCCTCCAGCGGCGGGCGGTTGGGGGACAGGGGGATGGAGGCACAGCCCTCCTCCTCGCCAGAGCGGCCCAGCACCGTCAGCGTGAAGGTGTATCCCTCGCCGTCCCGCAGCACGCCCCGCCGCAGCACCAGTCACATGCCTGCGCTGCCCGTGGATGTGGTGGTCTCATCCAGCACCAGTGTCTTGTTGCTGAACGTACGTGCAGCCCACCGCTGCAGGCAGAAGGGATGGTGAGGGGTCGCAACCCTCTGCCCTGTCAGCCCCACTTCTGCCTGCAGGCCCCGTCCCCTCGGCCATGGGACCCATCCCCAACCCGCCCACACCCCGCTCAACACTCACCCCTCGCTTGGAGCCGCTGCTGCAATTGAGGCAGCGGCCCTCCAGGTACACGTAGGAGCTGCGGCTCACTTCGTACACGGCCTGTGCCTTGCAGGACACACACTCCAAGGACACAATGGGCACCCGGCCACTCCGGATCAGCACCTGGCGTGGGAGTGGGGTTACCTCCAACACAGGTCTATTTGGCCTGCTGGAAGGTCTGGGGGACCCGTGGAGGATGCTGCTCCCAAACTCCAGGTTTCCCAGGGGCCTGGCCACTGCCGGTGAGCTCACCCCCTCCCAGGATACTCATCCGGTTTGCCACCTTCCAACCTGGGCGGCGGAAGGGCATACACAGGGCAGAGGACACTGGGGTGTGTGTTCTGGTGTACTGGACCCAGCTGGACCCTGGCAGGAGGCAGGCAATGCTCACTGAGGGCCCCTGGGGGGATGCGTGTGGGAACAGACGTATGTGTGGGTGTGAGGACCGCAGTTGCCACGTAGGCCTGACTCACAGACTCCTGCAGCCCTTAGCCAGGGCCTGGGTCAGGAGGCTGAGCCGGGATGGAACCTGCTCCCACACCCTCCCCTCAGACGACCCCTCTGGGCAGACCCCCAATCAGGCCCGTTGAGGAAAGCAGGGACTGGGGAACAGACACCCACTCTGGGGCACCAGCAGGCCCCGCCTGACAGCAGCAGGAGCAGCCACCATGGGCTCAGGGTCACCAAGCCTCCTGGCCGGTCCAGAGTGGGGAGCATGAGGGTGAGAACCGGCCCACCACATCCAGCAACAGGGACATGGGCTGGGGACAGTGGCTGCCTCTGGGGTGGGAAGGGGCTCTTCCTCACTGTTGGTATTGCTGGGGGACTGTGTAGCTTTTGTCACTAGAGCATATGTGGCTTGAAGACTGTATGTGGAACTGTGGCAGGTTTGGAAGGAAGCAAAGCTGAAGCAGGCTGTCGTGTTACATAGAATTTGCATCAGAAACAGAGAGGGGAGAGCGCGCGGCCTCCACCAGCACTAAAACACGGAAAACAGTAGATGAGCAGGGAGGCTGGGCTGTCCAAGGCAAGTGGCCGAGGGGCGGGCGGCACCCACCGTCTGGTTGGTGGCCTCCTCCTTGCGGCCGGCCTTCCACACGGTGAGGCTGAAGGTGTACTCCACGCCAGCTGCCAGCCGTTCCCGTGGAATGGTGACCGTGCTGCTCCCGCGGGGCCCAAAGTTCAGCGCACACCCGCCAGCCTCCCTCTGCAGGCCGAGAACAAGGGGCGACGTGGCCCGAGAACCCCATCCAGTTTTAAAGCAGAGCCCGGCCCAGGAGACAGTGCGGGAGACCCCCTCCCCATGCTGGGACGGGGCCCACCAGGCACTGAGGACGGGCCAGCCCTGGTGGCAAGCTGGGTGTTCTCTGGGCTCATGGGTGTGGACGGGTGAGGGGCAGGGAGGACGGCCCTGCCACGCACTGACCTGTGTCGAAGCCACACAGGCCCACTGGAAACTGAGCGGCGTCTGGTCGCCGTCCTCCAGGTTGGGGTCGTAGGACTCGCTCCCATCCAGCACCAGGTCCTGTGTGTCTGACCACACGCGGTAGGAGCCACCCTCAGTGATGGGCACCAGGCGCTCGGGGGCCACCGTCACATTGGCCTGGATGCTCCGTGCCAGTGGCGTGTCCCCAAATGACACGACAAACACAAAGCAGTAGTGCCCCACAGGCAGCGCCAGCCACGGCAGCACCAGCTGAGGCCGGCTCACGTCCACGCCGGGCAGGGCCACACGCGCCGGGCGCCCCGGCCGCTGGCAGCTGGCGGTGCGGTACACCTCCCAGCGGTACTCAGTCTGGTAGGTGACACAGTCGCGCAGGTCAACGTAGGCATCCAGGCAGTTGCGCTGTGATCGTCGCATCAGCACCTGCAGGGGCAGGACCACGTCCACCTCCGGCTCCCGGCAGGCCAGCACCTGGACGGTCACCGTGGCCTGCGCCACGAAAAAGCTCACCAGGTTGGAGGCGTTCACCTGCACGCGGTAGTCCCCAGGCCTCAGGTAGGAGTGCTCGGCCCTGGGCTCATCTGTGTCCTGCCCTGGGGACCCATCCCCAAAGTCCCAGTGGTAGGCCACGCGCCGGGGGCTGGGGCTGGTGGCGGCCTCAAACTGCGCCGAGCGGTTGGTGAAGCAGGGGCCGCTGCGCAGGGCCACATACTGGACGGCGTCCTGAACCTCCAGCACCAGCGTGCGGTTCTCACTGCCCAGGGCGTTGAAGGCACGCACCTGGATCTCCAACAGCCCCGCGGCCACGGCGTGTAGGTGACGTCGCGGCCCGACAGGATGAACAGAGAGTCGCCCCGGACCTTCTGCAGCGAGAAGTACCAGGCGTAGGCGACCCGAGAGCCGCGCTGCACGCGGGCTGTGAAGTTCCTCTCAGTGCCCATGGCGATGCCAGGCTCACAGCAGTTGGGCACCTGCAGCCCGCTCACGGCCTCCAGCACCACGATGCGCACCTGCGCCTGGGCCCAGCTCACGTGGTTTTTGCCCTGCACGCTCACCACGTGGTCTCCGATGCGGGGGAAGCTGTGGGAGAAACGGGGCCCAGGGAGCACTTCGGGGCTGGCCCCGCCGACCTGCAGGCGGAAGGTGACAGCTGAGCCGGCAGCCAGCAGGATCTGAAAATGGACAAGCTGCCCGGGCGCCACCACCTTGCTGCTGGCCCACAGCACCAGGCCCACGATGGGCTCCTCCACCGTGAGGTTGTACGTGGCTGAGACCCAGCTGACTGCGTTGGAGGCATTGAGCCAGATGTTGAAGGTGCCAGCATCCGGGAAGACCATGGTGACATGAGGGCCACGCTTGCTGCTGCCGCCGGGCACAGCCCAGCACCAGCTCACATTGGTGCCCGTGGCCAGCTGCCCCCAAAAGGGCACAGAGGACCCGGCCGCCACGAAGCTGCCTCCCGGCTCGCTGGCCCTGATGCTGAGGCCACTCACAGGCACCTGCACATCCACTTCCACGGTGGCGTTGGCTGAGCCCAGCGGGTTCCCTGCCGTCATGGTGACCAAGTGCAGGCCGGGTGTGGGGAAGCTGTGGGTGGTAAATGGCTCGGGGGTCTCCCAGCTCAGCCCCTCCTCCAAGGACCAAGTGTATACGACACCACTGCCACCAGCCAGCTCGGCACTGAGGGTGACGCTTGTGTTGACGGCAGCTGGGTTCGGGGAGGCGGCCACCATCAGCCACCCCACAGGCTCCACGAAGTCCACGGTGCAGTCAGCCCAGGCGCTGCCCAGCATGTTGGTGGCCCGCAGCTGCACATGGTAGGAGCCGGCCTCGAGCGCGGTGAGCGAGAAGCCTTTGCCGCTGCCGGCCAGGGCCGGGCCCCTGTCCCTCCAGGCAGTCCAGCTGTAGGAGATGGTGCCGTCCCTGACCACGGCCTGCAGCTGTACCATGTGGTTGGTGGGGAAGTAGCGGCCACCGCCCACCACCTGCAGCCCCTCTATGAGCTGCAGGACATAGACGAAGATGCTGTCCTGGGCGGAGCCCACCTCGTTCTCAGCTGTGACGATGATATTGAAGGTGCCCACGGAGCGGAAGGTGTAAAGAGATGGCAGGACCCCCAGAGATGGGCGTGCAGCGGTCACAGAGCACCCAGGAATAGCGCACATCACTGCCGGCCTCCAGCGAGGTGCTGAAGCTCATGCTCCCATTCAGGGGCACCACCGTGCAGCTGGCATTGACGATGAGCCCCCGCACGCGCCGCTTCACCGTCACATTGAGCCAGGCCTCGCTGCGGCTCACCTCATTGCAGCCGGCCACCCTAACGGTGAAGTCACCTGTGCTGTTGTAAGCGTGGGTGACCTCCGGACCCTCGAGCCGCCCACCGTCCCCCAGATCCCACAGGTAGCTGGCGGGGCGCCCACGGCCCACAGCAGAGAACAGGTACGGCTGCTGCAGCTCCAGCCCAAGGGAGCCATTGACCTTGATGCTGGTGACCAGCACGGGCTCCTGCACCTCCACCAGGGCTGAGTCATTGGCAGCGGAGATGTTGTTGGACGCGGTGACTGTCACAAGATAGGAGCCTGGGTCTCGGTAGATGAACGTCACCTCAGGGCCCCCGACACGGGCGGGGACGGCTTCTTCGGTGCCAAAGTCCCAGGTGTAGCGGTAGGGGAACGGGGGCCAGGCACATGCCACCAGCCGGGCCTCGTCCCCGAGCTGCACAAACTGCCTCTCTGGCTGCAGGGTGACGTTGCCCACCTCTGGCTCCACGCAGATGCTGGTGAAGTAACGCGCCCTGTTCACGCGGCTGGACAGCACCAGCGCCAGGGGGAACGTGCCGCTACGCGTGAAGTTGTGTGTCACCGTCGGGCACCCCCGCATGGTCGTGTTGGAGGAGCCATCCCCAAAGGTCCAGTCGAAGAGGTAGCGGGCCGGGTTCCCGGTGACGTAGGCCGTGAGCCGCGCGTCAGGCTGAGTGGGGATGCAGGCGGCGGGCTCGACGCGCAGCACCTCCAGGACGAAGACCAGCACGTGCAGGCTCCGGGCCAGGTGGCCGGCGGGGCTGGCCGCACCCACGGTCACTGTGCAGTTCTGTGCCCGCAGGTACACATGCTCCACTGTGGCCTCTGGGCCCGACAGCACGGTGCCGTCCCCCATGTCGAAGGTCCACGTGATGTTGTCGCCCGTCTGCACCGCGGCACTGACCACCACGGGGGCGCCCTGCTCCACGGCCAGGCTCATGTCCACGCTGAGCCCGCGGAGCTCCTCAAAGACGCGCACATCCGCCTGGGCCGCCGCACCGCTCACCGTGTTGTTGACCTCCAGGCGCACGTGGTAGATGCCCCTCGAGGGATAGGTGTGGTTGGCAGCCGGCTGGCTCTGGGTCAGGACAGGGGAGCCGTCCCCGAAGTCCCACGTGTAAAGAACACCCCCAGGCGAGGGCAGCAGATGCGGGTAGAAGGTGACGGGCCGGCCGGCCACCAGGACGCCGTCACTCACACCCACAGCCTCGGAGGGCAGGGAGGCGCGCACGCTCACAGGCACCTGCTGCATCCGGTTCTCGAAGGCATTAGATGCCAGCACGGTCAGGACGTACTCACCTGTGGGGACAGGCCCAAGTGGGGCAGCCGCGGCACCCCCACCTGCTCCCCACCCGCTCGGCAGAAGCCCCCCGCCTGAGGAGCCCGGGGTGAACGGCTGCACCTGCGGCCCAGCCTTAAGGGTCCCAGGCTCCCAAGCCACGTGCGGGACGGAGCACAGGTGCAGCAGCACTGAGGGCTGCCTGGTGAGGACGGCACCGCCTCCAAGTGCAGCTGCACTCGGGGCAGCAGAGCAGCAAGAGCCAGGCCGCGGCGGGGGGCAGTTCAGGGGGCCCAGCTTCCCTGTCCACTCCCCCCACGCCTGGCCCCTCCCTCACCCCAGTAGGGACCTAAGCCATCAGCCCAGGTGAGGTCACAGTGAGGGCTGTTGGGGAGGAAGGGGGGCAGCTTGACTGGGGGACTGGGGGTGCCCCGTGCTCAGAGCCTGAAAGGCAGTGGCCCCCTCACCCCCTCATCCCTCACCTGGGGCAGCGTAGGTGTGCGTGACATTGTGCTCCACCAGCACCTGGGCCACCGAGGGGTCTGGAACTGGGAAGGACTCGTTGTACGGAGGCTGGAACTGGTGGAGGGCCTGCTCCCCATCCCCAAAGGTCCACCTGCCGGGGCGGTGGGAGGCAGTGAGTGAACCGGGACAGGGGTGCGCAGTGGCGGGGCACAGGTGCGCGGTGGGGGGGCAGGGGGTGCTTGGGACCCAGCTGAGGCTCCACTCTGCAGTCACGCCCCGGGCCTCCATTCAGGGCCCACCCGGCTGTGCTGAGGCCTCTCCCGGCTCCCGTGCAGCCTCAGGGCTCCTGTGCACCCAGTACCTCCCAACAGATAGGGAAACCGAGGCTCAGAAAAGCAACCCCCTGATGTGGGGTCCCTCGGCTGAGGCTGGGGCCGGGACAAGAGCCTGGTGCCCACCCCAAACCGGCCCCCGAGTCACTCACAGGAAGGCCACCTCCACAGCCGAGTCCACCAGCACGCCCGCCGTCAGTGCCAGCGTGGCATTGGGGGACAGCACGGCCGGCACTGTGGAGACCCGCAGGCCCTGCATCCTGTTCATCCGCTCCACGGTGATGTTGTAGTTCACGGTGACGTTGCTCACGTGGTTGGAGGCCGTCAGCTGCAGGGATAGGCATCAGTGGGCCCAGGTGGCAGGTGAGAGGCCTGGCCCTGCTTAGCGTCCCTCCCTCCACTCACCCACAGCCATGGCAGCGTCCTCGGGCAGCATGAAGCAGAGGTGAAGGTGGAGCCCGCCCCGCCCCACCCCATCCCCTCCCCTCCCCACCCCCGCCCACCTACTGAGAGCTTGAAGACCGCCGCGCTCTGATAAATGACATTGAAGACCACGTTCTGGAAGGTCAGGGACTGCTTGTCGTTGATGGTCCACCGGAAGACCATGTCCGAGCCGGCCTCCACCACGGGGCTGTACCTCTGCGGGGGGACTGGTGTCAGCCTGGGCTCTGTGGAGGACTCTGCCCTTAGCCTGTCGCCTCCTGGACACACCTCCCGTCAGGCTGGAGAGTCCCACGCGGGGCACAGAGGAGAGGAGGTGGCCGGGGCTCTGCATGCCATGGGAGCCAAGCCCGGGCTGGGACACTGACTGTCCGGCTCTCCAGCCAGCCATGTAGTACTACTAATGCCTCAACCTCTCTGTGCCTCAGTTTCCCCATCTGTAAAGCAAACCTAGTACCAGCTACAAAGAGTCCACCTCTCTCTGAGTCTTCTCAGACCCTCCCGGGGCTCCTGCCCCAGCTCCTCAGCCAGAGAGCTCGGAGCAGTGAGGGGAGGCACACGGGCCTCACAGGGACAGCACCTACACTGGCTTACAGAACCCAGGACAGGCTGCACAGGTCACGCCATTTCTGATGGCCCCTCCCAAGGCCCCTGGTGAAGGGGCAGGTACCCGCAAGACGGAGACAGCCCTGTCCCCCATGTACCCAGCATGGTGGCACCGCGGGCAGCCCGCAGTTTCCCATCAGGGGTTCAGACTCCACCTCAAAAGCCACTCGCTTTAGCCAGGTGAGAACACAGCAGAGGGCGTGAGAGACTCACGGGGGCTCGTGTGAGGTCAGGGAGCGGAGTTTTAAATTCATTTCATGAAATGAGACGGTGGAATGAGTTAGCGGAGCCGCTGTCAGAGCCGTGACTTTCCAGGAATTTAAAGCCCACCAGGTAGCCTGAGGAGCCAGCCAGCAGGACCTGCCCGGGGCCGACGTCCCCAGTAACTGGGCTGCTGCCCTCACTGGGAAGCCAGGCCTCACGCCCTGTGTGAGCACCCTGTCTGCAGGCACCTGCCTGGGGGCTGGTGGTGGAGCCTCGGCCATACTCACCACTGGGACTCCCTGCAGTACACGGGCCTCGGGGCTGGGCGTGGCGCGGAGGCCACAGATGGGCTCCTCCGCCGTCACCCGCAGGCTGAGGTTGGCCCGGCTGGCGCTGTTTTCCACCACAACGTCCATCACGTGCTCCCCCTCACCGAGCCACGGCAGTGCTACCACTGAGAACAGGGTATCATTGGTCTCCCAGGGGCAGCCGGGCACGAAGGTGGCCACCAGGGCAGGGCAGGCATTCTCAAAGCGAGCGCTGACACTGCCCCCAGGCCAGCGAGCCGTGGCCGTGGCGCTGGCACCAGAGTCCACCTGGAGCACCGAGGCTGAGCCGTTGGTGGGCACGTAGAGGCGGCCGTCGCGGGGGGCAGGGTAGATGACCCGCAGCCCAGCCACTGGGGAGACCACGTCAAAGCTGCAGGACAGGTTGTGCCTGGACACGCCATTGCCCACCTCTGCCCGGACCTCATAGCGCCCAGGCAGCCGCAGCCCAGGGTTGGGCCTCAGGCCCAGCAGCACGGTGAGCTGTTCCGTGGCTGCAAGCAGCCGCAGGGCACAGGCAGGGCAGGCCCAAGTGCCCTCCAGCTGGGCTGGCAAGTGGGGCAGCCATGACGAGGCGTTGGCGGAGAGGTACGGGGCCTGGGGACCAGGGTGGCCGGGAGCCGGCGAGCAGTGCGGGAGGGCGCCAGGGCCAGCGTCGTGCTGCAAGCCAACGAGGTCACCAGGGAGCATGAGGACATCCTGGCCGTGGAGGGTGACCTGTGGAGAGGGAGGCAGGGCTGCATCACGTCCTCACGGTCATGGCCCGTGGACCCCTGCACGACGGATGAGGGTGGACACGCAGGGCTCCCCGCTTCGTCAGCCACACCTCAGGGAGCCTCCCCACAGTGCTCGTGACAAGGACAGGCAGGACAGTTGCAGACAGGGGGACACACGGGGAGAGGACACAGGCCAAGACCTGGCAGACAGGAAGGAGCGGCTGTGCTGGGAGAGAGGAAGAGGAGGCACAGCTCGTGCCAAGGGCCCAGGCGAGAGCTTCTCCCACTGGGAGAGGGGCAAGGGCACTGCAGAGGTCGGAGGTTGGAGGTCGGAGGTCGGAGGTCAGAGGTGGCAAGGACGTGGGAGGGGCCTGCAGGCTGGGTGTGTCTGCTGCGCAGACCCAGACCCTGGGCAGCAGACAGGAAGGTGGCCTGAGGAGATGCAGGGAACAGACCCAGGTCAGGGCCACACACCGAGTACTGCGCGGGGGGCCCCGCGGGAACGGAGAAGAGGAACTCTCTCCATAGCGCATAGGGGGCCCCGAGTAGCCCTGGCCCCTGACGTGCAGCCATTGGCGCAGGCCTGGGGTGGCAGGAGGCGTCCAGCGGCAAGCAGATGTTGGCTCCAGGGCACCAGCGTCCCCCTGGCATGCACGCGGGGGCCAGCTGGGTCCTGTTGTCCGGGGACCTGCTCTCAGGCTCGCTGCCGTTCTCCGGGGTCCCTGCGAGGAGGGGAGGGTGTTGGGGCCCTCATTCGCCCACGGGCCACCGTCAGAGATGCCCAACTGCCTGCACCAGCGAGCCTGGCCTTGCTGTGAGGACAGGTCTCCCCGCCCGGGCAGCACTCCCAGCCCAGTGCTGCGTCCCTGTCTCCGGCCAGCTGACTGACCCAGGCCGGTCCCCAGGCAGGCCCCACCCGATCCACCCCCAGGACACCTGGAATGAGCTGGTGTCTCTGGAACCCCTGCTCTGTCCACCTAAGACTGGGAACCACTCTGATGGCCACAGGACCAGCAGACGTGAGAGCTCAGAGAGGCCACCCCGAGTCCTGCGGCGCCCACCACCCCAGAGTCCCACCTGCTGTGCTGAGGAGCCGGTACACCTGCAGCCGCAGCTGGGCGGGCCGCCGGAGCTCCTGGGTCCCAAATTCGGCCGTGGTGAGGAAGGCTTCACGGCTCAGACGCAGGCCCGGGAATACCATGACCTGGTGGGCAGGGGGCCGCCTCAGCTCCACAGACCCCATCCCAGCCTGAAGCCCAGACTCCCCCCACCCGAACTTCCCAGGAAGAGGGGAGGGAAGGAGAGCGAGCCATCGGACCCCCACAGGCCTGGCTCCTGTCGCTCGAGAGGAAGACTCCGATGGAAACTGTCCATGGGGGGCAGGACCCCTGACCTGCCTTTCAGGAATAACTCACCCACACTCAGAGAAAAGGGGGTAATGTGAGTAAACGCTTTCCTCTCTGCACTCTGGATTTTCCCAACCATCTTCACTGGGCACAAGCAACATTAAGGCCCCCAAGTTTTTTGGGGAGACCCACAGTGGGCAGGGCAGGCGAGGCCTCCAGGGGCAGGCAGGAGGGCAGGTTTTAGAACGTGGGGGGCCGACTACCTCCACGGGCTCATGCGGGGCTGAGAGGCCGTCCTGCCGTGCCAGAGGCATCAGGGGTCCCTGCAGGTCCCCACTGGGCGCTCCCACGAGGAGGTTCTCGGCATCCTGCACTGGGCCTGGGGTGGCAAGTGCACAGTGAGGCGCCGGGCCAGGGCCCAGGACACCAGGACGAACAGACTGGGGACCGAGCCGCCCGAGAACCCCCCCACCAGCCCCTCCTCCTCAGCCCAGGCTCCACCGCGGGCGCTCGGCAGGCCCCTAACCACAGCCAGCGTCTCAGGCCCCTGCCTGGCCCCTCGCACACCTCCAGGCCGCAGCTCGCAGACGTAGCTGTGCGGCGCTGAGCACAGGTCGGTGTTACACCACCCGGTGGGCCCGAGCCGGACGCAGTGCTCGGCTGTGGCTGGGTGTGGCTCCCCGGGCAGCCAGTTCTGGCAGCTCTCCAGGCTGAAGGCCTCGCCCTGCGGGGCTGGGCCCACCTCCACCCCCTGCACAGTCGAGAAGCCGATCCACATGTCTAGGCTCCTGGGGGCGGGTGTGGGATGGCAGGGGGCTCAGGGCACTCCTCCATCCTCCCACCCTCACAGCAGCCCACTGGGAGCCCCGTCACTGTCCCCCTTTCCAGATGGGGAAACTGAGGCTCAGAGCCCGGAGAGCAGGGCCCACCAGCCCAGGCTCACAGCAGCACCCACCCACGAGGCCTGTGGGCACTGGCAGGGATCCCCGTGCAGGCCACCTCCCGTATGGCGTGCCCAGGAGTGTCCGGAGGCTGCCCCCAGCTCGTGTCCACCTCTGCATCTGCAGAGCTGACAGGAACGGCCCCACCGGCCGGCGCCACCTGCTCACCAGGGCCGGCCCAGCTCCCACCTCCCTCCTCCTGAGACTCCCCAGCCGCAGGCTCTGCCCCACTGCTTCAGAGATCTCCCAACCTATGGCCCCTCGGGGGGTGGGGGCAGGCACCTGGTGACCCGGGAGACCAGGAAGCGCTGCATGGCGGGACTGTCCACCATTGCCAGGGCGGCCCCGGCCCAGGCCCGACACTGCTCCTGCGCCTGCAGCCAGGCCGCCTTCTCCACCACCAGGCGGTAGCAGTGCCCGTTGCCAGAGAAGATCTCCGTGTCCGAGGGGCAGAGCGGGTGCACCGCTGGAGACCGGTGGGAACGAGGGTGTCAACGGTCAGTGTGGGCCCAAAACGGGGGTACCAGGCTCTGCCCCATCTGGATGGCCCTGGGGAGGAAGGGGAGTGGGCAGCAGACACTCACCTCGGGCCGGCTCCTCGCCCAGGGCCACGATGCTGTAGGCGGCCTCCAGGCCTGAACCACCGCGGTTCTGGATGCTGAGGTCGAGGCTCTCGTCACTCTGCACCGAGGACGGGCACACGAGCTCCAGGGCGGCAGGTGCCGCTTCCACCTGCACGTCTGTCCCCAGCAGGGCTGAGCCGGCCCCCAGGGCCAGCACGGCCATCACGTGATAGCGCCCAGGCAGCACATAGCGATGCGAGGCAGCCGGCCCAGCGGCATCCACCTCGGGGGAGCCGTCTCCGAAGTCCCAGCGTGTGGCAGTGACAGGGAGCGGGGCAGCGATGTGGAAGGCTGCTAGCTGGCCGGAGGCCAGGGGTCCGTGGGGCCCCACCAGGGTGGCCCCTGGGGAGGCAGGGAAGACGTGCTGGAGGAGGGTGGGGCCCCTACAGGTGGGGGCAGGAGGCGGCGGGGGGCCGGAGCAGAGGGACAGGCAGGCGAAGGAGGCACTGGAGGGCTGGGCTGACCCACACAGGCACCAGCCCTGCTCGGAGAGGGCTGCGAGGCCCTGGCCGGTGGAGAAGCAGAAGGCGCTGCAGGCCTCTGGCTGAAGCAGGCCTTCGTGGGCAGCTGAAAAGGACACTGCTGCCACGGTGCCTGAGCTGTTGTCAGGGAGGCAGGCGACATACTCCTCACCTAGAAGAGGCAGCCACTGGACCCCGGGTTCTGCTCCTCCTGGCTCCACCCCACACCCCCCCATCCGCCCGCCGCACTCACAGGCTCCCATGCTGTTCCCTTGGCCCGGAGGCCCCCCCCAGAGAGGCCTTCCTGAGCCCTGCCCAGTGTCTGCAGGGCCCAGGTCCCACCTGGCTGGGAAGGACAGAGCTGCCCCACCCACCGGCACTCACCACAGCCACTGTCCAGCAAGGGGATGCCAAGCAGAGGCTGGCCAGCCAGGGAGCCAGGCCCAGCACACGTGGCTGCCTCGGGCTGCACCACCCGCACCTGCTGCTCCTCCGCCCATCGCGGCAGCCACGCCAGGCCACAGTCACACTCAAACGGGTTCCCACTCAGGTTTCTGCGGGGCAGGGGCAGGTGTTGGGGACCAGGTCTGGTGGGAAGGGTCTATGCCAGCCCCCCACTGGCAACCAGGCCCTGGAGCCACCCTGACAGCACCGCCTCCCCTGCCCCAACCAAGCCGGCACTGGGGGGCTCCAAGCAGGTAGTGAACTGCCCCCAGGATCTGGTCTCAAGCCTGGAAGGGGACACGGACCAACTGGGAGGGCAGAAGGGATACTGGGGGCCTGGGGTCCAGCCAGGACCCCACCCAAAGAACCACAACTTACATTTCACTTAAATTAAATAAATTAGCAAATATTCCTTCTTCTAACGTAGAAATCTTGTTGTTGCTTATATCCCTGGAAGAGAGGGGGGATTCGGCAAAGCTGACGGAAGCCCCCACAGCTGAGCAGCAAGAGGCGGTGCCGCCAGCCCACCCGGAGTGAGCCCCGCATGCTGGCACGACTGGGGGACACTCACAGCTCTGCCAGCGCCGAGAGGTTCGCCAGGAGCCCAACGTCCAGCGCCCGGAGCAGGTTGTGGGAGACGTCTCTGAGGAGTGAGTGGCCGTGGGTCAGGGCCAGAGCCCTTAGTAGGCCAGAGGCCATCCCTGGGCCCATCCCACACATTTCCAGCATCCCCAAGCTAAGGCCTCCCACCCTTGAGCTCCCCACTCCCAGAGGTCAGGAGGGGCCTTTCTGATGGAAGACCCAAATGAACACTCATCTGGGGAAACCAAGCCAGGAGAGGCCTGGGGGCCTCAGCCCTCTGCACCCATCTCAGCCCTATGCCGAGTGCCACCTGGACCTGTCCACCCAGGGCCAGGAAGGGCACGGACCCCCAACCCATCCCACGCAGGGCCAAGGCCCCCCATCCCCTGTCCACAGTCCCCCACAGAGCCAAGGTCTCCCAACCCTGTCCACAGCCCCCACACAGACTCGAGGGGCCCCCATCTCCTGTTCTGAACCCAACAGGGTGGTCCCACTGTGGGACCACAACCAGGTATGACTGTGTGAGAAGCAGGCTCACTACCAGGCTACCAGGGAGCACAGGGGAGCAGGCGCCACCTTGAGGCATAAACCCAGAGAAACAAGACCTCCAAGACGGCCAGGCACTGGGGCACACGCCGGTAACACAGCACCGTGGGAGCTGAGACGGAAGGATCGCCTGAGCCCAGGATTTTGAAACCACCCTGGGCAACACAGTGAGACCCCGTATCTACAAAAAAATACACATTAGCCAGGCATGGCGGCATGCGCCTGGGGTCCCAAGTACTCGGGAGGTAGAGGAGAGAAAAATCACTTGAGCCCAGAGAGGTCAAGGCTACAGGGAGCTGAGATCGCATCACTGTACTCCAGCTGGGGTGAAACGGCGAGACTCTACCTCAAAAATAAATAAATACATACATAATTAATAAATAAAACATCAAAGACCAGCCGACCTAACTCCATCTAAAATACACAACTTCTACGCAAAATATAAATAAAATTAGAAAACAAACTACAATCTCAGAAAAGCACTAGCAACTTAGACGACATACTAAAGGCCAAAAATACCCTCCTGACACACAGCTAATAAAGAAAAAGTCAACTATTCCAGTTAAAAAGAAGAAAAGGAAACTGGCTGTGGTGGCTTATGCCTGTAATCCCAGTGCTTTGGGAAGGCCAGGAGTTTGAGACCAGGATGGACAGCATAGCAAGACCCCATCTCTACAAGGAAAAAAAGAATCAGCCAGGCATGGTGGTGTGGAGCTGTAGTTCCAACTACTCGGGGGGCTGAGGAGGAAGGATCGCTTGAGCCAGGGAGGTCGAGGCTGCAGTGAGCTATGATTGTGCCACTGCAGTCCAGCCTGGGCGACAGAGCAAGACCCAGTCTCGAAAGAAAAGAAAGAGAAAGCAAGAAAAGAAAGATGGCTGGGCACGGTGGCTCACTCCTGTAATCCCAGCACTTTGGGAGGCCAAGGTGGGTGGATCATGAGATCAAGAGATCAAGACCATCCTGGCCAACAGGGTGAAACCCCGTCTCTACTAAAAATGCAAAAATTAGCTGGGCGTGGTGGCGGGCACCAGTCCAGGCTACTCGGGAGGCTGAGGCAGGAGAATGGTGTGAACCCAGGAGGCGGAGCTTGCAGTGAGCCGAGATGGCACTGCTGCACTCCAGCCTGGGCAACAGAGTGAGACTCCATCTCAAATAATAATAAAAAATAAATAAATAAATAAATAAAAGACATCACTCACACCTGTAATCCCAGCACTTCGGGAGGCCGAGGCAAGCAGATCACCTAAGGCCAAGAGTTCAAGACCAGCCTGACCAACATGGTGAAACCCCATCTCTACTAAAAATATTTTTAAAAATTAGCTGGGCGTGGTGGCGCGCGCCTGTAATCCCAGCTACTCAGGAGGCTGAGGCAGGAGAATCGCTTGAACCCGGGAGGTGGAGGCTGCAGTGAGCCGAGATCACACCATTGTCCTCCAGCCTGGGTGACAGAGCCAGACTCCGTCTCAAACAAAACAAAACAAAAGACATCAGCTAGCTGGTCCAAGCACAGTGGTGTTCACAACGAATTGATCACAGCCAGGTAGAATTCTTCATTCTTTCTCCAGTTCCACTGCTTTGCTTGACCAGCCTTAAAGACACACATATACATTTTTGTCTGGGCGCGCTGGCTCACACCTGTAATCCCAACACTTTGGGAGGCCAAGGCAGGTGGATCACTTGAGGTCAGGAGTTTGAGACCAGCCTGACCAACGTGGAGAAACCCCGTCTCTCCTAAAAATACAAAATTAGCCAGGCATGGTGGCACACGCCTGTAATCCCAGCTACTGGAGAGGCTGAGGCAGGAGAATCGCTTGAACCCGGGAGGCGGAGGTTGCCGTGAGCTGAGATCGCGCCACTGCACTCCAGCCTGGGCAACAAGAGCGAAACTCTGTCTCAAAAAAAAAAAAAAAAAAGTATATATTTTTAAAAGACATTGGCCGGGTGCGGTGGCTCACGCCTGTAATCCCAGCACTTTGGGAGGCCGAGGTGGGCAGATCACGAGGTCAGGAGATCGAGACCATCCTGGCCAACACGGTAAAACCCCGTCTCTACTAAAAATACAAAAATTAGCTGGGCACGGTGGTGCATGCCTGTAAACCCAGCTACCAGGTACTCGGGAGGCTGAGGCAGGAGAATCACTTGAACCAGGGAGTCGGAGGTTGCGGCGAGCTGAGATCATGCCACTGCACTGCGGCCTGGAGACAAGAGCAAGACTCCGTCTCAAAAAAAAAAAAAAAAAAAAAAAAAAAGACATCAACTAATTGCAGTGTGTGGACCTTATTTGGCTCTTAATTCAAACTATTAAACCAAAAATGTGAACACACCAGGCCTTCGGTGGCATGAAGGAATTGTCTGTTGTGTTAGGTGGGTCTGCGGTATTGCGATGCCCTCCAAAATGCTTGCAGATAAAAGGGTGGCTGGAATTTGGTTCAAAACATGGGTCAGGGCTGGGCGTGGTGGCTCATGCCTGTAATCCCAGCACTTTGGGAGGCCGAGGCGGGCGGATCATCTGAGGTCAGGAGTTCAAGACCAGCCTGACCAATATGGAGAAACCCTGTCTCTACTAAAAATACAAAATTAGCCAGGCATGGTGGTGCACGCCTGTAATCCCAGCTACTCGGGAGGCTGAGGCAGGAAAAGCGCTTGAACCCAGGAGGCGGAGGTTGCCATGAGCCGAGATCGTGCCATTGCACTCCAGCCTTGGCAACAAGAGTGAACTCTGTCTCAAAAAAAAAAACAAAAAACACATGGGTCAGGAGGGGAAGGGTCGGGGCAGGGAGGGCAGGGCAGGCTCTGGGGTGGGGGGTCTGTGAGTCAGCCACGGCTCTGCCCACGTCTCCCCACGAAGCTTCGAGCCATGCAGAGCAGCACGTTTTGCAGTACGCCATCTTTTCCAAAAGCCACCACCTCTCGGCAGCATCCTTAACCCAAGGCAGGCTGTGGCCTCAGAAGCCCCGGCTGTCCTCCACCTGGAACTGGACACAGCTGTCCCTGCTGAGCTTCAGCAGCCAGGGAGCCACAAGTGGAGAGGCACCTGCGTGAGCCCCCCAGGAAGGCTACTGGTGACACCCAGACAGCAACGCTCCTGGACCCTTGAACACCTGCCAGCAGCTGTGATCTGTGTCCTTCACCTCTCCCAGCTTGACCCCTCTTCCCTGGGGAAAACCCAGCCGTCTCCCCGAGGAGGAGTTTGCAGGGTAGACAGCAAAATGGCTGGGCTGCCCCACAGCACAGAGGGTGGCCTGGGGGGCCAGCCAGGGCCTTCACATCCTTCCTAGGGCCCTAGTTTCCCATGGGTCCCCTCACCCCACCTTCCAGAACTCTCCCAGCGGCGGCCCCAGGTGTGTACAGAACAGCACCCACCTGCCCACGAGGTCACCCTGTGCCCTGTTGCACACTTGAGGGGCCTGGCATTCGGAATCTTGCCAGCTCAGGCTGGGACAGGCCACCAACCCCCAGGGTCCCCCTCCTCCAAACCCCAGGACCAGAGCCTAAGAGGACAACACAAGGCAGGGGCGGGGGTTCCACTGCTGTGCCAAGGGCCTGGAGAACACGGGCCTTGCTCTCCGCTCAGCAGCCACCAGCGCCCTTCTCTCCCGGACAGCTCCCGAGGGGCTGCTCTCATGGACACCATCAGGTGCTGGGAAGCAGGAACCACCAGGACCTGGACAGAGTCCCCAGTGACCGGCCTGGCAGACAGAGGAGCCCTCAGCTACAGCATCACAAACAACGGGTGGGGTAGGTCTGATGCAATTCTGTGGGTGCTGTTGCCAGGCAGGAGGAGGCCATCTCCACAGAGACAGCCGCGAGACACACGCGTCCGCAGTCAGGGAGCGCAGGAGCAATGTGGCCCCGAGGGGCACGGGCTCCATTGGTCCAGGAGAACCCATTCTTCTCCCACCCTCGAGACCACCCAGCAAAGCCCCAAGGACACACGGCTCCCCTAAGGAAGGGTGGCCACAGGCGGGAGTGACCCAGAAACGTTACAAAACCAAATGCCAGAACCCATCCAATGTTTAGAAAGCCTGGGGATGTGCCACGTCCCCCAGGGATCCAGCACGCACCCAAAGAGACACTGTCCCGGCGAGGAGCCTGGAGCCTGGGAAATACAAGGCATCAGACTGGTACCAAGACTCTCCCCAGCGCTGGGGACAACTGTCTGCTTATCTTAGTCCCCTGCGCCCTTTTCAATCCAACCCTGGGTCCTGGGCACCTCATAGTTCCAAACCCCTGCTATGCACATCCCGGCTGTGATGCCTGGGACAGGTCCTGTCCTGGCTGTGATGCCTGGGACAGGTCGTGTCACCTCTCCAAACCTGTTTCCTCATCTGTGAAATGCAAATCTCCACGGTCCCTATGCCTCGGATGGTCAGAGTCAGGATTCCGCATGACGACCCCCAACAGGAGCCTGGCACAGACCTGGCTCTGGGCAGCGTCTCCATAAAGGCCACCTGTTGTTTTTATCTCCCGAAAGCGAACATGACAAGGCTTTAACCCCCCACGGCAATCCGCCCTCACCCCTGTTCTCAGGATAGCCTTGGAACCCAATAGCAGAGCGCCTGAGGCCCTTCATGACCCCAGCCCACCCGCGAGCCCACCTCCCACCCTGCCCCTACCCCTCACACCTCCCGTGGCCAGCCTCCAGCCTCACGGTCTTTGCTCACACCGTTCACCCCCCTTCTTCTGGACCCACCTCATCGCCCCTTCCTAAGCATCAGCCCAATTCTTGCACATCCATCAAATCCTTGTCCAGACACCTCCTGGAACTCTTCCCTGCAGCCCCCTACAGCCATCCCCATCTCTCCGGGTACCCCGCAGCCCCAGGCCGAATCCCAATTCCTCTCCAATTAGCGACTGTTTGTCCTCCCAGCTGAGCGCGGCCTCCGCGCCCCGCCCCCGCTGGCGTCCGCAGAGCCCCCGGGTGGGACGTCTGTCTCCAGACCCGGGGTTTTTCGGCTCCCCGGGGCCGTGCCAACCGCGGCTCCAGGCGTTCCTTATTTAGCAGGGCCGCTGTGCCGCGCCGGAGCCTCGCCCTGGGAGCGTCCTGGCCCGCGTCCTGCTTCCCGTCCCGGGCCAGGGAACGCGCCCACGCCCGCCCGTCCCGCGGCCTCTCCCGGGTGCCGCTGGGCCCGCTACTCACAGCGCTGTGGCGTCCGCGGGGATGCGCAGCGCGGGACCGAGCGTCCGCAGCCCGCGGCCCGCGGCCCGAGCAGTTGACGCGGCAGGCGGCGCCGGGCGCTAGGCCGCAGAGGCAGGGGGGCTCGCAAGGCCCGCAGCCGCGCCCGGGGCCCCCCGCCAGCGCCCCGAGCCACAGGCCCAGGCCCAGGGCCAGCGCCAGGCGGGCGGGCGCGGCGGGCGGCATCGTTAGGGCAGCGCGCGCATGGCCCCGCCGTCCCCAGGCCCGCCCGCGCGCGGAGGCCGCGGCTCAGGCGGGGCCGGCGGACGGCATGGCGGGCGCGGGGCTGGATGGGGCTGCGGCCGCGACCTGCTGCTGAGCGACGCCCGCTCGGGGCTCGGGGCCAGGCCGCTCCGGGAGCTCGGCCGCCCGCTCGGACGTTGGCGCTGCAGTGCGGGCCCCGCCGCGGCTCCTCCTCCTCCTCCCCGCGCGGCGCAGGGCGGACGGGGCGAGGGGGGGCGGGGCGGGTGCAGGCTCCGCCCCCTTCGCCACAGCGCGACCGGGCCAGCGATGAGGGACTGGCATCCGGAGGCTTCACCCTCCGCTCCACAGGGTCGGCAGCAGGGCGGGGCCTCCGGAAGCTCCGCCCCACGCTTTCCCGGGGCGCATGCGACGTGGGGCGGAGCGTCTGGAAGCTCCGCCCGTCGCACTGTAGAGTCGGCCGAGGCGCACGAGGTATTTTTCACGCTCCGCCCCTCTGCAGGCTAAAGTGCGTGGGCGGGAAGCGGTGGGCAGGGTGCCATCTGGCTCCGCCCTTCTCCTGTGGTGTGGGCCAGGCGGCGGCTTCCTCCTCCTGCAGCAGCCACAGGCTCCACTCTGATCCTTCTCCCGCGGCATGGATCCTTCTCCCGCGGCGTGGATCCTTCTCCCGCAATCTCCGTGCGCGTCCCCAGTCAGTACCCGCAGCCTCCCGACGCACCCGCTGGCTCCAAGCCTCCCTACCCCAGGTTTCCTGGCTAAGAGAGAGACAGAGGGAGAGAGGGGGAAGAGAGAGAACAGGCAATGGGAGGTTGATGGTGAGAGCTTATTGAAAGACAAGAGGGAGGAAACCCACATCCTTCATTCCCCATCCATTCATTTATTGCCTTATTTATTCCATTGAATCTTCACAGCTCTAGAAAAAGTGTGCTACAATTATTCCCTTTATTAAATGAGGTCACTGAGGCACAGTTTAAGAAATTTGCCAGCAGGGCACAGTGGGTCACTCCGGTAATCCCAGAACTTTGAGAGGGGGAGGAAGGTGGATCCCTTGAGCCCAGGAGTTGGAGACCAGCCTGGCCAACATGGCGAGACCCCGTTTCTACAAAAATTAGCCAAAATTAGCCAAACTGGCTCACACTTGTAGTCCCAGGTACTCGAGAGGCTGAGGCCGGAGGAGCGTGTGAGCCCAGGAGGCAGTGGCTGCGCTGAGCCGTGATTGTGCCACTGCACTCCAGCCTGGGCAACAGAGTAAGACCCTGTCTCGAAAAAAAAAAAATGGAAAAAAGAAAAAAAGAACTGGCTGGGAGTGGTGGCTCATGCCTGTAATCCCAGCACTTTGGGAGGCCGAGGTGGGTGGATCACCTGAGGTCAGGAGTTTGAGACCAACCTGACCAACAAGGTGAAATCCCATTTCTACTAAAAATACAAAAATTAGCCAGGCGTGGTGGCAGGTGCCTGTAGTCCCAGCTACTAGGGAGGCTGAGACAGGAGAATAGCTTGAACCTGGGAGGCAGAGGTTGCAGTGAGCCGAGATTGCACCACTGCACTCCAGACTGGGCAATACAGTGAGACTCCGTCTCAAAAAAACAAAAAAAATCCTACCACATGTGCTCCACCAAGCTCTGTCTCCAAGGTGGCCTTGGAAGCCACATGGGGAAGGTGGCAGAGACTCTAGGAGCCTGAGCAGAAATCCAGATGATTATGAAAAATGCAGACCTACCCATCCTTATTCACCTGGGACCACCGTGAACTATATCATAAGAAATAAACCCCTATTGTACATACATGCACCATTCGAGTTGGGTCTATTTGTTACAGCAGTTTAGCCAACCCTAATCCACATATACAGTGTCAACAGTGGCTGAGATGACATGTTGCACAGACATGAGAGTCAGAAAGACCTGAGTTCAAGTCCCAGTGATGACATTTACTATCTGTGTGACCTTGAAAAGCTGCCTAACTACTCTCAGACCGTTTCCTCATCAGTTTGTTTTGAGAGTCAAATGAGAAAATTACTAAAAAGCCCTTAGCACTGCATCTAAGATGGGGAAGAGACAGTCAATGAATTCAAGTTTCCTGAAGCCCAGTTGCATCCCTGCCCTGCCCTGGGCTCTGAGAGACAGTTGCCGAAGCTAGTGTTAAAGTGAACTAAATATGGCCTGAGTGGGACTTCGTACTTCTATAGTTGAGTCCTTGTGGACAAATTGCAACCTAGCTTAATAGGTAGACAAGATTGAAAACCTAACTTAGGAGTATGCGCCTGTAACAATAGCTGAGTCTTGGCCAATCCCAGAGGCCGTAGTTCAACCGCTCATACGCTGCTGAGTGTTCAAACTGTACTCAAATAAGGCAAACGCCAACTTGTAACAATCCAGCCATTCTGTACTTCACTTCTGATTTCTGTACATCATTTCCCTTCTTTTGTCCATAAATCTTCTTCCACCACGTGGCTGCGCTGGAGTCTCTATGAATCTGCTGTGATTCTGGGGTCTGCCCAATTCGCGAATCATTCATTGCTCAATTAAACTACTTTAAATTTAATTCAGCTGAGATTTTCTTTTATCACTAATTTGAGCTGGTTTTCTAATGTTTGCAAATGGGAGGGCTGACTAATATAACACTGCTCCAAATATTAACGTCTTTCTCCCAACCCATCACCCAGGCAGAAGTGGTCCAGCCTGGGCAACCCTAGGAGGAGGCTAGCTCTCCTCTAGGAAGGCTTAGGATGCAGCCAGTGGGCAGTAACTGGCTCACTGTCCCCTGCAACTGAAATCAGAACTGGTTCCAGAAACCAAGTTGACCCCCAACCAGTCTTTCCCAAAATATGGCTCTATGCCCATCTCTGGTCAGGCTGGGCTGTTTTCCTGGACAGAGAAGTCTCAGACAAGCAGGCAGTGGTTAGTGGGCTGTGCCCAGGCTGAGAACATTTCCCAGAGAAGATGGCATCTCTGGCAGTCCCTTAAAGCCAGCAGAGGCCAAGTCATGTCCAAGAGGCCAAAAGGCCCAATATGGTGGAGACAGTATACAGTCCCCATGAATAAGGGATGCTGATGCCTTCCCTATGTACCAGGTAGTCACTGCCTGAGGGGCCCAGAGCAGCAGGAGGGCAGAGCCAGCCTGGGCAGGGGCACTGGGCCGGAAGTGGGGCTCACATCCTCAGCACACACACACACACACACACACACACACACACAAGCGAATGCACACACACACACACAAATGCACGCACACACAGATAGGTGCATTCAAACATCACATACACGTGTACATTCCTTGCAAAATCAACTTCTGCTGATAGCACAACAAACAATGGGGCCACAGTGTGGCATGGAGGAAACCCTGGAGTCTGATCTCATTTTTTTTTTTTTGCATCTGTCAGGGGATAAAGATATTTGATAAAAATCCTTGAGTCACATCCCCACCAGGTCCCTGCCTACCTGTAGACCCCATCAAGCCAGCTCCATGGCCCTTCAGATACCGCCTCACTGGGTCCCCAGGGATTGACCTCAGTCCTGGAAATGCAGAAATATCTGTATCTGTCACAGCTGAGACTGGCGGCCTTCCGCCGGCTTTCCTGGAGGCAGAGCTGGAGACAGGGACTTGGGTGGATGTGGTTTTTGTTTTTGTTTTGAAAGGGGCTTTCAGGAGAAGGGAGGTGAGGACTACAGGATGCAGAAGGGGACAGAGCAGAGTGAGAATGTGGTCCCTTAAAGTCCCGCCTTGACCTATCCCACGAGCAGCAGAGAGCACGCCACAGGATCGTCCCCACCGTGGGGCAGGGACCAGCCATTCACGTTGCTGTATCAGTTAGTCACTGGGCCATTACTGGGCATGGCATCCCATCCCAGGCAATGTGGCTCCCATCTGAGGGTGATTCTCTAGAGAAGGACAGCTGTGAGCTCTCAGCAGGTGAGGCTCCAAAAGCAGCTATACCAGTCTAGACCTCAGGGGAAGGGGGAATTCATCTCTAGGCAGGGATGATTTTCATAACATTGAACTCTTGACATGCAGGAGCACCGACCAATCAGAACAGACACGGTGACCAAACAGGCACAGCCACACCAGTGGATACCAGCGGAATGTCCACGCTGCCTCTGCGAAGGGACAGTCCCATGAGCCAAGCCCTAGACCAGCTGTTCTGGGAGCACTGCATCATTGCACTGAATTCTCACAACCGCCCCATAATGCTGGGACCATCCCCATTTTCTTGCCCAACAGCCTCCGTCTCATAGACACTAGGCGGCTCTCCCAGGGTCACACGGTCCAGTCAATAACGGGCAGAACTCGCACTCCGATCTGTCTGGCTCCAAAGCTGCTAAAAATTTTCTACTTGGCCTCACTGGCTTGACAAAGATAAAAAAGAAGGCAAGTCCTTCTTTCCAAGAGATGCTGAGGTCCCTCGGTGACACTAGGTCATGATTTTATCATGTTCAGAGGGCAATGAAAGGGACAGAAAACAAGCGATGTGTGATCTCCTGTCATGTCAAGAGACGCTGTTTTCAAAGAAACGTACGTTTCGCAGAATCAATACGCTGTGGGGCCTCAGAAAGCAGAGGCAGACACACGGCCCCAACCCGTGCACGTGGGAGCCCTGTTACAAGAGACGGCAGAAATTAAACTGAATCACCTGGAGCAAGTACATTGTAAATGTTCAATATTAATGACCCACCTCGGCCCCAAAGAAGAGAGCGTTGGGCTTTGTCCAGCTGTGTGCTCTGTTGTTAAAAGACCACCTTGTGGCCAGGCACGGTGGCTCACACCTGTAATCCCAGCGCTTTGGGAGGCCAAAGCAGGTGGATCACCTGCGGTCAGGAGTTCGAGACCAGCCTGGTCAACATAGTGAAACCCCGTCGCTACTAAAAATACAAAAATTTGCTGGATGTGGTGGCTGGCGCCTGTAATCCTAGCTACTCGGGAGGTTGAGGCAGGAGAATCGCTTGAACCTGGGAGGCGGAGGTTGCAGTGAGCCAAGATCACGCCATTGCACTCCAGCCTGGGCGACAAGACTGAAACTCCGTCTCAAAAACAAACAAACAAACAAACAACAACAGAAAACAATTTGTGCCTTAATGGGCATTCCTTTCCCTTCTTGCTAAGGGATGAGATGATGGCAGAACTTGTGGCCACTGTCCTGGAGGTTGACAAGCTTTTTCTGTAAAGTGCTAGATAATAAATATTTTGTGGGCCACACGATCTCTGGTGCAACTACTCAACACTGCCATTGTCATGCAAATGTAGCCATAGATGATAATAAATGAATGGGTGTGACTGTGTTCCAATAAAACTTTATTTATAAAACAGACAGCTGGCCAGAGTTGGGCAATGGGCAGTAGTTTGCCCCCCACTCCCCGCCCATCCGTCCTATTCCTTGGCTTTTTTGGGTACATCAAGGAGTGCAGTCTGGATGCTGGGCTATTTTATGGCCACTGGGCATAACCTTAACCTGGGCCTTTTGTCTGTTAACCTGGGTCAGTGGCTACGGTGAAGGTCGGGCAACCAAGGTTTAGATGGCTCAGTACACATTCACGCCCACAAACCAAACCAGGAAAAAGATGTGCTAAGTTGAGCATATGACACTGTTGGTACTCAAATGGTTTGTTTTTTTTTTTAAATAAATGTTTAAGTAAATTTTTTATTTTAGAACAGTTTTAGAAAAATGGTGAAAGCAGTACAGAGAGTTTCCATGTACCCCATAGCTTGATGCATTATGAACTAAAGTCCATACTTTTTTTAGGGGGGTGGGGACAGGGTCTTGCTCGTCACCTAGGCTGGAGTGTGGTGGTGTGATCATAGTTCATGGCAGCCTCAACCCTCCACCTCCCCTGGCTCAAGCGATCCTCCATCTCAGCCTCCCAAGTAGCTGGAAATACAGGTGCCTGCTACCATCCCCAGAGAATTTGTTTTTGTTTGTTTGTTTGTTGTTTGTTTGTTGAGACAGGGTCTCACTCTCATTGCCCATGCTGGTATACAGTGGCACAATCACGGGTCACTTGCAGCCTTGACTTCCCGGACTCAAGTGATCCTCCCATCTCAGCCTCCCGAGTAGCTAGGACTACAGGTGCACACCACAAGCCTGGCTAATTTTTTGTATTTTTTGTAGAGATGGGGTTTCGCCATGTCGCCCAGGCTGGTCTTGAACTCCTGGGCTCAACCCATCCGCCGGCCTCGGCCTCACAAAGTGCTAGGGTTACAGGCGCGAGCCACCGTGCCTGGCCACCTAAAGTCCATAGTTGATTCTGATTGCCTTAGTTTTTGCTTAATGTCCTTTTTCTGTTCCAGGATACCACATGGAGCATTTTGAGGAGTGCTGGCCAGGTATTTTGTAGAATGTTCCTCAACTGGGATTTGGCAGATGCTTCTCATCCTTAGTCTTGGCTTGTGTGTGTTTTGAGGAGGAGGACCACAGAGCTTAAGAATCATTCTCAGCACTCTGTATCAGGCACGCATTCTCTCAAGATGACTTGCCGCTATTGAAGTTGACTTTGATCACCTGGCTGAGGTAGTCTGTCCGTGTTCTCCACTGTAAAGTTACTCTCTCCTCTCTTTTCACACTGTACTCTTTGGAAGAGAGTCACTATGCACAGCCCACACTTAGGATGTGGGAAGTCCGCTCCACCTCCTTGACGATGGAATAGCTATATAAATTACCTGGGGCCGGGCACGGTGGCTCACACCTGTCATCCCAGCACTTGAATGGGAGGCCGAGGAGGGTGATCACTTGAGGTCAGGAGTTTGAGACCAACCTGGTCAACATGGTGAAACCCCGCCTCTACTAAAAATACAAAAAATTAGCCGAGTGTGGCAGCGCATGCCTGTGATCCCAGCTACTCGGGAGGCTGAGGCACAAGAATCGCTTGAACCTGGGAGGTGGAGGTTGCAGTAAGCCAAGATTACATCACTGCACTCCAACCTGGGCAACAGAGCAAGACCCTGTGTAAAAAAAAAAAATTAAATAAAAATAAATAAATAATCTGGAATTCTTCTGCCTGGGAGATTTGTCTCTTCTCTCTTATCTGATCATTTATAGCAGTATGGAATCATGGGTATTTATTCTTTGAATTCTAATCCAATAGTACTTTTTTGGGGCTCAAATTGTTCTGGCTTTGACCCCTGGGAGCTTTTCCACTGGCTCCTGTGTCCCTCTGAGATGCCCCATCACTGCAGCAGTTTCATTTTGTTTCATTTAGCGCCTCCTCACCCTGTGACCCTACAAGATGCTTCAGGTTCTTCTTATCTATTTCCTCCCTCGGTCCTAGGATCGACATTTGTTCAAGAAGCCTGGTTCCTTTTACTGGAGAATGGTGTTTATTGGAGAACAGAGACCTGGGCACCAGAGGTTTGTTGCTACTGGGGTATCCTTGCTTCTAGGCTCTCTTCGCTGACAGCCAGGATTAGTAATGTGTGTCTTACTAATTTGTGTATATGCACATATCCATAAATATTTCTCTATGTAGCCATCTGTATCTATATTGAGCTAAACATGTGTTCATACTGATGCCTGCCACTCTAATCCACTGCCACATGGATCACTCTAGCCTTGCCTCCTTTGCCGACCTGTAAACCTCCCGCCCCCCACCCCATCTATTACTTAATGAATTTCAGTAAGCATGTGAGGTGGGTGGTTATGGAAACCATTTTTGACCTATATATAAGATGGCAGTTTCGTCTGATTTCTCCTAAATAGAAGACGAGTGTGAAATGGTAACATGGTGTCCGTAGGAGTCATATGGATGGACCATGGCCAACCATATTATTAAGGAATATTCATGCATTCATCCATCCATCCATCCATCCATCCATCCATCCATCCATTCATTCACCAGTGAATGAGTAAAGCATTAGGTATTCACCACACTGTCCTCTCCTGGACTTCCCCCTACCTCACGGGCCACTTCCTCTCTGTCTCTTGGGCAGGGCCCTCCTCGCCCATCCTCTGAAGGTTGCACTGTCCCAGGGCTTGGCCCCCAGCCCTCTCCTTTTCTCAGTCTTCATAAGGATACCTATTATTCAATCCCGTGGCCTCATCTGTCATCCAAAAACACTCCCAGCTCACCACGTCTCATCTCCAGCCGTGATTTCTCACCCAGGCTGCAGACTCGGGTGTCTGATAAGCATCTCAAACTCACGATGGCCAAAACAGAAGTCTCAATTTACCTACACATTTCAGTGGTTCAGCTAGAAACAAACGATTCACTTATCGTTGATTCCTCCCTTCCCTCACCTCCTGTATTAAATACATCAGCAAGACCTTTCTGCTCTATCTCTGAAGCATAGCCCCAAGCTCACCACTTCCTGCCACTGTTACTTCCATCACCCCAATCCAAGCCATTGCTGTCTTTTGCCTAAACCAACACAACGTCCTCTTTGCTTCTCTCCCTAAATTCATTCTTGCTTCCCAATAATCCAATCTCCTCAAAATTTAAAGAAGCAATTGTTTAAAAACATACATCAGATCACTCCCCTTTCCCTACTTAAACCCTCCAATGCCTTCTGTTGCCATTAGAATAAAATCTAAACTCCTTTCCAGGGCACCCACATGACCCGGTCCCTGCCATCGTTCTCATCTCTTCCTCTCAATCACTTGACTCTGGCCACCCTGGCCTCTTTGCTATTCCTGAAACTCAGGGAGCTCATTTCCTCCTGGGGGCCTTTGCAATTATGGTCCCCTCTGCCTGGGCAGCTCTTCCCCCAGATCTTTGCATAACTGGCCCTTCCCCTCCTCAGGTCTCAGCTCAGATGCTGCCTCCTCAGAGAGACCTTCCATGATACCAATCATCCTCTGTCACATTGCCTTGTTCTGCTTCTTTTCTTCGTAACGCCTGGCATTATCCAACAACTTCTAATGTGTGTGTTTACCTTTCGTCCTCCATCAGCACTGTGCTCCTAAGAGCTGAGGCTCGGTCTCTCTCACACCACTAAACCCCCAGTATGCCAAGCAGCACCCAGCACAGGGGAGATGCTCAGTTAATACTTGTTGAATGAATTAATGATGCTCCCCCTAAAACTAAACTTTACAAAGCACCCACTAGACAACAGGTTAGAAAACATTTTCTAGGCCAGGCGCAGTGGCTCACACCTGTAATCCCAGCACTTTGGGAGGCTGAGGCAGGCAGATCATCTGAGGTCGGGGTTTGAGACCAGCCTGGCCAACATGGTAAAGCCCTGTTTCTACTAAAAATGCAAAAATTAGCCAGGCTTGGTGGCAGGCGCCTATAATCCCAGCTACTAGGGAGGCTGAGGCACGATAATCATTTGAACCCAAGAGGCGGAGGTTGCAGTGAGCTGAGATCACACCACTGCACTCCAGCCTGGGTGACAGAGAAAGACCCCATCTCAAAAACAACAACAACAACAACAAAATGTCTTCTGTAAAGACCCAGATAGCAAGTATTTTAGGCTTTTTAGGCTACCTGGTCTTTGCCACAACTACTTACATCTGGCACTGTCAGGCAAAAGCAGCCATAATCTGCAAATGAATGGGCATGGCTGTGTGCTCATAACACTTTATTTATAAAACAAGAACAGTGGGCCATAGTTTGCTAACCCCTGCACTAGCCCAGTCTAAGTCTTGAATATCATCTGTGTAATTAATTCACAGTGAGGAGTTCTCCACTGTAATAATTACTCATTCCATGAATGCATGCCACTCAGGTGAGGCGTTCTTGAAACTCTGAGAGGCAAGAAGCAAAATGTTCTTTCTCCATACCCAGGCACACTCCAGTCTGTGAAAAGGAAGCAAGAGAGGCAGGCTGCAAGTTTGATCACTGGGTGGCTGCTAGCCACCTCTCCCCCTCAGCTCCAAGAGCAGAAACAGGATGAAAACGCAGCAGCTGCCGGCTTCTGTCCTCTTGCCAGCTGCCTCTCTTGCAAGACTAGACAGGGAGGGGCAGCCGCCAGTCTCCGGAGGCACAGACTGCACAGAATTGAGGATCACTTGTTCCAATGCATTCATCTTATCTTACAAAATCTTCAAATTCCAAAAAGCACACGTAAGAAGGGCTGCTGTTTCATTCACACAGTGAAATATTGTGCATCTGAAAGAATATGTAGATGGGTGGCATCTTCAACAACCCCAGGATCACAGACGTTTAAATTTCACCCCTTCTACTGCTGTAAGGCACAGCAGAAGGAGTGTAATTTAAACGTCTGTGATCCTGGCTGGGCGTGGTGACTCTTGCCTGTAATCCCAACACTTAGGGAGCCCAAGGTGGGAGGATTGCTTGAGCTCAGGAGTTCAAGACCAGCCTGGGCAACCTAGTGAGAGCTCATCTCTACAAAGATTTTTTTTAAAAAAATTAGCCAGGTGTGGTGGTGCACTCCTGTAGTCCCAGCTACTCAGCAGGCTGAGGCACGATGATCCCTTGACCCTGGGAGATCAAGGCTGCAGTGAGCTGTGATGGTGCCATTGTACTCCAGCCTGGGGAACAGAACAAGAACCCATCTAAAAAAAAAAAAAGAAAGAAAAGTTCATATTCCAACCAAGATCTCACCATTGCATCATCAAGCATAAACACCTGCCCCCACTGAAAAAGTACAGAGGAAGGCAGTCATATAATATCTTCCCTCCTGACCTCACCAAGTTCCAGGGCAGGAAGAGTCTCGCCACCCCAGCACACAGTAGGCCCACTGGAAAATGAGTGCTCCCTTCTCTAGGCATTTCATTGTCATGGTCATAAAGTCAGGTTCATTTTTCTAATGAAAGAGAAAGCCAAAAATGGAGGCTGATTTTTTTCTTTTTTCTTTTTTTTTTTTTTTAGTCTCACTCTGTCGCCAGGCTAGAGTGCAATGGTGCGATCTCGGCTCACTGCAACCTCCGACTCCCTGGATCAAGTGATTCTCCTGTCAGCCTATCGAGTGGCTGGGACTACAGGCGCCCACCACCACACCTAGCTAATTTTTGTAGTTTTAGTAGAGACGGGGTTTCACCATATTGGCCAGGATGGTCTCGATCTCTTGACCTCATGATCTGCCCATCTCAACCTCCCAAAGTGCTGGGATTACAGGCATGAGCCACCACACCGGGCCTGGAGGGTGATTTTGACCAGGCCTTCTCAAGTTTTGGAAGGAAGTGGAGCTGACTTCTCTTCTGTTGCTTTTGCCCACCCAGGATCACTTATTCCTCTGGGTAATACAGCACCCCAGGCACAGGGGCCGCCTGTCACATGAGCGTGGGCATGGCTCATGTGCGGCCAGGCCCCAGTGATTCTGCAAAGGTTGCCCATAAGTCCTTCCCCCGCCCCAGGACTGGCATATTGATGTGGTGGGATGGAAGCTGTCCTTCTGCTGGGTCTGCAGATGGGGGCAATGTAAAGCCTGACATTGCCGGATGATGTCAGAAGCGGAACCCATAGGCAAAAGCCAGCTTTCCAGCACTCCACTCTCAGTTTCCTGCCATCTCCACTTCTGTGGATGTGTGCCCGGCATCTGCCTCTGCCCCTGCCTCTGAGAGCAGTGACTGAGCAAACAGTCCTGGACCTGGTTGAAAGGATGGGCCTGTCTGTTTCTAGCAGAGTGGTCTTTCAGAAAGCTGATTCCTGAAAGTTGGCATCAAGGGAAGCAGAGCCAGGAGGTGGAAATTGAGACTGGGTCCCGCTATGCATGAAGCCAGAGACTCTTGGATTTCTCCGTTACTTGACCAGAGGAATGCCCCATTTTGCTCAAGCTAGTTGGAGTTGGATTTCTGTTACTTGAAACCAAGAGAGCCTTAACTAATACACAACTAGAAATGCATCCATGGTCACTGCCCATTCATGTGACAGACATTTATTGAGCACTATTCCAGTTACCTAATGTTGCATGAGTTACCCCAAAACTTAGAGGCTTAATTCAGTCGTATAAGATATTCACAGATCCCGTGGGTCAAGAATTTGGGAAGACACTGTAGGTTGAACTTTGTTCTCTGCTTTGTCTTTCTTGGAAAGAGAGGACACAGCTTGAAGTCATTACTGATTTGGGACTGTATGTAATGCATATCTGTGCTTCATTGTCACTGTGTTTTTAAGTTTTCTAAACTTAAAACAGCTCATTTTCGGGGGACATAAAGAACCTGGGAAGAGCTCAGCTGGGCAGCACTGACCTGGGGTCTCTTGAGTGGTGGAAGTCAGATGTCATCTGCAGTTGCACTCACCAGAAGGCTTGACCGGGGCGGGGAAATTCGCTTCCAAGCTGGCTCACTCACGTGGTGGCAAGCTGTACATGCTGGGGGCCAGGGGCCTCACCCCTCCCCACGAGGCTGCCTGAGCACCCTCACGCAAGGCAGTTGGCTTCCCGAGAGCCAAAGTGCAATGCCTGTTACGACCTAGCCCGAGAAGTCACACATCATCACTCACTTCCACCACTTCCCACTGGTCGCACAGAGCCAGCCTGATTCAGTGTGGGAGGGGACCACACACAAAGGCAGTGTGCATCCCTGGGGGCCATCCTGAGGCTGGCTGTGTACCACAAACACCCGCCACATGCCAGGGACTGGACACACAGCCTTTGACCCCCACTGAACATCAGCCTAAACAGAAGGCAACCAAGCAAACCTTATCCCCCAAACTCTTTCCAACTCCTCCCTTAGGACGGCCCCTGCTTTTAAGTAAAGGGAATCGTGCCGAATAATTGTTCCTATTAAGGAACTAGATCTCAGGGTTTGGTCATGCAGCTCTTTGGTTACAGAAACAACGCTGATGAAATAATCGAAGGTCCTCCACCATTCTCACCCCCAGCCATGACCCCGTCCACTGCACACAGTGCTCCACGTCACTGTGCCTTTCCTAACTTTACTACAGCTTATACCTGCCTCTCCTGTACAACATCCACGTGACATCCATCTCTAAACCTCTGAGTCATCCCTAGACAAGCTGGCATGTGACTACATCATCTCATTTCATACATCAAGGGCAGGAAAACATGGTGGTTAAGAACTCTTGGACCTGGGTTCAAACCCCTGCTCTGCCACTTGACAGCTGCAAGATTGTTCAGCCTCAGTTTCTTTCTCTGAAAAATGGGGCTGGAAGCATACCTACTTCATGAACTCATGAAGCATCCACATGCATGCAAGGGCACGGCACAGCGCCCGGCACACAGTAGCTCAAGAAAGGCTGGTTGTGCCTGCTGGTGTGCTTGATCCAGAGAGGCAATCACTCATTTGCTTTTTCCTTATTTCCTGAATCTTTGTTTCTCACATTTAGGCCATTAGAGTTAAGCAGAAGGACTGCCTCTTCCTCCAGCCATCTCACCAGTCCTTCCACATACACATGCACAAACACACACACACACACACAAACACACACACACACACGTTCTCATGCTACCTTCGGCCCTTCCCATCTCCTGTAACCCCAGAAAAGAAGACCGAGTTGAAGCCGTTGCCTTAGAATGGCACTGCCCTGGCCAGGTGTGGTGACTCATGCCTATAATCTCAGCACTTTGGGAGGTTGAGGCAGAAGGATCACTTAAGGCCAAGAGTTCAAGACCAGCCTGGTCAACATAGCCGAGACCCTGTCTCTACAGAAAAATCAAATCAAATAAAAAGCTTTTAATTAAAAAAGAATGGCACCGTCCTAAAGCTCCTGAGGTGTCCTCATCAAGGATTTATGGTTGTTTTTACGGCCACTTTAATAGGCAGAAATGTGCACAGAGCAGAGTTCCCCAAGAATCTGCCATCTTAGACCATTTTGTTTTTTAAATACCTCAGCAAACAAGTCTGTCTCATATGACTTTTGTCCCATTCCAAGTCTAATAACAGCCCGGGTGCGGTGGCTCACGCCTGTAATCCCAGCACTTTGGGAGGCCAAGGTTGATGAATCACCTGAGGTAGGGAGTTCAAGACCAGCCTGGACAACATGGTGAAACCCCGTATCTACTAAAAATACAAAAAATTAGGCGAGCGTGGTGGTGGGCACCTGTAATCCCAGCTACTCGGGAGGCTGAGGCAGGAAATCGCTTGAAACCGGGAGGCAGAGGTTGCAGTGAGCCGAGATCACGCCACTGCACTCCAGCCTGGGCCACAAGAGCGAAACTCAAAAAAAAAAAAAAAGAATCTAATAACATTAATGTTTACTTCTCACAGGAGGATCAGAGGACTTCTGTCCTGAGATTGCCAGAAAAATGATGAACAGAAAATTATACACAACCGAACAGGCCCAACTTTCAAATGGACTGAGAATGACCCACACAAGTTCCACCGAGGCCAAGGGTGACCTGCAGCCAGCGACAGGGAAAGACTGCCACTTACTGGCGGCCTCCGGAACTGGAAGGAGTGTACTGACAATTGTATCTTTCGCAAGCTCTTAACCTTTATACCGTCAATAAAAACCCCATTAACATTTAAAAGGGATGTTTCTGGGTGTCCACTTGGAATAAGAGTTGGAAAACACTCCAAGAAATGGATCCTGTATTAATATCACATCTGTCCCAGATCTCCAACACTGTTCACTTTCCTTCCACGGTGCCAACACCAAGCTAGCTGATAGGTGGGAACAGGGCAGCTCTGCGGTTGGCCCCCAAGAGCCAGGGAGTCCCCCAAGCTGACCCCCTGGGGTGGCAGTGGCACCTAACAAGAACTTCCACCTTGTTTTCCCTCTCTCCGTTTTGTCCTTTTGGACTCTGCTCACGCATCACATCCAGAAAGTTCCCTAAGCTCTCCAGTGGGATGAGAACTCTGCTCTGTGCTCCTGTGGTCCTCCATGTTCCTCCACCTGGAGGCCCTCGGCTCCCTGCATTACCCCTGTCTACTTACTGACTTGCCTTCTACCCAGTGATGGGCCATGTGCTGTGAGGGCACACACTGTGTGCCCATCTATTCATTCCTCTGTGCGTGCGTTCATTCATTCCTTACTGAATGCCCACCAAGTGCCAAGCATTGGGGTACGAAGAACAAGGCAGACGGGGCCTCCCTGGCCTCTTCCAGCTCGCTGTAGAGTGTTGTCTACCCTACTCATCCTCACATACCCATGCCTGTCCTATGTGGCACTCAATAAATGTCGGATGGATGGATGTGTCCCCTCCTTCAATATCACTTAATTCACTTGATGACTTCCTGTGAGGATTAAGTTTAGCTGTTAAAATGCTGTGACTTCCTCTGGATCTCTGATGCAAGCCGGCAACCTTTAAGCCTCACCCGGCCGACGTAGGCATTTTGTTTGGCCAAAGTGTGTGGTTTTCTTAAAAAAACACTGCATTTGTGGCTAACATTTAAAATTGGGAAAATTTCACGTAAATCTTTGTTTTTCTGGCTTCTCTAGAAAAATGAACGCACATTTCTGCACAGCAGGGGTGAGCCAGAGCTGAGTCCCTAAGCTTCCCTTAGACGTGGTGGGCACACTTCAACTTGCCACAACCTCCACTATCTCCGATTTCTCTATCACTGACGCCAAAAGCTGCTGGGGACCATGTTGGCTGAGCTCGTGTTTTTCCTGCCCCAGCCAGCTTCACTCAGGACTCTGACTTGCTCTACATTTGGCTCAACTGAAGACTCCCGGGGGTTACGTGCATGTCATCCAAGAAATACATCTATGATGAGCTACAACACAAATGAATGGGCCATTTTATTGATTTTTACCTCCTAATAGTGGATACAGGTTGCCGTGGTTTCCAGCAGGATCTCAGATGCAAAGGGAAGTGAAGAAAACAGATGAATCCCTAGGGTACCCCGCCATGGAACCAAACACCACATCAACTGGAACTCTTCTTGCAAACGAAGGCTGAAGATCAAGAATGACATTCTCACACCACAGCACAGCTTAAATACTTCTTTGACAAAAATAATAATAAATTATATTTGACTCAGAAAATAAATTCTGTTCAGCAGAGTGACAGGAGGGTCCATTCATTGCATTGCACGAGGGGCTCTACGGAGGGGTGAGGATGGGTGCAGGATGCCACAGTGACAAGGGACATGGGGTGCGGGCCCAGCAGCACAGGCTGAAGTTAGCTGACGCATGCTTTTGGCTTTTATCCCACGGGCGGGTAGTGGCCGGACCCCTGGCTGTGGCCTGTCCCAAGTGAGACTGCAACTGTCCCCTTCCTCCTCACGTCCGCCTTGTCTTCTGTTTCTTGGCTTGTCTCTTTGCATCTTCTGGGCCGCTATTGTCAGAGGCTGCCTGGCCGAGCGCGCCGACTCCCTGTAGCCGGCTTGTCAACTGCAGCAGCAAAGGAATGAGCTAGAAAAGAGAGAAAGTGTGAGAGAGAGGGGTACAAAGAGGAGGCTTTTGCCAGATGAACAGCGGAGCCTCACTTCTCAACACACCTTCTTCAGACATGATCAGCAGCTGCCACGTGCTAATGGGTGGGTTTCAGTTCAAACGAGGCAGGCCTCTTACTAATGAGTCCCCAGGGATGGGCTGGCCTCTCTCCGGGCCTAATATGTCCCTAGAGGTGTTCCAGGTTTAAGGATTAGGAGATGTTACAGAAGTTTACAGCCTTGAAAGGAGACCTAAGTCTGGACTTGAGGCCTTCACGGGCCCTCCCGACCCGGAAATGTGATTTCTGTGACCCTGGACATCCCTCTGCTATCACTCCTGCAGCTGTGAGGACTCGCTCTCCCTGACATGCCCGCCATCTCCTGAGGCCTCTGGATTTCCTACCTTGTCATGGTTGTAACCGGCCAGCAGAACCAGCAGCGTCAATGGCAGGGCAATGTAGGATCCTTGTGCGATGTCCTGTTCAGGCAGCTTCCTCTGCAAACACCGAGAGCCCCATCACTCCTCACCAAGGCCACAAGCTTGTCCATCATCCACAATGCCACAGCCACCACCCACCCAGCCTTCCAAAGTGGCCACTTGAGGACACCCAGGGGCCCTCATGATCCAAATTCCTTCTATCCAAAGGAAGGAACCAAAGTGATTTGGATGTATTTTCCCATGAATCCTCTTCTGCCCAAAGCTTCACTATTTGCTTCTGAAACTCAGGGACAAAGAGATTCCAATGACAAGGCATTCCTCAGCCTCTGGACCCTCCTCCCAACTGAGGAAATGAAGAGATGCAGCTATCAGAGAGTCTTGGTGGTTGAAAAGCAACTGGGTCTCAGTTTGTTGAGTCCCAGCAACATGCAGGGACTTAGTCCTACAAGGATGTATCAAGAACCTACAGTTCTAGACCCAGGGCACACAGTGATGGGCAGCTATTCCCAGCCAGTACGGTCTAGTGAGGAAGCAAAGCAGGCACTGCTACTAGCATCCCTGTGGCCATTCTCCCTTTCTCCCAATAGAACCCCCAACTTTTATCTGGGCCACCGACAATATAGATCACCTTTTCCAGCCTTCCCTGCAGCAGGCGCAGCCCTGGAACTAAATTTTGGCCAATGGTACAGGAACAGAAGCGGTAAGTGCCACACCCTGGCTGGACCCTAGGGAAGTGGTGTGCCCTCCCTTTTGCTGGGTAGACAGCATTTGGCCAATTGCCCCATTTTGGAGAAAAGCAATGCACTGGAACAGCACAATGAGACAGAAGGGGCCTGGGTCCCCTGACGCCTTGGAGCTACCAGACTATCTCTGCACTGGTCACTCCTGGACACTTGACATGAGACAGACATTTCCATCTTGCTAAAGCCCCTGAAATGCTGGGTTCTAAAGCATCAAGTGAACCTATATCCCATTGGCCCACTCTACTCTCATAAAGGAAGCAAATAAATGGAAGGAGAACTTCCCAATAATGATAAAAACAAGTTAATGAGCCAGAGCAGTGTTCTCAGTGTAGGATACCGGGACTCCTCTCGCAGAGGTTCCCGAGGCCACAGCTATTTTCAGCCAATAGTAAGATGTGATGTGCCTTTTCCGCCCTCTTTCATTCGCAAGCACACAGTGGACTTTTCCAGAGACTACGCACCCTGATGTCATCACGCCCACAGCTAACGGAATGTGTAGCTTGTGAGTTCTTGCGTTTTCAACATCTCGGTTTTAATTACTAATATGATAAATATACACAGAGATAATCCATGCAAACTCAAACTCTTTAAAATCCTCAATAATTTTTAACAGTATAAAGGGGTCCTGCAACCAACCCATCCGAGAACTGCTGGGCTAGAGAGTGACTGTGGGGGCCGCTGTACCTGGGATGCCCTTTCATAAATGAAAGAATAAGGGCAGGAACAGATTTCCATCAACAACTGCCTACTCCTGTATCTCTGGACATCTCTTAGAACCCAACCCATTTTTCCACTGAAGTAAACACTTACTTAAAAGTTTAATTCAGGCCAGGTGCAGTGGCTCACGCCTGTAATCCCAGCACTTTGGGAGGCTGAGGTGGGCAGATCACCTGAGGTCAGGAGTTTGAGAACAGCCTGGCCAGCATGGTGAAACCCCGTCTCTATAAAAATACAAAATTAGCCAGAAGTGGTGGTGCATGCCTGTAATTCCAGCTACTCAGGAGGTGAGAATCACTTGAACCCGGGAGGCAGAGGTTGCAGTGGGCCAAGATCGTGCCACTGCACTCCAGCAGGGGCAACAAAGCAAGACTCTGTCTCAGAAAAAAATAATAATGAATAAATAAATAAAAGTTTAATTCAGCAGGAATTAAGAGTGATTCAGTCTAGGCTCAGGTCCCAGGCCTCACTGGGTAAACTCAGGCAACCACGTTGAGACTCAGTTTACTCAACTATGACATGGAGATCATATGAACAACACCCACTGGGGGTGGATGCTGTGAAACTTGATGAAAGGAGTATGTGAAATGCTCAGCAGGGCATGGAATACTGAGTAAAATCCAGTCGCGAGGCTGTGGGCAGTCACATCAACAAAGAAGGAAACCAATGTGCTTACAAAGCCCCCGTGAACATGCAATGCTGAGCCACTCATCACGCGGAGGGCAGAACGAGGTGGAAACCATGTGGCTTGAGACAAACTGCCTCACTTGAGTCCTGGTTCTGCTAACACTCAGTAAGTGACTCAATCTTTCTGGGCTTCTGTGAAAATGGGAGGAATGGCACACCTGCTTGAAGGCTTGTTGTGAGGATCAACCTGTGAGGGCCCTGTACGGGGTGGCACAGAGTGGGCGCTCTCTTCATTCAACACTTGGCCCTGCTCGGGAATCCAAGCCCCAGCAGGCACAGCTTTTTTTTTTTTTTTTAATTATACTTTAAGTTTTAGGATATATGTGCACAATGTGCAGGTTAGTTACATAGGTATACAGGAAGGGGAACATCACACACCAGGGCACAGTTTCTTACATTCTCAGAAGTGACAGGCAGCAGCTACGAGGCTGGGCTGCTCGGCCACCACCAAGCAGTGTCTCCACATTCCTGCCACTGGCTCCCAGGTGTGTCCCTGAGCCCGGATGAGTTGTCTGCTAGGGGCCCCTGAGAATGTCACTGCCTGCAGCTATCAACGGCCTTCACAGAAGCCTCTCCCAGCAACTGGGCCACAATGCAGCCCCAAGCAAAGGTAAGTGGTTCTTGTATATGCTTATCTTTCTGGCACTTTCTTTTTTTTTTTTTTTTTTGAGACAGTCTTGCTCTGTCGCCCAGGCTGGAGTGCACTGGGGCTATCTTAGCTCACTACAAACTCTGCATCCCAGGTTCACAATTCTCCTGCCACAGCCTCTCGAGTAGCTGGGATTACAGGTGCGTGCTACCACGCCTGGCTAATGTTTGTATTGTTAGCAGAGATGGGGTTTCACTTTCACCACATTGCCCAGGCTGGTCTCGAACTCCTGACCTCAAATGATCTGCCCACCTCAGCCTCCTAAAATGCTGGGATTACAGGCGTGAGCCACCACACCTAGCCCTCTCCAGCACTTTCTAACCAGGTCTCTACTGTGAGTAACAAGGAAGTGTTTCCTCGTGGGTCATGAGAAAAACTCTCTTGTTCAGGTAAGATCATATTTACAGGCTCACTGAGCATGAATCACTCTTCACAGAAGCCCAGAATCAGCAGCAGAGCTCTGCTCAAGCCCTAGCACTGCTCCACGTGAGCTGGTGACCTTGGGCTGCTCACATCTCCTTCTAGGTTCCCATCTTCTCATCTCTAAATGAAAGGTAATTCCTGTCCACCTTCCATGCAGGATGGCGTTTGAAAAGCATGAAATGGTAACTGGATAGCATGTGGAAAAAGACAATCTGGAGCCATACTTCACATCTATACCAGGAAAAACTCCAAATGGATAGAGAGATTTAAATGTAAAAACAGAAACTATAAAAGTCTGCCTGAAAAAAACACGATAAATTCCTGTAAAAGCTGGGAATGAAGAAAACCTTCCTATGACTCTAAAATCCAGAAGCAATAAGAAAAAATCAACACATTTAACACAGAAATAAAGTAAATCTTTGCAGAAACCAAGTGAAAAGATAAATGACAAATTGGGAAAAATATGTACAACAAACATTACAAAGGGTTAATATTCCTAGTATACAAAGAGCTGAAAATGGTTGAAAAAGACCAAAAATTCTATAGAAAAATAGGTTAAATAGTTCACAGAAAATACAAATGGCTCTTAACCACATGAAAAGAGAGAAATGCAATTAGAAGTACAGTGAGATAATATCACTTCTCATCTATAAGCCTGCAAAAATTGAAAAATTTGACAAAATACTCTGTTGGGGAAAAAAGGGTACTCATTCACTGCTGGCGGGAATATAAAACAGTAAAACCCCCATGGATGGGAAGTGGCCGTATCAATCAAAATTCCGTATGCATTTACCCTTTGACTCAGCAATTCCACTTCTGGGAGTCTATTCCAAAGAGAGACTGACGAACACTCAAAAACATGCATGCGTAAGGCAATTCATTAAAGGGTTATGTGTAATAGCAGAAAACCAGTAACAACACAAACGCCCCTCAACCAGGGGCTAACTGAATATCCTACATGTAGTGCCAGGATCTGAATGTGTCTGTGCCTACGTAATTCATAGGTTGAACCCTAATCCATAATGTGATAGTGTCAAGAGGACACCCTTTTTAGGAGGTGATTAAGTCAGGGATTAATGCCCCGTAAGAGTGGCCTGAGGGAACTTGTTTGCCCCTTTCCGCCTTGTGGGGACACAGCTAGGTGGCACCATCTATGAAGCAGACAGCAAGTCCTCGCCAGACCCCAAATCTGCCAATGCCTTGATCTTGGACTTCCCAGCCTCTAGTACTGTAAGAAATAAATGTTTGTTGTTTATAAGTTACCCAGTCTAAGATACAAAATAGCAGCCCAAATGGCCTAAGACACACGGTATATCCACACAGAGGAATGCTGTGTCGTTATCAAAAAAGGAAAAAGGAGGATCGGAGGATATTGTTCCACTTACAGTTACATCTTTTGAAAACAATAAAGTTCTTATTCTGCCCACTGAAAAGGCCTAGAAGCAACAACCAACACAGTAGCTATGAGGCCAGATTTTTGTTTTTAATGCAGACTCCTGTGCTACACTTTCACCCCGTCAAGTTCAGAATCAGCAGTCCTGAGGCTGAGCCCTGGACTCTGTTTTTGCTATTGCTGATGTGTCTGTTTAATCATCAGGTGACAATACTGCATCTGAGCTTTAGGAATCACTAAACAATTTTATCAAGAAGGTAAAAGATACGTGTATGTTTTGTTTGTTCCACTGTTCCAGCCTATCGGATACAGGACAGACCGTATGCAACAGATACACATATTGCAAATAGTAAGGGCCACATATTGCAATGAATTAAGCGATAAGTTAAGTTTCTTTTAACCCACAGGTATTCTGTCCATCTGTTGTTGGTTTTTTTTTCCTTGCAATTTATTTGTCAAACAAATCAGGCTCCAGGTGGTTGTCCTGCATCCCTGTGGAGTCATTTGCGTGCTCCTGGGTCCTCCCTATTTCCTGTAAAGTAGCAGTTGGTTCTAGGGGTTTGCGTGGCCATGTACCATGTGCTCCCTCATGGAGAAGCACACGCCACACCAGCGATAGTGGTGTCCCTCCTCCCCCAAAATCATTCCTGAGCCACCGATCTAAACAATTACACTGCTCTTATTACCAGTTTCCTCCTCAAAGGGAATCGCAGGCATCAGTGCTCAGAAAAGCTAAAAACAATCTGGGGAAGCCCAGAATCCAGAAGGCAGAATGAGAAAGTGACCCAATGCCAGGAGCCCTTTAAATATCTGCCCTGCAACCTGCGACCTGGAGCACAGGTTGTATGGACATGCCTTCTTTCGCCACCCCATGGATTGTTTTGTTTTGTTTTGTTTTGTTTTGTTTTGTTTCTTCTGGAGAAAGGGTCTCACTCTGTTACCCAAGCTGGAGTGCAGGGGCATGATCATGGCTCATCGAGGCCTCAACCTCCCAGGCTCAAGTGATCCTCCCACCTCAGCCTCCTGAGTAGCCGGGACTATAGGTGCGTTCCACCACGCCCGGTTAATTTTTGTATTTTTTGTAGAGTTGGGGTTTTACCGTATTGCCTAGGCTGGTCTGAAACTCCCGGGCTCAAGAGATCCACCAGCCTTGGCCTCCCAAAGTGCTGGGATTACAGGCGTGAGCCACCAAACCCAGCCCATGGATTTTTTTTTAACTCCCTCTTTTACTTACCGTGGGATTAAAAATCAAGGTGATGTGTTTATGGTAGCCCACTGCGGTGAAAGAAACTTGAGGCAAGATGTAGTCATACTGGGATCTGGGGAGTGTGGAGTCCAGAAGCACAACATAGTTCTGTGCACACATGGGAAGAAGTTATTTTTATAAGGACAGCTCTGGCAAAGCAAATGAAAACTAAAACCTAACGTATGGCTGTGATGTAAAGAACTTTATGTTTTTAAAGAAATCCCCAAGACTACACATCCAAACCAAGGTTGCTGCCTTCAAAGTATCAACCTCAGCGGGCTATTCCATCAGTGGCGGGCATGTGTCCCCAGTGTCTCTGAGACTGTGGCTTCTGATAAGGCTGTCAGAGCCTGCAGCCTTTTTATGAGTACCCAACCTTGACAATTACGGTCCTCTGAGGATCTGACTTTATGAAACACAAAAAATTATTATGAGCCAATTCTGATGAGGGAGGTACGTGATACAACTGAGGATCCACAACGGGGCTGACTTCTAAGGGACGATGCTTGAGAGGCTCGTAAGCTGGCAAATCCTAAAAATACAGCATCCCTGGAACGGCACCAGGGGCAGCCACAGCTCTGTGTGCTGAGCACCGACCAGCTGCCAGGCACCATGCACATTGCATGAGGCCCGTCACAGCTCTGTGTGCTGAGCACCGACCAGCTGCCAGGCACCATGCACATTGCATGAGGCCCGCGGCTGCTTTGCTTTCTACCACTGGCAAGGTCGGGATCATCACCCCGTCTTATAGACGAGGAAAGTCAAGCACGAAGAGACTAAGAGTAACTTGCCCAAGGTCACTCAGCTAAGAAGGCTGCCACACATCTATGAAGGCTCTGAACTCAGGGGAAGTGTGACCCCAAAGCCCAAGATGTTTCCGCATCGCTGTAGGAAGTGACTATTTCAACACCCCTGGAGAAAGAGGAGGAGAAAATTCCGTGACAGCCTGTTTCATTATTTCGCAGCCATTTTCCACAGAGAAAGGCCAGAGTAGATCATCTTCACGGCAGGTGGTAAGGAGCCAGGAGAGGAAACGTCACCCTCTAGGCTCACACTTGACATCCTCAGGCTAAGACCACCAGAAAAGAACCAAATTCTTTGCAAAGTTTGCACTCCCCACACCAACTACAAGTTAGCTCTGTCCAAATAGAATTGATAATAAGCACTTTATAATCAGTAAATGACGGCCAGAATAATGGCTGAAAACTTCCCAGTTCCAAGGAGGGAGACATCCAGATTCATGGAACCCAAAGGACACTGAAAAGGTGGAGCTGCAAGTGTTCTACACGACACACGTTATAATCAGATTATCAAAGACAGAGAGAACGTTCAAAGCAGCAAGAGAAAAGCAACTCATCTCATTCAAGGGATCCCCCATCATGAGGAAACTGTATTTCCCTAAACTCAATAGCAGAATGTTAAAATAGAGGAATTTTTAAAAATTACAAGGCATTTTTAAAAGTGGACTTCTTAGCAGGAAAGCATGGGGTGATATGTTCAAAGTGCAAGAGTCGATCATGCCCAACAGTAGGCCTTGGTTAAATAAATCATCGCGTTTCCTAGTTTATGGACTACTGTCCATAAAAATCATAGTATGAAAGATTTGGCCAGGCACGGGGGCTCACGCCTGTAATCTCAGCACTTTGGGAGGCCGAGGCAGGTGGATCACGAGGTCAGGAGATCAAGACCATCCTGGCTAACATGGTGAAACCCCGTCTCTACTAAAAATACACAAAAAAAAAAATTAGCCGGGTGTGGTGGCGCACGCCTGTAGTCCCAGCTACTTCGGAGGCTGAGGCAGGAGAATGGTGTGAACCCAGGAGGCGGAGCTTGCAGTGAGCCCAGATTGCGCCACTGCACTCCAGCCTGGGCGACAAGGCGAGACTCCGTCTCAAAAAAAAAAAAAAAAGAAAGATTTGATGATGAGGAACAGATTTGTGATAAATTCTTCATTGAAAAGCATGGATTACAAAACAATGTACAAAACAGTGTCAGTTTTGAATTATTAAAATAAATGTCTATTTATATTTATACATGCATGCGCACACGTGCCTGAAAAAAGACCCAAAGGATACCAATCACCATGTTAGCAGTGGCTATTTCTGGATGATGGGCTTATGTCTTCTTTTTCCCAAAATCTCCTGCCATGAATATGTATTCTTTTTGTAAACAGAAAAACAATGAAGAAAAAATAATCCCTACAGAACCCAACCTCTTTTGATTCAGAGAGCGCATTTCTGCAGAGTGGTATTTAGGGAGAAAAGGAGAGAACTGTGCTTCCTTAAACTAAACAGCAGAATTATTAAAACAAAGGCAGAAGGTAGAATCCGGCCACAGGCATTACCTCGCCATCTCTGAGCAGTGGGGGGAAATGGAAGAACAGGGACTGGCCAAGGGAAACTGTCTGGATTGGATTGTCGAGGTTTTCGCTTTTGTAAAGCTTGACCTGGAGGGAGAAACAAAGTCAGACATGCTTTGAAACTGAAACACAATCAATATTTCATAGCAGACATCCTCAGGACAGCCGCTCTCTGGGTAGGTGTCTTTGGAAACATGGATATTTGAAAAAGAAAGCTCCCTCCATAGACATCACACATCCCTCTGTCATCTGAGACTCCATCCAGTTATGTATCATGCACAGAAATTAAGATTCAAATCAGATTCTGACTACCCATGTTCTTGCTCAAAATAGTAATATAAGTTAATATAATAGTAATATTAAAAATAGCTTCTAACACGTGTTGAACATCTGTAATATGCCAGGCAGGCGCCAGATATTTTATCTACATTATCGCCAATCCTGACTACAAAACAGGTATTGTTATTATCCCTATGGAGACCCAGAGAGCCAAAGTCACCTAAGGTCACACAACTTACACATGGTAGAGCCTGGGACTCAACCCCCTGACGACTCCTGAGGGTCCTTCCCGCCTTGCACTGCCTCATCATATGATGTCACCTTAACTCCACCAATCTGTTAAACTCAAAACGCATTCCATCATGTACGTGGCTCTCCACGCTGCTTCAGGAGGCACTGGAGTACTTTGTTTCTGGCTTTATTTCTGGGGTTGTTGCCTGTTCTCACTCCCACACGGGATGGGGCATGAGCAGGGTTAAGGTGCAGCCCTGGCTGATGGCAAAGGCTGTGAGGATGCCACAGTGCACCTGCCGCAAGAGAATGCCAGGACCACCTCCCTGGGCCCACACTGGCACCTTTCTACATAACACACCAGGGGAATTTTCCTAAAATGAAAGTCACAGACTGAAGGTTATGGGTCGCATTGAAGATCCCTTATGTGTTCTTTTTTCTTCTATAACATCTTAAGTAAATCTGAATTCACCGACTATATTTAAAAATCAGGTGATTTCAAATAATTCTAATTTCCAGCTTCTCCGGAAAACTGGGAAGTGACACCAACCCTGAGCCTCAATTCTAGCACAGCAACACTCAGGAGCAAGAGAGTGGCGCCCTCCCCTCCTCTCTGCCTCTTCCCCTCCCTTGTGCCCCTCATGGATGGGGCAGGAGTTCCCCAGTTTGCCCCCCACCCTACCCAACCCTCTGCACTCTCTGACATTACCTGCCTGGTCCCTACAAGCACACGCCTGCAAGCCCTGGACAGAGTGGACTAAAGCGCACACACACTTTCTCACCCATGCCAAATACTTAACTGCTTATAAAATTACAAGCGCATCTTAACAATGTACCCCCAGAGCAAATCACTAACATCCGCAGAGGGTCTGCAGGGTATTTTATAAACATTTCTTCATTAATGGTAACATGGAGATTTTGTTAGAGCTGAACAAGATTATAAGAGGTCTCTGAGTCCAAAATCTAGGTTTTGCAGAGGACGAAGTCGAGGCATGTGGAAATGAAGTGACTGGCCCAGGCAGCAAGGTGAGTCACTACTGGAGACAAGAGAAAGCCCAGACCACCTGCTCTCCAGCCCACCGTCCACCACCTCTGATACTGTTTGGATATTTGTCCCTGCCCAAATCTCATGTTGAATTGTAATCCCCCGTGCCGGAGGTAGGGCCTGCTGTGAGATGATCGGATCTTTGGGGTGGATCCCTCGTGGCTTGGTGCTGTCTTCGTTATGAGTCTTGTGAGATCTGATCATTTAAAAGTGTGTGGCACCATGCCCCAACTCTCTCTTTTGCTCCAGCTTCTCCCACATGACATGCCTGCTCCCACTTCACCTTCTGCCATGATTGGAAGCCTCCTGAGGCCTCCCCAGAAGCAGACGCCACTATGCTTCCTGTACAACCTACAGAACGAGGAGCCAATGAAACCTCTTTTGTTATAAATTATCTAGCCTCAGGCATTTCTTTAAACCAATGCAAGAACGTTTAATACGACCTCCACTCCAGAGAAAATTTTAAGTTACAAGGCGCTTTCTTTAGAATTGGCTTTCCACGTTAGATTCCATATTGTATTGATCATTGATCAGGCTTCTACTATAATTCTTTGGAAGATTAACTGATGGCAGACAGTTATCTGAAACTGGACCACATTCTCTCCCACAACTGGCAATCACTCTCCCAAATACGTGTTGTGGTCCAAGGTTCTTAAATCTCAACCTCAACCCTCAGCAGGCGGCACTCTGGAGCACCTCCACCTGTCACACCTAAGGCACGAGACAGGCACAAAACCAAAAACATCCCATTCGTACTTGTCTCAAAGCCAAAGGGAACACAATACTTGGAGCTTAAAAGTCTGGACTTACCCATAACGTAGGAAGGTATTCAGAGGAAGTGATCACATTTCCACTTAAATCAAATTGATTAATCTGCCGGAAAACTATGATGTTTACATCATCGATGTCATTATTCCCAACCTAGAGAGAGAAAGAGGGAATGCCAGTAATGAGAAAGCTGGTGGAGGAACTTCTATGCCAGCTGTCCGATGGCCTGAGAGCTGCTTCATGGCAAACTTTGCTTCTTACATTAAGGAAGCTAAGTTTGTCATTGAGTACCCTACGTCCAAGGTCACAAACCGACAGAAGATGGCTATCCCTGGCCCATAGACACATTTCATTTCGAAAGCACAGTATTTTTTTTCTACGTTTGAATTACTTGCCAACATGTTAAAAATTAGGAAATTTCATATATGAAGCCAGATTTTCCAGCTTCTCTTAAAAAAAAAGGAGAAGGATGCTCTTGCCTGTTAGAGCAGGGGCATATCCCTGGCCCATAGACACATTTCATTTCGAAAGCACAGTATTTTTTTTCTACGTTTGAATTACTTGCCAACATGTTAAAAATTAAGAAATTTCATATATGAAGCCAGATTTTCCAGCTTCTCTTAAAAAAAAAGAGGAGAAGGATGCTCTTGCCTGTTAGAGCAGGGGCAGAGTCACAGCACCCCCTCTGCGTGAGGTCTGTACATGGAGTTTGCGAGATCCCAGAGGGCCGGCCCCCTTCCCTTTCATACCTGCCCGGCCACAGTCCACATTATGCTAGTGATCCTGGCCTAAGTTACTACACCGAGAACATGCAAAGCATTTTGGTGTGAGATGCAGTCATCCCAGCCATTTAAAATGCCAACACCGTAAAGACGTCAAGGAAATCCACTTCCGGCCCGGTGCGGTGGCTCATGCCTGTAATCCCAGCACTTTGGGAGGCCGAAGCGAGCAGATCACCTGAGGTCAGGAGTTCAAGACCAATCTGGCCAACATGGTGAAACCCCGTCTCTACTAAAAATACAAAAATTAGTCGGGTGTGATGGTGTATGCCTGTAGTCCCAGCTACAGGCTGAGGTGGGAAAATCACTTGAACCCACAAGGAGGAGGTTGCAGTGAGCCGAGATCACGGCACTGCACTCCATCCTGCGTGACAGGGTGAGACTCCATCTCAAAAAAAAAAAAAAAGAAAAAAAAAAGAAAATCCACTTCCTAGGTCAAAAGTTCTATCCTCCCTCACAATCTTCATGCATAATGAAGCCACCTAAATAAAGCCACTAAGAGGCAGCCCCTCTTGCCCTACCTAAGCCCTCTAGTCTTCCCAATGAGAGTTACTCAGTAAGAGAAAAGCCTTACTTCAAATGATTCCCAGGCCACATTCTGTGACTCGAAGGATGTCCTCTTTAGGGATTAATTTAGCTAGGTCATGATCTTGAGTATCAAAAGACTCTGCCCACAAAATGGGAGCAGGAAAAAGGTCATCTGAACCTAAGATAACTGCGTGGCCCTGCCACCCATTAAGCCCATGTGCTATTATTGTCCCTTGATTTGAAATGCTGCTTAGGCCTTAAGTTCCTTAACTTGCAGAATAATGATCAGAGCTTACAGGGCAAGTCGCGGGGAGGATACAACAGTTCCAATTTCCTTTCTGGATGCATGACAGCAACGCTGTTCACTAAAAACCCACATAAGATTCTGCTTGTGAAGATGACACTATTCTAAGAGGACCCTTAATTAGGATGAAAGTTCCCCCCGCCACAGATGAAAGGCAGACAGCCAGAGGAGACGGGAGGACTTCTGATTAGGGAGGCACCCACACCCAGGTGCAGCGGCAGCACTGAATGCCTTACCTCAATCACCCTATGGTGGGGGAGCGCCCGCTCAATGTGGTCGTTGCCTTCTGCCTTGAGCTGAACGTGGTACACACATCCCGGCTGCAAAAAAACTCAGGAGTCAGTTCTCTAGAAAGGGGGCTTGTCGTATCGTGCCTGGTCCAAGCCTGGTTTGGCTGCACGAGATCATTAAGACAGGAGCATTTCTCTCCCCTCATTTCCTAATCTGTGGCCTGTTAACCTTAAGAGTCCAGAGTTCCTTTAAGAACACCCCTAGTGTTGAAACATCTGAAATTTTGCGACTCCTTCCATCCCAACTCAGTTTCATTTTCTCCTACCCCAAAATAAATCAAATTTGGTTTCTTATTTCAAAATTCCAAGCATACTATGTGCTCTTACTCTTCTAAGATGTTTTTCCTCTCCATCCACCCCTCCCCTCTACCCGTATATACACATTGATGGATATCTGGAATGTCCACCATAAGCATTCCCAAATGCTTGTGTTGGGTATTATTTCTGGGAAGTGGGAATTTCTGACTTCTCTTTTTAAAATTTCAAGGATCTGGCAACCCTGACTCTGTCTTCCCCCATGGCTACAATAAGCTGGAACCAAGTGACAGGCTGTCCCTTTCCACAGGCCGTGCCCACTCCACAGCCCTCACCACTCCCTATCATTTCGCACAGCCTCCTCTCCCCCGTTCATACTGCTCTTCTGGCTCCATAGGCGTTTGGCTTGAGCCCTGGCGTAAGCCATGGCCACATACTGCTAGGGAAAAGCCCTACCAAACCCATGGTTTTCCAACTCCATTGTGCCACAGATCCTTGATCTGACCTGTTGGCTAGAAAAAAGGCAAACTCTACCAATTAAAGGTAAGAACTGGGAGGGCTCCAGAGCCCCACCCCCAGCCCTCTCGCCCAACCCACTCCTAGCAGTCTTGGGGCCACCACAAGATACTTCTGGACACAGGATGAAAAAAAAGTCCCCAAAGAAAACACATTCCAAGTCTCACCAGCAATCCACGTAATCTGAACTTGCCCTCTTCGTCTGTCACGGTGTCTTCTCCGTAAATGCTGCAGTCGTTCTGGCCCACCGCTTCCATGGCAACCCCTTGTTCGGGCTCTCCGTTTAAGGAAGACACTGTGCCATAGCAACTAGTATGGCAAGAACAGGCACGAATGAGATATTCTCATGGTTATCTGAAGGACCCAAGTGTTTCCCGTTTACCAACAATTATGGGGCAAAATAGTTCAGGGGAGAACTGTGCCTCAATGACCCAGGCAACTCGGTGTGGCCGGCCCACTTTCAAACCACACCTTCCTGCCGGAGGGATAAGCTGCCATCAATTTCTTTTCTCATACATTTTGAGGGATGCTCTGGAAAATTGTAATTTAAGAAGGCTAAAGCTTTATTTTATTCTTTCTAGGCTTTATTTGAAATAATGGAGCTTTCAATAACATGGAAATAACTCACTTCCTCTTTCATTCCATATATTCAGTAGAAAATGGTCCATTTTTCTAAACCCAATCTTTCCAATTACTCTTCCTCTAAAGTGATTCTGTATAAGTCTACAAAAAATACACATATGTGTGTATCTGTGTGTATACATGTATATATGTATGCATCTCTCTATCTATAGATGTGTATCTTTTTTATTTTGTATTTTTATTTTTTTGTAGAGACGGGGTCTTGCTATGTTGCCTAGGCTGGTCTTGAACTTCCAGACTCAAGAGAACTTCCCACTTCAGCCTCCAAAAGTGCTGGGATTATAGGTGTGAGCCACTGTGCCTTGCCAGACACTCATGTGTATCTATCTATCTACAGCTGGGAGCATTCAGAAAAACTGGAAGTACTGGTTGTCTCCCAGAAGAGGAACTTGGGTGGCTAGGAGACGAGACAGAGGGGAAATTTTACACTATACTCTTTTCAGCATTTTGAAGTTTTATTCAACTGAGCACATTTTCTCCTTTTAATGATGTAATTCAGGTTTGAAACTCTTTTAAAAAATAAAAGTGGCCAGGCGCAGTGGCTCACGCCTGTAATCCCAACACTTTGGGAGACCGAGGCAGGCAGATCATCTGAGATCAGGAGTCCGAGACCAACCTGGCCAACAAAGTGAAATCTTGTCTCTACTAAAAATAGAAAAATTAGCCATGCATGGTGGCAGTCCCAGCTACTTGGGAGGCCAGGACAAGAGAATTGCTGGAACCCGGGAGGCAGAGGTTGCAGTGAGCCAAGGCTGCGCCATTGTACTCCAGCCTGGGCAAGAAGAATGAAACTCCGTCTCAAAAAATAAAAAATAAATAAAAGCTTTTAGCAACTCAATAGGCTCTCTCAAGCCAATTCCAAAATAGGAAATTTGAGACTGAACCACCAGGTTGAGCTCCTAGGAGAGAAGGGCAGCAGTCAAAACTCCTTTGCCCTCATATCTCATCTCCCTTCCCTCCCAAGTAAAATCAGTGTGAAGCCTGGGATGCGTTTCCAGGCAACAGAGGCCTGAATGTGATTCACCAGCCCAGCCCTGGAAGAGAGTGGGGTGGCCAGGGCACTTACCTGTAAGCGGTTCGGTACCCCGTGATGGTGATCTTCAGGTTCTGGCCTTCCTGCACCTCGATCATCTGTGAGGATGGCTCAAACCGGAACTCCTTCATCATGGGTTTGAAGTAATACTGGCCAGGGCTCTGCCAAGATAATCACACTGAGCCTCAGCAGCCACATCTAGGCATGGCTTAAAAGTGAGGGGCGAATGTCACGATGGACCAGAATTACACCAGGGGAGCGCCATGGCTTCCCTGGCAGCCAAAAATAGTAACCCTCTCTCTATAATCACCACTCACAGTCAGGTAGTGGCAATCACAACTCTAACAACGGCAGCTGATGGTATCACCTGCCTGCAATGACTCAGAGAGGTAGAAGTCATATTTAATTTTTCTTTTCTTTTTTTTTTTTTTTTCTGAGACAGGGCCTGACTCTGTCCCCCAGGATGGAGTGCACGATCACAGCACACCGTAGTCTCAACCTTCTGGGCTCAAGCAAATCTCCCACCTCGGCCTCCTGAGTACCTGGGACCACAGGCATGCACCACCATGCCCAGCTAATTTTTTTATTTTTTGTAGAGATGGGGTCTTCCTATGTTGCTGGTCTCAAACTCCCAAGCTCAAGCGATCCTACTGCCTCACCCTCCCAAAGCGGTGGGATTACAGGCGTGGGCCACCATACCTGGCTCATATTTGAATTTAATGAATAAAGAAACTGAGGCTCAGAGAGGCAAAGTAACTTGCCTGATAGGACACAGCAAGTAAGGAGCAGTCTGCATCACTGCAAAGTGGTGTCTTCAGATGCCCCCACTGCCCGGTCTCCAGTAGCCCCACCACAGCCACTTTGTCACCATGACTGACAAGATGACCAACTAACACACACTTCCTGAATCCCCACCAGTCAGGGCCTCCGACTGCATCTTGAAAGAAAAACTGCTGCTCTCTTCCCACCAAGTGGAATGTCTTTTCAGAAGAAACGCAAGCTAACCACCAAACAAGACTCAGCATCATAAACATGATTCTGTGGCAAAACGAGAAGACGCCTAAGAGAGCAGCCGTTGTGGCCAGGGAAATTAATTACACTGTCTTAGTGACAAGCGGGTGATCAGAAAACAAGAAGCGCGTGTGGAAGGGAACATGAATCAGCAGCATTAAGTTCGAGTAAGAGCAATACTCTAATGACCGTGGGCCCCCAAGAAACTGAAACCACTCCACATTGGCCTTCTCTTCTCACGTTGTCAAGCAACACATAAGTCTCGCATGCTGCATCCTGGCTCTCTCTCAGGGAAGACAGGCAGGTGGTAAATTGCAGAACACGTTACCAGGTTTGAGAATGTCAGAATGCCGTTGTCCTGGGTCAAGAGGTTGGAACGAAACAGGCCACCACTCAGGGATAAGAGGACTCCCGGGAGGGGCTGGTCATCCTCAGCTTTTATCTGGGGATGAGAAGGTGAGACCAGAGCAAGGTTAAACTCCTACTAACTATGAAAATAACAGTTCCACAAGTCAAGAGGTCATTTTTTCAAGGTTTTTTTCTTTTATTGTTACTCAAAGGAGGACAGGGGACCTAATCTTCCTCCCCACAGGTAACTACTGTTGTAAGTTTTGTAAGTTTGGTGTGTAGCCTTCTAGAACTTTTTTTTTTTTTTTTTTTGAGACAGGGTCTTGCTCTGTCACCCAGGCTGGAGTGCAGTGGCACAACCTGGGCTCACTACAACCTTCGCCTCCCAAGCTCAAGCAATCCTTCAGCTTTAACCTCCTGAGGAGATGGGACTATAGGCGCACACCACCATGCCCAACTACATTTCTGTATTTTTTATAGAGACGGGTCTTGCCACGTTGCCCAGGCTGATCTCAAACTACTGGGCTCAAGCAATCCACATGCCTGGGCCTCCCAAAGTGCTGGGATTAGAGGCATGAGCCACCGTGCCCCGCCCAGAACTCTTTCTATGCCCACACAAATTTTATAAACATTACATATTATTGTTCACAGACTGGCAAGTTCATTGAGTGGGTGGAGGAGGTGAAATAAAAATGGCATGTTATATGTACAGTTCTGCAACTTGCTCTCTTCCTCAACAATTTATCCTGGTTCTCTTCTGCCAGCCAATAGAAATCTGCCTGTTTCTTAACTACTGCATAGCATTCTAAGGCAGGGTTTGACAAACCACAGCACCTACTCTTGTGGTACACAAGAGACAATTGGAATATCCCCAAATATGTATCTCTAGGCACTTAGTTTTATTTCCTGAACAATCCATTCCTAGAAGTAGAATTGTTGGATACATGCACTTTAAATTCAGAAAGATACTATCTAATTGCATTCCAAAGTGGCTGTAACCACTTACAGTCCCATAAATTATTTATGCTTGGGAAAACCCACACTTACCAAAAAATAGAGATTGTCTTAATTACAGCAAATCTAATCCCTGCAAAACAGTGTTTCGACTGTAACTTCCTTAGCACATTTCCTCAGTAACTACAGAGGCTTTGTGTTTCTGTGTTTATTAGTCACCTGCGTTACTTCCATGAATTTCCTTTTCATAATCTTTGTTCATTTTTTTTCTAGTGGGTTGTCTTTTTCTTACCAATTTTAGGAGCTCCTTGTAAAATGGGGATATTATTTATGATACAAACATTTCTTCCGAGTTTGAATATCTTTCAGTTTGGTTCCAAATGTATTCAGCAATATAGAATTTTAAATTTTTATGCGATGTAATCTGTCACTCTTTTCCTTTGGCCTATAGTTTATAAATATTCATTCTCAACGATCTCCAGACCCACTCTGTACAATCGCAGCACGCTTCTTCCCAGAAAGGACCGGTGGAAGGGAGCTAGGCAGCAAACGCCTCAGTAAAAACATTCTGTGTCCTTCAAAATGGAACAGTTATGGATGACAGCTTTAACTACTTCCCAGAAGGTACACAAACATGCTAAAGTCAACAGCTCTCCAAATTATGCTACGTGAAAGAAGTCAGACCAAAAAAAAAAAAAAAACAACAGTATATCCTGTTTGATTCCATTTATATACAGGTTGGTGCAAAAGTGATTGCGGTTTCTGCCATTATTCTCAATGGCAAAAACCACAATCACTTTTGCACCAACCTATAAAAACTCGAAAATGCAAACTAACCAATGGTGATGAAAAGCAGATC